>NC_000018.10:24661206-25286206 GCF_000001405.40 Homo sapiens
GCTGGAGAAAATAGGCAGCTGCGGTTGTAGTGGGGAAACAGGCCTCTGTCTGAAGTCAGCTTGCTCTAGATTGTGTTTGAAAACATGCCTCAGATTTAAGTGGTCTTGCTTTTTTTCCAGACTCCCTTGCCTTGGCAGATTCTGTGTCTTGGCCATACTGTAAGAACTCACTTTTCTTTGTCTTTTTATTGATTCAAGCAATATAACCATTTCATAAATAATTAGGAAAATAAAGAAGAAAATTTCTCATAATTCTACTGCTCAAACGCAATAGCTATGATTGCTTTGGAGCAATTGCTTTGGGTCATTTTCAAATGCTGAGTTTTGGTATGATTCTAAGCATAATGTACAAACAACTTTACATGTTGCTTTTTCACTTAATCTATGTCAGAAGCATCTCCCCAAGTTATGATTAGCTTCAGTAATTATCTTTTTAATTGCTGCCCAAACAGCTGGAACAATTCAGTCCCTCTTATTGACTTTCCATGTGTCCTATGGAAGTAGAGACAGTCTATTAACTATTTCTGTATTTTGGGACAATAGATCAAATTCATTTTTCACTGTAATTAATCCCATGATAAGTATCTTTATAAATAAGCCTTTTCTATATATAAGATAATTTCTTTAGGATAAATTCCTAGAAATTACAGGGTCAAAGTGGATACATATTTTATGACTCTTGATATTTCTTATTGACCTTTAAAGCTATTATGTGACTTTATATTATCACCTAAAATGTTTGAGGAATTCATGCTTTACGAGCGTATTTTATTGACTAAATATGCAGTACTGAGAGAGCTTTATGTGTGCAGTTTGATGATGCTGACAGATATCCCGGAGATAAACATTTTTTAATTTAAAGATGTTCTGTTTATGTTTAACATACAGAAGTTAATGTTAAACATGATGCCTATTTTGTTTAACATACAGAAGTGACTGTATTAAAGCCATTTCTTCTAAATGTGCAATAAACTATGAATTCTTTGCCTGGTTCTAATGTTCTGTCTCATCAAACCTCATAAAACTAATTAGCATCATAACCCCTTAGTTTGCCTGTGAATTTTGAAGATGATATGAATTTCTCTTCCATGTGAAATAGAATTTGGTGGGTATCCCTTTGCTGGGAATAACTCCTTTGAAAAATAGAAAAAATACTGAGCAGAAAGAAAGTACATTTTCTGGGAAAAGAATAAGAACCCGGAGAGATGGAGTGAGAATTGTACCACAGAGTCCCAGCAGCAGATGTTTTGGGTGTTGAAACTCCCACCAGAACAGCTGCAGAAATGTAGAATCACATCTGGGTGTGTGACGCGGCTGCATTATTACCTACAGACAGCAAAACAGCCAGATGCTTCCAATTCATTTTGAGGACCAGGCTTCAGGTCTGAACCTGTGAATGTCTCCACTTCCCGACCAACAACTTATCAATTGCCGAGACAGCTCATGAAAACTTCGCCTCGCGGGCACTTTAAGGACAAATCTCGGTTGCAGCAGGTAGAGGCAGAGTGCAGCTGCTGCACACCCGGCCCTGCAGCTCTAGCTCTGCTCTCGGGCTGGAGGATAAAGCCATCAAAGCCCTTCCACACGACGGTTCCTGCATGGCTTGTCACCGGTGCGTGAGGCTTCTGAGGGCGAATTCTGTTTAATCTCCACTCTAGTTCTTCAAATTCTCATCTCTCTCTCCCTTTTTTTCTCTTTCCTCTTTCACTGTCTCCTCTCTCACTCTGCGCATGTGTGTGAGAGAGTATCTCTCCCTCTCTCCCTCTTTCCTTCTCCCCATTCTCCCAAATATAAGCTTCTCCCTAGGACAGTGGAACAAATAACTGGGTGATCATTATAGTAGCAAATGGTTCTTAAGACTCGGACAAACACTGTGATTTTTGAGTGCACAGCTATTCTGTCATTCCTCTTGCCTTACATGGATATTGAAGTCAGTAAAAGTGGCCCCTGGTGACAGGGCTCCAGCCAGCAGACAGGCTGATCACAGACTTCAGCAGCCTCTTGTCTCTCTGACCAAGTACCAAGAGTGCAGCGCAGCTCACAGGCCCTGGGGGAAGGTCATTCAGTATATAACTCTCAGGCCCGGAAGAAAAGAGTTGTTCAGCCTGACTGACATGGAGAAACCCCATCTCAACTAGAAATACAAAATTAGCTGGGTGTGGTGGCGCGTTCCTGTAATCCCAGCTATTGGGAGACTGAGGCAGGAGAATCACTTGAAACTAGGAGGCAGAGGTTGCAGTGAGCCGAGATTGCAACATTGCACTCCAGCCTGGGCAACAAGAGCGAAACTGCATCTCAAAAAAAAAAAAAAAAAAAAAAAAGGAGTTGTTCAATGTGAAAGCCTCAAGAGAAAAACGATACTCAAATGTGTAAATCTCAACCCCTACGGATGGTCAAGAGATAGGTTTCTCTCAGGAGTAGCCTGTGTACACCTCTCCCTCCCCACAGAGTGAGCAGAAGCTGACCAGAAACATTTGGTGAAAGAAAAGCTATCTTCAATCATCACACTCTTAATTTCCTGCAGGAACTTCATGTTTGTTATTAGAAGTATTTTTATTATGCTAAACAACCAAAACCATTCATACAGAGCTTGCAAATAGGGAGGCCAAGGAAGTTCTCTCATCAGCCCAACTGAGGCTTGGATCCATCTCTTCAATTGTTACTCAGAGTCTTGTGCAGAGCTCTCTCTTGAAGGAAGAATTGTAAAATGTAACAGAATCATAAAAGAGGTTAAGATTCACCAAACAGTTATTTTTGGGGAGAGAGGATAATTTTACAGAGGAAGGAATAAAAGCCGAAAGAGGTGAAATAACTTGCCCAAAGTTTCAAAGTGGAGTCTGGCCCCAGATCCCAGGTTGTTGAGCCCCAAGCTCCATTGTGTGTTCTTTGTCCTGCTGCCTCTTTGTTGGCCAATACCACACCAGGGTCAAGTAGGATGCAGTTAACTCTAGAACTCTGGGCTTCTGGTAGTGAAGGTCATTAAACTTGAGTGACAAGTTGTGTTGAGTAAAAATGATCCTAGAGTTGAAGAAATGGACATGTTATTCATGTCCATTGTGACCTGTGAGAGGTGTCTGCTGTTGAAACGCTTTTTATTCAGTAATAATATTAAAGGAGTATTATTGAGGTATGGACCAATTGCTGTGGTAGGGACTGTGAAGTACAAGTTGTATATCCTGCCTTTAAGGCACTTATAATCTGGTGAGATTAGCAGAGATAGAGGAATCATTAAGTAATATTCAAGATGGTGGAAGCAGGGCTGTGAAGGTTTGTCTATGCTGTGGAGTCCTAAAGGGGATGAATGTCTCGAAGCTTGGTGGGCGAGGAAACTTCAGCCAGTGAGGTTTGGGGAAAGTGTGCTAGGGTGGGGGTCAGGGTCTGAATCTGGAAAGGTGCAAAGGACTCCTAATATAGAGTAAACGAGAAACAGTCCAGAGGTTTGGAATTTGAGAAAAAGGGTGAAAATGAGAAATGATAAAGTATGCTCAGGGAGTGGCCTTTTTGTGTAGTGTGTGAAGCAGAAAAGGCTGAAAAGAAGACTCAGAATTAGATTGCAGTAATCTTGATGACCCTAGTCCAAGAAAGTGGAAATGACAACACTGCTTGTCAGCTGGGGCACTGCTTTGATAATAAGTGGGCTTCCATAAACTCAGTGGGTGGTGTGTGGACCAAAAGGACTATGGCTTGAGTTTAAGGCCAACTTACAAATCCTGTGTGTTTTATGTTTTCACCACCTAGCACTTCTTTTGGCAACTATATAGAAGATTGTCTTATATCCTGACTTTGTCTTCTGCTAAGTCTCTGTAGCCACCTTCCAACTCAAATGGAACAACCAGAAGGGACACGCCAAAGGATGCCACATGGCAACCTCTGCCACTAAACACCTGTTCCAGAAGGAGCTAGTAGAGGATTATGACTAGTTCTTCACCATGAATTCATTAAAATCAGAAGAAAATACACACCAAAGGAAATCTGATTAGACCTGACTCGAGGTACAGGTTGAACATTCAGTAGAGTGGCTTTTGTGGCACAAAGAGGAAGAAGCCCTTTGGGCAGAACCTGAAGTGTTGTGAAATGGTACCCAACCCTGTGGGGAACCTGATGGAGTGGCAGTGGCTGAGGACTTCTGTCCATGAGGCAGCTGCTGCTCCTCCAGCAGTGTGATTTAGACATAGCTAAGTGTTCAGAGCTGGAATGGGCCCTACTCCATATTTAGTGCAACTCCTCATCTCAGTAAATGTCTTGACACTTAGGTAAGGTTAGGGAAGTGATCTGCCTGAGATCTCTCACTTTTGTTAGGGAATGGCTGTGAGACCCCATTCCAAGCCCAGCTGTCTGCTTTGCTATCACTTCTACCACTTGAGGACTTAAGAACTTCCTCTTACTGAGCCAAGAGGCTCATGCCTGTAATCCCAACACTTTGGGAGGCAGAGTGGGAGGATCCCTTGAAGCCAGGAGTTCAAGACCAGCCTGGGCAACTAAGAGAGACCCTGTCTCTACAAAACAACAACAACAGCAACAGAAAAAACCAAAATATTATCTGGGCACGGTGGTGCATACCTGTAGTCCTAGCTACTCGGGAGGCTGAGACAGGAGTATCACTTGAGCCTAGGAGTTCAGGAGTTCAGGAGTTCAAGGCTGTGGTGAGCTGTGATCATGCCACTGCACTCCAGCCTGGGCAACAGAGTGAGAGCCTGTCTCTTAAAAAAAAAAAACTTCACTTGGGGGCCTGTCATTTTATTATCTCTCCTAGAACATATTTTCTTAAGACTAAGGCAGTAATGTCTTTCTTATGGGCAACGTATCTTCATTGCTGAAGGTCTTAAGAATTTAGGTCCTGGATCCCTATGTCTACCCACAGGGCTGGTGCATCCACCTGCATAACTCCAGGGAGCATGGGTCACGTGGAGTTTGATGGGGATAGTGTCCCCTGCAGTTGGGCAATGCAAGGCTGGCTCATGACCATTGCAGGTTCATTTCTGCTAGACTCTCCTAGGAGTCAGTACATTTTCCTTAGTTCCAATGTTATTTTTCTCTCAGTCCAAGCCAGAATCTTTCCTACATAATCTAAAAAGCAATTTCTTTCTGCCTGATTCCCCATTGCTCGTCTTGCATTTCTGGCAAAACAGCACCTGTGCCTGGCTCAGCCTGGGTTTCCCTTCATGGTTTCTGGTGTTGATGGCAGGCTTCCTGCTTATTCCTTCAAACCTTACCTCCTGTCCATTCTTCTGTCTGCCTCATTCTCTCTCTCTTACCTATTTCTTTATATTCATTTATTTAGTATTATTTGTATAGTTATTAAAGTCATCTATGTGGACATAATTTTAGCAATTTGGCCAGGTATGGTGGCTCATGCTTTTAATTCCAGTGATTTGGGAGGCCAAGGCAGGAGATTGCTTGGGCCCAGGAGTTTGAGACTGAAGTGAGCTAGGATGATGCCGCTGCACTCAAGCCTGGGTGGCAGAGCAAGATCCTGTCTCTAAAACAAACAAATGAACAATCTCCTCCAACACAAATTCATGATTCAATTTATCAGTTAAAGGTTTAAAATCAAACCTAGCAGCACCCTTGTTCCACTTTTCTCCTCCCCATTTTCTCTCCATTCATTGCCTGCTACTTCTAGCTTTCTTAGTTTTTTTCTTATGTACCTGCACATTCATAAATAATTTGCTAATGTTACTAATGCTTGATTTATCTCTTTTAGATATTACCTATTTACTCTGTATTATGCTTGTGAAACTTTTCTCTAATCATTCCCTTCCCCTTTCTCTTTCCTCTCAACATATTTGTAGCACATTTTCATATTTATAGCCCATATTCAGGGTTTACATTATTGTGGCTATGTAAATATTATTTACTACTGAGGCAAACAAGTACTATATTTACATCTAGTCTATTATACAATGTTTTTCCCAGAAGTTAATAACTGTCTTTTTTTTCCATTTGCTTAGTGTTCTGTGAATCTATCACTAATTTTCCTTGCATCTTCTGACAGCTGTGTAAATGCTTCTCAAACAGTTTTCCCCAAGTTCGAGATATTAAATAATCTAGAATTCTCCCACCTGGCCCTTACTCCCAGGTTGGAGGCTTTCCTCCTAGAGTTCTCCAAACTCCCAGAGTCTGCATTGGTTGCTCTTCAGGCTCATTGAACAGTTGTTTTGGGATTCCTCTCCTATGTTATTCTGGGGTTTGTTTTCCACTCTCTCCTTTCCTGGATTCCAATTTTGTTTTATTTGTGTTTGTCCATTTGTATTGCTATACAGGAATACCTGAGGCTGGGTAATTTATAAAGAAAAGAGGTTTATTTGGTTAACAGTTCTGCAGGCTGTACAAGAAGCATGGTGCCAGCATCTGCTTCTGGTGGGGACCTCAGGAAGCTTCCAGTCATGGTGGAAGATGAAGGGCAGCAGGCATCACATGGCGAAGGGAAGAAAGAGCAATGGGGAGTAGGTGCCAGGTTCTTTTCAACAACGAATTTTCATGAGAACTAAGAGTGAGAACTCACTCATTCCTGCGAGAATGGCACCAAGCCATTCATGAGGGATCCACCTCCACAACCCATACCTCCCACCAGGCCCTACCTCTACCAATGGGGATCAATTTTCAACATGATATTTGGAGGGTCAAATATCCACATCATAGCACCTTGTTAGCTGATTAAACATTTTAGGGAAACACTGACTCCAGTTAGTCTTGAGAAAGGGTGCATAAGAGGCATATTACCTTAGTCTGTGTTTATCTGAAAGTTCATTGTTTTACCCTCATACTTGATTAAGAGTGTGTCTTGGTATAGATGTAGACTGAACATGCTTTTTTTCTCAGAATATCAATTGTTATGTTGTTGTCTGGCCTCAGTGTTGCTAGTAAGAGGCATGATGCCATTTTTATTCCTTATCCTTTGTGACAGGTTTTCTTCTCTGTCAACTTACAATCTGTCCTATTTCTGATATTCTGAAATTTCATAATATTTGCTTAGGTAGTTTTTTTGGTTGTTGTTTTAAATACATGATGCTGGGCCTTCTCTGGAAACTCATGTCTTTCAGTTCTGGGAAATTAAACCACTTATTAGATTATTTCCACCCCATAATTCTCTCCACTTTCCCTTCTTGGAATTTCAGATGTTGGATACATTGGCTTGGTCCCCTAATTTTCTTTCTCTTCATTCTCATCTTTTTCTTTGGCTTTTCAAGGAGAGTTACTCAACCTTATCTTCCAAGTGTTCTATTGAATATTTTTTATCTTGGCTAATTCATTTTTTCACTCCGATTATACTTTTTAATTGCATCTTATTCTTGTTTCATGAATGCAATACTTTCTCAAAACTTTCAGATGACAATAATATCTATAGGGTTGTTTGTTTTTGTTATTTATTTTTCTGCTCCCTCTATTGTCTCTATGTCTTCTCAGCCTTCCAAAAAAAGTTTATTTGTTAAGTTCTCTTTTTTCATAGTTGAGGTCTTCTACAAATGTCTGGTGATCCTTAAATGTTTATTTATGATTAAGAAGTGGTACACTAAAAAGCTAAGAGGAGACTTTATGTGCATGGGGTGGCTTGCCCCTCAGTAAGCATTATCAATAGATGAGTGGGCTTACTTGATTGATGAAGAACGTTTCAGATGAAGTCTCTGTGGATCTTGTCCCAAGGGCCAGTCAGTCTTTTTGGAGAATTATCCTTCATTTTCATGCCTGGAATGTATACATCTGGGCACTCGTGTTCTGGAAGCAGAGACAGAAAGGGCACTTGGAAGACAGACTTCCACCTAGTGCCTTGTTTTCAGCCTCACACCCTGTTGTTACCAGAACATGAAGATTCTCTGGTTGAAGTTCTCTAAAGAAGACATGTTTACCTGCCTGGAAAGGATGGAGCAGGGAATGGGTTGGGAGAGGCCAGAGGGAAAGAGCTAGTGTTTGGTGAGCTGGGGTGGAGTGAGGGAAGAAGCAGATACATACTGTGTACAAATACAGACTTTTAGTCAGTATCTCTGCTCCAAGCCCAGGCCTCCTGCCAGCTTCCACGGAAGCTATGGTGTGCAGATGTCCAGTCTGTCAAGGGTTCTGTGGGTGAACTTGTGTGTTCTTCCATTATAGCCTCTTCTCCTCTGCTGAGGTAATTACCATTTCCCCATCCCTTCCCCGCTCCACAAATCTGACTTCTTACCTACAGCTGTTACCTCTCCTGTTCTTGCTGACTTGTGGGTTTACATCTTTTTAATTCTTTTATTGTCATTTCAATCAGGATTTAGGCGGGAGAAGGATAAACATGTATACTCTATTTACCATATCTGACCTAAGGTCTCTTGTTTTTTTTTACATGGCTTTCTGAAATCACACACAGAGGCCCAGGCATAGAAAACATCAAGGGCTGTAGTTCATAGCCAGTTTGTAGTAAACAAGAATTCCTTTAAGTCTTGGAGGCTGCCTCAAAGGGAGAAGCCTTACCCAGCTGTGGGGTCTCCTGGCCTCCCCTGCACTGGCTCGACAGCACCAGGGCCAGAGGCACCTCAGGGAATTGTCTCTCCTTGAGCAGCTGCTGAAGCATCAGGCACAGGGGAGCGGGAGACAGACCTCTGGGATAGCTTTTGTGCAATGTAATTGAGGTCCGAAGCAGCATTTTTTCCTATTTAACCACAATGCTCAGACTCACTCCAAACTACCCCATCACATTTATTAAAGGGAAAAATAAGTGAAGAAACAAACCTGGGGTTATGTTTCATGGAAAGCTTGTCAAAGAAGAAAGGCTTTTCCTCCTTATCTGCCTGTTCAACTTGCAAGCGGACTGTTAAGCAATTAATATTTTCCAAGTTTTCACAAGTGTCCTGTAGAGAACTGGGACAGGAGCGATGCTTATTAAAAGAATGTGATAAATATAAACAATAGCAAAAGGCTTTGCAGTCAAGAAAGTGCCAAGCAGAAAATATTGTAAGACCAAAACAATCATGATAACCCCCTCCTCCAAACAAACAAAATAAAAGACATCACAGGCAAAATTCCTTCTCTCTCTCCCTCTTTTTAACTAGGGAAGGAAATCTTGCTTGTGAGCAGCTGAATTTTGAAAATCCTTAAGAGATTTATTAGAAATTGATTTGTAACTGCAAATTATTTTTTTCTTTTATCACTGCAATGTTCATTAAATGTCATTGTTATACAGTGCATCAACGGTGCATTAGAAACAGGCCTTCCATTTCTTTTTAGGCTGAGCTTGGCAAAAATTTAGATGATATCTGAAATATGAAAGTTTCTGTTGTAGCTGAATTGTGTCCTATACCTTCACCCCAACCCAATCTGACCAGTGTCCTTATAAGAAGAGGAAACTTGGAGATGGAGACACCAGGACATGCATATATAGAAGAAAGTCCCTGTAGGGATACAGCAAGAAAGCAGAGATCTGAAAACCAAGGAGAGAGGCCTCAGGAGAAACCAATTTGCCTACACCTTGATCTTGAAATTCTAGCCCCCACAACTGTGAGAAAATAAATTTCTGTTGTTTAAGTGCCACGCAGTTGGTGATATTTTGTTGTGGCAGCCCTAGCAAATTAATATAGTTCATTTTCCACCATATTTGATTGAAATTTGGATATAACAAAGAAGATCATAAAAATAGTAAGAATAAGATGCTTCTAAAAGCCAACTTTTGCTAACAGTTGAAAAATCAGGTATTAGATCATGGTTAAGAAACATGACACATATGGAATCACATTGGCCCCATCACCTGTGAGCTGAAGGTCTAAGGTGTTGAGTTGAGCTGAGGTGGGGCTTGCAGAGTTGGAACATGGAGCCTTAGACTCTCTGTCCCCTTAGGGCTTGTCCTCAGTCTGTCATCTTTCAATCTGGCAGGGGGAGGACCCTGAAATAGAAGGTCTTAAAGGGCAAGGGAAGAGTAGATTGAGGGGGTTTCCTGGTGGCAAGTGTTCCTGATGGGAAGTGAATCAGGGGTCCATTCTGCCCTCTCAAACACCAATCAGCATGGACAGCAGCAGTCTGGGTTGTGGAATGCTGCAATGGACAGCTGGAGAAATGGCCTCTCACTCACAAAAAGATGCTTAGTGGGCAGAGTGCCCTGGAGTCTCCTGGGCCATCTTATTTCTCTCTTTCAGGCTGAGGAAGAAAGGAAAAAGTATGGCATTCATTTAACTAGATACTCAAAGTGCTTCTATCTGGGCTAGTAACTCAGCTGAGGAAACAGCTGAGCACTAGCCTGTTTGTAGCCCCATGCCTGGAGGTTGCAGGTTGTCACAATTTTCCAGAAGCCAGCGAGAAAAGCCAGGGCATCATGTTTAGCTTGTACTCACCATCAGGAAACGTGTCACCCTCTCTGTGAGTGCAATGCTCATGCTGACCAAGGTCCTAGATCCAAAGAGTGAACCACTAAAATGAGTAAAATTGAGGGAGAGTTACAAAGACAGAGAGGAAAGGAGGGAGGGGGAGAGGGACAGAGAGGGAAAGATGGAGATTTAGAGAGAAACAACGAGAGACACAAGGAAAGCAGGCAGAGAATAAACAGAGAGAACCAGATAGCCTGGAGAAAAGCAAGTCCCCGTGCCAGGGCTGAGAGGCTGGGAGATCCTCACCCACCCACTTCGGATCTGCACTCATCCCCACCTCTTAGCCTGTATAACCCGTTGGAGCATCAAGGCTTAAGGAAGTCCGTGGAGCCTTGTAAATGTGATATGGTTTCTAATGGATACCCTGTGAATTCCCTGATGTGGAACAAAAAGGTTGTGGGACCAAAGTTAATATTTTTAGGTTTTATTTAAATAGGGGGTTATGCCAGGGATTCAGTCATGTGAGCTGGACATCTCATCCAGGTGGGAGAGTCAAATCAAGAACTGAATCCTGGGGGCGGCCAGCAGGACTGGGGGCAAGGCATGTTCATTCTTCCTAAATGAGTCTTTATTGCAAGAGTGCTGCTTTCTCTCTGGTGCTTGTTAAATACTGTATTTATGCTGTGTATTTGTATACAGTGGGATTAAGGGACCAAACTGAATTACTGATGATGGTTGCTTGAAGGGGTGTTTGACTAGGAGATTTACACAGCGTTCTTAATAATCTTTTTTATTTATTTATGGAATGTTATCATTCCAAACGTACAGTTCTGCCATCCCTTGGGAAAGATGCTTTCTGTTTGAGGGCCACCAGCTCTGCATGTTGATTTGAAAAGAGATAAAAGAGCATCTGGCCACCACAGCACAGGCTGCACTTCCCTCCCTCTTCATTATGCAGAGAGCTGATGCAATTTTTGCTTCTTTCCTATTTATACAAATAAAGACCACAATTTGGGAAATATGTCATGCTGGCATTAAACACCACCAATCTTGCTGGGTTGAAATGTACACGTTCCATTAACAACAATTATATTGTATAATTAAGGTTTTGGTCCCCAAAGTCTGACGTGGAAGCTTCCTCAAATACCGATGGGTTTATTGAAGATGTTAAAATAAATATACCCCTCCCGTTGCCCTCCTCCACTTCCCCATTCCTCGCCCCCCTTCCAAAAGCACCACCAATACCTGAGTCAATGACTTGGTCTGCAGTAAAAGTGGGGTTCAAGTGCCCTCTAGTGTAGCTGTGACTGTGTGGATATGAAAATAGAAAAGCTTTGAAAAGGCAGACAAATGCCTGCAAGCAGAATCATCGAACATTCCTGTACATTTGATGGGGCTCCTGTGTACGAGTTCCACATGATCAACACTGGGTGCAGGCAGGTGATTTGGACCCCTCAGGATGATGCTGTCCATACAATCTTGCTATAATGGTACTCTCCATCATTCTTTTGTGGGCCTCTCAGTTCAAGTTTATGTGGAAATTTCCCAAGGTGTATGCAATCTTGGCACACTCATGTGTAAACAGTTACAGGGAAAGGGCTAATGAGGTTCAAGCCCTTGCACCTGGGAGTGTCTCTTGACCTCCCCTCCCCCACCGCCCTTGCTCCCCCCCACTGCCAACCCCCACCACAGTCTTGGCACATTTTACTCTTCTGGCAGCTGGAGAGAGCTCTGACCTGTGTCTCATCAGTGAATGCTGGTTGTGACAATAATGAATTTCTAATGGCAATTAACACAGTGACAGGGTTTATAAATTATAGATTATGACAACACTCCCTGCGATCTGGTTTTTTCCTTTGAAGACCACCTGGCTACCAATAACGGTCTCACCAGCCAAATCCTGTATTTGTGGGCCAAGACAGAAGAAGAACAACAATGAAAAAAAGCTGGAAATCTTAGAGCAGACTCACATCTTAACTAGGAGAATACGTGCTGGCCCAAGTGCCCCAGGACTGAAGCAAATCAGACATAGGGGAGGAGGGAGAATGTTAGAATGAGGCACACCTGATTCAGCCGCTAAATAGTCTGGTTGGCTAAGAATCACAATCGAGGCATTTTGCCTTTCTAGTTTTCTTTGGTGAAGATCTGTGAGCATCCAAATGATATGAAGAGCAATATGGCTAATCTGCACTACTTCGTGAGTACATATATTCTGAAGAAAGTTGTAGTTGGGAAAGGTGAGGATGGGTCACTGCTCCATCCTCAGACAGGACTGTAGTGTGTGGGTGTGTCGATGTGTTTCCTTGCTGAAAGTGAAAATTGGGTAGATTTTCTTCCAGAATTGAATGATGGTGGAGGCATGATTCCTGGGTAGGCCTACACATATAGCACATGATTCTGTATTTAGTTACTCTTTAAATCCCTAGGAGAAAATTGGCTCAGGATAGAAAAGGGAAATATGTTGAAAATTTTGGTAGACTTCCTGGAAATGTGGAAGCATGCGCAATTTGTGGAGGTGATAATGTTAAGGGGATTGAACAGATAATAAACTCATACTAATACTAAGGTGAATAGGCAAGACGGATTATTTTGGGAGACTCCTGTGGCAGAAACTATTGACTACTTATCCCAAATCAACCAGTTCCTTCTTCCTTCTTAGTAGAGTACTGAATTTGTTTAGAAACTGGGTCTGTAGGAGCTTCAGAGACCCCTCCCTAGCCCTAGAGGCAAATATTGATTACAGTAAGACAATTGTGGGATGTGTACGGGAAGCCTCTAGGAAATGTTTCTCTTGAAATCCATAAAGGGAAGCCTGGGAGGAATACTTCCTCTTTGCTGGATGTGGCGTCTGCGTGTACCATCTGGAATTGCTGTAGCCAACTTACAAATACAGACGAAAGCTTTATCAACCTGCTGAGCACAGCAGAATGGAAAGATGCAAAGCACCCTGCTCTTGGGAACTGGCCACCTTCAGACTTCTTGCTACATCAGGTAACACAGTTCTCTCATTGTTTAAGCCACTTTCAGTTGGGGTTTCTGTTACTTGGAACTGAAAGCATCTTAACTGATACAACCACTATTTGAAACAGTGCATAACAAGAATGTTGTCTTTGAAAAATCAACACCATCAGAAGACAGGTGCTGATAAAGCAATTACCTACAATGAGAAGATCTTTAAGATCCCAGTTAGTTCTGACATATCATGCTCTAATCCGTGGATCTTTGTCATGGAAGAAAACAGAACAAGAAAAAAGTTCATGGAAACTTTTGGGCTAAACTATTGAACCCACCTTGGGTAGTGTGAGTAAAATGTTCTATATGTGTGATTCACACACTTGTGAAATTTAGACTTGCATTTCTTACTTTCCAAAGCAGAGAGTGAAACAGATCGATATCTCTGCTTAAGCAAACCAGTAATTATAATCGACAAGAAGAACTGTAAATTGTTTTCAATTGATGACTGAGTAATCACATGATATTTAAGAATTTTCACCCAAATGTCATCTTGAGCCAAGGTATGAGAATATGCCATGTGCCATAAGGATAGAGTTGATAATGTGTTTTTTGACTAATAATCATACATAAGTAGGTATTTTTTCTGAAAGACTTAGGCTATGCTTTGTAAGAGTGTACTTTATATTTATTAGGCAATGCATGTCATTAATTGATATAATGTTTACAAGTAAACCCTCTTTAATATACTTCAACATTGACAGCCTTGGTAAGGAAGAACAAATAACGTAGTCTGTGTATGTATACAAATAGGGTTTACTTTTTTAATAAAATAAAATTTAGGGAAGACTAATTAGATACATATTTATTTATAGGTGTATTGGTTGCAAGTAACAAGCAGTTCACAGAAAGCAACAATAATTGTAGGGAGACCTTATTCTCAGATTTTCCAAGTCTATTTCAATTTCAAATATTATTTACTATGGTGAGAACAATGCGTATTGATTTTTTGGTTTAGAAAATATGATCTGTCAGAGGACACATTTTGCATTAACTCTACCCTGCAGCAAGCCCTCACACTGTGTGTGGAGGGGAGGAAGGGAGCAAAAGGTAGATGTAGGGGAAACTTCCTGGAGACCCTGGCTCCATAACCCAGAGGGAGCTGCCCCCCTGGGCTTTTCCAGCACCCAGCAGGGGCTACCTGCTCCCTGGGGGCACTGGCAATGAATGCTCTTCTCCTGTTTCTCCTCTGCAACACTATGCTTCACCTTCTACTTCTGGGAAAAGGTTGCAAGTAAGCTTGTCTTCCTCACTGATTACTGCCCACCTGAAACTTGGGCTCCAC
This sequence comes from Homo sapiens, assembly GCF_000001405.40. Lineage (NCBI taxonomy): Eukaryota > Metazoa > Chordata > Mammalia > Primates > Hominidae > Homo > Homo sapiens. The sequence goes on from NC_000018.10 coordinate 24,675,766, forward strand.
CAGTCATATATTGTTCTGTGAGTGTGATCAGTGCACAGGAGGAAATGAGTTTGCAGGGAGCTCTTGAAGCAGATAACTTGAAATATAGCCCAAAGAATTGTGTTGGAATAGGTCCTCACTTCCATCTTGACTAGAAGTTTGGGGAGAAGGGGAGACATTTCACATTGAGAAGATGACATTTAACTTTAGGGAGGAATATCCAGAGAAGGAATGATTTTACAGGCAGACAGAGGTAGGTTTGAATACAGGTCTGATACTTGTTGTGTGACCTTGAACTTGAGCACTGTTGAAATCTCATGATGCCTATGCAGGGTTGTGGTCATCAGGATTGGCAAGATAGCATATGAGGAACTCAGCAAAGCAGCTGGTTCACTGTCAATATCCAGTAACTCCTGGAAAAGAAATCAAGGCAATGAGTTAAATAACATGCTCTATAAGTGACATCTAAAAGTGACATGAAAGTACGCCTTAAAAAAGTCATCAGTATAAGGAAAAGCTGTGTTCTGACAAAACGTAACCGGAAACCTATTGGATAATAGAATGAATTAAAGGAGCTCAGCAAATCCAGGGATCTAATTGTCATACTAAGAGATTAAGCTTTTACTTCTGTGACATGCTCTGAATTAGGAAGTTTCATTGATTACCTTCTTAAGAAGATAGCTTTCTGAAGGCCCATTTAAGATTTAGTAGCAACATTATTGAAGAGTTAGTGTCCTGTTCCCTTTTGGTGTTTTGGGGTGAACTACAAATCTTACATTGGGAGTCTTTCAAATAAAAAGTATTTTTAGGTGTTAATTTGGAGGCCTTTCCAGGCAAGGATGCCAACTTTCTTACAGCAACAATGCAGAAACCAGGCCAGTCCTCTACCCTTCCTGCAATTTTCTATTTGGTCTAAGGTAGCTCTGTGGAATTATGTTTTTCTGTATGATTATTTCCATGGCACTGATGAAGTTACATTTTTTTAAGTTGTTTTTGTTTTTTTTCTGTGAGATTGAGTCACTTCAGGAAAACAGGGTGCTTTAAATGAATAATTAAAGTTGTCTTTGTTGATTCTTAAGGAAGCCTCAAGAATGGAGAGTTGAATGGTAGGGTTAGCACTGAAATAGAATAGCTGAAGCAGAGATGACAAACATCGTGTGCTGATAGCTTACCAGATCAGTGATGGAAGTGTAGAGCATATCTCTGCACTGAAGGCTGAAATCACCTCTGAGACACCAGCAAGACCCAGCATGGAGCCAAAGGAGGACTGATGGAGAGTGGCCCCACCATTGTGAATGCTGGCATTGGAGCCCATCACAACCTATATCAAAATGGGTGGGCTGAAATGTGAACTTTCTAGTACTCCAGCTGTTCCTGAGATTCCTAGAACAGGGACACTTCCTAGTTAGCCATCTGGAGGCATATCTTGGGTCTAACTTATGAGCAAGTGATTAAAAAAAAAAGTGAGGAGCATCAGAATTTGGCCACTAACCCGGACTAATGACTCACAGGGTTGGCTATTTGAAAGTCATGCCTGCTACTCCCTGATCTTATTCATTTCTTAAGTGACATTGATTTTTGAATTTGGGCCACTTATTTTCAAATTTCTGAGGGTGGTAGATAGTATTGGGGGAAAAATACCTCAAATGTATTTTTAAATATAGATGAGCAGTGAGTATAAGGTGGAAGAAATCAATCGGCACAATTATATTTTGCAACAATTATAACAAGTCCCTACAGATAATAACCACAGTGAAATGATGAATACTGCTTGTCCTCCTGTGACCTTCAGCAACACCTCCAGCAGCTCAGTGGTCAGTCGTAGGCTGCAGCTGCGCCAGATTAAAAATGCACCATCCTGAGGGGCCAGAGTCACCTCTACAGTAGTCACCCTGTTCTTGAGGTTCTTAGCATATTTTATCTGGGGTTAAGAACCAACTAGTATCTTTTACTTGATAGTAAGGTGAGGTGGGGTTGACACATACAGGTGAGCTCAGGGACAACCAGCAAAATAGAGAGACATAAGGGCAAAAAGCTTTTCTAGACTGGAGCTTCACCTGCTGCCCAAGCTGTTACCATTTTCTGTTGTGCATGGAGGCAACTGTTCCTCTGGTGAGAAATGCTTGAAACCACATCATTCTAATGCCACCCTTTAAGAGTTTTGAACCCATTCAAATGATTGCAAATACTTGAAATTTTCATCTCTATGTATGTTCCTAATTATCTATTCCAAATAACATGTCAAATATTTCTTGGTATTGCTTACTATGACTGAAGAAAATATTAATGTTAAGGACTTAGAGCAACTGTAATCTCACTTTGTTTTCTTATAATGGGGATAAGGTTAAATGACAGTCCGAGGTTACAATTAATTTACTCTTTCAGTGAATACATATGAAGCCCCTTTTGTGTTCCAAGCATTGTTCTGGGGGCTACAGATAAAAATAGAAGAGCAATAGATAGGGCATTGTCTGCCTTTAAGGAGCTCACAGTTTGGAAGGGAAGTGGACCTAGCATCAAATAGTAACAATCAATTGTGGCATGTGGACAAAGGAGAAAGGCACATGGTGGTGACAAAGGGCTGAGTGGATGGAGGACTCTGAATCCCAGCTCAGTACTGTTGCTGCTGGAAAGGGACTTATGAGTTCCCAGAATAAAGAACACTTTGTTGTTGTTCAGTCTTCATGGTTTAAAGAGCTTCATCAATGCAGAGTTATTTATGTTATTCTCATATACTGTTAGTTTCAAGCATTTACGAACAATCATTAATCTGCCTACCAAAGTTAAAAAATAACTTTATATCCATACATGCTTTTTAGTTCCCAATGGACTGGCTTTCACATGCATTTTCTCATCAAAATCCAAAATCCTATGAAGCTGAAGGAAGGGGCTTAATGAACATTATCCCCATTTTTCAGATGAGAAAGCTGAGGTGAAGAAAAGTGAAGGGACTAGCTCTAAGTCATAAAGCTAATTAATTGGCAGATTGAGCCATGTGAATTGAGGTCTTTCTAACTGCTTGGAACATGAGTGCTTGTGTATATTCCAATGCTGAGAAGACTCATTCCTCGAATGAGTGTCATTCAATGTAGGTTTCACATGTGGGTTTAATAGGAATACTGGGTTAGTCATTCCCTCCTTTTAGAGACTCTCGTTCTTTGAATCCTGCACTATGTCACTCTGCACGTTTCTTGTATACTTTTGATTATTCTTTCTCTGTCTCCTCTACCTGCCAGGTGAGTGTTGGTGCCCCATGGGGCTGACCCTGCTATGTGTCTTTCTCTCTCACACTCTGGACAATCACATACATTTTCAGGGCATCAGTACCATGTCTCAAATCGGATTTTCTAACTCTGACCTCTCCCCAGGCATCAGAAAAATATACCAGCTGCCTGCAGGACATCTCCCGTGGATCCCCAGAAGTCCTCTACATTCCTGCTGAGTGATCCTTCCCACCACTCAACACTGGAACCCTCACTATTATTCTTAATTCACTTGATGTCAGCATCATCTGCCCAGACACCCAGACTCAAAAGCCACGTGTTTCTTCTCCCTCACATGTCACATCTAACTGAATCATCACGTCTTCATTTGGTCCTCCAAATACATTTTTTGAAATCTGTTTCCTCTTTCTCATTCTTGTTGCCACTGTCCTGTATATTTTAATGGGTCCTCCAGTATGTCTGTGGGCTTCTTGAGAGCATATTGAGGAAAAGGGCAAGCGATATATTCATTCAAGCATTCATTCACTAATTAACTTCACAAAAAATTGAGACATATGTCGCAGCTACTGAGAAACACTGGGTTGAATCTTTTGAGAAAATTGAACTTGACCTGGAAACCTTATAGTTTTTTCTCATCCTGTCTAGGTTAATTAACCCTGTATTACATAGCTCTCAGGCCTTAACAATTTCACGCTGGATATCTAGCTGTTGTCTAGCCAGAGAGCAAAGATTAAATGACAGTTCTTATCAATCATTCCCAAAGTACCTCTCTCAAAACCATAAGATTCTGCCAAGTAAATGCTTGAGGCTTTGATTAAAAGGATGTTTTGGCCACAAGTCACATCTCTGATTTTATCAGAATTTTTCAAAAGTAACTATAAAAATTCCAAACTCTGGGAGGGTCTCAGCAAAAATATTAGTATATCTGTGGTAATTCTGGCAGAATTTTTTTTTACTTCTTTGTGAACTTATGTGAAATGCTTACAATTTATAAAATTACATCTTATTTAATGAAGTATTTAGGAATATATTCAGTATCACATTTATTGAATAGTCTTTAGTGAAATAAATAGAGATAAGCCGAATTAGAACCAGTTTGGAAACAAGCAAAGAAATTCCTGCAGAAGAATAGATTTCCTTTAGCCAACTCCTTTGATGCATTTAAAATGTGATTCATTTCTCAAAATGCTGAAGTATAGACATGTTTCAGGAACATACACTAAGTGCCAAGTTAAGTATACCTATTATGTATTATAGTGATGAGTAATTTATTTATGCTAAAGAATGGTCTGATTGTGAAGATTTATACTCTCATCTTGGTAGGCTTAGACCTTTGATATTTGGTTTATCCAAAGTTTATCAGGTCCCAGGAAAAATGAGTGTGGTGGATTAAAAATGACTACAAATTTCTTAACCTTCATCCCATTGAAAGATGAAGGCTAATTCTCTTCCTCTTGAGTCCAGAATGGCTCTGGCACCTGTTTTGACCTGTAGAATGTGGTAGAAGTCTCTGCCAGTCTTCTGAGGCTGGGGCCTCAAGAGAGCTGCAGCTTCCATTTTTACTGCTTGGGACATGCCCTCTTGGAAGCCAGCATCCATGCAAGATGTGTGATTAGCCTGAGATTAGTATGCTGTGAGGAAGCCCAAGCTAGCTGTGTGGAGAGAGTGAGAGAGAAACTGGCCACCAGGGAACACTGAGGTGTCAGGCAGGTACATGAAGCCTTGTTGGAACTTCTAGCCCAGTTGGGCCACCAGCCAATGCTGCAGGGAGCAGGACTATTCAGCCTATCCTTGTCTGAATTTCTGTCCCACAGAATTGTGGGCAAGTAAAATAGTTATTTTCTAAGCTTCTGTGTTTTGGGGTAGTTTGTTACACAGCACTAGGTAATCAAAAGAATTGGCTCGTACCACCCACCATTTCCCCTGAAGGAAAGTTTACTTTGGAAACCAAATCGACTAATGAATCAGAGAATCAGGGCAGAAAGAAATGTTCTCAACGAGATCCAGGACTACATTTCTCAGGCTTCGCACTTGATCTGGGAATCGTCTCTTCTTGCCGGTCTCAGAAGGCATTGCCCTCAATTTTTCTCCTCATGAGTGCCATTTTCCCATTGTTATAAGGTGGTCTTGTTAGTTCTTCTGATTACTCTAAGTTTTACATCAGATTACAACCGTTTTGTGTCAGGCAACTAGTAGGCACTCAACAAGGTCATTTGACGAAAATATAAGGAACTCCTGCATTGCCGTGCTAGGCACTGTGGATGCAAGAACAAATATGTCATGGTCCCTGCCCTCAAAAAGCTTATAATTTATTACGCGGAGAAAAGTCGTGTTCAGGTAATTATAATTCAACCCTATGCCATGATGGTTTCCTGAGACACATGAGTGATTATTTCCGGCTTGGTAGAAGATTTCCTAGTGAGAATGATATCAGGCCTTGGCCTGGGAGGGTGAGTAGGAGCTCGGCAGGAAGGGAAGTTTTTCAGAGTCATCCTACTAGAGGGAGTACTGAGAATGAAAGTCCCTGAGCTTGGGAAACTACAAGGTATGAGGCCGGGGCATAGCGAGAATGAGGGAAGATGGGATTGGAAAGGTAGCCTGTGGTCTGATTATGCCAGTTTTTTTGGATACTCACTCCTTAGCCAATGAGTTAGAAGTTTGTCTTGTTGAAATTGGTGAGCTTTGGAAGGTTGAGGTGAGAGGAGATCACATCTGTGTTCCTATGTCATGGGTTGTGGACCGTCTTTCCCGTCTTATCACATGTACTGGGACTCTTTGTTAATATAAAGTTGATATTGTAGGAAAGGCACAAATGGATGAGTAACTCAAAGCATGACCCTAGAGGAAGGTGGCTTGATGACCCAAGGAGTAGCTTATCACTTTACCAGTTAAGAATAGAGAGAATTAAGATCTAGTGTTAAATAGGTCAGTAGGGTGGCCATAGTTTGCAATACTCCATTGTATATTTTAAAATAGATAGAAGAGAATAATTCAAATGTTTCTAGCATAAAGAAAAGACAAATATTTAAGGTGGTAGATATATCAATTACACTGATTTTATCTTAACAAATTGTATGAATGTATTAAGTTATCACATGTACCCCCAAAATGTATGCATCTATCATGTACCAATAAAAAAAATAGGGGAAATATATTTAGATCCTTTTGTTTGACTGTCCAACTCTTAGGAAGTGTAACATCTGCAGGGTGCAAGGAAATGTGACTTTGGAGAGATGTTTTTTCCTGGCCTCAGAGAACACAGTAGGGTCAGTTCCCAGAGCACTCAGAAAGGTTTTTGTGGTGAGGGAAAACTGCAGTTTCTCTCAACCTGTGTTGTGTGCCAGAGATGATTACATATCCTCTCAATAACACAGTAAGCATTGCTTCTTACCAAATGTCCCCTGTAGCCTGAGTTTATCTCAAAAGAATTCTCTGAGATCTTAGTAAGCCGCATTTATGAAAAACTTTGCAGAATGAATATTGTCAAGCAGGCTGCTGTCTTTGGCTGTTTTGTTGTGAAAGGTGCTGAGGACTAGAAAATGAGGTTATCAATCTGGGCTCAGCCACTGACCTGCTGAACTCTTAACCCCAGGAGTAAACCACTCATTCACATGGTTACAGAGTTTGATAGGTCTGTAGAGGGCCTACTATGTGTCAAGCACCGTGCAAACAATGAGTGGTGCTCACCTTGCTAGTGTGGAGTGAGCAGTGCAGTGAGGGACAAAGGCAGGGAGCACCAAGGGAAGGTTCTAGATGGTTGCTTATTGAACAGGTACGGCTGTAATGTTCCCTTTTGTGATTTTGTTGAGGTGGAGTCTTGCTTTGTCACCCAGGCTGGAGTGCAGTGGTGCAGTCTCAGCTCACTGCAACCTCCGTCTCCCGGGTTCAAGTGATTCTCCTGCCTCCCTTTTGTGATATTTATCTTGAGTTTCCATATAAGGATTATGCTGGCTTTGTAAAATGATTTGTGAAGTTTTCTTGTTTTTATGCCATGGGATATTTTTATTTATTTATATTGATATATATTAGATGTACATATTTTCTGTACCTTTGATTATTTGATACATTCATTTAATCAGATCAGGGTAATTGGGATAGCCATCACCTTAAATAGTGACATTTTCTTTGTTAGGAACATTCAAATTATCCTTTTCTGGCTATTTTGAGATGTACAATTGATGAATGTTAATTACAGTCACTCTATTGATCTATTGAACACCAGGTCTTATTTCTTCCATGTCACTAATCAACCTCTCTTCATTCCTCTTTTTCCTTAACCTTCCTGGCCTCTAGTAACTACCAATCTATTCTTTATCTCATGATCCACCTTTTTAGCTCCCTACATATGAGTGAGAACATTTGCTATTTATCCTTCTGTGCTTGGCTTGTACACTTAACATAGTGACCTCCAGTTCATGGAATATTTTGTGTAAACAGGGGAATGATCTATTTCTTGACTTTATGTGTGTAGCTGGTGGAAACACTTTATGAGTCTGATCTCCTTCTTGGAGATAATTTGTTGATGGCCCTTTTTTCCCCTCTTGTTTCTTTCATGGTTATTTGTCTATTTAGGGTTTCTGTTTCTTCCCAAGGGAATTTTGACAATTTGTATTTCTTGAAAATAAGTCATTTCAAGACTTCATAGTATTCTGTTGTAATTGATTTCTTCTGTATTTGCCACATCCTGTCTCACTCTTGACTTCATCTAAGATCTTCTGTTTAATTAATTCATTGCAAGATTTTCAATTTTATGTATTTTGGCATCCCTTAACTTTTGGAATTTCTTCTTCAATTGTGTTTTTTCCCCTGTTTTTCTAATACATACATTTCCATTTTTTTCTTAATTATTAATTCCTTTGATGTTCTTTCCTTGTTAGAATTTTCTGGTCTCTTGACTTGAATTCTTTGTAAACTCTTGCTTTTGTTCTTGTTTATGAAGGGACACATTTTAGTGGCTTTACACAATACTTCTTGCTCATCTTAAGGCCCAATGTGGGTGTTTCTTGATCAGTGACTCTCCACCAGGCTTCAGGGACCCAGTCTCCTCCATCTGTTACTTCTGTCATTCTCTAGGGCCTTAGTTGCATTTGCATCCCATGATGGATTGGAGGTTGAGAGTGCTCAGGCTCATTGGCCTCCTAAAATCCTGGGCCTAGAAGTGGCTCAGTCACTTCTGCTCTCATTCCATTGGCTGGAACTCAGTCACATCGCCACACCTCACTGCAAGGGAAGCTGGGAAATGTAGTTTAATAATGTACCCAGGAAGAAGTAGAAATGAATTTTGGTGGACACCCATTTCTTCCACATTTTTGAATAATGCTTCTTATCTTGCAGTCTATGTCTTTCTGATATTAATATTGCTATATAAACTTTCTTGTGAGGTTTGTCTGTCATATGGTTTTCTATCCTTCTATTGTAACTTTTGTTGTTTCCTTCTGTTTTATGTGTTTTTTCTAAAAAGTGTATGTTTAGATTAAACTTTTACAAACTGGTAACATCAGTTTTTTGTTTGTTTTTTGAGACAGAGTCTCACTCTGTCACCCAGGCTGGAGTGCAGTGGTGCAATCTTGGCTCACTGCAACCTCCACCTCCCGGGTTCAAGCAATTCTCCTCCCTCAGCCTCCCAAGTAGCTGGGATTGCAGGCACCCACCACCACACCTGGCTAATTTTTTTTTTTTTTTTAGACAAGTTTCCCTATGTTGGCCAGGCTGGTCTTGAACTCCTGGGCTCAAGTGATCCACCTGTCCCAGCCTCCCAAAGTGCTGGGATTACAGGTGTGAGCCACCACACCTACCCAGTAACACTAGTTTTAACTGCAAGTTTTGCTTATATAAATTTATATATCATTTAAATACTTAGACTTTTTCCTAGCATCTTTATGCTTTCTACGTTTTCTTGGATTTTTCATGCTTTTTCTACTTTTCTTAACTTTAATAATTGAGTTAAAAAACTTACTAGTTTTAACTGCAAGTTTTGCTTATATAAATTTATATATCATTTAAATACTTAGACTTTTTCCTAGCATCTTTATGCTTTCTATGTTTTCTTGGATTTTTCATGCTTTTTCTACTTTTCTTAACTTTAATAATTGACTTAAAAAACTATCCCTCCCAATGATTTGTATATACTCTTGTCATAACTCTTGACATTTAATTGTGCCTACATAGCTTGACAAGTCTAAATGTATTAAATATTTTAAAACTTCCCCTCATGAAAACGTAAGGACCTTAGACTACTTTCTTTCCAATTATCCTTCCTTCTGAATACTGTTGATCAAACATTTGTAAAAATTAGTTTATTTGTTTTTGCCAAGATTTTAAACAGAAATCATATTCACATTTTGCTCCAGGGAACTATTCTGCTCTTTATCATGGTATACTGGGCTGGATGGAGTGTGTGAAACAGACCCAATCTCTTCCCTAATAAAGCCTCCATGTTAGTATAATAATCAAAAGGACACGAAGATAAGGAAAATCCTGCAGCAGAGTTCGTAGCACACTGATGCAACTTAGTTCAGAGTGTATTTTGGCAACTCTTCAGCTGAGAAAGAATAGCGGATTTGGGAAAACAAGGCCTTAAGACTTGTCATTTTAAGGCTAAGTTTTAAGAGTGTTAAAATTTAAAATCTTAAACTTTAGAGAAACGGAATCTTGAAATTACTGATTAGTTCACAATGGCAATAATTATGGAGAAATTAGTCTGTAATAAAACTTGGCATTGAGTGCAAAGACTACCATTTTTGAGCAAAGCATAGAAAGGTTCCAAGTGGGGCAGGGCAAGGAGTGGGGGGCGTGGACATTCCCAACAGCAGGCACTGCTGCTGCTGTTTCTTCCTGACAGTCAGTGGCAGAGAACTGTTTCAATAACTCCTCCAAACACTGTCTGAGACCTCACTTTGTGAGAGCTGAGTATTCCAGGTATGCTATTTTAGGGCACTGATCTCTTTAGCTGTAGCTCAACCCTGTGGATAGGTGATGGGAGTCAGCTGCTTCTCCTTCAGTTTCCTAATCATGGCTTTATCATCCCTAAGATCACGCTTAGTTCCCACTAGGATGATGGGCATGTTGGAACATGGTGGTGAATATCAGGATACCACTTTGCACAGGTATTTTCAAATGATGCAGGACTCACAAAGGAAAAGCAAATAAAGAATTCATCTGTTTGCAGATAGGACAGGAAGTGTAATCCATCATATTCTGTCATCCAGTTGTATCCCTTGAGCCCAAATTCACTGGTTTTTCCATCCACTGTAACACTGGCAGAATAGTTGTCAAAGACAATGGGGATCTCTTCTCCAAGAAGTGCACTGGTGTGTAACTGAACAGTAGGTAAGTTTTATCTACAAATCTGTCTTCTGCCACTGAACACATGACAGCTTGCATCTAGGCCACTAGCTGTGTATCCCTGGCTGGGCACAGATGCAAGAAGCAGCAGGTGCAGGGTTCAGGTTCAGCAGGTTTGGAATTTGAGGGTATTGGAAATAGTGGAATATTATATGGTCTACTGTGATTTATCCAGTGTAATGTAAATTACTGTAGTAAGACTTGCATCTAAAGTAGTTTTCATGAAATGGGCTGTGGGTGGGTGTGCTCCCAGTGATAAATAGCAATTGAGTATAAGACCCAAGGTCTTTCTACCACCTTCAGCACAAGGTATTAGAAGGATCTAGAATGATAGTCATAGGCCAAGATTTAAATTTCACTTCCCTCATGAATAAATCTGTGACTCTGGGCAGGTGTTTGTTAATCTTTCTGAGACTTAGCTTGAACATTTCTAAAATGGAGATAATAACACCAACCTACAAGGATTGTTGCAAAAATATAAATCAATGTGATTAAATGAAGAAAAGAAGGTAAAATGTATTGCAAACTGTAAAGTAACTTGAAAATGAAAGTAATTCATGTAACAAGCATTTTGAGGAATTATCGTGCACATAAATTGTATGAAGAATGTTAAAAGACAAAATTAAAACTAATTAAAATATCTTAATTGGCTTTTATTCATGACTTTAGAATCAGGCAGCCCTCCGAACCAGAACAGGTTCAAATCACTCCAGTCTGTCATGAGTTTGGATAGCATTTATGGACAGAAAATGGAAATGAGGTATAGGAAATGGAAATGAGGTACAGAAAATGAAAGTGTGGGAAAGAGACAGCTTGATTGGCTACAGCTCAGCATTTGCCTTATTCGAACATAGTTTGAACAGTTGGCTGCCCGCAATTGACTGAAGTTTGGCCACTGTGATTGGGGGAGACTCAGCTATTTGTTGCAAAAGTATACCCTTAAGCTAGGCTTCCAGTAAACTTATGTCCGAGTCAGGTTGCAATCTTCATGAGGACTCGTGTACAGAGGCATCTTCAGGTCAAATTTAGTTTAATTTAACAAAGGTGACAGCAATTTACCAGTATATCTTTAAGTGTTTCCTGTCGTTTTAGTCTACCAGTTGAGAAGTTTCCGTGGAAAAGCTTTTCTCTGAAATCCATTCTACATAGTAATATTTCCTTAACCCATTGGCTGGATTTTATTTTATTTTATTTTTCTTTTAACTTTTATTTTAGGTTGAGGGGTACATATGTAGGTTTGTTACACAGGCAAACTTGTGTCATGGGGGTTTGTTGTACAGATTATTTTGTCACCCAGGTACTATGTTTAGTACCTGGGTGACAAATATAGTACCCTTTCCCTCTTCCCACCCTCTCCCTCAAGTAGATATTTTTTCTCACCCTCTCCCTCTTCCCACCCTCCATCCTCAAGTAGGCCTCAGTGTCTGCTGTTCCCCTCTATGTGTCCATGTGTTCTCATCATTTAGCTCCCACTTATAAGTGAGAACATGCAGTATTTGGTTTTCTGTTCCTGTGTTAGTTTGCTAAGGTCTCCAGCTCCATACATGTTGCAGCAAAAAACATGATCTCATTCTTTTTCATGGCTGCATAGAATTCCATGGTATATATGTACCATATTTTCTTTATCCAGTCTATTGCTGATGGGCATTTAGGTTGATTCCATGTCTTTGTTATTGCGAATAGTGCTGTAGTGAACATACGCATGCATGTGTCTTTATGGTAGAACAATTTATATTCCTTTGGATACATCCCCAATAATGGGATTGCTGGGTCTAATGGCAATTCTGTTTTTAGTTCTTTGAGAAATGGCCACATTGCTTACCATGATGGCTGAACTAATTTACACTCCCACCAGCAGTGTATAAGCATTCCCCTTTCTCTGGATTTTAGAAATAGGTAAGGATTTTAAAGTATCAAAGAGCATAAGGATTTTTCAACACTTGCTCCTTGATTTTATTGATAAAGAGAGAACTGTGCCAAGAGTGCATGCTTCAGTGAGAAATAATGAGGGAAAATTGTTCAGAGGGCTTACTTGGTTAAGTGCAATTAAGCTAGCCTGTAATTTTTGTATTAAACTGCTGGTAGTTGGGAACCAGTATTTGGAGCTACTCATTAAATAAATTACCTAGATTAAGGAGTTTTCCATGATTATAAACACAGGGAAGGACAAATGTCTTTAAAACCTATAGTCTTTTAAAATAAAGACTAACACGAGGTTGCTGAACAAGTAGCTCTAGACCCTGGCCACAAGGCCCACAGAGACTGTTGATCAGGGCCCTCCCATCGCAGGAGAGAACTGGAATGGAGCTGCTGGGAGTCAGGATAGAACTGCTGCTTCTGTCTCTCTGGGTGTGTGCAACCTTTGATTGGCACGTAAACTCCCCGAATCTGTTTCTGTATCTCTAAAGAGGAGTCTGAACACTGATCTGGACAGGAGTATCGGAGGCTTCTGACTCAGGGTGCAGTTACAAACAAAGCTGATTCAACGAGGCATGGTGAGTTCTTCTCAAATGTCCATGTGCGCAGATCACCTGGAGATTTCGTTAAGCTGCAGATTCTGGCTCAGAAGCATCCAGAGTATGATCTCATGTGTGCATTTCTGATGATGCTGGCCTACAAATCACACTTTCAGTGGTGAGGGCTTTAAAAATAAAGAAAATGTTAGATCATTTAATTTAAAGACTCAGGAAAATATTGACTTCAAATAAGGCTTGTAACAGTTGTTCAATAATGTCATGGAAGTGCTGGTTTCTTTTCACTTTTTCCTGTGTTCTGTAAAGTTGGCTTCACGTTTGGGCTGGCTTTCCTCATGGGACCAAGATGGCTGCCTGCAGTCCCTGAGGCTTTGGTTCATACTTGCTTGGGTGTGACCAGCAGAAAATTTGTCTCCAGTATTACCAACAAAATTGCCTAGATTCATTTTGATTGTACAGATGAAATAAATTGATTTCTTTAACTACAAGTGGAGCGAAGGTGGAGTGAAATTTCTAGAGCCTATAGAAATCAGGGCTATGAGAAGGGGAGGGATGCTGGGGAGGAAACCAAGAAATATCCTCTGTAGAGTCAAATAAGATAAAAGTTTTGATCAAAATTAACAAATGTAACACACAAACAAACAGAGAGAGAGAGAGAGAACGGGAGAGAGAGAAAACATATAGTTTGCATACTTCTCCATCTGATTTGGGAAACTTCTGAGTCAGGAAATGTTAGTTTTTGTTTGTATCAAATATGTTTTGGAAATCATGACACCCTTTTAGGGATCCCTTTGACATATTTTATTTATTAGTTTAGATAAGAATGTGGCTTTGTGTCAACAAGATTCACTAACAAGGGTTGGATTGAATAATACCTCTATAAAAAGATCAGAAAATGCAGAGCATGAGGAAACTTTTAAAGTTTTTGTACTTTGTTTTTACCTTATAATTACAAATTTAACTTTGTTGTCCAGATAGAATTGGAGGGGAATAAAGGAAGTGTAGAATTCAAATAGTTGTAGCAAATGAGAATATAAAGAGAGTATGTGGTCAAACTGGGTGTGAGGCTGCTCTTCCCAGTATGGAAGCAAAGTTTTGTTGACTAGGATAAACACAAATCAAAGTTAGGAGAGTTACTGCAGCTAGCAGTGGTGAACTTCTTGCTAATCTTGCTATTCCTATGCACAAAACTTTGGCAATATTTGTGTTGCCATTCACTCTGATGAAAGGTGTATGCTTACCACCCAACCAGCCAGTCTTAGCAGCACAAATGAAAAACTGGGAGCTGTTTATGTTGGGTCCACCATTTGCTGTAGAAATGTGCCAGGGCTGAAATGAAGTCTTCATCAGGAAATTTCCATCCATGCATGAACTTATCCTAGTTCCATGCTGACAGGGATGACATCACTATCCTGCTTCTCAAGAATAATTCTGAGAAGGCAAGAATCCTAACCATATTCTTTCTGTGCACATGATGGTGTTGGCCTTGGCTGGTATAGATGTGGCATAAACTGGGTAAGGCCCATGAAAAGCCTAAGAAACCTTTTAGTATTATGTTGTTAATAAGTTGAACTTACCGAAAGAATAAAGAGTTTTTTAAATTGAAATTGAGCATAGTCTTGGAGACTACCTGAACTTGTAGTTGATGTCACAAATGAGGGTGGTCTTGGAGACCATACCCCCTTCACAGTTGGTGTCAAGGGTGGGATTCTCTAGCGTGACCCTGACTCACCGAAACATGATTTGAGAAGAAGAATGAGAGGGCTGAGGCTGAAGAACCTTTGACTCCTGAATGACTACCTGGTCACCTATGGTATGGAACTACAGGTGTGTGGCAATCAGTTATTAGAGGCAAAAGTTACCAGTGGAATTTAGAGATAGCTCCAGCTTCCAAGGAGTTAGCTCACTGGATACTCAAGAAAATGTAAAATAATAAGAAATACGCTAAATATACAATCCATTGGCTTTGTTATCTATAATTGCTAAACTGAAAGTAAAATAGTACTGGGGCAGATCCTGACTTTATACCAAGCTCAGGTCTTGTCAGTCTGAGATATGGCCACATTGTCTCAGGGCTGCTACCAAAGGGAAAAGTTATGCTGGGACAATAATAGGTAGCACCTCTATGACCTCCAGTCATTAAGGACGTGGCCAGTTTGGGGAAAGGCAAAACCAAGGAACTGGTGAAACCAAGGCGTACAATGTAAAAGTTATTTCATTTTGTGCATTGGTATCATCAAATTCCTGAGGAACCTTTACAAAAAGGGATTGTGAGTGAGTAACTTAGGGGATGTATCTTTGGTTTTGATTGCTGCAGAATGAAAGAGCATGTTTGGGTTGATATAAGACCTAGCTCACTATTGAACAATCATGGATGGCTATATGTGATCTAGACACACAGAAGGTTGTTCCTGAGAGGACAGCTAGCCTTGTGGACTGAATAAAAGTCACTATAAAGTTAGTTTACCCTGAGAATGGGGGTCTGTCCAACTCCCCCTATACTTGCCAAATGGAAGACTCCAGATGAAGTAGCTAGTATGCCTTGTATGCAAGCCATGTTGGATTGACTTTATGATAATCTGGATATTCATCTACAGAATATGCCCCTTACCCAAGACATGGTAAATGCTGTGATTAAGGTAGCTACCTTTGCATCAGTACCCCATATAACATTATAGCTGCAATATGAAGAATAGTTTGCGAAGCTTCATCACATTTATTGTCTTAGTTTCCTTATGGGTTTTACAGATGCCAAAAAAATTAGAGTTAGTCAGAAGAAAATGGGGAAAGACAAAAAGGAGAGTCAGGAGAGTCAACCTTGCAGGTTGGTAATCTTTAGATGGTTGTTAAGAAATGGGATGAATAAAGCAGATAGTAATGGGTTGAAACAGAGGTCTTAATGTAGCACTACTGGAGGTTGGCTGGACCAATGGGCCCCCCTGCTGGTCCCCCAACATTAAAAGACCCCAAACAAATCTGCTCTTTTTACTCCATTTTGGAGGTATTTGAAAAGCTGGAAGGGAAAGATGACAATGAGAAACTTGATTTCGAATCACCTGGAGAGATGGTCTGCCACATTAATAAAGATGAAAATTGACAGAGGGGCCAGGATCCTCTGGCTCAATCCCCATCTGAGAACCCAAGGGCAAATGTACATGTATGGGTAAAATGACCTGTGGGGTCAAGGGAGAAAAGAATTTTCTAGGGCTTCTTGACATGGGATCCCAATGCTCTAGGATTCCAAAACCTGTTGGTGAAGTCGTAATGGAATCTACAGTCAAATGAGAGGATATGGGGATGCAGTGTTTGATGGGATTAAGGTGAAGATTGGATTAAAATGGAAATGTTTGAATGGATATTATGTAAAGTGGTTACATTTCTTGTCCCCGGACATCCCTTCCAGAGGAGGAAAGTTTGAGTAAGAATAAACCACAAATGGAGAGAACAAGAACTAGCAGTTGGGGATAAAGGAATGAATAAATGGGTTATTGCAACGAGGAAAATCCAATTTTACATTGGTGCCTTAAGAGAGGCTCAGAGGAAGAGAATAATATTATCTCTTAGCACAATTATACTAGATACCCACACGGGTGAAGTTATGTATTTGTCACATTCATCTTGCTTCTGGAACCTGACAAGATGGAATAGAAGCCGGCAAACCTGAGTAGCGCTGCCCTGGGAGACATGCTGGTCATACAATATGATGAACTGGAGGAATGGTTAATGAGTGAGTAGAGCTCTAGTAATAAGTCAATACCTCTGACCCTTATTTTTCAGGTTTTATCTACTACAAAGGATATCACTTGGGAAGGAATTTCTTGAAACTGCTCCCAAGAGAGCCATTGGACCATGTGGTAAACAACTCCTAGCTGATGGATTATTGGGTAAAGATAAACCTGGATGATCCCATGCTCAGAAAGTTTCCTGATTATAATGAATAAGATGTAGCAGTGGCATGCCCAATATTCCATAGTATGCTATGCACAAATATACATCACCTTTGTTTTTGTGGATGGCAAGCTATTAAACAGAATAGGAAAGACCAGTGGGTTCCTGATGGGATTAGAGCAGTAGGTACCACGTAGTGATTCTGACTTCCTCTGGGAATAGCCCCACCCTGAGTTGAAGAAGGCTATAGCAGGCCTGGTATACAGAAACTAAATTATGTCTACCTGTATCTTGTATGGTGGACTCAGCATTTTGGGTACAAAATGTGTATTTTAGTTGCACTCAGGCTGTTAGTACCCAATGGCAACAACATGAATGGTAGAACACAGCACTGGCCTGTGAGACAGAAACATGCTTTAGGGGAGACATCTTCTAGTTGAGGCTTCATTGGATGAGCTGAATTTGCTTTTAGTGAGGAGTGGCATTTGGAGAAAAAGACTTATTAACTAGAATGAGCAGATTAAAGGGAATTCCATTCCAGGAGGAATGCAAGAAATGACAGTCAGCCTGGACAGGTGATGAGGCTTTAGTGAAGTAGGACAGGCCAACTCACAAATAATGCTGGATAATGCTAGGACCCAGTGTTGGGAAAGCCTTGTACTCAGGCACAACAGGGTCTCTTCATTATTTTAATACTGACAGGGACTGAAGTAGCCATGGAACAATAGCCCTCCATTCTAGCTGTTGAGGCCCGCGAGGCACACGTATGGGAATCTTATGGCTCTTCACCTATGGGAGTCCTCTAGGAACACTTGCAATTTACACTGAAGCAATGTGACTGCCCTTGCTCTAGGATAGATCAAAACAAGACATATCGTAAAGTACAGTTATCAGAGGGAGGAACTGTTCTGAATATTACCATGTCCTCCCTGTAGCAGGGAGGTGAGCCCTGCTATGTGACAGCACAGAATAAAAACTGGTCTTAGTACAAGCCTGTGAACTGAGACAGGGTGAATGGTTTTGTCTGTAACTGACTTGGACCATAGAATAACCAATCATGACTAATTGTCATGGTGCCTATTCATAGTAATATATGGTATATGGGCAAGGTTGATTATCTCGTGAAGGGATAGCAAATATGTCTGTAATTCTTAGTGATTTGTTCTGTAATAAAGCTGAACTGTACCATGGTCATACTGTGATATGGTATAACATTGGCACTGCTGGTAAGACTCAATTACCTTATGTAAATAGGTCTTATGATAACACTGATATTGATGATCAACTGTATTGGGAGATTTAGTTAGAATTTATGACAGGAGGCATTGGACCACAACAGACAGTCTAACAGTGTAATTTATGATGGGGACTTTGGCTCACATGGTATCTGCTCTACCACAGGAAAGCCTCCAGAAGGGCTGGAGACTAAAGGTATCATCTCGACCTCTGGAGAGGCTGGAAACTAAAGGTCAGCTATGTGTGCAGTTAGCCATGTCTGCAATAAAAACTCTGGACACCAGAGCTCAGGGTAGCTTCCCTGGCTGGTGGTATTCCATGCACAATGTCATATGTTATTTTCAGGAATATTAACATCATCCAGAATGCTATGGGGAGAAGACAACTGGAAGCTCCGTGTGGACAAACCTCCTGGACTCTGCCCCACATATCTCTTCCCTTGGCTGATTTGAATTTGTATCCTTTCACTGTGATAAACCACAACCAGATTATTACAGCTGTCAGCAAGTTCTTCTATTGAATTGTTGAAACTGAGGGTGGTCTTGGGAACCCCTGAACTCTACTGTTGGTGTCAGGAGTGAGGGAAGTCTTGTGGACTGTACTCCCTGACCTCACAGGTGCATTTTCCAACTTTATTTGGACATTCCCCAACAACATCATCCCCTTCTTCAAATATGTTTCTGCTACAAACATTGTCCTTTAGATGGTTCCTTTGCTGCCATTATGACTATGGCGTAATCTGTAGTAAAGCACCATTAAGATGTTAATACAGATGTATGTGTGAATTAAAAAGTGATGCTAAATGCATAGTAACCAATTTACTTCGCATTAATAATTTAGCTATTTTTATTTGTTTCTAAACAAAAAGCAAAGAGGATCCAGTCCAGAGAGCAGTTGCAACAGTGTGCACAATTTTTATTAAACCGAAATAAAAGTTCTTGGGCTATGGAAGTCACCTAAATTCACTTCTCTTTTCCTATGAACTTTCACTTTTTTTCCTTCCAACTCTAGTTAGAAGCTGACAGCTGACACGCCCTTCCTTTGTGCATTTTATCCTGGGACAAAATGAGAAGACATCCTTCAGTTCCCGTAAGTACTATTCTTTTAGTAGGAAATCAAACACACCCCCTAACTGGAGTACTATTTATTCTATTCCATCTGTTTCACATAAGAGCAGTAAAGTGATTGGAGGTGAAATGAAAAGAAAGAAAATGGCAAGACATGGTGCACAAATAACTTTCAAAGACTCATAAATTGCACATCTTGAAGATCTTTATGCTTGAGAATACTGGGCATCTATGATTCACAAAACACTTTACAAACTAATATTCTTGGCCCCCATTTTGTAACTGGCAAAAAAAGGAGGTAGGCAATAATAAGAACATTATTCAGAGTCATGGAGGAAGTCACGAAGAGCGCCAGATACAGAGCCAGTTACCCTGGCAACATTCTTCTGTTTTTCCATTCCTGCATGCCTTGGTATTGGGTTTCAGTTGTGGTTCTTTAACTTATAGGCTGATCGTATATTCAGCTTTCACAATATGTCATGGGCATTTTCCTCTGGATTTGGCTGTCTCTCTCCTGATTCTCCTTTCACTAATTTCACTGTGTCAGATGTACCACTTCAGGAAAATATGGTTATATGACAATCTAAACATAGAAAGTAGACAAGACCACCTGGTGATGGTTCAAGTGCAAAAAGATTACTCACTTAAAAAAGAATTCACAAAATTCTTTTAATCATCTCTTCTAGGTCACCACAAGAGATTTAATTTAAAAAATTTACAAACAAGTTTGAGAAACATTTCTATTTCAAAAAGCAATGTCTTCAAACTTGCTGATACCCATTTCTTACTCAATTTTTATGTGAGATTACAAGAAAATAACTTAAAATATAAAATGATTATACAATAAATATAAGTATATAATAAAGTAATTTTAAATATACAAAGTCAAAATTGGTATACATTTTTATGCTTATAATCCTTGCAGAAGCTTAGAACAAATAGAAAATTTCAAACTATATACTCCCAAAAAAATCTTTCCAAAAATGAAATTCAAAATACAATCTTTACCTTGATGTAGTGGATAATTTTTTTTTAAGTGGAAGGAAGTACTCTTTGTAAAAATAACTATGGTGCTGATGGCCATAGCATAGGTATCTGTATCTGGCAAGTATTTACCAGTGAGTGCTATGTGATGGCTCAGTTTCATTATCATTTTCTCTAGTGGCACTCCTGAACAAACTTCCTTTGCATGTCTGTTGGTCTTTGAGTGGCATGAACACATCATATGCTGTTATGGTTTGGCTGTGTCCCTACCCAAATCTTATCTTGAATTCCCACGTGTTGTAGGAGGGACCTGGTGGGAGGTAACTGAATCATGGGGGCAGGTCTTTCCCATGTTGTTCTTGTGATAGTGAATAAGCCTCATGAGATCTGATGGTTTTAAAAAGAGGAGTTCCCCTGCATAAACTCTCTCTGTTTGCCTGTTGCCATCCATGTAAGATGTGACTTGCTCCTCCTTGCCTTCCACCATGATTGTGAGGCCTCCCAAGCCATGTGGAATGTTAAGTCCATTAAACCTCTTTTTCTTCCCAGTCTCAGGTATGTCTTTATCAGCAGCATGAAAACAGACATATGCTTACCAAGGACATCTCAATTTTTTTCTCTTTAGCTCATCAACAAGAATTTACCAAGAAGAATTCTCCAATGCCAGTGAGATTCTGAAATCTCATAGTTGTACTCAATTATAAATTACTTATTCACATGATCCAGGTTTTACATGGGTTAATTTTTTTAGATAATCATCAGAATGAAAACATGACATTTAAAAAAGCACAAATAAGACTACAAAGATTGTTACATGTTCTCAGGATCCCTGAGTCCAGGTTGAGAAATGCTCTTTTAAAGACGCCCAGGCACATGCATTTTGGTTTAACAATACTTGATCTACTAATAGTTCTCATCATGCAGTAATTTAAGTATTTGGTTGTATTTTTGTAAGAATTAATAAAATGTTATATGTGAAAATATTTTGCAAGTTATAAAGCATTGCAAATGTATGTAGTTAATTTTTTCTACCTCTTTCATTTCTTCCTCGAAGACTGTGTAAGACATACCAGTCTTTTGATATATTTCCCTTTTAAAATTTTGTCACCTTGGTCTTTTTCATTAGAGTATTGATCAGCTGTCATCTAGTACTTCAGAGGCAAACTTCATCTGACTATTTACCACACTGACAGATACTGATAAACCCTTCGTGATTTCCTGGCTATTTGGCAAAGTGTTTGAAATAATGATTCAAAAGGGGGCTTCTTGAAAACCTCCTTTTGGAGTCTTAGAGGTTTAACTGATTCCACTGAATCTGATAATTGTGCTGTCTGCAAAGAAATACATGGGAGCAGTACATGGAGCTCAGGTTGTATGTATTGGGAACAGAAACACTTCAATCCTGCTAATTGTATTTAAAGCAGATGGGGAAAGGGAGCCAAACATCAGAGTTTGTTTTGCTGCAGACACTTAATACACACTGTCCGGATTGCTGGCTTTAGTTTCCCATTGTGTAGGGGGGAAACTGATGTTCAGAAAACTTCAATAATTTGACTAAAATCACAGAAGGAGATGGAGCAAGATTTGATCCCTGGTCCTGATTTCCAAGTGAATATCATTTCCCATATGTCTGGCTATGGAAGAGGGAATGAGAATGTAGGAAATGGCAAACCAGGGTCTTGGGCTGAGAAAATGGAGCTTCCCAGGCTGGCATTTACCAAATCATGTGTGGCCTCAAATCCAGTTCTCCAAGACAATTTCCTGCTCCCTACACCCCTACCTCCCTTAGTTACATCCACGTTCCTCCATCATTGGCACCATCGTTCAGTGTCAGCTTCTTCCTGGAAAACTAGTTTGCCTTAAAAACTTGCTCAAAGACTGTTTTTCCCTCTCTCTCTCTCTTTCTAGGACTGACCTCTCTAACTCAGTAGTTAGACTCTTGAGTCCTTGAAATTGAGCACAGGTATGGGCTACCACAGGAACACCAATACAAATGCTAACATTTCCTGAGTGACTACAGTGGGCCGAGTACTGCATTAACTGCTTTATACGTATTATTTCATTTAATCCTCACCACAACCCTCTGTCGTTCCTACTATTATTGCCATTTTATAGATAAGAAAACGGAGGCACAGAAAGACCCAGCCATTTGTCCACGGTTACACAGCTGAAATAAGGCCATAGTAGACTAAAACCCATTGTCATTCCATCCCCAGGGCTTTGTGTTGTCTTTCTGAGCAAACTTGGGTGAATTGTGACTATGGGTTCCTCGGCATGTGCTGCATTCTTCTGATCTCCTGTCTCTGGTTGCAAAGTTCTGGTCCAGGAATCAAGTGTTCAACTTTCCATGCAGCTCCCATAGTACAGAACAGTTCTGAGCAAACAGCGAGTGTTTAGTGAACAGGGTTGACTTTTACTACATGAAACACTAATGTTCAGTTATGTACTTGTGAAGGCAGAGGGAAGTAGCATATTCCAAGTGTCGTGTTGATCCTCAGAGTATATTAAAAGGGAAACCAGACTTTGTCTCAGAGAAACTAAACTAATATTAAATAATGTTATGGGCTACATTGTGATTTCCCCCTCCCTCATATAGATATGTTGAAATTCTAGCCCCCTGCCCCCATACCTCAGAATGTGACTGTATTTGGAGATAGGGTCTTTAAAGAGGCAACTAAGGTAAGAGAAGTTCGTTAGGCTGTGCCCTAATCCAATATGGTGATGTCCTTATAAGAAGAGATTAAGACACAGACACCCACAGAGGGAAGACCATGTAAAGACACGGAGAAGGTGGCCATCTGCAAGCCAAGGAGGAGAGAGGCCTCACGAGAAATCCACCTTGCCAACACCATGGGGAATAAATTTCTGTTGTTTAAGCTACTTGGTCTGTGGTATTTTGTGATGGCAGCCCTGAAAAACTGGTATAGACACCATTTGGGCAAAAAGATAAGAGCCTGCCTCTTTTTCTTGTGGTAAAGGGAGTTGGTGGGCATAGGGCTGCTGTTTGGGGCATACACACCATGACTCTGCAGGTACTCTTTCTGCTGGGAACCAGCCAGAGAGGAGGATATGAATTGGGATTGGGATCAGTAGAGGATGGAGTTTCTGTGACAGTCTCACACCAATTTGTTAGAGCACACTTACTTGTTCACCCAATAAATACTTACTACCCACCTATTATGTGTCCACCACAGTACTGGACCCTGATGATAAATTGTCCAAAATAAAATTTCCAAATGTTCTTCTCCCCACAGTCTCTGTGGATTTCTTCCTGGCCGGGGCACATTGAGTCTCCTTGTTCACTTTCTCTGGATGAAGCAGTTGTTATCAATCAGCATATTACAGCTTTCCATTCTTTTCCTTTATCTTCTTTTTGTTCTTGGTCTTAAGAATGGATAGCAGTCTAAAGTGCTGAGATATTATTTATGCCTTTGCCTTCAGCCCTAGAAGGAGCTTGATGGAATTATCAGTGTTTCTCCTGTTTTCCTCCTAAGAAGGAAGCCAATTTTTATTCTGCGTTTTGAGCCACTAGCCTTAGGGATTTGCTAAGGGCTTTTTGTGCCAGAACCAAAAGGAGAAGTTGTATATGAAAGTGGTGTGACTTGGAGAGTGAGTTTATCTCTCTGAGCCTCAAATGTTCCCATCTGGAAAATAGGAATAATTATGATGCTATCTCATAGGTTTGTTAGGAGGGAAAAAAAAGGTAATGCTTGGGAAGTTCTACATATATGTGCATATATATGTAATAACCATTCCTCGGGTGTTGCTTTTGGGGTCCATACTGACCATAACTTGTTTGGAAGACCAGGCCAATGACAAGGAAGAAATTGCAGGAAGCATTTAGGTGGATGAAGGAGTGTTTATTAGAGTGGGCAGATTTCTGGAGATTAAGAGACATTTTTTGGGGTGGGAATGGGGATGGGGATGGGGGTAGGGTAAGGGAGGGAGTTCCACAAGTTGTAGAGAACTGTGCTCTGCTCAAAGCCATGTCCTTGCTTGGGGCAGGAGGACTACAGCCACCAAGTGATGATGGAGTCTTGAGTGGAGTCACAGGATTTGTGTGGTCCATTCTGCGGTCATAGAGGGGATCACAGGAGGACAGCCTTGCGGCTTTAGTACCAGAGCACAGCACCTCTGCATAAGCATGTCTGGGTACTAAAAGGATGATGGGAAAGATGGGAAACTATGCACTGAAGGTCTGGGTCCTTCCCAGATTTTCTATATCCATTTTCAATTCCTGACTCCATTGAAGTACAAGAAAGCCCCAGTAATGACCATTGCGGGGGAACTTGCCTGTTCTGAGACACTGGGCTGCAGAGATTTCATTTGATTTAGAGAAATAAAAACATGGTACTTTTTGTACCTAAGCATTGCACCCCAAGTTTATATTGATTGCAAGTATTTATTGGTTTTCGTTGTTGTTTATAAAAAATCTCAAAAAATTCAGTATGTAAAATTTGGAAAGTAGGGAAAAACAAAAAAAAAATAAAAATAAAAATTGCCTGTAAACTCACCACTTGGAAATAACAACTCTCGCTGAATATTTTTTGGGGTTTTACTATGTGTATATGCTACATATATCGTTACATCAGTGAGATTATACTGTGCACAGTCTATCCTATTTTCATTTAACAGTGTTATGAAGACTTTCTCATGCAGTATAATACAGTTCTTCATGAAGAACACTTAAATGCTGAATGCTATTCAATTTTAAGGGACAAAATAGATGATTAATCCTTAGATCATTTAACTAAGTAGATTAATCCTTAGATAATTTAATCCTTTATTATTAGAAAGTTGGGTTTCCAGTTTTTTGCTCTGTTAAATAATATTGTTATGATTATCCTCATATAAATTTATGTTCCAGTCTTGTTTTCTGAGAAAGTTTACCTAAAAGTTGTTATCTCTCTTATTTATTGTGTGATATTTTATTAGATTTTATTTTTGAGACAGAGTCTCACTCTGTCACCCAGGCTGGATTGCAGTGGTGCAATCTTGGCTCATTGCAAAACTCAGCCTCCTGGGCTCAAGTGATCCTCCCAGCTCAGCCTCCCTAGTAGCAGTGACTACAGGTGCATGCCACCATGCCTGGGTAATTTTTGTATTTTTTGTAGAGACAGGGTTTTACCATGTTATCCAGGCTCGTCTTGAACTCCTGAGCTCAAGCAATCTACCCACAGCCTCCCAAAGTGCTGGGATTACATATGTGAGACACCACTCCTGACCTCATTTTATTTTTAAAAACCTCTTCCTGTGTTTTCTTAAACCCACACTAAACCCAAAACAATTTCTTCAAATAGCCTTTAGTTCTTCATTACATTTTCTCTCCACCAATTATCCCCAAAGACTCTCATTCTGAGATTGTTGAGAATCGTTTGTACCATTGGCAAGAGTAGGACAACTTACATGCAGTCATTTAAATTAAAGAGTTTCCTTAGCTGCAGCCAAACTGACACTCAAAATTCATCCAAAATCACAGTTATGTTGATTATTTGGTTCTGATATTGCTTTCGTATCTCGCCATTCCCTACTTTTGTTGCTATCAGTGGGTCTACTGTTTTGCTCAGAATTGTCTTCAACAATGTTATAAAGGGCGCTGGTAGAGTAGCAAGATGAGCCTTCACCATCTCTTAGTTGGTTGTTGCTTTTCACTTTTTCCTGGAGGGGCAACATGTGTGTACATACGTGTGTCCACAGGTAGTGTGTTGTATATATGTGTTTGTGGGCACTGCTAGAAAGGAGATTCCTGTAGTTGTTTTAGTTATGCAGACGCCCAAAATATCTGAAGCAGCACCAGACAATATCTCAAAGCATAATGGATACTCACAACGTAACTAGCATATGTGTATGTTCCATCTCAAAATTCTATCCTTGTCTGCCATTTTCTTCTAAGTGTTAAATTTACGATTCTCCTGAGAGCCGCAAATTCAATTAACAATAAGATAGAAAATACAACTCAATGGCATTATGGCCATAACAAAGCGAAGTCTACCTTCGCTGGTTTGTGGTAGAAATGTTGGCTTGTCCAGGACAATCTTTCATAGAAGATGGATTTATCCATCCCTGACAGGTTCAGACCACTTCAGACCAAGCCTTGTTTTCCACAGTCAGAGTCAAAAGTGCATTTTCCTCGCTTCTGATGAAAAGTAACAAAGACTTTTGGTTTTAGGGACCAGAATGAGAGTGATTCTCTTTGAAGCTTTCACAAAGCCGAAAAGAATTTCACACCATTTTGAGTGCTGCAGGTGAAGAATTTAACAGCTGGTGGGAGTGCAAATTAGAGCCAATTATAATTTGATTGACCTGCCTTGACAGTAAACCTGTCTTCTCTAATTTAAAATGCCTAGCAGGATCCTCTCTGCCCTGGTAAGGTGGTGATTTCAAAGGAAGAGCAGCTCAAACTAGGAAATCCTTTAACAATGCTATGACAGTAATAAAGATTTATTTATATAGTGCTTTTTTTCTCTTGGACTAAAATTACTACATTCAAACCAAGGAATAGCATGGTGAGTACAGGAATGAAAAAGGACTGGGCTGGGTAGAAATGAGTCGTGGGGATGGTGGCCACAGAAGTAGAAAATGCATGAAAATTTAGGAAAGTTGTGGAGAAAGGGGAAAGTGTTTCAGTTCCCAAATGTAATGCCAGTTGTCATAATATTTGTAAAGAAACCAAATGTAGAATTAAAAAGTGTATTCTCCAAAATTGTTTTAAAATGGCATAAGAAAGCACATTTTATTCCTGTGTTTGATTTTAGAAGCTAATTTATCCTGTCGCCTTATTTAACTAGGTCAAAGGAGGCATAGAACTCTAGTTCAAACTCAACCTACTCATTCCCTACTTATTGACAATAGCTAGGGTTTAATTAACTATTTATACTTTATGAGGAAAAAAGTTGGTGGATCTGCATTTCCTGCTTTGCCTTGAGTGAAATCTCCAAGTCTTTTCTATTGACCTCTAATTCTGATGCAGGTGATCTGCACACCCCATGCTCCAGGCTCTTGGAAGGTAGTGCTCCTGAAACCGTCCCCAAGAAAATTTTATAAAATAGATTAAGGGAAAAAATAAAATTCAGCTAGGCTTGCAGCTCAATCAGAGGTAATTATTAAGCCAGCTTGCCCTTTGTCTCACTTCCTTGTAGCTGGTTACTACTTACTACTCCAGGAAGACCTCCAGGATAATGTAGCCCTTGTCACAATATTCTTTGTTCTATAGATAAAATCTAAGACATTGTGAGATGATAAGCTTTCTGTTTGAGTTTCTCCTTTAGTTCTGTATTCCAACAAAACTACCCATGCCAGCTGGTCTGAAGAGCCCAGTAGGAAGCTGACCCATGGAAGAATGCAGTTTCCACATCCTGTTGACTTCATCCCCTTACCATGACCAAACAATGACCCCAATTTTCTAGCTCCTTGCCCTCCATGATCTCCTTAGAGACCCTTGCCCAGAACCCTTTGATGAAATGGATTTGAGGCTTGAGAATCGCTCCTGTTACCTCCTTTGGCAGACTTGCAATGATTAAACTCTTTCTCTGCTGCAAACCCTGCTGTCTCAGTGTATTAGTCTGTTGCTGCACAGCAGATATAACAACCTGGCAGTCCTGTAATACTCCCAGGAGCCAACTGTGTCACCATCAAACAGAGATTCAACAGATCTTCTCTCCAGTCCCACTCCTACAATTTAGGACTTACTTGATCTTGGGCATGTTGTCCTCTTTGAGTCTCAGTTCTTATCATTTGAAAAATGGAAATAATAAAATCTGCTTCATGGGGTATGGTGGTGATAGGTGAGATGCCATATGCAAAATGACTCGGCACAATGTCTGGCCCAGAGTAGCTCCCAGGAAACGGTGAGATTCTGTTTCTTCCTCTGACAGGACTCCTTCACCTTCACTCCATCGCTAAGGTTGCCTGGCCTTCTTTCTTCTCTCTTCTTTCTCTCAGTGAACCTTCTGCAATGACCTGAGGGGAGACTGAGGGAGGGAAGATGGGGAGAAGAAGTGCAGGTCTTGCCTCCTTGGTATGGTACTTAGAATGAATTTCACTAATTTCACTAAGTAACAATGTTCTTCCTGCTGATGAGATTTTATAATTCTAATATTTGGGTACACTGTATACGAAACATACTTTTGCAGTTGGCTTAAAAATCTTATCTTTTTATCATATGATTTATATAAAATGAAGTGAGGAAAGAAAGGAAAATGGCTGGCAGGGCATGGTGGTTCATGCCTGGAATCCCAGCACTTTGGGAGGCCGAGGTGGGCAGATCATGAAGTCGGGAGTTTGAGACCAGCCTGGGAATATGGTGAAACTCCATCTCTACTAAAAATACAAAAATTAGCTGGGCGTGGTGGTACACAACTGTAGTCCCAGCTACTTGGGAGGCTGAGGCAGAAGAATCGCCGGAACCCAGGAGATGGAGGTTGCAGTGAGCCGAGATCACACCACTGCATTCCAGCCTGGGCAACAGAGCGAGACTGTCTTAAAAAAAAAAAAAAAAAAAAAAAAGCGAAAATGGGTGTAACAAAGGCCATGAACTTTACTTCATAGGAAAGGAGATGGACACTTTCATTTTTTGGATACACTATATACAGCCAGAGTTTTACTGCCTTAAATTTTATGACAAGTAAAGTTATCAATAGAAACAGAAGCCTGAATTCCAAACAAAATCAATTTAATGTACAAACTTCTGGATTTTAGCATGTAACTGTGTGTAACTGCATTCATGTCAATGGCTACAAATCACTGGGAAGCTTCTACATAAGGAGGCAGAATAAAGTGATGGGCTTTGTGACAGCGCAACCTCTTTCCTTTTCACATTAATTCTGAATGAGGGTTAGGGTTTCTGGAAGTCTATTCTTTGTATAATGAGAGCTTTCCTCTATTACTATAAATGTGGCTCCTAGGGTCTCTTTCTACTAAAAAAATTACTACTAATAAAGATATATGTAGTGATGATTGTATGCATCCTTGTTCACATCTGTGAAACTGAAGTTTCTTGTGGGTAACACATCTGGCTTTAAAAAAATTACCTATAGGAAGATTAAATGGTAAGCAAGGATCTCAGTAACCAGATTCTGGAGTGCAGCCAACCCCCAAGCAATGAAATGATGATTTCTGCAACCAGGCTTGACTGGGCTGGACCTGGGCAGATGATGGAGGGGAGCAGGAGGTGCAGGCAGCTGCTGTCTGGTGAACCGAAACGGGGCATTCACAAGGTGGGCAGACAGATGCCATAATGACCCACTAAAGAATACCCACATGCAGTACAACATAGCTGTGAAACGTGGAGAAACAATGGCAGCAGATGGACAAAAACCTGGCATGCAGCAGGCAGGGAGAAGCAGCTCATTTATAGCAAAAAGTCCTGGGTGGCTCAGGGAGGGACAAAAATCCAGACCCATACCAAGCCTGTAAATAGCAACAGGCCCTGTAAGCGGCCTTCATCCTTTTCAAATATTTATTGACTGCTTGCTATGGGTCACATACTTGGCTATGGGTCACATACTTGGCGAGGTGCTGCACGAATGCAGGGATGAAGACAGGCTTATTGAGTTCAAGGAGTTTAGAATCCAATGGACACGCAGCAGGTTTCTGTTTATATGAGACCATTTGGGAATTATGTTGTGGTTCCTGGCATTCCAGGCATTTAACATTCTTCACAATTTGGTTCTTCTTTTTCTAGATCTTGGATGGCATAACTTCAAAACCAAGGGAGATGGAGGAGTTTTAGAGGAGTAGAAGGCTGCAAGCAAGAACTGATGCATTACATCTCCAGTCACCTCACTCTAAGATTGTCCTGTAGCTAAGACTGTTGAATGAGACTGTTGTTCTTCAGTTTGCAGCCACAAAGCACGGAGGCATCTCCCCAAGAATCCACTGCAGGGAGGATGAACAGCCCTTACCTGGATTTTTGCTTTATCTAAAAATATATTTGTAGAAGAAGGAGCATTCTAGTTTCCAAATACAAAGGGCAATCTCCTTCTCTGTGTGTGCACGTGCAAACAAACACACTTCTACAAGTAAGCATTCTTCTTTATTATCATAGTCATCATCATCACTGGGTTGGCAACTAAAAACAAAACTACAAAACTCTCATGTTAGCAGTTGAGTAACTTTTAATAACCAGATACAAACCATTCTTCATTGTTTACAAGGGGCATTAAAAAGAAAAGGAGGTTGAACTGCAATGTGAAGTGTAGTTAAATATGTAGACATCTTGGATTCTAGAAGAGTTTGTAATGGATTAAAGGGTTAAGCTATGAAATTGTTGCCCTCTGTGATTTTTCCACACTAGAACAGACTGACATGGTTTGAAGCAGTTGGGCTTTAACCTATAGATAGGAGGACAGAGATGATTGCCTATGAAGCAATTATTAAATAGCTGCATTTTGGCATGTTCTAGTTGAAAAGATTTAGTTTTACCTATATCACCTCATCATCACTAATTTAATCATCCTCAGAAAATGCAAAAATAATGATGTACATTTGACAAGTCTTATACAAAATTATGTTTCATAGCTTTGTGGTCAGAATTAAGCCATGTTCTAAAATACAAATGAATAGTTTACAGCCCACTAATTCCTAACTGTAAGTGTTAAGTCTATATAAAAATAAGAGACAAGCTTGTGATCAGGAATAGCTTCCAATTATGAAAAATTTAAATAAAAATAATAGAATGTGCTTAATTTATTTATCATATACAAAGTAGACATATGTGACCAAAATGATTCATTATTTTTACGATTTTCATGGGAATAAGTTTGACAATATTAAGTGCTGGAGATAGAATATCAGGTAATCTTAAATACTGTTCATAGGAATGTACAACCATTTTGGAGAACAGTTGGAATTATCCAAAGAAAGCTGAAGATTTTCCTAACTTATAATTTTAAAAATTGGCACATGCCCTCAAGTAACAGTTGCATACCTAAGGAGACATGTGTAAGTATTTTTACAGCAGCATTATTTATAATAGCCCAAATTGGAAATAACCTAAAATCATATGTTCTTACAAAGGAGTACTACACAACAGTGAAAGCAAATAAACTATAGCTAAATGTTATCTATCTTGAAGGCATTTATAAGAATAATGATGCTTTCACAAAGTAAATTGCAGGATGTTATATACAATGTGATACAATTCATGTAAGTTACCAAACATGCAACACAATACATAACATTGTCCAAGGATAAGTATAAATGCAGTAAAGGTATAAATAAATGTAGGATTATGATGCTTGCTTGAATATTCTGTATACTCTTTTGCATATCTTTAATATTATTTAATAAATGAATAGACAAATCAGTAATACTAAAACCAAAGTCCAAGGGTGCCAGATTCAATTCAAGAGGTAGAATAAAACTGCTGGAGGAGAGGTGGAGATTGCAAGACATAAATGGGTTTAGAATTTTTTCCCTGTATTTTCCTCTGTGACAGTAGATATTAAGTTGCTATTTTCTTTAGAAAATAAGTTCAAAGAGGGAGACGATCCCCATTCCATATTTTTTTTTTCCCCAGACGGAGTCTTGTTCTGTTGCCCAGGCTGGAGTGCAGTGGCATGATCTTGGCTCACTGCAACCTCTGCTTCCTGAGTTGAAGCAATTCTCCTGTCTCAGCCTCATGAGTAGCTGGGATTACAGGTGCCTGCCACCATGCTCGACTAATTTTTCTATTTTTAGTAGAGAAGGGGGTTTCACCATGTTGGCCAGGCTGGTCTTGAACTCCTGACCTCGTGATCCACCCAAAGTGCTGGGATTACAGGCATGAGTCACCGAGCCTGGCCCTATTCCATTTTTTATCTATCACATTTTTTTTTTTTATTCTGAGAGGGCATAAAGATATGGGGTTATGGAAGCAAGTCTTTCAGAAGGCCCTCCTCTTTGAGGGACATGATTAGTTCAGTATGTCTTAAGCAGATAATTTCTGAGTCAGTGTTATATTAGATTGGAACCAGATATTGATCAAACTGTGGCAGTGCTTAAATGTAAGCGTGAAGAGGTGAGACTGTGTCATAGACATTAGAGTGCTACTAATATATGTATGCATGTAGGGAAACAAGATAAGGATACATAAATTAATAGAGATAGGTACATACTTTTATATACAGCTATACGTAAATACATAAGCATATATATCTTACACCTGTAAGTATGTGTCTATTATCTATCTATAATTATTTATGTCTATAATTATCACTACAATTATATATCCTCATTAGAATACTCTGACTTATCCAGGATTGGGATGGGGGTGGGGGGCAGAGTGTTGAAGAAAAGTTATAAAAATATTAGCTGGTGGGCCAGGCACGGTGGCTCACTCCTGTAATCTCAGTACTTTGGGAGGCTGAGGCGGGCAGATCACGAGGTCAGGAGATCGAGACCATCCTGGCTAACACAGTGAAATCCCGCCTCTACTAAAAATACAAAAACAAAATTAGCCGGGCGTGGTGGCAGGGGCCTGTAGTCGCAGCTACCGGGGAGGCTGAGGCAAGAGAATGGCGTGAACCCGGGAGGCGGAGGTTGCAGTGAGCCGAGATCGCGCCACTGCACTCCACCCTGGGTGACAGAGTGAGACTCCGTCTCAAAAAAAAAAAAAAAAAAAAAAAAATAGCCAGTTTCATTTCTTTTATTATAATATGAGAATGGAAAGTGTCACTTTAAAATGAAATGCCTATATTTAAATGGCATAGCGTTAATAATTAATGGTAACTAATAGATTCTGCAAAGACCTTTAAAGATGAGAATGCCATATACTGGGTAATGAGAATGACTATTATTGATAAAAACAGTATTAACTTGTGAACACACAATTGGGAAGGGAGATATACAAAATCAGTTTTTCCTATGTAAAAACAGAGATTGATATTTCTAGCTGTGGAAGGTAAACTCAGAAATTAGCTCAGTATTTCATAATTCTTTTAGAGATGTGACATATACTTCTTAAAATATTTTGTCATTTTTTCCATCTTAAAAAAAGGTGTAGAATAACATATTTATTTGAGGAATTATTTTTGTTTTAATATCATAACATAAAGCCATAACAGGTGTTCAACAAATAATGATTGAAATAGCACATCTCTTCTAAAAATAGCGTCCTTATATTTGATCACACTTTTTAAAAATTCTTTTACTTATTTTTTCATTAATCACTTATAGAGCACCTATTACGTTTTGGGCATCATGCCAAACACCCCAAAGAAAACACACACAGGTAAAGTCCTTGGAGAGTCACAATCTGCGGGAGACAACAGAATGTAAACAGCTGAAATGTGATATGTAGATTAAGGAGCAAGCTCTGAAAGGGCCAGTAGATCAGTCTAGAGCAGAGTTTCTCAACCTTCACACTATTGACATTTTGGGCCAGGTAATTCTTTAGTGAGTGGCTGTCCTGTACATTGTGGGTTTAGTGAAAGTTCTGGCCCCTACCCACTAGCTGCCAGCAGCACTCTCCCGTATCAAAATGTCTCCACCGAAAATGTCTCCAGGTATTGCTGAGTATTTGGAGTGCTGGGGGTCAAAATGGCCTGTAGTTGAAAACGACTTCTCTAGAGAATCTACTTATATTTCAGAAATGAGAAAGATTTCTGTAGATTTATTTTAAAATTATCACTATTATTTTAGCCATTTTTTTCATTCAGCCAAAATGCATGTTTTTTCTTTCTTTCTTTTTTTCTTTTTTTTTTTGAGACAGAGTCTCACTCTGTTGCCCAGGCTGGAGTATAGTGGTGCAATCTGGGCTCACTGCAACCTCTGCCTCCCGGGTTCAAGTGATTCTTCTGCCTCAGCCTCCCAAGTAGCTAGGACTACAGGCATGTGTCACCACGCCGGCTAATTTTTGTATTTTTAGTAGAGATGGGGTTTCACCATACTGGCCAGGCTGGTCTCGAACTCCTGACCTCAAGTGACCCGCCCGCCTGGGCCTCCCAAAGTGCTTAGCCAACATACATGTATTGAGGAAGTATGGAAACTAGCATGGTTGGAGAAGATAGAGTGAAAACTTTCTCCTTTTATGGGACATTAAGGATATCAGAGATTCTGTGTGAAACTTGGCTACCTGGATAGTTTCAATATTGTTATGATTAAGAAGTGGGATGATCTAGAAAGAACGTGGCATGGATTACAAATTCCAAGAGGCAGGGATCAAATCTGTTTTTAAGAACTTTTATTGAGGAATGATTTAAATACCATGAAATGCACTCACTGTAAGTGGATAGAAGTTATACAAATGTAGGTAAATTCACACAGTTATGCAGTCATTACCATGATCCAGTTTTAAAACATTTTCATCATCCTGAAAGTTCCTGTGTGGATTTTTGCAGTCTACCCAGTTTCATGCATCCATCAATCTTTTTTTCTGTTATGTAGTTTCCCTTTTCTAGACATTTTATATAAATGAAATTATATAATACATAGCCATTACTCTCTGGCTTCTTTCAAGTAGCACAGGTGTTTTGAGGTCTAGCCATGTTGTTGAATGTTACCAGTATTTTGTTCCTTTTTATTTATTCCATTGTATGAATACCAGATTTGGTTAATCCTTTCACTAATTGATAGCAGTTTGGATGGTTTTCAGTGTCTAGCTATTATGAATAATGCTAGTATGAACAATCTTCTTGTGGACATATTTTCATTTCTCTTTAGTAGATAACTCAATGAAATTGCTCAAGGTGAAATTGCTGAGTCATATGGAAACACCTTGCTAAACTGCTGAACTGTTTTCTAAACAGACCATTACATTTCATTCTCACCAACAATGTGTGCAGTTTCCAGTTTCTCTACTTCCTTGTCAACACTTGGTAGTGTCAGTCTGTTTGATTTTAGCCATTTCAATAATTTCATAGTGGTGTCTTTCTTTTTTTTTTTTTTAATTATACTTTAAGTTTTAGGGTACATGTGCACATTGT
This sequence comes from Homo sapiens, assembly GCF_000001405.40. Classification (NCBI taxonomy): domain Eukaryota; kingdom Metazoa; phylum Chordata; class Mammalia; order Primates; family Hominidae; genus Homo; species Homo sapiens. The sequence continues at coordinate 24,710,865 of NC_000018.10, forward strand.
GCAGGTTAGTTACATATGTATATATGTGCCATGCTGGTGCACTGCACCCACTAACTCGTCATCTAGCATTAGGTATATCTCCCAATGCTATCCCTCCCCCCTCCCCCCACCCCACCACAGTCCCCAGAGTGTGATATTCCCCTTCCTGTGTCCATGTGATCTCATTGTTCAATTCCCACCTATGAGTGAGAATATGCAGTGTTTGGTTTTTTGTTCTTGCGATAGTTTACTGAGAATGATGTTTTCCAATTTCATCCATGTCCCTACAAAGGACATGAACTCATCATTTTTTATGGCTGCATAGTACTCCATGGTGTATATGTGCCACATTTTCTTAATCCAGTCTATCATTGTTGGACATTTGGGTTGGTTCCAAGTCTTTGCTATTGTGAATAATGCCGCAATAAACATACGTGTGCATGTGTCTTTATAGCAGCATGATTTATAGTCCTTTGGGTATATACCCATTAATGGGATGGCTGGGTCAAATGGTATTTCCAGTTCTAGATCCCTGAGGAATTGCCACACTGACTTCCACAATGGTTGAACTAGTTTACAGTCCCACCAACAGTGTAAAAGTGTTCCTATTTCTCCACATCCTCTCCAGCACCTGTTGTTTCCTGACTTTTTAATGATTGCCATTCTAACTGGTGTGAGATGGTATCTCATTGTGGTTTTGATTTGCATTTCTCTGATGGTCAGTGATGATGAGCATTTTTTCATGTGTTTTTTGGCTGCATAAATGTCTTCTTTTGAGAAGTGTCTGTTCATGTCCTTTGCCCACTTTTTGATGGGGTTGTTTGTTTTTTTCTTGTAAATTTGTTTGAGGTCATTGTAGATTCTGGATATTAGCCCTTTGTCAGATGAGTAGGTTGCGAAAATTTTCTCCCATGTTGTAGGTTGCCTGTTCACTCTGATGGTAGTTTCTTTTGCTGTGCAGAAGCTCTTTAGTTTAATTAGATCCCATTTGTCAATTTTGGCTTTTGTTGCCATTGCTTTTGGTGTTTTAGACATGAAGTCCTTGCCCATGCCTATGTCCTGAATGGTAATGCCTAGGTTTTCTTCTAGGGTTTTTATGGTTTTAGGTCTAACGTTTAAATCTTTAATCCATCTTGAATTGATTTTTGTATAAAGTGTAAGGAAGGGATCCAGTTTCAGCTTTCTACATATGGCTAGCCAGTTTTCCCAGCACCATTTATTAAATAGGGAATCCTTTCCCCATTGCTTGTTTTTCTCAGGTTTGTCAAAGATCAGATAGTTGTAGATATGCGGCGTTATTTCTGAGGGCTCTGTTCTGTTCCATTGATCTATATCTCTGTTTTGGTACCAGTACCATGCTGTTTTGGTTACTGTAGTCTTGTAGTATAGTTTGAAGTCAGGTAGTGTGATGCCTCCAGCTTTGTTCTTTTGGCTTAGGATTGACTTGGCAATGCGGGCTCTTTTTTGGTTCCATATGAACTTTAAAGTAGTTTTTTCCAGTTCTGTGAAGAAAGGCATTGGTAGCTTGATGGGGATGGCATTGAATCTGTAAATTACCTTGGGCAGTATGGCCATTTTCACGATATTGATTCTTCCTACCCATGAGCATGGAATGTTCTTCCATTTGTTTGTATCCTCTTTTATTTCCTTGAGCAGTGGTTTGTAGTTCTCCTTGAAGAGGTCCTTCACATCCCTTGTAAGTTGGATTCCTAGGTATTTTATTCTCTTTGAAGCAATTGTGAATGGGAGTTCACTCATGATTTGGCTCTCTGTTTGTCTGTTGTTGGTGTATAAGAATGCTTGTGATTTTTTACATTGATTTTGTATCCTGAGACTTTGCTGGAGTTGCTTATCAGCTTAAGGAGATTTTGGGCTGAGACAATGGGGTTTTCTAGATATACAATCATGTCATCTGCAAATAGGGACAATTTGACTTCCTCTTTTCCTAATTGAATACCCTTTATTTCCTTCTCCTGCCTAATTGTCCTGGCCAGAACTTCCAACACTATGTTGAATAGGAGAGGTGAGAGAGGGCATCCCTGTCTTGTGCCAGTTTTCAAAGGGAATGCTTCCAGTTTTTGCCCATTCAGTATGATATTGGCTGTGGGTTTGTCATAGATAGCTCTTATTATTTTGAAATACATCCCATCAATACCTAATTTATTGAGAGTTTTTAGCATGAAGGGTTGTTGAATTTTGTCAAAGGCTTTTTCTGCATCTATTGAGATAATCATGTGGTTTTTGTCTTTGGCTCTGTTTATATGCTGGATTACATTTATTGATTTGCGTATATTGAACCAGCCTTGCATCCCAGGGATGAAGCCCACTTGATCATGGTGGATAAGCTTTTTGATGTGCTGCTGGATTCGGTTTGCCAGTATTTTATTGAGGATTTTTGCATCAATGTTCATCAAGGATATTGGTCTAAAATTCTCTTTTTTTGTTGTGTCTCTGCCCGGCTTTGGTATCAGAATGATGCTGGCCTCATAAAATGAGTTAGGGAGGATTCCCTCTTTTTCTATTGATTGGAATAGTTTCAGAAGGAATGGTACCAGTTCCTCCTTGTACCTCTGGTAGAATTCAGCTGTGAATCCATCTGGTCCTGGACTCTTTTTGGTTGGTAAGCTATTGATTATTGCCACAATTTCAGATCCTGTTATTGGTCTATTCAGAGATTCAACTTCTTCCTGGTTTAGTCTTGGGAGAGTGTATGTGTCGAGGAATTTATCCATTTCTTCCAGATTTTTTAGTTTATTTGCGTAGAGGTGTTTGTAGTATTATCTGATGGTAGTTTGTATTTCTGTGGGATCGGTGGTAATATCCCCTTTATCATTTTTTTATTGTGTCTATTAGATTCTTCTCTCTTTTTTTCTTTATTAGTCTTGCTAGCGGTCTATCAATTTTGTTGATCCTTTCAAAAACCCAGCTCCTGGATTCATTAATTCTTTGAAGGGTTTTTTGTGTCTCTATTTCCTTCAGTTCTGCTCTGATCTTAGTTATTTCTTGCCTTCTGCTAGCTTTTGAATGTGTTTGCTCTTGCTTTTCTAGTTCTTTTAATTGTGATGTTAGGGTGTCAATTTTGGATCTTTCCTGCTTTCTCTTGTGGGCATTTAGTGCTATAAATTTCCCTCTATACACTGTTTTGAATGCGTCCCAGAGATTCTGGTATGTTGTGTCTTTGTTCTCATTGGTTTCAAAGAACATCTTTATTTCTGCCTTCATTTCGTTATGCACCCAGTAGTCATTCAGGAGCAGGTTGTTCAGTTTCCATGTAGTTGAGCGGTTTTGAGTGAGATTCTTAATCCTGAGTTCTAGTTTGATTGCACTGTGGTCTGAGAGATAGTTTGTTCTAATTTCTGTTCTTTTACATTTGCTGAGGAGAGCTTTACTTCCAAGTATGTGGTCAATTTTGGAATAGGTGTGGTGTGGTGCTGAAAAAAATGTATATTCTGTTGATTTGGGGTGGAGAGTTCTGTAGATGTCTATTAGGTCTGCTTGGTGCAGAGCTGAGTTCAATTCCTGGGTATCCTTGTTGACTTTCTGTCTCGTTGATCTGTCTAATGTTGACAGTGGGGTGTTAAAGTCTCCCATTATTAATGTGTGGGAGTCTAAGTATCTTTGTAGATCACTCAGGACTTGCTTTATGAATCTTGGTGCTCCTGTATTGGGTGCATATATATTTAGGGTAGTTAGCTCTTCTTGTTGAATTGATCCCTTTACCATTATGTAATGGCCTTCTTTGTCTCTTTTGATCTTTGTTGGTTTAAAGTCTGTTTTATCAGAGGCTAGGATTGCAACCCCTGCCTTTTTTTGTTTTCCATTTGCTTGGTAGATCTTCCTCCATCCTTTTATTTTGAGCCTATGTGTGTCTCTGCACGTGAGATGGGTTTACTGAATACAGCATACTGATGGGTCTTGACTCTTTATCCAATTTGCCAGTCTGTGTCTTTTAATTGGAACATTTAGTCCATTTACATTTAAAGTTAATATTGTTATGTGTGAATTTGATCCTGTCATTATGATGTTAGCTGGTTATTTTGCTCGTTAGTTGATGCAGTTTCTTCCTAGTCTCGATGGTCTTTACATTTTGGCATGATTTTGCAGTGGCTGGTACCGGTTGTTCCTTTCCATGTTTAGCGCTTCCTTCAGGAGCTCTTTTAGGGCAGGCCTGGTGGTGACAAAATCTCTCAGCATTTGCTTGTCTGTAAAGTATTTTATTTCTCCTTCGCTTATGACGCTTAGTTTGGCTGGATATGAAATTCTGGGTTGAAAATTCTTTTCCTTAAGAATGTTGAATATTGGCCCCCACTCTCTTCTGGCTTGTAGGGTTTCTGCTGAGAGATCTGCTGTTAGTCTGATGGGCTTCCCTTTGAGGGTAACCCGACCTTTCTCTCTGGCTGCCCTTAACATTTTTTCCTTCATTTCAACTTTGGTGAATCTGACAATTATGTGTCTTGGAGTTGCTCTTCTCGAGGAGTATCTTTGTGGCGTTCTCTGTATTTCCTGAATCTGAACGTTGGCCTGCCTTGCTAGATTGGGGAAGTTCTCCTGGATAATATCCTGCAGAGTGTTTTCCAACTTGGTTCCATTCTCCCCATCACTTTCAGGTACACCAATCGGACGTAGATTTGGTCTTTTCACATAGTCCCATATTTCTTGGAGGCTTTGCTCATTTCTTTTTATTCTTTTTTCTCTAAACTTCCCTTCTCGCTTCATTTCATTCATTTCATCTTCCATTGCTGATACCCTTTCTTCCAGTTGATCGCATCGGCTCCTGAGGCTTCTGCATTCTTCACGTAGTTCTCGAGCCTTGGTTTTCAGCTCCATCAGCTCCTTTAAGCACTTCTCTGTATTGGTTATTCTAGTTATACATTCTTCTAAATTTTTTTCAAAGTTTTCAACTTCTTTGCCTTTGGTTTGAATGTCCTCCCATAGCTCAGAGTAATTTGATCGTCTGAAGCCTTCTTCTCTCAGCTCGTCAAAGTCATTCTCCATCCAGCTTTGTTCCGTTGCTGGTGAGGAACTGTGTTCCTTTGGAGGAGGAGAGGCGCTCTGCTTTTTAGAGTTTCCAGTTTTTCTGTTCTGTTTTTTCCCCATCTTTGTGGTTTTATCTACTTTTGGTCTTTGATGATGGTGATGTACAGATGGGTTTTTGGTGTGGATGTCCTTTCTGTATGTTAGTTTTCCTTCTAACAGACAGGACCCTCAGCTGCAGGTCTGTTGGAATACCCTGCCATGTGAGGTGTCAGTGTGCCCCTGCTGGGGGGTGCCTCCCAGTTAGGCTGCTCAGGGGTCAGGGGTCAGGGACCCACTTGAGGAGGCAGTCTGCCCGTTCTCAGATCTCCAGCTGTGTGCTGGGAGAACCACTGCTCTCTTCAAAGCTGTCAGACAGGGACATTTAAGTCTGCAGAGGTTACTGCTATCTTTTTGTTTGTCTGTGCCCTGTCCTCAGAGGTGGAGCCTACAGAGGCAGGCAGGCCTCCTTGAGCTGTGGTGGGCTCCACCCAGTTTGAGCTTCCCGCTGCTTTGTTTACCTAAGCAAGCCTGGGCAATGGCGGGCGCCCCTCCCCCAGCCTGGCTGCTGCCTTGCAGTTTGATCTCAGACTGCTGTGCTAGCAGTCAGCGAGACTCCGTGGGCGTAGGACCCTCCGAGCCAGGTGCGGGATATAATCTCGTGGTGCGCCGTTTTTTAAGCCCGTCGGAAAAGCGCAGTATTCAGGTGAGAGTGACCCGATTTTCCAGGTGCCGTCCGTCACCCCTTTCTTTGACTTGGAAAGGGAACTCCTTGACCCCTTGTGCTTCCCAAGCGAGGCAATGCCTCGCCCTTCTTCGGCTCGCGCACGGTGCGCGCACCCACTGACCTGCGCCCACTGTCTGGCACTCCCTAGAGAAATGAACCCGGTACCTCAGATGGAAATGCAGAAATCACTGTCTTCTGCGTCGCTCACGCTGGGAGCTGTCGACCGGAGCTGTTCCTATTCGGCCATCCTGGCTCCCCATCAGTGGTGTCTTTCATTGTAAGTTTGCATTTCCCTCATGACTAATGATTTTGAGCATTTTAAAATGTGCTTTTCTGCCATGTGTATGCCATCTTTGGGGAAGTATCCATTTAAATCTTTTGTGATTTTAAAATGTTGTCTTATTATTGAGTTGTAAGAGTGCTTTATATATTCTGAATAGAAGTCTTTTATGAAATGTATGTTTTGCAAATCTTCTTTCCCAGTCTGTGGCCTCTATTAATTTTCTAATGATGTCTTTTGAAAAGCAAAATTTTTATATTTGATAGAGTATAATTTATCAATTTTTTTCTTTTCTAATGATGCTTTTGATTTCATTTCTTAAAAAAAATTGCCTAACCTAAGTGACAAAAAGTTTCTCCTAGGAGTTTTATAGTTTAGCTCACTCTTATAGTTAGTTCAGGCATCCATTTGCATTAATTTTTTTCTATGATGAGAGTTAAGGATCAAGCTTCTTAGTTTACTTTGTATATGAATGTCCAATTGTTCTAGCATACTTTCCAGAAAAGCCTATTCTTTCTCTGTTGAATTGCCTTGGCACTATGTTGAAATCAGTTGACCATATATGTTTTGGTTTATTTCTGAACTCTCTGTTCCATTTTTTATCTATATGACTATTCTTACAACCAGTACCGCATTGTCTTGCTTACTGTATAGCTTTATAGTAGGTTTTGAAATCAGTGAGTACAAATCCTAAGAATTTTTTATTCGTTTTCAAAATTGTTTCAGCTATTTAAGATCCTTTGTATCTCCATATTAATTTTATATCAACTTGTCATCAATTTCTAAAAAAAAAAAAAATGCTTCTTTTGAAGCAGGGTCTCTCTCTGTCACCCAGGCAGGAGTGCAGTGGCACAATCACGGCTCATTGCAGCCTCGGTCTCCCGGGCTCAAACTATCCCCCTGCCTCCTTTTTTAATTTTTTGTAGAGACAAGGTCTCACTATGTTGCCCAGGTTCAAATCCTGGGCTCAAGTGATCCTCCCACATGGACCTCCCAAAGTGCTGAGATTGCAAGCGTGAGCCACTGTGCTCACACTTCCTGGGATTTTAATAAGAATTGTCTTGAATGGGAAGATCTATTTGGAGAGAATTCCCATCTTAATAATATTGAATCTTTCAACACACGAATGTGGTTTATCTTTCCACTCTTTTAGGTCTCCTTTAAGTTTTGCCATTCCTTCAGTAAATTTATTTCTAGGTATTTTATTATTGTTGATGCTTTGTGGATGATTTCTTGAGTTTTTGAATTGATTGGTGCTAATATATAAAAATGCCACTCATTGAATTTTGTATATTGGCCTTGTAACAGTGACATTACTAAATTTGTTTACTTACTCTAGTAGATTTTTTGGTAGATTCCTTAAGCTTTTCTATATCAAAGATTATGTCTGTGTATAAAGATAGTTTTACATCTTCCTTTACAACATGCATGCCTTTTATTTATTTGTTTTGTTTTGTCCCACAGTGTTAAATAGAAATGGTGAGAGCATGCATTTCTCCCTTGTTCCTGATCTTAGGAGGATAACTTTCAGCCTTTAACCATGAAGGATGATGTTAGTTGCCAAAGTTTTCTGTAGATGTCCTTTATCCAGCTGAGGAAGTTCCCTTCATTCCTAATTTTATGAGAATTTATATAATGAATCACATCATCAAATAATTGTTTTCTATATCTATTAAGATGATTAATTTTTTTCTTTATTCTATTACTATGGTATTTTATGTTAATTGATTTTAAGATGTTAAAACAACTTTGCAGTTCTGGGATACACTTCATTTGACCATTGAGTATAATCTTTTTCATATGCTTTTAGATTTTATTTGTTAATATTTCTCAAGGATTTAAAAATCTGTGTCCATGAAGGATATTGGGCTATAGCTTTCTTTTATTCTAATTCCTTTGTCTAGCATTAGTATCCAGCTAATAGTGGTTTCATAGAATACAATGGAAAGTATTCTCTCCTTTTCTATTTTCTGAAACAGGCTTCGTAGAATTAGTATTATATCTTTCTTAGATGTTTGAAAGAATTCATCAATGATGCCATCTGTGTGTGAACTTTGTGGAGAGAATTTAAATTACTAATTCAGTTTCTTTACTTGGCATAAGTATATTCAAAATATCTATTTACTCTTGAGTCAATTTTGATAATTTGTGTCTTTCTAGGAATTTGTCTATTTCATCTAAGTTAACAAATTCGTTGGCATAAAGTTGTTCATGATATTCTTTTATAAGCCTGTTAATTTCTGTAGTGTCTGTAGTCACATTCCCTCTTTTGTTCCCAAATTTGGAAAAATTTTTATCTCTCTTTGTTTCTTGACTGATGTCTAGCTAGCCTACTGTTTCAATTTTGTTGATCATATCAAAGAACCAACTTTTGATTTCATTGATTTTCTTCTATTGCTTTTTTCTATTTTCTAGTTCATGGCATTCTGCTCTGATTTTTATTATTTCCTTCCTAGTATTTTGTGCTTAATTTGCTTTCTTTTTCTAACTTCTCAAGATGAAGACTTGCATTATTGATGTAAGGTATTTCCCCCTTTCTAATAGAAGTATATAAAGCTCAAATTTCTCTCTAAGCAACATTTTAGCTGTGACACATAGATTTTGATATATTGGTTCTCATTTACATTCAGTTTATGATATTTTTGAATTTCCCTTATGATTTGTTATGTGAATCATGAGATATTGAGAAGTATGTTGTTTCATTTTGAAATATTTGGGGATTTCTAAGATTTCTGTCTGCTATTGAGAAGAATGTATATTCTGTTTTTGGGTTGAGGGGGTCTGTATTTGTCAGTTTGATCAAGTTGTTCAAGACTTGTGTATCCTTACAGATTTTCTGTTATGATCTTTCAGTTACTGAGATAGGAGTATTAAAGTCTCTCTATATAATTATTAAATAGTCCATTTCTCCTTTCAATCTGTTTTATGTAATTTTTTGGCCCTGGTGATAAGGTATATGCATATTTATGATTATTATATCTTCTGGTCATGTCAATACTTTTATCATTATGAAATGTCCCTCTTTGTCTCTAGCAATAGGTCTTTTCTTAAAGTCTGATTTGTCTGATATTAGCATAGCCACTGTAATTCTCCTACAGTTACTCTATTCATGGAGTATAGTGAATATGTAAATTTAACATGTGAATATGTGAATTTATCATGTGTGAATTTAAGGTGTTTCTCTTGTAGACTGCATATAAATTGAATCTTGTTTGTTATTGTCTGATAATTTCTGCTTTTTGATTGGAGCATTGAGTTGATTAATATTTAATGTAATTATTGACATCATTGAATTATGCCTCCCATTTTGCTATTTTTTCCCTATAAGGTCCATGTCCTTTTTCTTGTTTCTCTATTCCTCTTTGGCTGACTATTTTGTGTTAAATAAATATTTTTTAGTGTGCCATTTTAAATCCTGTGTTTATTTTGTAGTCATAGCTTTTGAAAACTTAAAAATGTGGTTGCTTTAGAGATTACAATATTCAATTTTAATTTATGACAATCTCAGATTAATACTGGTTTAATTTGAGAAGAGTATAGTAACTAATATAACTCAATTTTCTTGTTCCTTCTAGTGTTATTATTATATATGTTATATCAATGTCAGGTATAAACCAAAAATATGGTGTTGTAATTAATGCCCTAAACAACGTTATGTCTATAAAAAATTATAGTATAAGAAAAGAAAAAAACATATGATCTTCAATCTTTAATATTTACCAATTTACTTGCCATTTCACATTCTCTTTATTTCTTTCTGGAGATTTCAGTTACTCTATTTCCTTTCATCTTGAAGAACTTAAATTTTAGTATGTATTGTAGCAAAGTTCTGCTGTAAAGGAATTTTCTCATTTTGTCTACCTGGAAGTTTCTTTAATTTCTTTTTGAACAATGATTTTACTGAATGTAGAATTTCAGGTTGACTTTTTTTTCTTTCAGTGCTTTGAATATGGTATTCCACTGCCCACTGGGTTACATTGTTTCAGATGAAAATCAGTTGCTTATTCTGTTATTCTTTTGTCCAGGATTAGTCATTTTCTTTTGCTGCTTTAGAAATCTTCTCTTTGTTTTTATCTTCTGGTAGTTTGACAATGATGTATCTCTATGTGGTTCTCTTTGTGCTTATTTTATCTGATGCTTGTTGAGCTTCTTGGATCTGTAAGTTAATGATTTTCAAGTTTTCAAGTTTTGGGAGATTTCAGCCATTATTTCTTCAGTGAATTGTCTTCTGCTGGAACTCCCATCACACATATGTTGAAATGCTTGATGTTATCTGGCAAGCCTTTGAGGATCTGTTTATTTTTCTCCCTTTATTTCTCTCTGTTCTTCAGATTTAACAGTTTCCATTTATCCATCTTCAAGTTTCCTCTTCTTTCTTTTGCCATTTCAAGTTTGCAGTTGTTCCTAGCTGGTGATTTTTTTTTCTTTCAGTTATACTCTTAAACTCTAGAATTTCCATTTGGTTCTTTCACATAGTTTCTATTTCTCTGTGTGGACTTCTTACTTCTTGACCAGTTGTTAGCATATTTTTCTTTTATCCTTTGAGCATCATTTTCTCTAACTCTTTTTTGTTTATTGTTTTAGTTTAATTATTTGAACATATCTATAACAGCTGTGTAAAGTCTTGCCTGCTAAGCCTAACATCTAGGATCACTCAGAGTCAGTTTCTAAAAATTGTTTCCTCCCAAATCCTCCAAGTACAGGTCATACTTTCCTGTTTTTTACATGTCTAGAAATTTACATTGTGGAAAACCTCTCCCACACAATATGCAACTGCTGATGCCTTGGCCCATCTGTTTTTTCTATTTCTATTTTTTAACCTGGCTCTCTAGAGGTCACTCCTCTGTCTGTATAGTTTAATGGTCAACTAATGACGGCTCAAGCTTCGTTCAAACACCTTGAACCTATTAGACTTCCATCCTGTGCCAATTGAGTTATGTGAGGAACATATTCAAAGTTGCAGCCAGTTCTCACGTCTCCCTTGGTTTATCACATTTCCTAAGGGACCTCTGGATCTCTCCTACACACGGGTAGTTTAGCCATCAGCCAGGGATGTGTGGAGAGCTTATCTCAGCCCTTTCATGATGTTCTAAATTCCAAGATTGCCTTATTAAATTTCTGGCTGGTCAGTCACTCACCTTAAACTGAGAAACACAACCTAAGTCTAGAAAAGCTGCAGGTTTTTACAGTCTATTCCAAACCAAAGCTGCCATATTTAGCTGTGAATGTAATAGAAGTTTGTTCCTTCCCCTATACCCCAAGGCAAGCCTGCCTTCTTTGGCAGCAAAATCCCTTTCTAATTACAGCCCGCCTAGGTTGGTATGGCCATATTCTTGCCAATTGAACTGAGGAAGGGGAGCATAGGAACAGCCCAGGCAAGAGGCCACAGACTTCCATCATTCTTGCCCAAAAACTCAATCAGTTTTTGTGTATTAGAATAAATTCTGCTTAATTTATTTTTTGGCTTTGGTAGGTTTCTGCATGCCAAAACAAATTTTTTAAAAGACAATTTTGTCCATTTTATGCTTGTTTTCTCTAAAGGAGGATACCTGACCTCTTCATTATTTCTATTTTCGAGGCAAGGTCTTGCTCTGTCACCTGGGCTGGAATGCAGCAGCATGATCATAGTTCACTACAAACTCAAACTCCTGGGCTCAAGTGATCCCCCACTTCAGCCTCTTGAGTAGCTGAGACTACAGCACACCCACACCTGGCTATTTTTTTGTTATATTTTGTAGAGACAGGGTCTCGCTATGCTGCCCAGACTTGTCTTCAACTCCTGGCTTCAAGTGATTCTCACTCTTTGACCTCCCAAAATACAGGGATTACAGGCATGAGCCACCATGCCTGGCCATTATTTTTATCTTTAAATTTTATAGGTACATAGTAAGTGTATATATTTATGTGGTACTTGAGATATCTTATGTTGCCAATACCAGAAGGTAAAATCTGCTTCTATAATAAATTTGCTAGAAAGTAGTATTTAATAAATATGTGTTGAGCATGATTTGTTGAAAGGCAGACTCTGTGCTGAAAAGCCTTCAGAGCATAATAAACTAAGTATCTCAAGATGCCAGGTTATTCTAGGAACAAAAATAAATGTTTGTCAAGTGAATACATGATCTAAAGCATCAGCCAACTTTTTCTTTGCTTTTATGAGAAATTGAGGAATAATAACCTAGAAACTCTTTTGAAGCTTTTTTTTTTTTTTTTTTTTTTTGATGGAGTCTCGCTCTGTCACCCAGGCTGCAGTGCAGTGGCATGATCTCGGCTCACTGCAACCTCCGCCTCCTGGATTCAAGCAATTCTCCTGCCTCAGCCTCCCCAGTAGCTGGGACTACAGGCACCTGCCACCACGCCCAGCTAATTTTTTGTATTTTTAGTAGAGATGGGGTTTCACTGTGTTTCAATCTCCTGGCCTTGTGATCTGCCTGCCTTGGCCTCCCAAAGTGCTGGGATTACAGGCGTGAGCCACCACGCCTGGCCTGAAGCTTTGTTTTGATAATAAATGTATTGATTTATTTGAGCTATTATATTAGATTCTGCTAAGATAATAAAAATTCCGTACTCTTCTACATCTTAAGAAGCCTTTTGCAGAGGTTCAATATCACTTACTTTTCGTTTACATAAAGAAAGGCAGAGCAATTACAATATAGGTAACCTTTCCCTGTAAAGGTTCTTACCCTCTTCTAGTTCAAATTCTGCATGAGCTTGTTGGAAGTTTTGGTGATATTCACCAAATGTGTCAATAGGATGGTGCTGTGTTTAATTAATAAATGTTTCCATTTAGGGATTAAACAAATTCTAGCTGTGAAGGAAGCCATCTTCATAAAGCCAGGTATTTCTGAATTAGGTTGGTGGATTGGGTTTATTATCTCGCTAAAAGCTTCATTTAATCTGAAACTATACATCAGAGGTCTCAGATTGACAGCCTGGATCCAGCCCACAAACATGTTTTATTTGGCCTGCACAGTGTTCTAACAAACTCTCTTGTTATCATTTAAAAATCAGAGATCTTGTGCAGCAATATAGATTTTCTAATTTGAAGATCTCACAACACAGCTTTGCTTCCCTGAGGCAACAGTTGGCCATCAGCCCTTTAGAAGGTCCTGGAGCTCTGCTCTCCAGCTCACCTCAGTCCTTGCCTAGCCCCACCTGATTCGCTTTTTAATGACCACCTGGCCCTGTAGACATTTGATTTCAAGATTTTTTGGGACTGTGAATTTCTCTAAGGCCAGGTGGCTACCAGGGGGATAAATTGGTCATCAGTGGAGGATTAAGCTGCATGTATTTATCATAAAAGAACTTGGATCAAATAAGAAGTATTTGAGCCAGGTTAGAGAATAATATTCTGCATCCAGAGTATATATCAGTGAAATCATTTAAAACTGAATTTGGAGAGATTTGGATAAAAAGTGTTTGAGCCAGGTTAGGGAATAATTTTTTTCATCCACAGTATATATCAGTGAAATCATTTAAAACTGAATTTGGATAGATAGGAGGAATAAGTTCTAGTGTTCTATGCCAGTGTAGGATGACTATAGTTAACACTAATACATTAAATAGTTTCCAATAGCTAGAAGAAGGATATTGAATGTTCCCAGCACAAAGAAATGATAAATGTTTGAGATAATGGATATGTTAATTACCCTGATCTGATCAATATACATTATATGTATCAAAACACCACTATGTACTCCATAAATATGTACAATCATTATGTCAATTAAAACAATTTAAAAAATTTTTTTAAAAATCTAAAAAGCCAAAATGGGGGTAGATGAAGAATAGCATTGCTGTATCTAAAATAATTAAATTGAAATAATATAACTGCAATGTATTTATTCATTTATTGTTCATTGATTCACAAAATATTTACAGATCGAGTGTTTCTGGTTCACCATCATCTCTCTCTAGGACCTGAAGTTCCTCATATATAATAACCATAATATAATAAGTATTCTATACCTAATAAACTCTCCCATATACATTCTGTGGATAAATAAATGAATGAATTGCATCCATATTATTTCATTGCTCTAGAAAATGAGATAACTTGCTGGGCAAGGTGGCTCACGTCTGTAATCCCAGCACTTTGGGAGGCCGAGGCGGGCGGATCACGAGGTCAGGAGATCGAGACCATCCTGGCTAACATGGTGAAACCCCGTCTCTACTAAAAATACAAAAAAAAAAAAAAAAAAAATTAGCCGGGCGTGGTGGCAGGCGCCTGTAGTCCCAGCTACTAGGGAGGCAGAGGCAGGAGAATGGCGTGAACCTGGGAGGTGGAGCTTGCGGTGAGCCAAGATCGTGCCACTGCACTCCAGCCTGGGCGACAGAGTGAGACTCTGTCTCAAAAAAAAAAAAAAAAAAAGAAAGAAAAAGAAAATGAGATAACTTACTTCCTCAATTTTCCCCCTCCCAGCAACCCTCAAATTTCTATTTTAATTGATTTAAAATTACTATCTAGTGTATTAGTAAATTTTTTCACACTTCGTTAGTGAAAAAAAAAAGAATTTTAAAAAACCAACCTGAAATATTAGACTTTTTACCTGTAACTGGGTCTGAACAATCTAGTTCTCATAAAGCAGAAAAAACCGAAACTTGTGGAAGCAAGCAGCTTATTATCATGAAGAAGACTTCAGCCTTCCAGTTTCTGGATGAAACTAGGGGCAGTAATATTAGAAACCCGAGTGGACCCTTTGCCTGAGAAACATGTTCATCTCTTAGTAATTTGGACTAGAGAGCATGCAAAATATGCATCAATATAAAATCAACTAACACAGATTCCAGGGTCACAAGCCCAAATAACAGTAAGATCTGTAAATATCAAGGAAAACGTAGATTTAAAATTTCAGATCAGATTCATTCCTCCACTCACAGCTTATACATATTGTGGTCAGAAGCTGGAAGTAAGCCTATGCTCTAATTAACTCTGCTCTGGGAGGCGAGGCTCTCACGAGAGAGAGGAGAGAGATGGGGGTGGGGGGTGGAGAGGATTGGGAGCACTTCAGAGAAAAGATCTGAGAGAAAAGCCTGGGACTCTGCCACCCAGCTCCCTGGCCCCTGGGAGAAGCCATGGCAGATATTTGGGATGAGGCAGCATGCTGGTCCCTCAGCAGCATCCTTATCACGTCAGCTGTGGTAAGTGATATTCTTGATACTTGCTGTTTTGCCAGAAGTTAGAATATCGCTTTTCTCTTGAATTGATACATGCTGCTTAGAAGCCACTGGGTTTCTTGGCATGTCTATTTAGAATTACAGATAACCCAGTAAAAATTTTCAAACATCATGTAACATGTATTATCAATCCAGGCACGTGTAGATATTTGGACTCACGGAGACAGAGGAGTGTCATGGAAAAAGCATTGCATCAGGAATCAGGAGGCCTGGGGCCTAATTGAATCTTTGACTCTAATGTGATTTTAGCAAGGGGGCTTAACTGCACGGAGGCACTGTCTTCTCTTCATGGGAGACCATCCCCGATCATTGCTGCTATCTCCATAAATCCCAAAGGGAAATGATACTCAGTCTATTCCAGAGCTGCAAGACTTACAATCTCCCGGTCAGGATTTTTAGGCTCTAATCCATGTAAGAGATCCTGGTCTTTTAGCAGAAATAGAAATGTTCTCAAGTAGGGCACGCTGTTAGAGAATTTTTAAAAATAAATTGGGAAGTCATTGGTAATTTGTAGTAAGAAGAAAGACTTGTTTTATAAATCAAAATGCCAGAGTCTAAAACGAGCAAGAATTCCAATTGCTGACTATGAATATCTGAATACAGCACTACTTTCTAATTGCTTCACTTGCTACAGAGAGAAATAAAACTGTGAGACTGTGAAGTGTATAAAGGATTCTACCGCTCTCCCGGGGCTTGGAGACCCACAGATTGGAGAAAGTAAGTGAGTGTCTTTCTGACCATTGAATCCCTCACTCTCACTGCGAGTTAGAAAGCTCTAAGGACTTTAATGAAACCAGTCTGCACGTCCTAAAAAGTACTGAAACAGCTGGAGAGACAGCGCCACCTCGTGTCCACCTAAAAAAACTCCCTGGCAATCATCTTTGCGGAAATTGGCCCCAGTAACTTCCATGAAATAGGGCAAAGAAAATAAATCCATCAAAGCTGACTGGATAACAGAGAGAAATGCCAGCTGAAAGCATTTTTGACTGTTGATGACTTCAAAAGCCAGGAAACTTAATCCTAGCCTTATGTTTCTTTCTCCGTGCCCAAAAGGCAGCCGAGCTCGTCACTAAACCAGCGGAGGTGAAACAGGTCACTAAGTTTATAATGTAGTTGGTTACTGGCTTTCATTTTTTCTCTGCATCCTGGCAGCAGGATACAGGCAGCTTGTTATAACTTAGAGGGGGCTCCTGGAAAGCCTGCTTGCTGGGTGTATTTCTGTAGGCGTGGGCTCACTGGGAATATTATTACCTCATGGAGTCACGAGTTTAATAGCATTTCTTCCACTTCATTCAGCACAGCACCAAGTTACAGTGACTCTGGCTGCAGCACATTGCAGACACACATTGTTCCCTGCAGCATCACGTCTTCACGGTCCCATGTGGGTCCCAACCGCGCTGCCTGCTCTTGCACACATGCGCCATTCTCACACCTGCAGGCTCTCTGGCGGGGTCTTCTCCACCTCCTACATCCCTAGCTGGTTTGCACCTCTCTCTACCCCTTTTCTCTCCCTTATTCTCCTACCTCCCTCTTCCCGCCGCCTTTCCTTCTACTCTGTCATAATGACTATCATTTGCGGCACCTGCCATCGCTTTGCACATCATTTGCCACTTGAGATATTTCTGCGTCTGTCTCGCAGCTTAGGAGACTGTGGCTCCTGGAGTTGAACACAATCAGGGGAGAGGAGTGCTCTGCTCTCCTCATGCCGCTTGCAGTCTCCTGAAGTCCTTGCCACCGAGGGAGCTTCACTAGCAATTACACTCCTGACCACCCGATGCCCCTCTGGCTCCTCTTAGAAGAGGAGAGGAGTGATTTCATCACCTGGTGAGTTCCTAAGGAGAACAGGGTTTGTGCAGCGCAGTCCCCAATGCCCTGCCCCCTACAGGAGTGAGGCCACCTGCAGACAGCCTGCATCTGGTGCACCTGTTCCTTCTCCCCATCTGTACATTTCACGGGGCCACTCCGTCCCTGTGCTGCAGAGGAATGGGTGGGGGAGGCTGTCCAATCTGGAGGCTCAGGGGTGGAGAAGCCCACCCCACAGATAGAAACCATGACCTCCACCATCAACCCTGTCAGTAATGAAGGTATTTTCATTTCCCACCTCTCTTGCTGCAGACCTTTCATGTGTTCTTCACTGGGACACCTTGAACTCTTAACACTTAGGAAAACATTTTTTTTCTAATCCAGAGCAGAAAGTTTGGAAGTTTAAATTCTAGCTTCACATGATTCAACCCCAAATGAGGTTTTTTTTTTTTTCTTTTTTAATTCGAACCAATTTGCTGCGATGTAGAGAATGTTCTGGATTGGCGATCAGAAGGTACGGGCTCTACACAGGGCTTGGAGCTTTCCAGCTTTGCAGCTTTGAGTGAGAACCTGCTCTAGGCTTCGGTTTCCCCATCATGGCTTCTGTGATTCCAGGATCAAGAGTTGGCCATTTAGAGGTACCAAGAAGAGGTGATGCTCACTTTTTAAGTCCTTCATCTACTTGAAATGAGCTACTGCTTGTTTAACTTTTCTCTTTTTGGAAAAGTTAATGCTTTTTCCAGAGACAGCAAATTCATGGAGCATTTGTCTAGGACTCCCCCCCAATCCCTTCCCCTTCCCCCAGCCTCTATCACAGTTAAGAACAAGCCTCAGGCCTTCTTTATTTGTTGTTATTCACCCCGAGCATGGAGCTGCCAGGATGTTAGATTTTTTTTTTTTGAGCCCAAAATTGGGACACTTGGATTAACAAATTATTTTTTATTTGACTTGTAAATTTGTCCCAAAGTTACCCGCTTTGAATCACATCGAGGTATGCATTTACTACTTTGGCTTTATTGAGAAGAATGACATAATGTGAATTGTGGAGAAACTGTAGAGCTTAAAGTCACCTATAGGAAAGTAGAAGAGGCAGCAGTTCCATGGCCTCTGTTTTGCAAAGACAGGCAAGAATAGGAGGTGAGAAAGGGATGCAGTTTGTCCCCTCCCAACTGCAGCCTCACTCTTCACCTCAACCTCACTCTAGTTTTAAGATATTTTAGTACCATTTTGAGTTATCATTTCCCTTGAAATAATTACTTGCTTCCTAAGACCTTGATACACTGAACACTACCCATACCAGATACAATCTACATTCTGAGTGGCCAACACCATATTTTCATCCCAAGTTCAAGTCCACCTCTCTTGCCACAGAAAAGAATGGGCTCTGTCCTGGACTTACAGGCAAGGGAAGAATTGGAGTGGAATGTGATTCATGGGATGCATGTTGGTTTTGATGCCATTCTAGAAAATTGACAGATATTGGCTCCTTTGTTCCTCCTTTTTTCTTTGGTGAATTCATTTCTCCTCTCTGGTTAATGCCATCTATATGCTGTTAATTCCAAAACTGGTATCTCCATCCTGGACATGTCCTCCAAGTTGCAGATACGTGCGCACACACACACACACACACACACACACACACACTATATATATATATATATATATATATATATTTATAAATATATATGCATATAATTATTGCCTCCTCATCAGGAGGAGGAAACATTTGGATGCCTGACAGGAATCGCAAAGTTAGTAATCCCCAAACTAAGCTCCAGATATTTTCCTCCCATGTCTGCTCTTTCCTAGCCTTCTTCATCTTTCATCTCAAAAAGTGGCTTCTTTCTGGCAGCTTGGGCCAAACCTTGGAGCCGTCTTTGACTGCTCTCTCTCACATCCCGTATCTGATCTGTCACCAAATCTGGTCATCTCCACCTTCCAATTATACCCAGGTTTTGATCATTTTCTTTACTTTCCCTGCTGCTACCTTGGTCTCAGCTGTCCACATCTGTTGCTTGGACATCTACAGTAGCCCCTAGCCAGTCTCCCTTGCTGCCTCCGATCCCTCTCAGCCCAGCAGCTTACATGATCCTGTTAAAACACATCAGATCATAGCACTCTGCTGAAAACCCTTCTGATGGCTGTCTATGTCATTCAGAGTAAAATCTGCTACATTGTACTCTTAGCTGCCTCTGTTTCCTCTCTGCTCTCATCTCCTCATTCTGTTTCTGCTGCATTGATCTCTCTGCTTTTCTTTATGCTAGGCATGCTCTCGCCCCGCATCTGTGCACTGACTGGGTCCTCTGCATGGATGCTCTTTCCTTGGAGTCCATGTCGCTCACGCCCCACCTCCTGCAGCTCTTTGCTCCAATGCGTGGCCCTCCTCTGGCTATTCTAAAATTGCACCCCTCACCACCAATTGTGTCCTTGCCACTATCTCTGCTTTATGCCCTTTGCATTTATTATTGTTTAATATACTCCGTATGCTACTTATTTATACTGTTTTCTCCGGAAGAAGGCAAGCTCTGTTAGGATGGGGTTATTCCCAGCTATGTTCCCAGCAAGTAGATCCAGGTGCTCAGTGAATATTTGTTGAATAATTGAATGAAGATGAGGGACAAATTGCAGATGAGGAGGAGAAAAGGGATGATGTAAGTGTTTCCCCTCATGTGGGCATCTGGAGATTGAGCAGGCAGTCACTCATTTCAGCAACGGCAGGTGGGCTTGTGATGGGGTTGGGGAGGAGGAAGGAGACTCACTGGAGTGTCCTGCTCCAATGGGAGTTAACTCAAAACAGGACCATGTTCAGAAATCAGAAACGATATTACTAGAGGTTTATTTTCTGCTTAGAGTTATTATTTAACTTCATTTGATTGAACAGACATTTACTGAGTAACTGCCTTGCCAGAGTGCTGGAGGCTGAGGGTACAATGGTCTCTGCTCTCATGTAGAGTAAGACTGAGGTGATAAATTCACACATAAATAGATCCTTCAGTATGGAGCAGTGCATGCAGTGCCGAAGCACTCCATCCAGGGTCTACACTTCCTCCTAGTCTCTTCAGTCACTTTCTCCTTTGAATGTTTACCAGCTTGTGGAGGAGAGTATATCTGGACTGGCAGTGGGGGAAGGGAGAAACTGTGCATTTACTCAAGAAGCACCTCATGGATGAGAGCCCTCAGGAAAGGTAATCGAGGACAATCATTGCCATATAGTACTTTGATGGCCTGACCCCCTGTATTAAGAACTTACTGTTTACTTTGAATACATTTTAGAAATTTTCAGTGCCTAGTAACTTCTCTCTGCAAAGGGAAATTAATAAACCCTTCCTTCCACGAGAGGAGTAGTTTAGGGTGTGACTGGGTGAGCCTGTCTTCACCTTGATTCCTGTGCGTAACCTGCAGCTCACCCCTGCTCTGTCACAGCGTCATTTTGGGGTGTGGTTAGTTGTTTGTCTATTCTGTCCTCTCTGGGAGACTGAACTCCTTCTTTAGCGGTTGGCTGGGCACACTGTGGACAGGGAAACTTCCTGAGCAAAACCAGAAGTATTTCTATGACTTGGTGTTTGAAACAAAGACAGCGCTTTGTTGAGAATGAAACATCCTCTTTGGGATTGAGTCTGCTTTTCTCAAGGGTTACTTTGAGCTCAAATGCTTAATCATCCTTCCTCCAGGTGCCAGAGATAATTTTTCCAGAAAGACTTTCCAGGCGTTTCTTCCCCACCACCCACAGTCTGGATCAAATGCCTCCTTCATGTGCCTCAAGCACCCCAAATTTCCTTTGTTCCAGCCCATCCAGAGTCAGACCAAACTTTTAGATGGAGCACAGTCCTCAGTACAGATAGAAGTCTGCCCAAGGCTTCTGACATCAGCCATAAGTTTGGGGGTCTTTGGGGGTACCCTCACTTTAGACCAGCTGGCTACAAATTTAGGGGTCTCCACCCCTCAAGGCCCCCCCAGTCTTGATGATTCATTAGAGAGACTCACAGAAATCCCTGAAAACGCCGTATTTAACCAGGAAGAAGTCTGGGAGGTTTCCAAACTTGAAGCTTCCAGTGTCCTCAGGGATGTGTTACCTTCCCAGCAATGAGTAACAATGCACAGAGAGTATTGCCGAGCAGGGAAGATCTCCCAAGCTCAGCTTCCAGAGTGTTAACTGAGGCTTCATTACATACACTGATTGATTCGCTCATTGGCAGGCAGCTGAACTCAGTCTCCAGGCCTCATCCTTTCCCTGAAGGTCAGGCTGATATCTTAAGACTCATGCACCAACCTTCTAATCATACCGTTGGTCTTTTTGGCGTGGCCAGCCCCAGTCCTGAGTCATCTTGTTAGTGTCAGCTGCAGGTGTGGTCTGAGGGGTGCATCATGAATAACAAACATTCCAATCACTCAGAATCCCAAGGGTTTAGAGGTTAGCTCCCAGGATCTGGGGACACAGGCCAGCCAGACTCTATTACACACAGTCCCTCCTACACTGTATTAGTGCATTTTTGTCTGTCTCTCTAATTAACCTCTTGAGGGCAGGGAATATGCTACCTTGTTCATCATTGTCTTTGTATTTAATGCAATGTAGATACAAAAAAATTGCCATATGAATGTGAAATAAAAGCAATTATTGGACAGATTTTATTCTGGCATTTATTTCAAACCATTACCATTAGGGAATTGCTCAAATCCTAAGGCAAGTATAGTTAAGGCAATTGTCCTGGTCTGGATTTTCTTTGTGTTTTATTTGGTTCCCTTTAGCCTACCGAGTTTCTCCTAGATCTCGAGGTGGTCAACTCCTCACACTGATCCAAGCCACTTCCAGTCAAAATAACTAACTGTTTTCCTATACTGATATCAATATGCAGAGAGACAGTGTGGAGATTAACAAAGCTTCCATCAACTGTATTTACGTAGCTCAAGTTCTTAGCTACTGCACAGATCCTTGCAAATGCTGGAACAATCAGTTTCCTTTCTTAAATGCTCATTCTGCAAGAAACTATCTGCTTTATTTGTTTTAATTCTTTTTGCTGCTATGGTGTAGCTAAAGTAATGCTGACATGTGGCAGGGAGGTTTCAACTGCTGTAACTTCCATTGAAATGAAAGCTACTTCCAGGCTTTATTATAGTCACTTTTTTAAGGCAAAAGGTTTTCCCCATCTTTATGAGTCAAAGTACCTTTGTTCTGTGATTACCTTTTATGCTGCATTGTTAAATGTCTCCCTGGCTACCCAAAACACCCCTTCTCACTGGCTGTGGTAATCTATGATTCTAGCTTTAACCATTTTGTGCCAATGACTTTGTAGAGTATACACTGAGGATAATGGTAGAAAATGGGGGCAAAGGGGAATTAGACTATGGAGGAGCCATGGAAAGAAAACCATCCCTCTGGCCAGGCGTAGTGGCTGACGCCTGTAATCCTAGCACTTTGGGAGGCCGAGGCAGGTGGATCACAAGGTCAGGAGATTGAGACCATCCTGGCTAACACGGTGAAACCCCATCTCTACTAAAAATACAAAAAGTTAGCTGGGCGTGGTGGCATGCGCCTGTAGTCCCAGCTACTCCGGAGGCTGAGGCAGGAGAATCGCTTGAACCCAGGAGGTGGAGGTTGCAGTGAGCCGAGATCACGCCACTGCACTCCAGCCTGGGTGACATGGCGAGACTCTGTCTCAAAAATAAAATAAAATAAATAGAAAACCATCCCTCTGAGGGGCTCTAGCAGGGAAGGAAGAATAGCTGCCAGCCATGAATACGAGGTGACTCTCCTGCTCCAGCAGGGGCTACTGGCATGTTCCCTGATAAGAGTTCCATGATGCCAACTCTGAAGTGGCATTTGCTTGCCAGCTGCAGAGCATGCATTCTTCCTGGACTTTGGCTTGCCCCTGAGTCTAGGAGACATTTGAGGAATGGGTGGTGGGAAGAGGCAGGTGCTTTGTTGGGATAAAAGGAAAGCATTTAACCATTGTTGGCCTCATCTCAGGCTCCAATGAAAAGCAGCATCCGCATGAAGAGTTAAGACAGCTTAAGAACAGCTTAAGTATTCCATATTCTTTCCAGAAATTTTAGAAAATAAAGATAAGCAAAAGATGTTCTTATCCTTATATAACACTATAAAATATATGAAAAGGACCTGGGCTCTATCCAAGGTCATCAAATGTTCAAAGTCCAACTCTTGGAGAACCCGTGATGTGAGGGACCACGCTGATCCTTTTCTTCTTTTCGCTTCTCTTTCTCTTCCTGTCCCCTTTGATACAGAACAATGCGAATATTGAGACAATGGGTCAGGCTACATGGCTTTTACAGGGCACGCGCTGCTGGCTTGTGGTGTGCCACCTGAAGGGATGACAATTCTGTGACAGGCAGGGCTGAGGGGAGCCCAGGTCCCGGGCCAGATCCAACCCCTGGTGGAAACGCGCACTTGCTATTGTGTGTGTGTGTGGAGTAACAGTGACATCCTGTGGCCAGTCTGGTTGATCTAAGTGGCTCCTTTATAGATAAAGAAGACCGTTTTGTCTGCACTGAAAGGTGTGCATGCACTTTAGACAATGCACAAAAGAAAGAGGCAGTGCAGAATCGCCACCGCGAGCCTTCCAGCAGCTCATTTTCAGCGGCTGTCTCTGACTTAGGTGGGGGAGATTCTTGGGACTGAGATGATGTCTGTTTCTATGCTTGATCAATTTAAATGTTACCATTTGAGTGTGGGGTGAGCCATAATAGTAACTGGGAGAACAGTGTGAGAAAATAGTGATAGGGAAGAGAAGAGCTTCTCTTTGTAAGACAGCCCTGTGGATTAATGCAGAATATAATCTGTTACTTTAAAATGCCTAAGTTGCTTGACATTTAGTATTTTATTTTTACAGTTTTTGGATGAAATAACTTCATTTTGACCTTATTTAAAGCAGAGGAGGGAGGGGTTGGAGAAGAAAACAACTCTGGTCTGAAGTTGTTCTACATGCTTACATAACCTGCAAACTATGTGCTTGGCTGGGCTTATCAGGGGCTGGGGAGTTTTGTGATTCCAAATCTCTAATGTGTAACCTCCCATAGTGTTAAATGGAGGTGAGGTGGAACCCCACTGTCACCTGGCTTGGCCATGATGAATGAGCCCTGTCAGGCCCGTTGTCCGTGGGAACGTCCAGCACCGCACCCTCAATCTTCTTGTTTCTATCAAAAAGATGCCATTGCCCCCAAACATGCCTCAACCTGGCTCTTTCCTGGGTGTTCCCAGGGCTGCTGCTTACGGAATAAAGGCAAAGGCAGCTTGGAAGTAAAGAATTCATGCTAGGGAGTTACACAGACCTGGGTTCTAATTCCACCTCACCACTTGCTAGCTCCGAGACCTTGGGCAAATGCATTAACTGCCTGGAGTTCCACATTCATCAACTGCAGGACGGGGTCCATAATAAGTGCTTTTTTTCTTGGGATGTTGTAATGCATTTTAAATATATGCAACAATGCAGGGTCACCAGTGCACCTTGCCTGGGGCCCAGTTGGAACTCACACAGGTGAGCTTCTGCTACTGCTACTCTTGTAGACAGGCTGGTGTCCAGGGCTGAAGGCTAGTTGGGAGGAAGGCTCTCTGTCCCCTCTTCACTGAGAATCAGCAATAAGATCTCTGTAGTTGTCTGTTGAAGCAGGTTTGGGTTGAGGGCATAAAAGGCAGAAGTACATGCGTGTTGTGTTGTGTGTGTGTTTTGTGTGTGAGCTGTGCGTGTGTTGTATGTGTTTTTGTGTGTTGTATATGTGTAGTATGTGTGTGTTTTGTGTGTTATGTGTTTTTTTGTGTTGTATGTATTTTTTTGTGTGTGTATGTGTGTTTTTGTGCGTTGTGTGTGTTGTGTGTGTGTTTGTGTGTCATTTGTGTGTTTGTGTGCATTTTGTGTGCTGTGTGTATTGTGTTTTTTGTGTGTTTGTTGTGTGTGTTTTGTGTGTTTGTGTGTTTTTGTGTTGTGGGTATGTGTGTGTTGTATGTGTGTTGTGTGTGTTGTATGTGTGTGTTTGTGTTTTTTGTGTTGTGGGTATGTGTGTGTTTTTTTGTGTTGTATGTTTTTTGTATGTTTGGGCTATGTGGGTGTTGCATGTGTGTTTTTTGTGTGTTGTGCGTGTTGTATGTATGTTCGTGTGTGTTGTATGTGCTTGTGTGTGTTGTATGTGTGTTTGCGTGTATTGTGTGTGTTTGTATGTGTTGTATGTGTTTGTGTGTGTTGTATGCGTTTGTGTGTTGTATGTGTGTTGTATATGTGTTTTTGTGTGTGTTGAGTGTGTTGTGTGTGTGTGTTGTGTGTGTTGTATGTGTTTTTTGTGTTGTGTGTGTTGTGTGTGTTGTGTGTGTGTGTTGTATGTGTGCTTGTGTGTGTGTTGTATGTGTGTTTGTGTGTGTGTGTTGTGTGTGTGCTGTGTGTGTTTATTGGCCCATTCTTGCTGAAGCTCAGCATGAGCATGTTGCCATAGAAGGGTCAGATGTAAGGGCTGCCCAGAGGTGATCTATAACACTTCCGATAGGAAAAGAAGAAATAAAACAGGGAAGGAATAGGAGTGAGGTAGCCAGGAAAATGCCAATAAAAGAAGGAAATGTAGGGGATTAGTGGAAATGAGGCTTTCAGCATTGAGAATTCTCCCAGGCCATTTTAAAGTTCTCCAAAATCATGATAACTTAATTCCTGTGTCAATAAGGGTTTCACACACTTTTTGTCTAATGGCAGAAGAAAGGACAAGGCGAAAGATTCCTTCCACAGGGCACAAATTGTGCGTTTTGAGTTCTTGAGTGACTTAAGTGAGAGTATTAAAGGGATGGCTTGTGGCTGACCTACTCTCCTTCTAGTTGATCAGCCAACTGTGTGGAAGAAATTGATGATTTCTCAGTCCCCCTTAAGAGCACACGGCCTGATTCCTAAGCTTCTCCCCCGCTCTTGTCCTCGTCTCCCTCTGTCTTTCTTAGCGGCTCCCAAATTTTGGAATGACTCTTGGCCTACACAGATGGCGTTTACTGACTTTGTCTCAAAACCTTTCTTGCCTTCCAATTCTGTCATAAGTTTCTTTATGCCTTATGGCAACCGCCCTGTTTTACAAGTTTCTACTTGTGCTTGTGGCAGATGGATTTCCCACACCCTGGCTGGAAAAGACAATGAATGTGTTTGAGGATAGGTTCTTTTAGGTGTCAATAATAATAACGGGAAAATGTCACAGTACCTATTGGAGACAGACTATGAAATTACTATACTTGGGATCCCCAGGGAAAAGAAAAAAGAAGAGTTAAAATCCTCAGAAGGTATTTGAGAGGCATCTTGGCTTGAAAACTTGACTGCTGTGACTTGGGAAAGCAGAGAAATAAAGCAAACCAAGTTTTTTACTTGCTTGGCTAGAGGTTTGTTTATCCTGATCATGTGAAGCCTGAGCCAGCAATTCCAATGATTTTAACTGCCCCTCGATGCTTCTCTGCATTTGGGCAGGGGAACTATTAGAATGGGCCAGTTAGCTCCTACTATGATGGGTGCAGGACACAGATTTCTCTTGGGAAACCAAAGCTTGAGGTTCCTGATAATATGAATAACAAAGCTAATTACACTTCAAATTATGTTTGAAAACACATTAAACTCAGTTTTATATACTAATATTTACACCTTTAAGTATTCGGCCCAGAAGAGTAGAGCAGTTCCAGGAAGGGCTTTGTGTAATCAGTTAATGCTCATATAGAAAGCTCCAGGGCAGCCCAGGGATGATGCGGGCATGTTCCAGTTGGTGCCTTTCCTCTGTATCCTGCCTCTCGCTCTCTTCTTTCCCTGCTTATTCCCACACTACTACTTCCCAGTTTAATAAAATGAGAGGAGGCTGAAGAGGAGCTGATGGGCAGGTGGCTCTTATGACGTTCCATCCCCTCCTTCTTGTGTCTTTGTCTCTGCAAAGATGTAGCCGACATTAAAGGGGATCAAGAGAGGGATCCCCTCTCCTGCTGGGCCCAAGTGAGTTGTGTTCTGACTTGTCTTCTGAGTGTCAGCCAGGATGCTTTTGGTTCTAAGGGACAGAAACCCCCATTCCCACTGGGTTAAACAATAAAACACAATTTTTGGCTCCCGTATTTGCATAGTCTGTAAGTAGGGTATCTTCAGGGTGTCTTCAATGGTCCAAAAGCATAAACCAGGACCCAGTCTCTTTCCTTCTCTCTGTTCCACCTTTTACATTATCAGCTTCATATTAGGACTGGATCCCTTCATAGTCACAGAATAGGTGCCAATGCCATTGGTGTGGCAATGTAACTCATTATCCATGAAGAGACAGAGAGAGAGAGAAAACACAAGTGAGCTTTTTTGTGTGTGTGTGGGGGTGGGGGCTGGGGGGTGGGAAGAGATGTCTCAAAACCATGAAAATAAACCCCAGGCATTTCTTTGTTGAATTAATTTAAGTTCTATATCTCAACTAATTGCTAAATTGGATGTCTAGGGAGTGTTGGGTGCTAATTGGCTTATGCCAACAAGACCTAGCCCTGGAGCTGGAGGAGAAAGCAGGTGGGTAGAGAAGGAGAGGTGGCTCAAATAACATGCTGCTACTCAACGTGGAAGAGATGCCCATTACCTGTTCTTATTCCTTCTAAATAAACTCTACTTCATCTTCATGATCCAGTGTGATAACCCATTGATCTGTCATGTACGTAATACTAGGATTGGCAGGTATTGGCTTTATGAAATCAGTAACCTGTATTGTTGGTTATTTGTATTGTATCCACAGAGGCTCCACAACTGTCTCCATTCAGGGCGGTTGTGTGCCTGGTCATCTTTGGTACTGTCTATGCGTCGGGTCTCAGTAACTTAGCAAAGGATCAAAGATAGTGCTTTTCTTCTTCACCTAACTGTGGTAACATTTTCCTGGAACAGAACTGACATCCTAAGAGTGAAGCTTATTGGAATCTGGTAGGATGATAAAGGTATATATGCCACATGTTGGAAGTTTGAGTTAGAGAAATTTATTCTGTTCTGGAGTATCTGCTTGAGATATGGGCCATTGGCAGAACAAAGCTGCCTCTTTAGACAGTGTGCTTCTCTGGGTTGAATTGGATATTTTATCAGTTCCTTTCTCTCCTTCCCCTTCTGTTACTTTATTTTGTACCAGAAAAGAGAAGGAAATCAATCCACTAGCACATCTGTGTTTAAATAGGTTTGGTTGTGAAACTTACAAGTGTACCAGGGACTGCATCTACTTCCTGCTGGAAAGCACAGAGGATGAGAAGAATTCTAGGACCAAGGCAAAAATAAAATACAGATTATCATTATTAAGTGCTTACATGGTTTACTAATGAAGCAAGTGAGAAGTGTCAGTTTAAATTTCCACTATCACGTGGCAGTGGTGGTAATGGTTCGTCAAATGATAATGATGTTAACTGCTTGGTTTTCTGATGGAGAGGTGAAAGCCAGCTCTTACCTCCTGCTTTAAGATATTCTAGCATTCTCTAGCAGTGAAAGAGTTTGAAATGGCTATCACTGAATTATGATCATCATTTAAAATTTTCTCCACTAATGAAAATTGAGATGAGAAGCAAGACCTGAGCATGCGCTTTTCCACCTGGAGAGCAAGAAGAGACCTTGGGGAGAGTAGCGGTCACCACAACTGTAGGTTCAAGTCCTCTTCATGGCAACTTGTAGGAGCTCCAGGCTTGTGATCTAGTGCAGAGCAGGTAATTGGGATTCCTGGAGGCCTGAGGGATGCCAGACTTGCTCACATCTTACAAGTGAAGAATAATTCATTCGCTCCTTCTCCTTAAAGGAGCAGGTTAACTTGGGTCTGGGTCTCTTAGTTCTTGATGTACTGATTTGTTCTTCAAATGCTTGCATTCCTCGCTCAAGCAACTTAACACTTACAAAATTTCTCTTGCCAAACAACCTCTCTTTGTTTTACACACGATTTCTGTAGCTATATTAATATATTGACTCACTTGTGCTAACCTGATGCAAGTCTGTTTCCTTAAGGTGAGTTTGCCTATCTCTGCTCTTATATGTGCCCAGTCGTTTTTACAGTCGAAATATCAGAAGGCAGTTTTCTAAGATCTTTTTAGGGTGCACCTTATTTTTGACTTTCCTATCTGTCCTTGACCACTGCGCTTTTCCTTTCTGGTTTCCATTGTATCACTTCTTCTTGGCTCCCCTTGAACTCTTCTCGATCAGCTTCACCTCCACAACTCAGTTATTGAGTCAATCAACTGAATGCCTCTCCTTCAGGTGTCTGCTCCAAGCCTTCTCTGTGTCAGATAGGGCTGATGTCATTTGGGAAATTCCTCCTGTAACAAGCTGTCCCTGGAGAACCCTGGCAGATTAGGGAGAAGCCAAAGCCGCCAGTCTCCTGCAGGTATTTCCCACTTTTTCCTGCATGGCTTGGCATTATTTTCCCCTGTACTCTCACCCCGTACAGTAGTCTCCTTCCCCGACCCTGGTCATCCTCCATGTTTACCTCTGTTTTGCAGGTTTGCTTTTCAAGGGCCAGCATTATGTGTGCCTTTGAGAAAACCACAAAACTTTCCCCTCAGAAGGTTCTCTCTGGGCACCAGCCTGACCATGCTGGTGGTTTTAGGGATGAACGGTACCAGAATATGCCATCTTGAAATGTGCCACTTTGGTATAAGGATTATTTTGAGTTAAAGACAATTGGGAACCTGCAGACCCAGGAAAAGTTCTTTGCCTCCTCCTGTCTAAAAATAAAGATTTCCCCCCACCCCTTTTTTAAAGGAAATTTATATTTATAAAGAAAATTTCCATGAGTAACATTGTCTCTCTATGGGGAAGAGTGCTACTCCCAAGACCTCTCTCATCACCAGGGAGATTCTTATCTGCAAGACAAGATGACCCTTACTTACCATTCGTTTCCTCCTCTGCCCTTCCCAAAACTTGTTTCCCTGCCCAGAAGCCCCAAATCCCTTTTCTTTGTTCAGCTTATGATGGTATGCCAGCTTCAAACATCTATAAGCTTCAATCAACTGGCCATCTCCTCGAGTCTTATTTCTTTGTGAAATTCCCACGCTTACTTGCTCATGTACATAATTAAACTGTTTTTCCTTTTGTTAATGTCTTTTATCAGTTTGATTCTTGGAGCCAAGCCATTGAAACTAGGAGACTGGAAGGAAAAAGATTTTTCCTCCCCTACAGTGGCCATGGCAATTCATTCTGAGCTGGCATCCTTGAAAATGTCAATCTTATATGTATATTATAAATATTTTGTCTCTAGCTGTCTTTCAAAAACTTTATTTCATGTGTATGTGACTGGGACTCCCGTCCTTCAAACTAACCTAGGTTTGCATTAAGACGTCAAGTGTTACTGTCATCTCAAGCCTCCTTCCATGTTATCTCTACCTCAAAAGGGGGTCATATTGGACATCCCATTGCAGGAGCTCAAGCTTCCATAAAGATTCCATCCTAGATACCACAGTCCTTAAAGGCCAGTAGCTCCCTCTCAGCCTATCAGCCACTTTCTTCTCCATTGTCAAAAAGGTAGTAGCAAGACTAATTGCATTTTCCAGGCTTTTCTTTTCTATTTAAGTTGGTGTGTGTCTTTATTCCTGCTTGGTAAAAGGAGTGTTGGGAATGTATTAGGAGGAGATGTGAAATGTAATTCTGCTAAGGCTAGAGAAATCCTGACTGAGTTGTAGCAAGAAAACAGCTTGTTAAACACCAGCTGAGGCAGAAGGTTTCGTCTCATTGGAACTCTACTTATTCAATGCTTGAACAGCTCTTAGAACAGCAGGAACCTGGGAGTGTCTCTGTATACAAAAGGCAAGCATGGTAGATGCTAAACTGGCATTCATTTATTGGAATCCATTTTGGGTACTTTTCCTATTTCTCTCCTGGGAAGACATTGTTGGTGGCATCTTTGAGTTAGATACAGTCATATTGCAGACACTTACATCTCTTGCTTGGAAGAAAGATAGGCCGGATTTGAAAATAAAGTTGATATTCCTGTCATAGCACTAACAAAAGATATTCTCACCAAAAAAGGAGTTTTTTTTTTGTTTTTTTTGTTTTTTGGTTTTTTAGACTGAGAAAAATGTCACATGTATTTGATCTGCATTTCAAAAGGTGGAATGCAACCACAGGTTGCGTATATCAGTCATTGGAAGACTATCGTAGTCAACAAATTAATACAGACCATGTCTCCCTCCTCTACATTTTGTTCTTCTTGTGCACGCTATTGATTGATATACCTCAGGGAGAAGATTCTTCTGACTCAGACACTGAGCAAGTACCTAAAGAAAATATCAGCTTTAACAGGGACTCAAGGAAATAGCAGCAGCAGCGAAAAATCGCTAATCTTTCATTTATAAGACCTACTGAACATCTGGAAAGCATGCGGCTTCTTTAACCCCCGGAGTGCAGGAACAAATGAGCACCAAAGGGCAGCCCATGCTAATGTGGTGACATTAATTTGAATACAATGGAGGGCCCTATAACAAACATCTTCAGAGCCATCTGGGTATTCCTTTACACCTTGCACCACTCCTTGGGGGCACTGGAGGTACAGCTTAATGGGAGAAGAAAATCTTTGGAAGTTGAAGAACAGGAAAGACATTCTTTCAAGAGCAGTAGTGAGTTAAAAAAATATAGTAATCAGAATGAAAAAAATCAAGCAATTCATAGGAAAAATAGTTTTTAAATGATTCATGGGGGTGTTGACTGAAATTAATATTTATGTCTCTCCCTCACCCAGCATTGATAGCATTTTTAGCCAAATGTCAGTGTGTTTGTGAAAGAGTAGGAGAAACAACATGCATCAGGAATGACTAATGTGAAGTTCATACTGAGGGGAGAATATAGGCCTGACATTTAGTTGAAATGGTGCAACTTTTTCTATCACCTTTCCATGGGGCACACCATCTGAAGAGTGTTTAACTCCATTTAAAATATATAAGCATGGAGATTATAATATTTATTGTCTTTTGCTCCTCTCCATGGTCTCATGGGATAATGTAAACATGCTGTGGAGTTGCTTTGTATAGAAGCCTCAGACAAACAACCAATGCAAGAATTAATGCTGTCATGCAGCAGTTGTAGCAGCCACTCCAAGTTTAGAAATAGGGAAATATTTCTAAACATGTCCTTTCCTACCATCCAAAAAGATTTCCCACTACCTCCTTAAAGCAGAGAGTGCACCCTGGCAGCCAGGGCCCAGATCTAGCTCACAGACTAGAATTGTTGGCTCACACAAGGTTTTAAACATTTTTTGCAGTAGTTGCCAACATGGACAAAAATATCCAGACTTTTGATTCCTTTTAAAAACTGGAAAAATATGGCAATGGTGGTACCCACAATTTGACACAGCAAAAGACAATTGGAGTGGAGATTGGCTGGGACCTGAGGACACGGCATACCCTCTCTTGCTGTGACATTCATTTACATTTGTTTGTAGGCATTTGAGTTTATAGGAAGCCACTGAAGATGTTTCTCAAAAACTTTGAGCAGCACACTGTATTAGGGTCCTCCAGGGAAACAGAACAAATATATATATATATATATATATATATATATACACACACACACATATATGCGTGTATATATTATATATATGCATATATGTGTATATATTATATATATGCATGTATATGTGTATATATAATATATATATAATATATACACATAAAATACATGCATATGTATATATTATATGTTATATATATAGGTTCTGTTTAATGTTTTATATATATGCATATATATGTATATGTATATATGTATATGTATATATGTATATATGTGTATATGTGTATATATGTATATATGTGTATATGTGTATATATGTATATATGTATATATATAAAACATTAAACAGAACCTATATATATAACATATATACATATGCATGTATTTTATATGTGTATATATAATAAATCCTTATATATAAAAATAAATATGTATTATGAGGAATTAGCTCATGCAATTATGGAAGCTGAGAAATCTAGATCTGGAAGAGCCCATGGTATAGTTCCAACCCAAGTCTGAAGGCCTGATAGTCACAAGAGCCAATGGTCTAAATTCTGTCCAATCTGAAGGCAGAAGATTGATCTCCTAGCTCAATGACAGTTACTTAGAGAAAAAGAATTCTTTTTTTTTTGACAGAGTCTTGCTCTGTTGCAAGGCTGGAGTGTAGTGGTATGATCTCCGCTCACTGCAGGCTCCACCTCCTGGGTTCAAGCAATTCTCCTGCCTCAGCCTCCCAAGTAGCTGGGACTACAGGCGTGCACCACCATGCCCAGCTAATTTTTGTATTTTTAGTAGAAACGGGGTTTCACCATGTTGGCCAGGATGGTCTCAGTCTCTTGACCTCGTGATCTGTCTGCCTTGGCCTCCCAAAGTGCTGGGATTACAGGCATGAGTCACCGCACCCAGCCAAGGAATTATTTCTTAGCCTTTTATTCTACTCAAGTCTTGAATGGATTTGATGAACCCACCACATTAGGGAGGACAGTCCATTTTACTCAGTCCACTAACTCAAACATTAATCTCATCCAGACACTCTCACAGACACACCCCCATTTAGTCAAATGTCTGGGTATCCCATGACCCAGTCTAGTTGACATAAAATTTAACCATCACATTCACCTAATAACTGCTTAGCTTAAATGAGTGCAGGGCAGGCCTCCTACATGTCTTTTATCTAAAACCCTGACAAGACCACTTGGTTAGGAATGCCTCTCAAGTCACAGGCATCTGGTATGAAGTAAGAGAGCTGGAGAAAAAGTTTCAAACAATAAGGTGGATCCCAGAAAAAGAAAACAACTATTAATTTCTCTGATGGTTTGAATATGTCCCCCAAAGTTCCTGTGTTTGAAATGTAATCCTTATTGCAACAGTGTTGGGAAATGGCACCTTTAAGAGGTGATTAGGTCATGAGGGTTCTACCCTCACAAATGGATTGATGTAATTTTTGTGGGAGTGGGTCCATTATCTCAAGAGTGGGTTTGTTATAAAAGTGAGTTGGCCCTCTCGCTCTTTCTCTCTCAAGCCCTCTTGCCATGTGCTACCTTTTGCCATGTTATGAAGGGGCAAGAAGGCCCTAACCAGATGCAGCCCCTCGAACTGGGACTTCCCAGGCTCTAGAACTGTGAGTCAAATAAACTTCTACTGTTTTTATATTACCCAGTCTGTAGCATTCTATTATAGCAGCACAAAACAGACTAAAACAATTTATTTCTCAAAGTTCTCTGTGTACCTTCACTTTTGATATCATAAATAGCTATGAAATAGGTGTGAAAATCTACCTATAACTGTGAAATTCAGATGTCCACACAGTGAGAATGGTTATTTCAGAAGCTTGTAATTCCATACTCAGTGGGATCCTGGGTAATTAATTAACTGGATGTGGGAGGCTTGCCCAGGATCTGGGTGCAGATTCTGAAAGTAGCACCACCCAGAAACTTCCCATGCAAACCCTGGTGAAAGTGCAAGGCTGCCCTTTTGGGACATGTCATTATCCATACTGGCTGATGCCCCTTGGGTGTTGGTGGTTAAGAAGGAGCAAAGCATAGCAGCTGGTACTTAAAGACAGTGAAAATCACAGTCAGAACGTTGTTCCAACATCTTAAAGATGGTGAAAACAATTTTAACTCAAAGGCAAATTTAAGGTCACAGGTAGCAGCCCCAGTCTCCACTCACTGTGAATGAGTTGGGAGCAGATGCATCAGTTAAAGTAATTACTTTTCATGAAAAGCTTTAAAAAGAGGTAGCCACATACAACATGCTGTCTACCTCATGAGACATCAGAATGATAATACATTTTAGTTTAGTTCTTTTTGTGGACTATTGTTTAAATATAACCATTGACAGTTTCTTTTTCTTCCTTTTGTAAGAAATATTTAAAATGAATGACCACTTGGTGGCTGATTTCCGTCAGTATTATTCTGTCATTTGACACATATCTTAAATCTCTGCCCCACTGGCTTTTGCTCAGTGTTCCTGCCTGCTCAGCCCCCACCTGGGCTGTGGGCGTGCCTAGCAGGGCTGAGACAGAACCAGAACAGCTTTTCCACTGTCTCTCAATAAGAACTCTCTCTCTAGGGCCCTTGCCTACCCCCTGCCCTTCAAAAGGGAAAGCGAACCTGTCCAGTGGGCATGAGTGGTCATGAATTAAGCGGTGCCAAGTGCTCAGCTCTCCACCGGGAGCAAAGTTCTCTGCCTCGTAGCATTCCTGGCCATCTGGGCTGGGAGATGGAGACCACTGTGGCACCAGAATAACCTTGGCCACTTCTTTTGCAACTTCTGCTTCAGGAATTGCCATGCCCAATGGTGTGGCATGTGACACAGGGGGCATGGATGCCATGTGACCTGGAGGGGCACTGTCCTATTCTCTCACCTCTAATGCCCCTCTTTCTCACATACTCACTTAACATTCTCTCTCATAAGCTGAGGGAAGGAGTTCTTTCTTACCAGGATGCGAGCTGGGCTGAGCATGTATGTGCACACACAGACACACACACACATACATACACTGAAAATGCTTACCATCCTCACAGGAGCAAAAGGGCTCCCCGCAATGGCAAGGTCAGGCTCCAACTTGCTGTGACCTGTGGGGAGCAAGGGGCCGTCAGGCTGGGGAGACAGTTTGATGAAGTCTGGAAGAGGAAAGGCTCTGGGGTTTATTCTGCTGAGCCTGGAGGTTTTACTGCATGTGTCTTCAGTTACCAATTTTTGCTTTGTCTTCATAAGCAAATTTCCTCTTTCACTGTCTTTGCTGGCACCAGTAGCCACACATAACTAGTGGTTACTCCCAAAGACTCCAAGCATCATGTAACATACTATCTTTATTAGTTACATTGTATTTGATGATCTTTCATGATTTTCCAAGTTGACTAGATCCTTAAGGATTAATGAAACCAAAACGGTGTGTGTAAGGGAATACATGCTTCATCTCTCCTGCTGCCCCCGAGTCCAAGCTACTTAATTTATCACTAGTATGTGCAATAGTCTCCTAACTTGTCTTCCTGCTCTGATTTCATCTCCTTCAATCCATTCTCACATAGCAGCCAAAGTGATCTTTCAAAAATGCAAGTGGTATCTTTTCTTTCAAGTAATTGAACACATATTTATTGAGCACCTACTATGTGCCAGGCACGGTTCCAGGTGCTAGGAACATTGTGGTGAATGACAGAGATGAAGATTTACTCTGTCTGCTTATGAGACGGACACTTTAATGGCCCCCACAGGTCATAGGATAAAGCTACAAGCCTTAAAATGATTGAATACAAGACTATGCCTGATCTGACCTCTGCCTTACTCCCCAGCTTCATTTGGAACCTCTATCCCCAGCTTTTTTGCTTCCACCACAGTGGGGTATGCCAAGATCCTCTCCCTCAGAACCTCTGCACAGGCTGTTGGCTCTTCCCTACCCTGTCACCTACTTCACTGCCACATGCCTTTCGTATCTCAGTTCACTGCCCCTTCCTCCGTGATGTCTTGTCTGGTCAGTCCACCCCCCTACCCTTGACTAGATGAGGGTCCCTTCTGATATTCTTTCTCTTAGCTCCCTGCCCTTTTATTTCATGACACTTATCATAGGATATGCTCCGCGATCCCTATACTATATGATGACCGGTATCTCTGCTTTCACCACCAGATCGTATGCTCTGGCAGGTAAGAATCTGCTGTGTTTTTTATTTTGTTATATCACTTCTTAAGTAGTGTTTGGTAAAAATTGAAGAATGAATTAATGAAGGAATTTCAAAAAGTGAAAAGGACAAATGAACTAAAAATAGCTTTGTACATATAGCTTAGAAATATTTAGATTTTTACAGAATTCTTTAATTTTTAATGTTTTTTATTTTTGAGAGAATGGCTTATCCAAAATCACACTCCATGACTGTTAGGAATTTAAAAACGTCTGAGATTTTATCTATTTGCAAGCTACAAGTTAGCCTGTCACAGTTTCATGGATGCTGACAGAAGATAGGAGATTCCTGGGTCAGAGAAAATGGATTCTCATTACTCACAGAACAGCAAGCAGCATGAGCATCAGTGTGTTTGCATAAGTTTCCCTTCCTCTCAAGTCCCATAGAAATGATGGGGATTGCCCCAGATGGATATGCTACAGGAAAGCATTCCAGAGTTTAGGGAACCCAAATCTTTTACAATGGACAATAAGCATGCCTGCCCTTTGCTCCAGGAAAATATAAGCAAATTATCTTTTTTTTTTCTGAAGGAAAACGCTGTCTCTATCTGTTTGCTTTATAAATGTCCTTGCTTTATAGATAGTCCTGGAGAAAGACAATTACTGCATTATTCACGGGATGTGCAGAAGCATTAGCGATATGTCAAGAATTTTCCCCCAACAATATTCACCCCTGATTTTTACACCATCTTGGATTCTGGTGATTTTTCCATGAGTATGCCAAATCTCTGGCCACTCTAATTAATCTGATTGACAGAGACCAGGGCCAAATCTAATCAACCGATTTCATGTAATGTTTAATTATGCCCACTATCAACAGGACAACTCCAAGCAGCAGGATGAGGGCAGCTTGTGGTATTGACCTCTACCATGGCCCCCGTGTCTTGGATCCAGCCAGCTGGGCAAATTCCGTAAACCTAAAGGACTTAACTTTAAAAGTCAGGTGACTTTCTCCTTTGGTTTCCGTATTGACCTTTTCACTTGGCTGAGGAATTCATTCAGGTACAGCAGGATGTTTTAGTGATTGCTTAGACTTTGCTTTGACAAGAGAGGAGGAAGTCTAGGCCTGTTCTCTCATCATTAACAGCCCTGGCCAGTGAACTGAGGCTGATTTCAGTGCCTTCAAGACCCAAAGTCGTGTCATTAATCTCTTCAGCTAAGATAAATTTCGTACCACCATTTCTTTCCTTCCTTCCTTCCTTCCTTCCTTCCTTCCTTCCTTCCTCCTTCCCTCCTCCCTCCCTTCCTCCTTCCCTCCTCCCTCCCTTCCTCCTTCCCTCCTCCCTCCCTTCCTCCCTCCCTTTCTTTTTTCTTTTCTTTCTTTTCTTCCTTCCTTTCTCCCTTCCCTTCCCTTCCTTTTCCTTCCTTCCTTCGTTACTTTCTTTTCTTTTTTTATTCTCATTCTGTTTTGAGACAGAGTCGATTCTGTTGCCCAGGCTGGAGTGCAGTGGCATGATCATGGCTCACTGCATGCTCCAGTGATCCTCCCACCTCAGTATCCCAGGTAGCTGAGACTACAGGCATGCCCCATCATGCCTGGCTAATTTTTTTTTTTTTGGTAGAGACAGAATTTTACCATGTTGCCCAGGCTGGTCTTGAACTCCTGGGCTCAAGTGATCTGCCCACCTCAGCCTCCCAAAGGGCTGGGGTTATGGGTGTGAGCCACCACACCTTGCCACTGTACTATTTCTGGTTGGATGACTCCTATAGTAGAAAAAGCTGGCCTCAGTGTGGGCACAAATAACATACCCACCATCTCTCTGGGAATCTCTCCCAAATACCCAAGGGTAGCCTCATTTTGGAGAGCTCTCCACAGTCATATGAGAGCTATGTAATTTACTGGTGATATTTGCTTTAACAGCTGACTTGAAGTTTCTTATGGCCACCCCTGAGGTACCAGATTCCACACAATTTGTCTGAAATTTAACGGACTTCTGTGTCTGTCATTCTCCACCAGATAGCTCTAACAAGTCCAGCAAAACAGCAGGCGGTGGGGCCCAGTTCGTGTACCTTCCCTGCAAAACACCCTCACACCTCAGGATGTTTTTCTCACCACTATTTCCATAGCTGTCACTATTTCCATACCCGGCTTCTATACAACAAGTGTAGTTGCAGGAGTGTTCATGGTTCCCCTAAGAAGGAATCATTGTTTACAATAGATGCCCCTCTGCCTCCTCCTTCAGGTTGGACCTATGGGAGTTGGAGGGCCCCAGCTGTCCGTGCTGTCAGCTTGGGATCCCATTTGGCTGGTGGACCTTAAGACTCCCAGTTCAGTTCCCATGTCCTTGTTTTTGGCCTGAGGACAGTCAGTCCAACCTGTCCTGTTGGTCCATGTTGCCAGACTGGAGGCGTTCATCTGCTGCATGGGATGACTGAGTGACAGCTGGGAAAAGAGTGATGAGGAAAACATCCAGAGGTGTTGAAAGGGTGTTTTGCAGGGGAGGTGCAGGAACTGGGGCTCTTCTCTGCTGTTTTGTTAGAACCTTCTGGTGGAGAATGACAGGCACGGAAGTCAGTTAAATTTAAGGTGCTTGCTTCAGGTTGAGAGAGTGACACCAGGGCATTTTCCTTCGGGATCAAGGGTCCAGGGAAGTTTCCGAAAGACAAGTAGTATTAATCTCCCTCACTGCTCCATCCCTTCTGGATTCTGAGGTGTTCTCTTCTCTAGTGCCAAGGTCGTTATTCTTCTTCCATGGCCTCAAAACTAGTGTGTCCCATTCCAGGAGCTATAATATCACCTTAGAAACATCATCCGATATTCACACCCATGCCTTTCATTCAGAGAGGTCAAACGTGAGAAGGACAAGGGAATTTTTATGAAACTGGCAGAGACCCACCATATCCCCTACTTTGGCACATGTGGGCCACTGTAGGGGACTCGGTGAGTAGTGTACTCAACCAGGCAGTCATCATCCTTATGCCCTCTTACCATGTCAGTCCAACAAGAGCCCCCAGATGGCCAAACTAAAATCAAATTTAAGTCCTTCAGGCCCCCTTCTGCCTGTGCAGAAGATCATCCAGAGGGTGATCCAACCAGGCTTACCTAGAGTTGTTTTGGGGGGACTGCAAAAAGCATCATGCCCAGGAATGGTCAGGAAAGATCCAGAATTTTCAAAAGAGACTTATGTAAACCCTCATCCCTTACATCCTAATTATTACCCAGGAGGTGAAAGAGAACATAATCCCTTTCTGGGAACAGCCACATTCAATAGCCAAATTGTCTTAGGAAGGTATATATACTAGAAGAAGGTGATTGAGGTAAAGTCAAAAATATGAAAAAGCCTTTCCCAACTCAAAATAATACCATATACCTGTGGATGGCAGGGAGTGTAGACTGCCTATTCAATACCTTGACCACTAGCCTATAATCGGGTAGCTTTGTGATAAAAAAGTTTACCATTATCAGACTACAAATGGTCCAGAAAGCCAAAAACATGATGCATCAACTTCAAGGGTTATGTGTAGCCTTCCTCACTGGGAGATAAAAGGATCAAGGCAGGAGTCACAAATTCTTTTGGCAGAAGTCACAAATCTGGCATGCAGTGGGACCTTCTGCACCAGAAACATAAAGTCCTTTGCTTTGTCCACAGTCCATGATGGTGGCCATGTTGCTGTGTCTGGGAAGATGAGAGATCATGGTGGCAATGGCAGCAATCTGGACATTGTAGACCCCATCAAAAGCTTGATTGCAGCCCGTCTCATCAGAGCACAGACCCTTACTGTGGGCACCTATAGGAGCGACCCAGATGGTTTGATTAGCAGCCATGATATGTTTCCACATTTCATGACCCCAAAGCAGGTTGTCTTCAATCTGCCAGTCTGTAGTTGTGTAAATGGCAGACTGAATAGCTAAGCCATTGGCCACAGTCCAAGAGTTAGGAAAAATATACTATGGTTCATCAAAGGGAGTATTGGCTGGAGCTATGAGGATGGGTTTGAGTTCTGCCCACCGAGCAGAGCAACCACATCCTGGTTCTGCGTAGCTGGCAGGGAGTTGAACAGCTGTTGGACACCATCAG
This sequence comes from Homo sapiens, assembly GCF_000001405.40. Lineage (NCBI taxonomy): Eukaryota > Metazoa > Chordata > Mammalia > Primates > Hominidae > Homo > Homo sapiens. The sequence goes on from NC_000018.10 coordinate 24,751,477, forward strand.
GTTTTAGCTTAGCTGAACCATCAGTGAACCAGGCCCAGGCACTTAGGGGAAACTCTGTGAACCAAGGGCCTCACTGAACCAGTGGCTTTACTTCAGGTGGCAGAATGGGGAATAAAATTTTTCTCAAGGGACAGCTACCACTTTTTTGTATAAAGCCAAGATGCTTCTGGAGCCAGGCTCGCTTCATACGTTTTTGACAAGAGGGGCTTGTTGGGCTCTTCTTACCTTGTTAGTCATTGAGTTCTAGTTCACTCATGCCAAACAAAGAACTATCAGAGAGTTACGAGGCCTCCTTGCATCAGGTGTTCAGTTTGGATGACAGCCATACAGCAATCTCATAGCTTCTTTCCAAAATGCTTGTACCTGTTAATCATGTCAGGGAGGTAACAGGTCAAAAACCCCAAGGGGCATCTCTGAGTAGAATATGCCTCCCTTTGCCAGAGACTCCAATAGGCAAGTTCATCAGTCACAGGGACTCGTGGCTCAAAGTGGCCTCATTAGGGTTGAGGGCTCCCCAAAAATACAACCAATTCTTTACATGTGGCTCTTTCTGACTGGGAGAATCCCCTTTGGAGCTTATGGGATGGGGAAGTACAAATATTTAATGTATGTATTGGTATTAGACATTCAGAGGTAGAAGCAACTACAGCTCCTGGTCAAAGACCCCACTCTCAATGTCACCTTAGCTTCTCCCATCTACTGTGAACCTCACTCCAATCCCATTGACTGAATTTGAGTGCTCCCTTCTCCTGTGGGACCATGTGTAATCGTGACCTGGGCAGCTGTACTTAACAGCGTCATAACAGTTTTATTCCTTCTCCTCACCAAAGTTCCCCTGCACACTCATATGCGTGCATATGGTCTTTGATCTTGCTTGGGGACAGAGAGACTGCAGCCTCACCCCTAATCATCTTTTTCCTTAAAGAAACTGAGGTCAGAACAGCGAGAGAGGGAGGGATCAGGGCGTGTAGGGAGAGAGTGGCTCTGAGTTAATAAGTAAGGCTTTGCATTTATTTTCATCTGAGAGTGGCCATTTGCTCTGAGCTCAACCAAACAAATTTGTAATGTCTTCAATCCACCTAAAATTCTATGTCCTCATTGATGGCACCTTACGTTTCAGCTTTAGGGACTCCTGGGCTCAGCAGGGACAGCCATATTGCCTTTTGTCTGGGGCCATGGGCTTGCTGCCCCATGATAACATTTCTTATAAAATTTATGTATTTATTTATATATTTATATATATAAATTTCAATAGCTTTTGGGATATAAGTGATTTTTTAGTTATGTGGATGAATTATGTGATGGTGAAGTCTGAGATTTTGGTGCATTCACCACCCAAGTAGTGTGTGTTGTACCCAATATGTAGTTTTTTTTTTTATCCCCCACTCCTTTCCTACCCTGCCCTGCTTCTGTGTCATCAGTATCCATTATACTACCCCCATGCCTTTGCATAACCATACCTTAGCTCCCAGTTATAAGTGAGAACATGTAGAACATATTTGGTTTTTCATTCCTGAGTCCCATGGTAACATTTCTTCCTCCTCTTTCCTGAGGGAGAGTGAGCAACAACAAATGCACCATTTGGGTGCTTGGTCAACCCTACCTATTTCTGCTCATCTTCTAAACGTTCATCAACATTCATTACTCTCCACTTGCTTACCACTTTAGTGAGTGCATTCTATCAGATCTCAGGGGGTCTTCACATACTCCCAAACATGCCCGGCAGGGTCCTTTTTCCTCTCATCCCCAATACTGTCAAGAGCTGAGGCGAGGTCTGAGATTTTTGCTATATTTCTCCATTTCACAAGTGAGGGACCAGAAAATAGGGCAGGCATGGATATGTTAAGTTGCTTGTCGATGTCACACAGTAATTAAGCTCTGAAGCCAGAATTTGAATCCATGCAGTTGCAAGCTGACATGGCAGCCTATCAGTTTCAAGGATGCTGGCAGAAGACTCACAGTCCTGGATCTCACAGCATGGCAAGAAGCAAGAGCATCAGCACATTTGTGTCAGTTCCCTTTGCCCCCAAGTCTCCCAGAGATGATAGGGATGGCCCCAGATGGATGCCTATACATACAGTGGTTTGTATTACAGGAGAAGACTCTGGGATTAAGAAGCCCAAATCTGTCATAATGAACAGTAAAAGCAGGCCTACAGTTTACTCCAGAGGGAGTCCCTATCTTTTTTCTTCCAAGGCTCTTTGCTTTATAAATGCCCTTCAACAAATAATTCTGAACAAAGGACAGTCAGTGCCCCATTTGCAAGATGTGCAGCAATGCAAGATACCCAGGGTGAATTATATCCCAATAACAACTAATAATGGGTAATGGAAAGAGCTTGTTGAATTAATGAATGACTGAACAATCCAGACCTGGGTTCCAATCTCAACTCTACTGTTAACATCTTTGTAATCTTGGGAATGACTGAATTTTAGTTTCTTTATATATAAAATGATATATTAATAATAAGCTCTTCTGAGAGCTTACTATATGCCAAACACTGATCTAAGTACTTTTCACCTAGAATATTATCTTATTTCTGATAACTCAGGAAATAGAAACAAGGATTTTTTCCATTTTATAAATGAGGCACTAGAAAATGGGGCAGACATGGATATGTTAAGTTGCTTGTCCATGTCACTCAGCTAGTAAGTCCTGAAGCCAGGGTTTGAATCCATGTAGTTCACTCCAGTTTCAATGGTTTTACGCACTACCCTCTGCTCCCTACATGAGTCCTAATAACAGTATCTGCCTCTTTGGGTGTTGTATGAGGATTGAAAGAATTGTTATGTGCTTAATAAAGGATGGTATTCTTTCTTTCTCTTTCTTCCTATGGCTGCTTATTAAAACAAACAACCCCTCACTCAATATCTTAGAATCTTCTTTTTTAGAAATGGTGATTATTACTTTACCAAGTAAAAGTGGAAAAATATGTCTCCCCAACAAAAGGGAGAAAGGCTGAACAGTGAGTACAGTGTGGTGATGGGGGGTTAGCATGAAGGAATTAAACCCAGCCCTTTCCAGGTTGAGGAAGAAGAGCCACCCACAATGGTGCCTGGACCCCCAGGTGTCTGTGAAAAGGCTACAGAACTGCAGATGCTGGCTCTGAAATACTTCTTCCTTCATCAACTCCAGATGAACTAACCCACAGAGAGAGCAGCCTGAAAGACTGTCTGAGAAATATTCAGAGAACTAACCATGAGGCCTCTAATTCATAGCAGCCTAGAACAAGCGGCATCTCTCTGTGCTCTTGTCTGGGTGTTGTTCTTGGGGTAATCTGAGCTGCCTGCTATCATCACCATATATAACAGTCCTGGCCTGGGGCTCCACTACAGCTCCAGAAAAGAAAAAAAAAAAGTCTTGTGGTTTCAAAGGCAACTTGGCCTAAAATGTAACTGTTAAAAGCCTATACATTTAGTGAATGTATAACAACTAAATTTGAAACATATTTAATGGAGATATATTTATGTGCCATTAATTCTCCGGGAGGGTAATTTATGCATCCCTGTGTAACGTTGGCATTCAATAGATATTGACGTCACACTGCTTAGAATCATTTCAAACAGACACTTGGGCAAAATGAGTAAAATGACATTTGATGGATTTTATGATTCAATTATTCATTCCCAAGGTATGTATTTTCTTTATAATTACATGCTTTTTAGATAAATATGAAAGATTTTTGGTGTGGATTCAGAAATCTTAAAACTCTCATTGCATTTACTTGGCAATGGCCCCTGCTGGGACAAAGGCACTTTATTATAGATAAGTACTGTTAGCTGGGCTGGAATGAAAACTAGAGAAGAAGAGGCAAGGCATGAGCTTCCCATAGCACTTTCAATTTGCAGGTCCTGAGAAATCCTAAACCCCAACTAGAGAGAATGAATAGAAAACTCTGTTGTACTTGCTACTACTTAAGAGAGGTAGAATTGTCCAAGCCAGAGGAATTATGTTGAGATTGTGCTCAGAATAGTACTTTGTACCTACCACTGTTACAGCACCTCTTTATGTCTTGTTTCTTTACCGGCGTAAAACCCCTTCCAGTCAGTGGGCTCCTCGAGGGCCATGACCAGATCTAAGTCATCTTTGCATTCTGGCAACTGGAACAGAAGAGGCTCACAACGCATGCTTCTTCTTTTAGTTTTGGCCACCTTCTTGCTTTTGCCATTCACATTGCTTTTGCAAAAGGTCTGCACAGCTACTTACCTTGTTTTATGCCCCTGGTTCTTTACTTACGTTCTTCTGTCTACCCGCAGTGCCGCATTCCCCATAGGTAGCTCTGTAACTTTTCTACTTGTCTTTAAGAACTCAGCTCAAAAAAAATTGTAGAGGCAGTGACCTGACACAGATGAGAGGGACTGTTGGTGAGGCAGTCTCAAAAATATGGGTTTTTTGGTCGGGTGCAGTCTCACGCCTGTAATCCCAGCACGTTTGGAGGCCGAGGTGGACAGATCAGTTGAGGTTAGGAGTTCAAGTCCAGCCTGGCCAACATAGTGAAACCCCGTCTCTACTAAAAATACAAAAATTAGCTGGGCGTGGTGGCGTGTGCCTGTAATCCCAGCTACTCTGGAGGCTAAGGCAGGAGAATTGCCTGAACTCGGGAGGCGGAGGCTGCAGTGAGCTGAGATCATGCCACTGCACTCCAGCCTGGGCAACAGAAGGAGACCCTGTCTCAAAAAAAAAAAAATAAATAAATAAATAAAAAATAAATAAAAAAGGGGGATGTGGGGTGGGGGGCTGTTTTCATGTTTTCTTGTCCAGGGTGTACCTATTTGAGAGGATGGTGCTGCAAGCCACCTAGTCTAAGAGAAACTTTTTAGGTCCCTTCAATTCGTTTCCTTGTCTTCATTTGCATCCATTTGCATTTGGATGACTTAGTTTCCCATCTATTTTGGTTACAAGTAGGGAAGGTAGTGGGAAGCTTACAATAAACATCAGGCTCATAAGTTGATAGCATGCTATGTATATAAATCTTTCTTTGAAATTGGCTAATGTGCTTTTATACTATATATGAATGTCTTATCTGATCTACTTATCTATCTGTCTATCTCAGGCTCTGCAAGCTTGATTAATGTGAGTGTGCCCCTGAGCCATCCATTTGTTCTCTAGGTATTAACAATGTTTCTGACAATAAAATCCTGGGCCCTGGTGAATTCTTCTGCTCTGTGGTGAATTGTCTGGGTGACCAGCTTGCTGTCTCTATGTGCCAGCCCTTTACATTGCAGTGTGGTATGCATTTTTCCTAATGGATCTACAACAGTTATCTAATCTAATGAACAGAAAGAAACAGGTTTAACAAAATACATAAAATAGAATAATAGAAAATAAATCAACAAAGAAGGTGCCCGTCTGTTTTCTTTTCTTTTTTTGTGAGTACTTAAAAAATTGAATTGCTAAATGATTGCTATGTGTCACAGGTTGTTAACATGCGTTCACAGATAATTACTAAACCAGCAATCCATTGATAGTGCAAATCTCAAATCAGAATGCCAAGTCCTTTTTTCCAGACTCTTGGAACTCTCACCTGGAATCTCTGAGCAAGTCTGAAATAGGAAAAGAATTAGGACAGTGAAAAGGGAGGGGATTTTGCGAGGCAGTTTTACATGGAGCTGCTGGTGTGCTGTGCATCTTATGACCTCCCTCAAAAGGGTGGGTGGGTGCATCTGCCTCCTGACCCTGAGAAAAATGAGGAGACATTGCTGAGACCTAGAGACATGGAACTTGTTTCCTGAAGTTGGCTAACCTAAAGGATGGAGTGCTGGGTAGCAGGAGAGATGGCTGCACCTGGGAGGTCCCAGCATACAGCATTATCTTCCTGACAGCAAGTGCAAAGAGCAGGTGGTACATTGGGGTTGGCCACAGCACTTCCCCAATTTGCTGGGCAAAGTTCCTATGTTTTCCATTAGCCTGATGTTTGTACATTTCCCAAAGCCATTGCAGAGATAACCTATCTGGGGCTGCTTTTGTTGTTGTCTGTTTGCTTTGTTTTTTTTCTTTGTAAACTTTTAATTGAGGACAAATATGCATATAAATTCATATATATTCATGTGTATTAGTCTTAGTGAATTAAATTCATATATATGTAAATATGAATTTCATGTTCATATATATGAATTCAATTAGATTCATATACATATAAATATATATACACCTCTACAATGAAGCACATAGGAATTTTAAATTATTAAATATTTAACATCTACTACATATCCACAAGAATTAAAAATTAAAGCAAAAATAAAAAAAACCAACAAAGTGGTGTAAGTAAGGAAAGAAAAATTGAGAAAAATATTTTAATGGTCTCAAAATCTGTGAATCATTAGAATGCTAGAGGAAGTTCCCAAAATAATTCTCTGAATGAAATATTTTAAAGTGTCACCAAGAGTCTTAATCCTAAGAACTTTGGAGAGACTCTGTCTCTTTAGTTTTCTTTAATATATGGCCTTGAAAGAAATATGCCAGTGCAATAAATGTTGACTAGAACAGGTGGGCTTTGCAATTATGGTTTGCTATAGAATTAAAGGTAAATTCTAATGAACTGTGCAGAAGTATGAGCTCATAACTAGGTAGGTAATGATATGGTCAATGCCAAAACACAGTTCTCAGAGAGAGCTGAAGCTTAAAGTTTGACATTTTATTTCTTTGTTCCATGGGTTTATTTTTTGAATTTCTTAATGACTATGAGAGGAAGTAAATTAGTATCCTTAAATATCCATTGGCTAAAATCAATAGCCATTGAAGCTCCACTAATGTGTTCAGTTCGCTTTGAACAATGCAAATAAAAAGCAGAATGTTCTACCCTAAAAAATTATTAACCATTTAAAAATTTAGCATATATAAAATTAACTTTTTAAAAATGTACAGCTGTATGCATGGATATGTACATATTAATGTAGCCACCACTATAATCAGGACACAGAGCAGTTCCACCACCCAAAAAAATTTCCCTCCTGCCACTCAAAATCCTCCTCGACTCCTGACCCCTGGCAACCACTGGTCTTTTCTGCAGCCCTGTAGTTTTGTCTTTTCCAGAATGTCATATAAATGGAATCACACAGCATGCAATCTTTTATGTTTTGCTTCTTTCTCTTAGCATAATGCTTTTGAGATTTATCCATGTTGTGTACATCAAGAATTCATTCCTTTTTATTGCTAGGTAGTGTTCCATTGTGTAGATGTACACAGTTCATTCAGCCACCTGTTGAAGGACATTCGGATTGTTTCTAGTTTTTGACAATTATTAATAGACTGTACGAGTTTTTGTGTGAACATAAGTTTTCATTTCTCTAGGGTAAATACCTAGGTATGGGATTGCTGGGTTATATGGTAAGTGTATTTTAACTTTATAAGAAACTGACAAATAGTTTTCCAGAGTGGCTGTATTATTTTGCATTCCCACCAGCAATGTATGAGACTCCTGGTTTCTCTATATCCTTACCAGCACTTGGTCCTATCTTTTTGTTTGTTTGTTTTTTATTCTAGTCATTTTAGTAGGTGTGTAACGGTGTCCTGGTGTGGTTTTACTTTGCATTTCTCTATTAACTAATTATGTTGAACAGCATGTCTTTATTTGTCATCAATATATCTTCTCTAGTGAAATGCCTATTTAAATATTTTGCCCATTTGTGTATGTGTAAGTGGTGTTGTTTCTTTTGTGGAGTTTTGAGAGTTCTTTGTATATTCTGAATACAAGTCCTTTGTAAGGTACATGACTTGTAAATATTATCTGTAGCTTGCCTTTTCATTGTCTTAACAATGTTTTTTACAGAGCAAGCATTTTTGTATTTGATAAAGCCATGTTTGTCTCTTTTTAAAAATAGGTTGTGCTTTTGGTGTCTTATTTAATAAGTTTGCATAGCCCAAGGGTTACTAGGATTTTCTTTTGGAAGTTCTATAGTTTTATATTTTATATTTAGATCTATGATCTAAATTTTTGTTTAAATCGTGAGGTACAGGTCAAGGTTCATTTTCTAACATGTGGATTCCAACTGTTTCAGCATCATTTGATGAAAGCTACTATGCTTTCTTTAATGAATTGTCTTTGCACCTTTGTCTAAAGTCAATCGGCCATATTTGTGTGGATCTATTTCTAGGCTTTCTATTGTTGCCCATTGATTTATGTGTCTAGCTCTTCACCAATACAACACTGTCTTGATGATTGTCACTTTAGAGTAAGTCTTAAAATAGGTTAGTGTGAGTACTCCAACTTTGATCTTCTTTTTCAAAATTATTTTAGCTATTCTAGTCACTTTGCTTTTTTATATAAGTACACGGATCATAGGTGTACAGTTTGCTTAACTTTTGGAAAAGTGAAAATCTCATGTAGTTACATCCAGATCAACACTGTATATTATCAGCATCCCAAAAGTCTATTTCATACCCTTGGTAAGTTATTACCTCTCCACTGCCCACTACCCACCTTTGCCCATAGAAAACATTAATTCTGACTTCTACACCAAAGATTATATTTGTCTATTTTTGAAATTTATACAAATGGAATCATGCAATATATTCTCTTGGATGTCTGTGAGATAAGACATCTCTGAAATTCATCCTAATTATTACACGTGGCATAGTTTGTTTTTTGCATTGCTGACAATAGTATTAATTTTTAATAATACACCCTAATTCATGTATATATTCTGTTTTAATAAGAAATTTGGGTATTTTTAAGGCTATTAGAAATATTGCTGCTAAATCAAACCACAATGAGATACCATCTCATACCAGTCATAAAGGCTATTATTAAAAAGTAAAAAAATAACAGATGCTGGTAAGGTTGTAGAGAAAAGGGAATGCTTGTACACTATTGGCAGAAGTGTAAATTAGTTCAACCATTGTGGAAAGCAGTGTGGCGATTCCTCAAACAGCTACAAACAGAACTACCATTCAACCCAGCAATCCCCTTACTGGGTATGTAACCAAAGGAACATAAATCGTTCTACCGTAAAGACACATGCACGCATATGTTCATTGCAGCGCTATTCACAATAGCAAAGGCAAGGAATCAACCTAAATGGCCATCAATGGCAGATTGGATAAAGAAAATGTGGTATATATGCACCATGGAATACTATGCAACCATAAAAAAGAATAAGATCGTGTCCTTTGCAGGAACATGGATGGAGATGGAGGCCATTATCCTTAGCAAACTAACACAGGAACAGAAAACCAATACTGCATCTTCTCACTTATAAATGATGAGAACACAAAGAGGGGAACAGCACACACTGGGGCCTGCTTGAGGGTGGAGGGTGGAAGGAGGGAGGGATCAGAAGACATAACTATTCAGTACTAAGCTTAGCACCTGGGTGATGAAATAATCTGTACAACAAATGCCTGTGACACAAGTTTACCTATATAACAAACCTGCACATGTACCCTTGAACCTAAAATGAAAGTTAAAAAAAGAAATATTGATGCTAGAACGTATTTTTACATATCTTAGTGAATATATGCATACATTTCCGTTGAGTTGCCTAGAAAAGAAATTGCTGGGTTATGGAATCGCTTATGTTTAGCCTTAGTCTATATTGTCCAACAGTTCTGCAAAGTGACAGTCATAAATGTAGCCAGTAAATTTAGTCAAGTTTAGGATCATAAGTTTGTTTGTATTAACTTCTTTTTAAATATTTCCAGAATCTGTAGTGATAGCCTCTTTCTTGTTTTTAGTATTAGTCATATGTGTCTCATTCTCTTTTTTCTTGATTAGTCCTTGCTAAATATTTATTAATTTTAATAGTATTTTCAAAGATTTGTTGCCTTTTTTTCTATTAGATGATTCCTTTCTATTTCAATAATTTTTGTTTTTATTTCTATTTTTCTCCTACCTACCTCCTTCTTTCTCTTGGGTTAATTTGCAGTTTTGCTAACTTGATGTGAATACCTGTGTTAGAGATGGTAAGTTTTTTTTTTTCATTTCTAGTTTATGCGTTTAAGACTACAAAATTCCCTCTAGCCTGTCTTTACTTGCAATAACATGTTTTCATCTAGGGTCATTTTCCTTGTGCCATTGTTGTTGTTGTCCCTGCTTGTTAAGTGCTCATTTGAAACTGTCTGCTTAGCCTTTATTTTTGAAAGCTATTTTCCTTGTGTACACAATTCTAGGTTGGCAACAATTTTCTTTTAGCTCTTTAAAGACATTTTTGTTCACTGTTTCTATTGAAAACTCAGCCATAGATATTGTATCTCTCTGAACATCATGTGTCTGTTTTCTGTCTCTTTATAAGATACTCTTTTTAGTGTTTGTGGGTTAGCTTTATCTGTATTTATTTTGCTCAGAATTTGTAGAATTTCAGTTTACTAATATCTTTTGCTTGTTTTGGAAAATTCTCACAATGTCTCTTCTGTTCAATTATCTCTCTCCTTTATAGACTACAACTACACTTATGAAAGTTATTTTCATCATGTTTCATATGCCTCTTAAGCTCTTTTTCTGTGTTGTTTATTCTTTCCATTTCTCTGAAAAGTATCAACCTGAATATTTTCTACTGATATACATTCCAGATCACTAATTTTTTCTTCTGCTATATCTAATGTGCTTTTAAATCCAACTGAATTGCCATCCAAGTGAATTTTTAATTTCAGTGTTGTATTATTAAACTCTGCATTTTCTGATGATGTTAATGGATTTCAGTAGTTTGATGAAATTTTCCATCTTTTTGTCTATTTTGATTATGTTATTTATAGTTATTTGAAATTTTATGTCCAATAATTTGAACTTAAATATTTGCTTTTGAGCCTGTTTCTAAAGTCTGTTTTTTTAAACTGTTGTTTTTGGTAATTTGATCTTGTATTCTGGCATGCTTGGCAAATGTGACCAAATGGCAGACATTATAATGCCTGCCAAAAAATTGTAGATGCTATGGATGACGTCTGCCTGTAGAGAGGATTTAATTTTCTTCTGACAGGCATATAGACCACAGGAAGATTATCTTGATCTATTGGATTTGGATTTCAGATTCAATATGAGGGTTTGTGAGAACTGGTCTTTTTTAGGTTCATCTTTATTCCTAGAGCCTATCCCTTCAAGGAGCTCAAGTGTGAGCCTGGTATGTTTATTAGAGATTCTCTTTCTTGGCAGGCTATGAACTTCAATTTTTTTCCAGCACCATGAGACTACTGAACTGTCTGCTTAGATTTTTAGCTTCTTAGCAGCTGCTTTTTACTTGTTTTCTTGGCAACTTGCCTCACACATGTGCAGCTAGAAGTTGGAAAATACCTCAAGGAAAAATTGCACATATAATACCCACTTTCCATCTCTGCAGTTAGCTTTTCTTTCAGATCATGAGTCCTCAAGTTGTAGCGTCCTTGGTAGCCCTATCCACCAATTTTCAACTCCCCTGCCAATGAGACTGTTAGAAACTCTTGGCTGCTGATCTTTGTTCAGCATCTATGTTCCACAAAGCAAATTGGCAAATGCCCTGAGGGTGGCAAGTAGAAACTAGTGTAGTGTTCACTTCTGTCTGTTTTTCTTCTTTCCAGCATTTTGGTCTTTCAAGATCGAGGGACATTTGGAAGATATAATGGAACTCCCACAGGAAAGAGTTTATGTAGAGTAGATTGCAAGAAAACTCAGGGATGATGGTGAGGATTGAGTGGCAAATAGAGGAAACATTTCTAAAATTACAGAAGTTTCAGCTAGATGAAGCCTGGGAAGGGAGCCTCAGGTAAATTCACAAAAATGCCCATGAGAAAGAAAGAATCAGTTTTGAACATCTGCTTGGCCCAAAGAGTAAAAAACCATCTTAGGGCAGTCCTAATTTACATAAGGGAAGAGTTTTCTTATTCCTTTTTTTCCTCCCCTTTTCCCACACTCCAACCTATACTGAATTAGTAACAACAAATAGATAATGTGAACGAGAGTCAGGGAAAAAAAGAAAAGAAGTATCCAATCCTCCCTTCCCACTAAGATGCCAGCCTGCATTGTGTTTGTGTCAAAAGTAAACACAATATCATGGAATTGCCTATATTCTAAAATAATTCACTAGGTTTTGCCAACCCTGCTTCCAGTGGGTAAACAATTGTATCACTGAAGCTCAGGTTCCAGTTGGCTGTCCGTGGTGGCTGTATGGGGGCTCTTGGAATGCAGTTTGAAAGACAGAATGGTTCTTAAGTCTTAAAGCCCCATCCTGCCTGCAGAGGAACCTTGAAGAACAGAATTGAGCCCAATATGCTGATACATTCTTTTCTGAATTCTAAACTTTTTCCATTCTTGCCTTTTTAATTCTATCTCATTTCTAAGCATAAAATAAATATAGCACTGAAAAAGGTGTTTGTGTCCCAGTGACAAATATAATCCATGTAATTGTTAAACGGGAAATTCCAGAATCCCCCTGTGGCCTTGCCTTCTATTAGGCAGGAAGAAGCATTCCCCCAAAGACAGACTTGACTAGAGCCTCGTGTCCCCAGAGGGCCTCACTGGAAGTTAGTCTTTGGAAGTTCTAGCATAAACATACTCCCACCCACCTGGCTCATGTACAGGCCATGAACAACTTGGCTTTTCTTCCCAGCAGAGCAATTTCTGTATGAGTCACTTGTCTCCTTATTTGGGACTTTCTGCCTCAAGGGACCTTGAAGATCCATCCAATACTGTACAGAGAATGCACTCAGCAAACAATGAACAATAGAAAACCTACGAAAAAGAAAGTCCCCTCCTCCATGTGGGCCTGGTACTTAGTTCAATGGAAACCAATAACCTAGGCCAAAGTAACACACAGATGCAAACACACAAGGGAATATGTTAGAAGATGAAAGTTTGTCTTTCTGAACAAAGAGACTCATCAATTCGGATCTAGAAAACACAGCGTCCCAATGCTGGGAAGTCTTGGGCATTCTTCCATAGGAGCAGTCATAGTCCCTAGACCCAACCTTCGCTGGAGCTGCTGTTGGAGAGCTGCCTGTTATGTACAGAATGGACACACTGCATAGAGCCAACACTTGAGAAGAGAAGGCTAAGCAAAAAGACACAAGAGGGCTCATGGTGGTAGACTGGAGCATACAGGCAGTGGCCTTGCCTATAAGCATCCTTGGCTTGGTCCCAATGTCCTTAGTGAAGGTTTCAAAGTTTTGTCCTGATGCATTGGCATATCACAAATTATTTGGCTCTCTGCCTATTTTCAGATCACCATCATGGAGGAACTTCACTGAACAAGAAATATATCCCTTCACAAGCCAAGTACAGTAAATGAGTTTTTATGCTTGTGGAGTATTTTTAATATTGTGGGATAAGAAGGGCCTTTCCTTTTCTATCTTAATTTTCTGACTATGCAAACCATTATTAGTATCTTGGGGCCCCTGGAAATAGCTAAGGTCCCTATTGGTGCTTCCTTGACCATGGACTCACTAACATTTATCTGTCTAAAGTGAAAGGTATCTTTAATGATCCCAGCTGACATTTATTCAGTGCTTCTCACTCAGCTATCCCAAAGAGCTCTACAAGCTGATTTACGGGCTGTCCGTGGAGTAGAAGTGAATGGTAATGACCACAGTGATGATGATGGTGATGGATCACCCAGGCTCTGGTATTTAATATGTCATGTTGTTTCTGGGGCGTTTCCAATTTCCTGAACTTCCCAGTGATTAGAAGCGTAAGAGAGTGCTCCATCCATTTCATCTTGCATTTCTCAGTGGAGATAACTCTGATTGGAGCCTTGGGAGGCCTTAATTCTCGGTCCCCCTTATACAAATTTTAGTAATGAGCAGAGGGCAGACATTTTGAAATGCTACAAAGTTTGTCTGCATCTCTCCTCTTACAGAACATGGAGATGTGCACTCACCTCCTCTTTTGGAATGCCCTCAGCCACCTGAAATTCTCTGGGGCTTTTCTGCTCCATGGGGAAAAGGGAGGAGGCAGAAGCCAGGATAAACTGTCAGTTTAGAAGGTTTATGGTGACAGAATCAGGCACAGTGCTTTCTAATTTTTTTTTAAGCCATAGGAAGCCCTGCTCCCTTTTCAAACAAAATCCTTTAGTTCATCAACATGTGAAGCAGATAAAACTGAGCTGTTCCACCCCAATCCTTCACCCTCACCCCACATCATGGTGGCCCCTGGGACCTGGATGGAAAACCTCTGGCTTCCTGGGGTTCTGGGCTGTGATCTGTACATAGGAGACCTGAATTTCTTTCTAGGGCTCCTCACAGACTTTTGAGTAAATTATTGAATATCTATGTGTTCTCTTTGTTCCATCTCTAAAATAGAGACTAAACAGTCTTCATTGAATATTACCATTGAGGCTTTTAAAGGTACGGTGTAAATATGCCTGAACTGTAGTAATAATAGGGACAATATGATTTCAGGCATAGTTCTGAATGCTGTCCTTTATAACCTAATTTAATTCCTATAACCTCTCTATGGGGCAAGTACTATTAAATATTATTATCTCCATTTTAAATGGTGGAAACTGAGGCACAGAGAGGTTATACAAATTTCCCAAGGTCACTCATCTTGTAAGTGTTGTAGGCATGATTCAATACCAGGCAGCCTGATGCCAAAACCCCTTGATATGAACCCCTGACACTTGGTTTTAAAACTTGTTAGCATATTAGAATTGCTTAAAGAATTTAAAAAATTTCAGAAGACCAAGATGTACCCCAGGCCAATTAAATTACAGTCTCTGTGTATGGAATATTAGTGACAGCATTTTTAAAAACTTCATTTATGGGTTGAGTTCAGTCCCCCCAAAAAGATATGTTGACACCCTCAACCTTGATACTTAAGAATGTGACCTTATTCCTAAATAGGTCATTGCAAGATGTAACTGCTAAAGTTAAATGAAGTCATATTGGAGTAGAGTGTGCCCTTAATCAATATGACTGGTGTCCTTATAAGCAGATGGCCGTGTGAAGTTGGGGCCTGATGAGTTGTGATTGGCCTCTGATTAGAGCACAGCATAGCCGAAGAAGAGAGTGTACACAAAAGAAAAGAAGTCCAGAATGGTAGGTGAAGGCAATTTTCTTTGGCTTCCAACTTCCCATCTTCTCCTGCTTTCCCCTATTTTTCTAGTCTCCATCTCAATCTTCTTTGCCACGTCATGCATGCCCTTGAAGCATTAGAATTCCTTAAAGCTTCATGGGAGAATGCCATGGGATGATGAAGACAGAGATTGGAGTCATGCATCTGCAAGCCAAGAAATGTACAAGATTGCTGGCAAACCACCAGAAGCTAGGAGCAGACAAGGAAGGATCCTCCCCTAAAGGTTTCAGAGGGAGCCATGGCCTTGCTGACATCTTGATTTCAGACTTCTATCCTCCAGAATGGTGAGACACTGAATTTCTGTTGTTTTAAGCCATCCAGTTAATAGTATGTTGTTATGGAAGCCTGGGAAACTAATACAGCTTCCTGAGTGATTTCAATGTGCAGACAGGTTTGAGAACAACTGCTATATTTCAATTTCATTTCTTAAGAACCTACGGTGTGGATGGGGAAAATCCCCTGTTGGATAATTTAGTCTTGATTAGGGCTGGTGCAAGTCATTTGTCATCCTATGCTAGTACTGGCTGTACCACCTTCTAAGGCATGGGCAGTGTTGACCAGGTGTATTTGAGAAGGAAGATAGTTGGCATTAGGGGAGAGTTAGAGAATCACTCCCAATGCTGCTGTTCACAGGGAAAAGTGTAGTGGTGGGAGTGACTATGGGTACAGAGTAAGAGGTGCCTGGCACAGGAGAGTTGAGGATGGACAGGTGCAGAATGAAGGTTTCCTTTACAGCCAGCACAGTATAATACTGCAAAAAAATGGTCATGGGAGATAGAGCACATTCAATAAGGCTACCTGCAATCTAGTGATGCAGGCACAGGTAAAATAGAGCCCTATGAGAGACCATTAAAGTGTTTGGAAGAAGGGATATTCAAATGCCTCACAGAGAAGGTGATGTTTAGGCCCCAGGGTCAGATTTGATCGCTGATATGGGTGAAGGCTGTTCCAGGCACAAGGAACACCTTGAGCAAAGGTGTGGAAGGAGAACGGGCAGAGTTAGGAGGCTGTTGAGTTGTGACTGGTCTCTGGTTAGAGCATAGCATAGCTGGGGAAGAGAGCTTGGATACAAGAGAAGAAATCTAGAAAGGTAGATTAAGGCAATTTTCTTTTGGGATTTGAATATCATGATGAACGTTTCTTTCAACTTCACTTTGTAAGCAGAATGGAGTCAACAGAGGCTTTTGATCAGGGAAGAAACCCCACCATTGACTTCAACGATCTTGATGACATTTCACAGGGGCCTTCTCCTGTGTCTGAGGCGGAAGTGTCTCATTTAATTTTTCCAATGACTTTATGAGATAGGTACTATCATTATCCCAATTTAATGTGTTTAGGAACTGAAACTAAGGAAATTTCAGTTACTGCTGAAGTCACATCGTTGGTAAATATGGAAACCTGGATTTGAACCCTGGTTATCTGATTCCAGAGTCTGCAGGCTTAACTGACTTATCACTGAGGGTCTCCTTCATTGGTGTCAAAGAAAAATAGCCACACTGGCAGTGTGAGGCAGGTGGGTAGTGGATTGCAGGAGGAGAGGACAGGGATAGGCCAGCTATAATAGAAAGTGACTTTAGAATCATGTGAAATATCTCAAAAGAAGGCCAGACAAGATTTAGCAACTGCCTGTATATTGAGAAATCCCCTGATTAAAGATAGTTTACTGGGAGAAAGATGATACCTTTATTGAACTAGAGAATGCAGGAAGAGGTGTGCATTGGGTGGTAGAAGATAAAGGGATGTTTTTGGACATTTTCAAAAACAAGTACTTACAGAATATCCATGTAGATGTTTGGGAAGTACACGGAAATGTAATTTAGACATAGCTATGCTGCAAGAGATGGATCACTGGACCTGATTCTGAGACTTTACGATTAGGATTGTGGAGACAGTGTAAGTGTGGTGCTTAAATCCATAAGCTCTGGAGCTCAACAGTTGGGTGGAATCTGTAACCAACTGTTTATTAGCTGTGTGTCCTTAGACAAGCCTCAGTTTCTTCGTCTGCAGAATGGGGATGCTAACTCAGATTCATATTTCATAGTACTGTGCAGAGGATGAAATGAGAGGAGCCAAGTGGAGCACTTGGCACAAGACAAATGCTTAAGAAATAGGCATTGCATTTGTTTTTGCTTCTTGTAACCCAGAAAGATGCCCCTTGGCGATGCTCCTCACTCTTCATCTCTTCCCTGCCAAGACCTTTCTGTGTCCACGTTAGAACTTAGTTTTCCTTGTTTAATCTTTCAACGTAGCAGCTTCCTTTTTCTTAAAGCTCAGTTTCTCTACTAACCCAGGATAATTTTTTTTTTTTTTTTTTTTTTTTTTTTTTTTTTTTACAGAGTCTTGCTCTGTCATGCAGGCTGGAGTGTAGTGGCGCCATCTCGGCTCACTGCAAGCTCCGCCTCTGGGGTTCATGCCATTCTGCCTCAGCCTCCTGAGTAGCTGGGACTACAGGTGCCCGCCACCACACCCAGCTAAATTTTTATATTTTTAGTAGAGATGGGGTTTCACCGTGTTAGCCAGGTTGGTCTTGATCTCCTGACCTCGTGATCCGCCCGCCTTGGCCTCCCAAAATGTTGGGATTACAGGTGTGAGCCACCGTGCCCTGCCAACCCAGGATAATCTTTTAGTGTTTCCTTTTTTCCTTTTTCTAGACTCAGTGTGGATGTGATTTTCTCCAGTGTAGCCATCTTATTTCATGGAGTTATGTGCCTTAGACTGAGGAGGGGACCAGGCAGCCCACGTTGCTCCGTTCCTCCTGTTACCTTTAATGGTACAGCTTATTTGTTTATTTCGCAAGTTACCTCTGAGCATTCTTCAGCAGCAATTCAGGAATTTTCTTTGTATGCCTCACAAGCAGTGTCTGGTATATAACATAGACATATGTAGAACAGATATGAATAATAGTTGCTCTTCTTAGGCAGGATCTAGTGGAATCAGATAACAATAAGAAAAGCCTAAGATTGGTTTCCTACTCTTTTAGTACTAGAAGTGTCTATAACAAAGGAGAGAAGTGTGGAGGAAATGAGTTACTATCATCATTTCAATTATGATGCTAAGAGAAAGAAAAAGAAAGTTTTCACCCTGGAGAAAATAATGGACATGTTGTGTGGGTAGGGTCATCTGTCCCTGATGGTTTGGGGGCTGTCATTAGAAACCAGTTTGAAAGAATGATTGTGTGGGTCCCTACAATAGCCTCATAACTGAGGTCCTTTCCAGGGTTGCTCCTTCTTTCAGTCCATGCCAACCCCAAGCATTGCCTCAATTTTGGCCAGGTGCAATGGCTCATGCCTGTAATCCCAGCACTTTGGGAGGCCGAGGCGAGTGGATCACCTGAGGTCAGGACCAGCCTGGCCAACGTGCTGAAACTTCGCCTCTACTGAAAATACAAAAATTAGCTGGGCATGGTGGTGTGCACCTGTAATCCCAGCTACTCGGGAGGCTGAGGCAGGAGAATTGGTTGAACCCGGGAGGCAGAGGTTGCAGTGAGCCAAGATTGCACCATTGCACTCCAGCCTGGGCAACAAGAGCGAAAAGAAACTCCGTCTCAAAAAACAAACAAACAAAAAAAAAACAAAAAAAGCCAAAAAAAAAAAAAAAACCCAACAACAAAAACAAAAACTCAACACTTTATCAAGTTACCCTCCAGCTAAAAATAGTTGTATGACTTCCCTGTGCCTAAAGAAGTGAGTACCAGAGTTTTTTGGTAGTCATCAAAGTGCTCTGCCCTCAGCTCCATCTCATCTCTCCACCCTTCTCTTTCTCACACCCCTTCCATCCAGTGCATCAGAGCTTCTTGCTACTCCTCATTCCCACCTCTATGTGTGGCCTTTATCTTTGTGCTATACACAAATATCCTCCGGAGTCAGCATCCATTTGCTGAGTGATCAGCAGTCCTAATAATTCTCTCATGCACTTTGCCTCCTAGATCAGCCCTACCCACCTGCCCTCCTGGCCCCCTTACTTTCCACAGACCCACAGCTTGCCTGCCTCCTACCCTACCCACATACTCAAGTTAAAACTTGGATTATTTGCAAAAGATCAATAAGCAAACTAATGAAATACACGTAATTGAAAATAGAGTGTGGTCTGCAATGTTAAACAGTGGATTGAGGGTGAAGGCTGTGGCCTTTGAGCTTTAGCTTTTCATAGCGTCTGGCTCAAGGTGGAATAGACTTTGTGAGAGCTACAATCTTCTAGGGGCCAAGCCTACATGTCTGATAATGTAAAGGGCTTTAGAGAGGAGGTGTTAAGAATATCCTCATGATCTGAGAAAGTAGGACTCCTTAAACATTTAATGTAGTAACAGGAAGGAGCTTGAGAGAATCTTGTTCAGTAATTATTTGTGATCCTTCTGACTGCCTATCTGAGTCATTCTATCCACCAGTCAACTGGAATTTACCAGATTTCTCTGATCCTGATTGTGTTGATTTATATAAACTATAGTGAGTTTCTTTTTGGACACAATGCTCCATGGAATTAATCAAACTTTGGGTTTGTCTACCATAATCAGTTCGATAGTTGCTTTCTGCCCAAGGATGACTCCTTGCCTTCATTAAATCTGAAGGTTTCAGCTTTTGTTAGCACACACCATCTCAATCAATACAGGCAAGTGCAGCTGTCTCCTAAATGAGGATGTTAAGCCAAGGCCCCAATAACCACTGGTTACTAAATGTTTAATGATCTGCTTTGTGTGTCACAGCACCCTCATCACATTCAGTCTAGGGCCTTGAACCTACGTTAAAAAAATACTCTTTTCTAAAATTTACCCTGTTACTTACCATTTTTATTTTCCTTATTTAAGATTTTGTTATAATGCATCAGCACACCGCACTAGGAAACACAAAGTGGGACCCAAAAGTTGGCAGAGCTGAGAACCATCAGCTCCACAGCACCTTCTGCCTTCAAGAGGGTAGCATTTCCTTAATATGGTGCCTATTAGTGCTGTTTACCAAATGTTCTCATCTCTCCTCATTCCAAGTATATACATGATATGAGTGTATTTCCTGACTCCCTTTTTGATGGTATCATGTGACTAGGTTTGGCCAATGAGCTGAAAAGATAAGCAACATGTGTCACTTCTTTGCTGGAGCATTAAGGTCAACATGAGACTCTTCCAGGTTCAATTTTCCCTTTGCTATTGTATCAGCCTGGGTTTTTCAGAGAAACATATATATTGTAAGGAATTGGTTCACACAGTTATAGAGGCTGAGAAGTCCCAAGATCTCTGGTTGGCAAGCTGGAGACCCAGGAGAGATGATGATGTATATTCCAGCCTGAGTCTGAAAGCCTGAGGATGAGGAAAGCCAATGGCATAAGTTGGAGTCTAAGTTGGAGTCTAAGTTGTAGTTTAAGGCCAAGGACAGAAGACTAATGTCCCAGGTTAAAGACAATGAGGGACCAGGCGCAGTGGCTCACACCTGTAATCTCAGCCCTTTGGGAGGCTGAGGTGGGTGGATCACTTAAGATCAGGAGTTTGAGACCAGCCTGGCCAACATACTGAAACCCCATCTCTACTAATAATACAAAAAAAAAAAAAAAAATTAGCTGGGCATGATGGCGGGCGCCTGTAATCCCAGCTACTCAGGAGGCTGAGGCAGGAGAATTGCTTGAACCCAGGAGGCAGAGGTTGCAGTGAGCTAAGATTGTGCCATTGTGCTCCAGCCTGGGCAACAAGAGCAAAACTCTGTCTCAAAAAAAAAAAAAAAAAAAAGGACAATCAGGCAGAGAGAGGGCAAAGGCTCCCTTACTCAGACTTTTGCTCTTATCTAGGGCTATCTATCTATCTAGGACTCAGATTAGATGAGGCACACTCACACTGGGGAGGACAGTCTGCTTTACCCAGTCTACTAGCTCAAACATTAATCTCACTTAGAAACATTCTCACAGATACACCCTGAATAATGTTTGACAACATATCTGGGCATCCAGGCCCAGTCAAGTCGACACATACAATCCATCCCTTGTCAACTTGGCACCCACATGAATCTTCTTAAACCATACTTAATTTCCAAATAAAGACAATAACAAGGCTATAATTCCACCCAACATGATACAACCATCCTGCATACAACTGAAAACACAGTAACCTCTTCCCCAGAAAAAGACGTAAAATCCTTGAGAGATGTTTACCCTTCTCCTTGATATCCCATTCATGAAATAGTATTACATATAATTAACAATACTTAAATGTTATGATATAAAATCAGTACAGCTTATGCTACACGATAAGGGAATAAGAGAGGAAAGAAAAAGATTTTTACTCAGTACACATACACACACACACACATATATATATATTTATATATATTCACAACAAAATAAAAAGAAATACTCATGAAAATTACAGTCCTCATTTCTGCAACTGGTTATGTGGTCGTAGCTGCTGCTTGTAACTATCTTCTTCCACTACCCATTCTGTATTCCTTTGCCCTCTGCAAATGCCTCGGTTAGTCATGGTGTTTCATCTGATGGAGCTACCCAAACCTTTATTCCTGAAGGATCTGGGTTGTTGTGTATTCTATTGACCTTAATCCCAGGGCATGGTGATACTAAGAGATGCCTTCAGGGATCTCCTATATTCCAGACATACTCTTATTTACCTCCATTATATAGTAGCTGCCCAACTAACCCATGTTAGTCAGGATCAATCACACCAGCCACCACAGTCACTTTCTTCTTCGCTTATTGATTCAAAGGCATGCAGAGTTCCAAGTGGCCAGTGGCAGTGTGAATTTTCAGTTCAATGGAGTCAGTGTTTTGTCTCCTTTTAGAAGTGTTCCTTCCTTTGGAACTAAGACACCTAGGCTAGCAGAGCATTTTACTACTGGGTCACTAAGGTTAATAGTGAGTGGTGCCACTCCCATTTCTGCCCCTTCATTCCTGAACCTGTGAATCCTGGCTTTGGGAGAAACAGCACCATATATTAGATGCTGATTCAGAGCATGCAGCCTTCAGGAGAATCTTTCCCCAACCCTGCATGGTATTGCCACCTAGCTGGTATAACTGAATCTTCGAAAGGCTATTTTACCATTCTATTAAACCAGCTGCTTCAGGATGGTAGAGAATAAGGTAAGGCCATGAATTCCATGACCGTGGGCCCTGGGCCCATCACTGCACATTAGTTGCTGTGAAGTGAGTTCTTCAACCAGAAGCTATGATGTATGGAATACAATGATGATAGATAAGGCACTCCATAAGCCTTTTTGGTGGAAGCATTGTGTGCAGGGAAGGAAAACCCATATCCAGAGTCAGTGTCTATTCCAATAAGAACACATGTAAGCTCTTCCATGGTGGAAGTGATGCAGTGATATCAACTGGCCTCCAGGTAGCTGTCTGACCACACCAGGGAACGGTGCTTATATTGTGGACTCAGTATTGGTCTCTGCTGTTGGCAGATTGGACACTCAGCAGTAGCTGTAGCTTGATTGGCCTTAGTGAAAGTCATGTTTGCTGACCCCAGGGATAACCTACATCCCTGCCACCATGGCCACTTTGTTCATGCCTTATTGGGTCATGAATAGGATGGCTGGGAAAATAGACTGACTAGTATCCACAAAATGGGTCATCCTATCCACTTGACTATTAAAATCCTCCTCTGCTGAGGTCACTTTCTGATGAGCATTCACATGAGATACAAATATATTTACATTTTTTGTGCATTCAGAGAGGTCTATCTACATACCTCTTTCCCAGATGCCATTGTCACCAACTTGCAAATCATGTTCCTTTTAAGTCCCTGACCATCCGGTAAAATCATTGGCTATAGCCCATGAATAAGTATATAATTACATGTCTTGCGATTTCTCCTTCCAAGCAAAATATGCAGCCAGGTACATTGCTTAAAGTTCTGCCCACCAGGAGGATTTCTCTTCACCACTGTCCTTCAGGGATATCTTAGGAAGGGGCTATAGTGGTGGAACTGTCCACTTCCAGGTGGGACCTGCATATCATGCAGAGCCATCTGTAAACCAGGCCTAAGCCAAGTCTTCTCTTTCTCCATCAACTGATTCTAGGGAACTCCCCATGAGGGTGTATGTGCAGGCTGGGAGAGAGAAGGCAATGTAGCAGGAGTGGGCACCATGGGCATTTGGACCACATCTTCATGTCACTGACTTGTGCCTTCAGGGCCTGTTCAGGCCTGATTATGTATATACCACTTCTGTTTGATGGTGGAGTTCTGCTGTGTATGTCCAACTTTATGACTTGGTGGGTTAGATGAAATTCAGTTCGTGATGGGTAGCTCAGGTTGCCTAGTAACCTGGTGGCCCATGTTTAAGCATTTAGTTTCTACTAAGGGCCAGTAGTAGATCAAGAACCGTTTCTCAAAAGGAGAGTAGTTATCCACAGAGGATGGCAGTGTTTTGTTCCAAAATCCTGAGGGCCTGAACTACAGTTCACCTATAGGGGCCTGTCTAATGCTCCAAACAGCATCTCCATTTACCACTGGCACCTCAAACACCATTGGATCTGCTGGATCATATGGCTCAAGTGTCTGAGCAGCTTGCACAGCAGCCTGGACCTTTTGCTGAGCCTTCTCTTATTCTTAGCCTCATTCAAAATTGGTAGGTTTTGGGTCATTCAATGAATGGGGTGGAGTAAGATACTCAAAGGAGGAATGTGTTGTCTCAAAACGTCCAAAGAGGCCCACTTGGCATTTTGACTTTTTTTTTTTTTTTTTTTGGTTGTAGGGGAGGTCAACTGCAACAACTTATCCTTCACTTTAGAAGGGATGTCTTGACATACTGCACACCATTGAACTCATACGAATTGCACTGAGGTGGAAGTCCCCTGAATTTTTGTCATATTTTTTCCCACCATCTGAACATGCAAATGTCTTACCAATAAGTCTAGAGTAGTTGCTACTTTTTGTTCACTAGGTCCAATCAGCATATTGTCATCAATGTAATAGACTGGTGTGACATCTTGTGGAAAGTAAAGGCAATCATGATCCTTGTGAGCTAAATTATGACATAGGGTAGAGTGTTGATATACTCCTGAGATAGGACAAGGTATATTGCTGGCCTTGTCAGCTGAAAGCAAACTGCTACTGGTGGGCCTTATAAACAGGTATGGAGATGAAGGCATTTGCCATATCAATGGCTGCATACCAAGTACCAGGGGATGTGTTAATTTGCTCAAGCAATGACACCACATCTGGTGCAGCAGCTGCACTTGAAGTTAACACCTGGTTAAGCTTGCAGTAATCCACTGTCATTCTCCAAGACACATCTGTCTTCAGCATAGGCCAGATAGGTGAGTTGAATGGGGATGTGGTGGGAATCACTACCTGTCTGGGCTCTCCAGAGAAACAGAGCCAATATGATGTCTCTATCTATATATCTACATCTACATCTGTATATCTATATACATGTTTATTACAAGGTATCGGCTCATACAATTACGAGGGCCGATAAATCCCATAATCTGCCATCTGCACACAGGGGACCCAGAAAAGCTGATGGTGTAGTTCCTGTCAGAGTCCAAATGCCTGAAAACCAGAGAGCCAATGGTTTATATTCCAGTTCAAGTCTAAAGGCCTGAGAACTGGGAGTGTCAATGGTGAAGTCCTAGTCCAAAGGCAAGAGAATATCCAGGTCTCTGCTCAATCAGTCATGCAGAATGAATTCTCCATTCCTCTGCCTTTTGGTCTACACAGGACCCCAGTGTATTGGCTCCTGCCCACCCACATTGGGAAGGGCAATCAACTTTATTCAGTCTACCAACTCAAATGCTAATCTCTTCTGGAAATGCTCTCACAGACACACCCAGAATAATGTTTAATGAAATATCTGGACACCTCATGTCTCACTCAAGTTGACACATAAAATTAATGATCACATCACCTCTGATCTTTCAAGCCCTTGATGGTGCACTAATCTCTGTAATTCTTCCAGGAATGCAGTGCAGGTTGAGTATCTCAAATCCAAAATCCAAAATGCTCCAAAATCTAAACTTTAAACTGACTTGATGCTCCAAGGAAATGCTCATTGGAGCATTTTAAATTTTAGATTTTCAAATTTGGGATGCTGAACCAGTATGTATAATGCAAATATTCCAAAATTAAAAACAAATCCCAAGTAAAAAACTCTTCTGGTCCCAAGCATTTTGCATAAGGGATACTGCATTTGAATTGCATTTGGTTTACTATTTTTCTATGTAGAGGTAGTTCCAGTGGCTTCCACTTGGCATTTCCCATCACAACAGCCCCCACTTTACAAGTCATGTAGTCAGTGTGGGGATTTTGCCACCTGCTGAGTAGATCTGCTCCAATTATGCATTCTGAAACTGAGGAAAGGCCACAGGATAGGTTTAGGGACTCACTGGATCCACTGTGGGATGGATCTGAGCTAAAACTCCATTTATCACCTGACCTCCATAAGCTCCTGTTCTACCTAGAGAGCCACAGTGACATTTTGAATTTTCTGGAATCAGTATCAGTTCAGAAACAGTGTTCAGTAGTCCCTGAAAGGCCTGATTATTTCTTTTATTTTCCCAATGTACAGTTACCCTAGTAAAAGGCAATAGGAATGTCCCCATTCCTACTTACAGAATCCTGCTGGGAGAAAGATTAACAGTACACATTTTTGGTAGTGTACTTGGGTCCTTCCTTGAGGGGACTCAACCTTCCATTTAGTCAAAGGGTTCTGGGTCTATAAACTGGCTCAAGTCTGGTAGTTGATTGGGGGGCTATGACTCTCTTTTTACTGTGATTTGAGTTAGACGTTTGTTCACTTGATCTAGAACTTTTCTGCTTATACAGATCAAGTAAGAATTTAGTGGGCATCTATCTATTTCACATTTAGGAACGCTGTCATTAATTAGCTAACACCATAGATCTGAGTAAGTCAGACTATTCTGATTGCTGCTTTGACTCTACTATTACAGTTACCACACCTGCTTTGCCTCTGGCAATTGAGTGCTGCCACTTGGCCTTTGCCACCCCATCCCATTGCATTTAGATTTCCCAACTCTGTCTGCAGTCCATATTATCAGTTTTGACCTACAGAGAAGTGATTGCAGAACTCAACAAGGATGCTATGTTTCCTGTCACAAATTTACTTCTCACAATAGTGGTGAAAGATGTCTTATTGGAGGCCCATCTAACTCCCTGAGCTGCAACATTAAATGCAGAATCTCTGCTTGGTGGACTCTTGTCAATAAATTCAGACTGATCTAATTTAACGTTCCTTCCACCATTATCCCACACCTTTAATATCCATTTCCACATATTAACCCAGATTTCTGGTTGTATAAATTAGAAAACTCAAGTAGTTCTGGAGTATAGCACATCTCCTCATGGGTCACAATTTTTACCTCACCTGCAGGGGCCTTTTGTGACTTGAGTCTATTTATAGGTCAAGAATCAAGGACAGGTAGTAGAGGTGGGTCCTGAGGAGAATCAATATTGTCTTCCATGACAACTGCCTCAGAGGAGGCCATTATAGTTTCCTTGGGCAATGAGGGGTTACTCCCCTCAGATGAGATTGGAGAAGCCACTATCCCTCTACCAGTGAGGGTGCTTCTACTGGGGATGAGGAGGTCACTTCCACTGGTGGTGGGAAAGCCTCTTTCACTGGCAAAAAAGACTCATCACAATTTAAGGGCTCAATATCCCCACCTTCATCAGGGTCTTCTCATATGTCCCCATTCCTACTTACAGAACCTCATTCTTTCCTTATCAGTGGTCTTACTCTAACAATAGATACCCTGTTAAGATGTGAGTTACATTTGTATTGTGATTCAGCCAGCCACAGGATGAAATTCTGCATTTGATTTTCAGCAATCTGAGCCCTGTGGCTACAGGAGATAAGGGTCTCCTTCAGAGCACACATAGATCTCTTCAGATTATTTACGCTTGAGCTGGAAATTCAAGTCCCTGAACTCATCTTTGTCTTTCACTACTTTGTTCAGCAATATTAGGAGCAATCAGCCAATTTAATAATAATATTAATTAGTTTTCCAAAAATGTTCAAAAGTATCATATACACAGTCACCCAACTCCTTATTCTTATAAATGGTTAATTAGGAGTATCCAATGATGATATTTTGTGTCCCTATTACCTGATCACTCTATGGCCTATCATTGCACTCTTTGCTACTTGAAATAGAGTTACTGGTATCTTTAGATCTAATTGAATTAGAGAGCCAATTCCAGAAACTCTATAACAAATTTAGAAAACTCATCCTTAAAACTCTGTTCC
This sequence comes from Homo sapiens, assembly GCF_000001405.40. Lineage (NCBI taxonomy): Eukaryota > Metazoa > Chordata > Mammalia > Primates > Hominidae > Homo > Homo sapiens. The sequence continues at coordinate 24,778,651 of NC_000018.10, forward strand.
TCTAGAATCATTCTTGGTACCTAAATTTGTATTAGTCTGCATTCTCCAGGGAAACAGAAGCATCTTTCTGTCTCTCTCCCTAGCCCTCCCCCCCACACATATAGTGTTTTGTATATAAAATACACATATAACATAAAGTGGTTTATTATAAGGAATTGGCTCATGCAGCTAAAGAGGCTGACAAGTCCCAAGATCTGCTGCTGGCAAGTTGGAGGCCCAGAAAAGCTGATGGTTTAGTTCTGATCTGAGTCTGAAGGCCTGAGAATCAGGAGAGCTGACAGTGTAAATTCCAGTCTGAGCCAGAGGCCAAAGGTGGCAGAAGACTGATGTTCCAACTCAAAAATAATGAGCCAGCAAGCGCGCAAATGTTCCTTTACTCGGACTTTGTTCTATTCGGGTCTTCAATGGATTTCATGAAGCCCACCCACATTGTGGAGGGCAATCGGCTTTATTCAGTCTACAGATTCAAATGCTAATCTCTTCAGGAAATGCCCTCACAGACACACCCAGAATAATGTTTAACCAGATATCTGGGCACCCTGTGTCCCACTAAGTTACATCACAGGTACTATGGCTGACAATTCTCTAAACTTGGCAGCTCTGTCAGCCTTGGACATAGTGATGATAGCAGAGATTTAGAGCAGAGCCCTAGGCAGGCAGGTAGCATGAACAAGAAATCAACCTCTATTGTTTCCAGCTACTGGGGTTTTCCGGTTTTTGTTACTGTAGCATAACTTAACTTCTCTCAGTGAGATGGGCAGCTTGCAAGATTAAAAAAAACAAAACAAAACAAAACAAAAACTCTTGAAAGGTGTGTAAGGAGCACATTACTAATATATTCTTGCTAATCTGACAACTCCCAAATTTACATTCCTAACTCATACTTCTTATCTGGGCTCACACTTACCTGTCTAACTGCCCTCCTTGACACATCTACTTGGATGTCTCAAAAGATGCTTCAAAATCAGGCCTGGGGTGAACTTGTGAATATTTCCTAAACCTGGATTTTTTCCAGTCTTGTGTCACCTGTAGCACCAGCCTGGTCTCTGTTACTTCAGTCACTGTCATCATAAACTTCTCTCTTATTTCATGGGAAATCTAATGAGACATAATCTTTTCATCACAAAGCCTTGATGATTCTACCTCCAGAACATAGCTTGTCTCTCTCCGCCCGTCTCCATCTTCATTGTCAACATTCTAGTCAACGCCACCACTACCCATCGTTTAGATTACTGCAGTGGCCCCCAGTGTTCTCTCCATCTCTCTTGTGTCTTTTCAACTGACTCTGCATAATAACCAGAAAGATCTTCAAAAAATATGAATAAGATCTTGTTTATACCCTTAATGGCTCCACATTGAAACTTAGAATAAATTTCTTACTGTGGCCTACAAGGTCCTGTGTGATCTGGATTCTCCTATCTCTCCAGCTTCATCTCTTACCTGTCTGGCCCTGACAACACTAACCATCTCTCAGTTGCTAGAACAAATCAAGTCTTTCAGGCATGAGGGGCTTTGCTGTTGCTGTTCCCTGTGGAATTCCCTTCTGTTGGCCTACAAATTGCTTATTCCTTTCTATCTCTTAGTCTCAGCTAAGCAAGATGAATAAGCTCTAGAGATCTGCTGTACAACACTGTACCTATGGTCAGTGACACTGTACTGTACGCTTAAAATTTGTTAAGAGGGTAGATCTCATGTCAGTGTGTTTATTACAATAAAAAGGGTAGGTCTCACTGTTATTTTCCAATTGTTCCTATTCATTTCTTTGAGAGTACTTACCACAACGTGCAAATTCATTTAATTCACTTAATTCCTTTTTTATGTGTGCATTGTTATTTTCACTAGAATGAAATCTTCAAGGGGACAAGAGTCTCGTCAATCTTGTCATCATGACAATCCTGGTATCCTGTGAAATGAAAATATGTAGAATGTTTTCACAATATGTTTGAATGAATGGATGAATGAATGAATGAATGAATGAATGAATCCTTATTTCACAAATGAAGATAAGACTTAGGAGGCACATGACTTGCCCAAAATACACACTGAGTGGCAAGCCTGGGTCTCCAATCACATTTTCAAACCCTGCAGTCTGTGCTTTGATTCCACATAACATAGACTTTCATGTTGCCACCTGAAAAGCAGAAAAAGGTAATGTTCTTGAAATCCATTTTTTTACCAGAATCCTATGTACGCTTCCCTTTTCCCTCACCACTAAAACGGGTGGCTTTGCAACACCAGCAGCCTGGCTAGTTTATTCATTTTTCATATTATAAAATGTTATTAAACTGCACCACACAGATAAGTACTAGAAAAATTGCCAGGTTATTTTCCTAACATAAAATTAGCCAATTTGCCTGTGTATGGGATTGGAAGGGATGCAAAGCATCCCATTCAAGTGATTAACCTCTTAGTTAATAAAAGCAACAATTTCATGTGTATAAATAATATAATAAAAGAACATTCATATCAAAGTTATGTAGCCCTCCCCTTCCTGTGTTCATCTCCTTAATTGGTAAATAATTCATCACACTCTGAAATGAATTGTGTTCCCACCCACATTTCTTCATCCAATTATCATGAAATAGGAAAGCAGGCTCTTTCTCCCTTTGGAAGGCATGAGATAATAAAATTGTTCAGGGCTTTCCTGAGCCTGTGCTAGGATAGACATAGAACCCAGCCGGCATGGGCCTTGTCAGGTAACTGAGCAGTGCTTCTTGAGGCTCAGAAGAACTGAGCTTGTCCTTTCAGTTTGACCTCCTGCACCCAAAGTTCATGTATTTGTCTTTCCACTAGAGTGCCCATAAATATTACCTGTTGTGAGTGTGACTTTCAATAGAAGAAAGAGGCTGTGTGAAAGAAGCCAGTTGGCTGAAAATTTTAATATGACTTTTGCATCAAATGAGTTGCACAGATCCATTTTTACAATGCTGATGAGCCACAATTCCTGGACACGGAAATGTCCTTTTATGTTGTAAATTATGTAAGATTATTGCTGAAAGTTTCTTGTGGGAGCTATAATTTTTTCCCCTTTGGACTTCTTCATGTGTGGAAAAAACCCTACATTAGATATAAATTAATATACTCTTGGGCTGATGACCTTTGGTTTTTTGCCTTTTACCTTTAAATTAAGGTAGAATAATGCCCAACATAGTGCAATTTGCCTTTGCAAAACTCTTATATGTATGTCACTATAATTCCCAAGGATGGTCTTGCTAATAAATCCCATTAAAAAATCCCTTTTTTGAATCGTTTTCGTTCCTCTCATGAGTTCTGTTTAGAATTTTATCACTATCATATGCAACAGCTTTAACTTTGTCGTAGATAGATCACAGAGGTTGTGTACTGAACTTACAATAGCAGTGTTTATACCTGGGGTTTCTTTATTTTCCCTCCAATGCATTAGAGTTTTATGGAAAAAGATAAAACAGTTACTGCCTCCTTTACCACAGCTTTTTGAATAGCCTCTTCAGCTTGAAGTTTATGGATGACGAAAAATCATCTTAATTTGCAGATGGTGGAAGCACTGTTTTCTGGGCCTTAGTCTATAGCCAAGCAAAGGGGGAAATGGAAATGTCAGCAGCAGCATTTATGATGGACTCGGTGGGGAAACTTTTCCTTTTGAGTCAAGATGGCGCGAATTACCCAAGTGGGCTGGTGAAATGTTGTGAATGAGATTCAGCCATGAGCTTTCATTCTTCTTCATTGTCAGTTGCTCAATTACAATATTCAGCTTTACCTTTTGTACAATTTGAAGTTGTAGCCTATATTTTTGCTTAAAAATGATAGCTTGAAGACAAGACATTTTAATTCCTCTCTAAAAATGTCCCCTTCTCTTTTCAAATAAATAAGCTATTCTTCACTCTTGCTTGAGAAACGGTATTGTGAAATTCTGGTTATTTCTGCTACTTACGGCTGCTCTACAGAGACAAAGACATTTCTGTAGAAATGAACAATGGGAAAAGAACTATACCGGAATTAGATTGACTGGACTTGCTCAAGCAACTATGTCTTAATCTTAATTAACCAGCTTTTGACATCTGGATGCGGGAATTGCCGGCTCTGTCACATGAGGACTTTATAATCAGTGTCCTAGGGGTGGCTATCCTGAGAATTTTTCTCTGTAGAGTAAATTCTTTCTATCAGACACTGTACACAATATCCCAATCCACAGCAGTGAAACTTTGATCAAGGTCAGGACAAATGGACTTGGAAGAATTTCTAGTTGAGAAGGGCAGCTATTTTTTTCTGTGACTGGCAGGAGAGCAGCTTTTCTTTAATTGGGAAGGGCATACTCTAAGAGCAAGGTGCAGATTTGGGGGTGGTCTTCCCATGGCATGCTGAGCACGAAGGCCTGCCTGTCTAGCCAGACTGATCAGCAGAAACAGCTTTCTTCTCCTCAGATCCATCTCCAATCTGATGATTAGCAGTGCTCAGCTAAGGATTAGAGAAGAGACAGTCTGCTGCCAACAAGCCCTTTTTCTAAGCAAGATCGTGAAACACACAACACTTGTAACATTGATTTTGGTGGCCCTCTCCCAGACCCCCCAGTCTCCCTCCTCCTGCCAGATCTCCACCTCTCTTGGTTGCTTTTTCTCCTTTTGCCTCATCTTCAAAATCTAGCTAGCCATTGTCCTGGTCCTTTAAAAGTCCTGATCTCACCACCTTGATAGTAGAAAGGGACCAGGGAACTAACATGTACCAACCTTCTATGGTAACCAGCCCTTGTTTAAGAAGATACAGCTGTGCTTGCATTTGAGCCGCAGTTACACATATAAGCCATCTCTATTTTACGGATGAGAATACCGCGTTTCCCAGTTGCCTAACAGCACACAGCAAGTAGAGTCAGAATTGGAATAAAGTGTCTCTGACTTCAAGGACTATGCTCACCTTACCCTTTCTACTTCATCCCTGCAAGGTTACATAATTTCTTAAACCCAGTTAAAATTCACTTATTCACATATAACATTTTATAGGATGAAGTTTTCAGTCTGAGACAGGTTGACAGGGGAGAGCTTTCTGATCAGACTAACTTCAGACCCAGAAGGCAGGGAGTCCCTCAAATCCTTCCACATGGCAGGCTGCCTCCTCTGTCTTTACTCATAGGTCCAGTTTTGACAGGGACCAGGTCATGACCCAAAAAAATGTGGCTGATTTTGTATAATTTCTGTTTCATTAGGTGACATTTTGCCCTGCTTTCTGTGACTCTGATATTTCATGTAGATTTACACATTTGCCTTCCTAACTCAGGCCCTATTCATCCACTCCAGAAATTACCTGGACTGCCGTGTTCTGACATAGCCTGGTTCTCCACCAGTGGTCTCACCTAGTGCCCTTTGGCTCTGTTGTAAGTATGTGGTTCATTTGCAATCATGTTTCCATTGTCTCACTGTTGTAATGTTCTAAAACTCTGCCCAGTCTTTTTTCACAGTTCCTTATTCCTTTTTCTGCCCATTACATTTGTGCTATTGGCTCCATCTTCCTTCTCGCATTCTCCAGTATTGACATATACTTTTATTTTTTTATACCTGATGGATGCAACAGGGTGTTAAGTGGGATTTTTCTTGTGGTCTGAGAGCTAGAACCCAAACCCGAGAACAGGTATGCATTAATTGTCTTCATCTTCTAAAGGAATCTGTATTAGTCTGCCCCAGCTCCTTAACAAAGTACCACAGACTGGGTGGCTTATACAACAGACATTTATTTCCTCTCAGTTATGGAGGCTAGAAGTTCAAGATCAAGATGCCAGCAGGGTTAGTTTCTTGTGTGGCCAATGTCCTTGGCTTGCAAACAGGCACATTCTCACTGTCTTTACGTGGTCTTCCCTCTCTGTGTGTCTGTCCTTATCACCTCTTCTTATAAGGGCACCAGTCATATAGAATTAGGGCCCACTCAGTGGCCTCATTTAACCTTAATTACCTCTGTAAAGGCCCAAATCTCCAAATACAGTTACATTCTGAGGTACTGGGGGTTAGGACTTCAACATGTGAATTTTGAGGAGACACCATTCAGTTCATAACAGGATCCAATGGTAAATGTGTCTGGATAGCTCCTTGGGGCTTCTTAAAAGGTAACCATGCTGATGGGGCATGGTGGCTCATGCCTGTAATCCCAGCACTTTGGGAGGCCGAGGCAGGTGGATCACCTGAGGTCAGGAGTTCAAGACCAGCCTGGGCAGCATGGTGAAACCCTGTCACTGCTAAAAATACAAAAATTGGCTGGATGCAGTGGCACATGCCTGTAATCCCAGCTACTCAGGAGGCTGAGGGAGGAGAATCACTTGAGCCTTGGAGGCGGAGGTTGCAGTGAGTCGAGATTGCGCCATTGCACTCCAGCCTGGGTGACAGAATGAGACTCCATCTCAAAAAAAAGAAAGGGACCATGCCTTTTTGTGCTACCTTCACAATCATTCCACCCCACATATATGTAGGAGAAAATCACTGGGTGGGTAAGTGAAGCGGGGACAGGGAGTTGGTCAGCTGGAATGCAGTATTTGTAGTAAAGAGATTTCCTCTTCCTTTCCTGTGGGGGTGCTGACCTCCTTTGCCTACAAGCCGCATGAGGGAAATACCAAGAGTATTACTGGTAAGGATTGGATGTGCCTATAAGGAGTGGTGACTGTCATCCCAGCCCTGGCTCGGTGCTTGCAGAGTCTGCTCTAGTGCTTTCTGGTGGAGAGGAGTAGGTATGAGGAGAAAGCTCTTGAGAAGGTCAGCTACTGTCTTTGAAGTTTGGAGGTCCCCATGACCTAGTGACCATTGCCCATTTTGGTTTCCCTTTAATCTTCAAAGGCACAAAGCTTGCTGGGATAAATAGCATAAAGAGACTGGAAGAAGATGGGGATACCTTTCAAATGCCAATTCCCTGAATCCCTTGGAGGGCACAGAGAATCTGCATTGGTCTCAAGAACTCAAAAGAAGAACCATGGGGATTAAAAAGGAGGCACGAATCATAAAACATTCAGGTGATTAACAAGAGTTAGCTCTGCCTCCTTCCAGAGAGAAGGTTTGGGGGCACTGAAGAGTGGCAGGGACCAAAGAAAGGTGTGACTGTCCACCCTCTCTGAAGGGGTCCTTCTCAGTATTGGGAACTGTCCCAAGAAAACCATGGACACTATTTGCACATGGGGGAGCACTGCACAGAAGATAACCCCAAACCAAGCCAGAGGAAGACCACTCCCAGAAGTCAGCCAATTATATGAGATAATATCTGCTATCTCTTCCATCCTTCTTCCTGACTTCAGCACATGGGATGGGCTAGAGATCTAGATGGAAGAGGAATGTGAGGTGTCCCCAGAACAGACTAGATCCTCCACTCCAACCCTAAGGTTGGGGAGGAAGAGAATTGAGAAGACGATGTAACTGTCCTCTTGAGCTGATGCCTTGCTACCTCTTAGTAAGTGGAAAAATTAAATATCAATTTGGAGAAGAGATCACAATGTTGGACTATACTGGGATGAATATTTAATAGCTGAAAATGCCTGGAAAGCTGTGAGTTTTGCTGGGATATTTGAGGTTGGAAATGGAGATTTGACATCAAGGTGAAGGCAGCAATTTGAGAACAATAAAACCATTGTATCTAAATGCAGTTCAGACCATTCAGTCATAAATTGTATTTGATTGCTGTTGAAAAGCCACAATGAATGTTATTGTTTGGCAAGAATAATTCCGTCGGTCATTCCAAGTCACTGGTTAGATTTTAAGGTACAATTGGATTAAAATAGATAATTAGGAAGCACATTTCTCATTATTCAGGATGGATTTAGCTGATTCACAACTTCAGTTGCAAGAGATTAGACTGCAAAATTAGAGATTAGATTGAAATATATTAGACTGAAAATTTCATTTTTTATTTTAGTTTGCCTTCTCCCAGACAGTGTGTTGACGTGGAAGCTGTCAGGGCTCAGAAGATCTGGGGTCTAATGGCTCCATCCATAACCACCTATATCAAAGCAGTCACATCTTAGGAACTTATGGTATCTTGATTTCTTTCCATTGTTACCCTAATTCAGTAAGCATTCGCAAAGTATCTTATGAGGATAGCGGCTTTAGAATTAGACCATGTAGGTTAGAATCCAGGGGCTATAATTTACTGGCTGTGTGATCTTGGTCAAGCTACTTATCCTTTCTGAGGCACTGTTTTCTCATCTTTAAATGTGGATGTGGCAATTGAACTGGGCCACAAAGAATCAGTAGAATCTCCTCTGTAAATTGGAGTATTTGAACTATGTGATGTTTAAAACCTCTTCAATTCTAAAAGCCTATTCTATATAACCCCACAGGGAAGAGAATGGATTTCAACAGAATCGTGTGGCTTCAGATGATAAAGAAGTAAGAATTTCCAGGTTAGATATCAGATATAATACTTACAGAGGTTCTGGATTTGTCCTCCTAATTAAAAAAATAAACTAGTGACTTGTCTGATTGTATAATTTTGCTATCATTCTGCTGAAAGTTAGAGATGAAGTGAATCAGTAGTTTTCAAACATGAGTCCAAGAATGGGCAGCATTTGATTCACCTGAGGAGGTTTTTATAGTATTATCAAAATCTCTGTATTTGTTGATTTCTTATCTACTTTTTTGGGGTCAATTACTGAGTGTTAAAATCTCCAACTCTAACTGTGGATTTGTCTCATTGTTTTTTACTTCTGACAGTTTTTGCTTCAAGTATTTTGGAACTTTATTATTAGGTGTATACACATTTAGGATTTTTTTCTTGAATTGAACCCTTTTATCATTATGAAATGTCCCTATTTATCTCTGTCTTGTCTTGAAGTATGCTTTGTCTGATACCTATATAGCCACTCCAGCTTCCTCCTGATTAGTGTTTGCATAATACATCCTTTCTATCCTCTTACTTTTAACCAATATGTATCTTTCTGTTTAAAACTTCATCTCTTTTAAACAGTATGCATTTGGGTCTTTTCATCTAGTCTAATAATCTCTGCCTTTTAATTACAGTGATTAATCCATTTAGATATAATGCAATTATTAATGTAATTAGATTTAAGTTTATCATCTTGCTATTTGTTTTCTATTTGTTCCATCTATTGTTTGCCCCTTTTTTTCCTCTCCTTTTCTGCCTGCTTTTGGATTATTTTCAATATTGCATTTTATCTCTACTATTGGTTTATAAGCTATAGATATTTGATTTATTTTTAAAATTGTTGTTCTGGATTACAACGTGCATCCCTAATTTATCAGAATCTACCTTGAATTCCCATTATGCCACTTCCAATATACAGAATTAAAAAATGTATACTTCAATCATACGTTCTGTTATGTATGTTATTGATCTAGTTTGAATTTGTGTCCCCACCCAAATCTCATGTCAAATTGGAGGAGGGGCCTGGTGGGAGGTGGTTGGATCATGGCGGAAGATTTCCCCCTGGCTGTTCTCGTGAGAGTGAGTGAGTTCTCATGAGATCTGATGGTTTAAAAGTGTGTGGCCCTTCCCCCCTTCCTCTTTCTCTCCTGCTACCATGTGAAGAAAGTCTTTGGTTTCCCTTCACCTTCTGCCATGACTGTAAGTTTCCTGAGGCCTCCCAGACATGCTTCCTGTTAAGCCTGTGGAAATGAGTCAATTAAACCTCTTTTCTTCATAAATTACCCAGTCTCAGGTAGTTCTTTATAGCAGTGTGAAAATGGACTAATACAGTTATAAATTATAAAATACATTGTTAATATTTTTACCTTAAACATCAACTATCTAAATAAGGAAATTTTAAAAACAGGCAAAAATATTTTTGTTGGCTCACATATTTATTATTTTTAGGACTTTTCACTTTTTTACATAGAATTGAGTTCTGATATCATTTCACTTCAGCCTGAAGAAATTCCTTTAATAACTTTTGTAGAGCAAGTCTGTTGTTGATAAATTCTCCCAGCTAATGTTTATCTAAAACTATCTTTTTCTGTCACTTTTGAAAGGTAATTTTAGCTGGATATAGAATTCTAGGTTGATACCTATTTCTCTTTTGGCAGTTAAAAGATGCTATCTCATTGTCTTTTGCCTTGCACTATTTCTGAAGAGAAATCACCTTCCATTCTTATCATTGTTGTCCTGACTGTAATATGTCTTTTGTATCTGGATATTTTTAAGATTTTCTCATTATATTTAATGTTCAGTAATATCACTATAATATGCTTAGGGTTTCCTTTTTACCTACTCTTCTTGGGGTCTTTTGAAGCTTCTTGTATCTGTGGGTTGATATCAAATTTGAAATATATTTGGTCATTATTTCTTGTAATACATTTTTTTTCTGCCCCAGTGTCTTTCTAATCTGCCAGAATCTCTCTCTCTCCTTTTATTCTGGTACTCCAATTACACACATGTTAGCCCATTTGATATTATTTACTAGGTCACTGAGGCCCTGTTCATTTTCCCTCCAGTATTTTTCTTTTAGTGTTTAAGTTTGGAGAGTTTCTAATCACCTAAGTGTGCTTATCATCTCTTCTGCAGTCTCCAATGTGTTGTCAAGCTTATCCATTGAAATTTTATTTTCGGATATTATACTAATTCTAAAATTTCCATTTGGTTCTTTATAAACAGTTTCTGTTCCTTTCCATAGAGTCCTTATCTGATTACTCATATATCCACCTTTTCCATTAAATTACTGAATATATTTATAATAGCTGTTTTAAAATAATTTTCTGCTAATTCCAGTAATTAACTGTGTTACCTCTGGGTCTATTTATATTGCTGGGATTTCTCTTAGTTATGAATCACACTTTCTTGCTTTTATGCATGTCTAATAATTTTTATTATGTGTTAGACACTGTGGATATTACATCATTGAAAATATGCCCCCCCCCCATTTCTATAAAGAAAGTTGCATTTTGTACTGTTGGAAAGCTCTTAGTGGTAAAACAGCTTGACCTGTTGAGGCTTGGCTTCAGGCTCTGTTAGAGAGGTCTAGAGTAATCCTACAACTAAGGTCTGGTCTTTTTTGGGTCTTAACAGACCCAAACAGAGTTTTTAGAGCATTCTTTACACTCTGGCTGGTCAGAACTTCAGCATCTCCCAGTCCTGTGCACCTTCAAAATGTCCATTCTGTTCCCAATGCTTTGGTAGCTGTTGTCTGCTAGCTCTCACAGAGTCTAACTTTGTAATTGTACAAATTAATATTTGATCAATAATTTAAGGAAACCCTTATGCAGATTTCTGAGGGTCCATCTATTTGCAGTTATCTGCTCTCTGGTGTTCACACCACACATTCTAATTGTCTCTGCAAATTTAAATTCTATTTGAACTTAGGAATAAAAGGTACCTTAAATAAAAGGCAACATTGTAATTTAAAGATGAATTATATCTCTATAGTTAGAAAAATTTAGCTGTTATTTCTTTCTCCTTAATAATAATTTTCCTGAAATCTGCAAGTTGGCAATATCTTTCCTAGGAATATCATTATTTTGCAGATGATTTCTAATAATAACTACAATTAAAATCTTAGTATAAGTTAGTCACTGTGTTGACTGCTTTCTGTAGGTTATCTCACTTAATTGATACTCCCCTTGATAAGACCTGTGACTGGCTCAATTTTCCTGTACTAATTTATAAGTGTCCCCAGACAGAAAGCCAAGGTGAACGTGGAACTCGGTTTTTTTGTTTTTCTCATTCTCTGTATGTTGTAAAATACATGAAAACATTTACTTCATATATTTTTGTCCAGTTTTATAGTTGACTATAGTGGGTAGGTGTGATACTTCTTACTTTGTTACTGCTGTAATCCTGAGGAACTTTTTGAATACGTAGATTTTAACATTCTGCCAAAACTTACTGATTCAGAATCTCCAAAGTGATCCTAGAAAGTGGCTTCTGTGGTTGGGATGTTGGTCTCCTCCAAACCTCATGTTGAAATTTGATCCCCCATGTTGGAGGTGGGGCCTAGTGGGAGGTGTTTGGGTCATGGGGGCAGATCTCTCATGAATAGATTAATGCTCTCCATGTGGGGTAAGTGAGTTTTCACTCTATTCGGTGCCCTCAAGAGCTAGTTGTTAAAAAAAGCCTGGCATCTCCTCCCTCTCTCTCTTGCTTCCTCTCTTGCCATGTGATCTCAGTACACACCAGCTCCCGTTCCCCTTCTACTGTGGGCGGAAGTAGCCTAAACATCACATGCACATGCCCAATCTTGAACTCTCCAGCCATCAGAATCATGAGCCAAATAAATCTTTTTTCTTTATAAATTACCCAGCCTCAGGTTTTTCTTTATAGCAACACAAAATGCACCAAGACAAGTATTCATCTTTCTTCTGATATGCAGTCAGGATTTGGACTCACTAATGCATCTGACCTTTCCAGGTAACATCAGGCCCTGATTGCTCTGGCCTTAGAGCATCTTGAAGAGCTTCATTTAAGAATTTCTACTGATATATCTTTTACCATATCCCACTGGGAGATCAATTATGCATTAGCTGGGCTTCTCCATCACAAAGAATTCCTCAATTTCCAGACTATTTTCAATCTTTAGAGTTCTTTATTTCTAATAATCTTCCTAAATTAGAATAAACAATTCCTTATATTCTTAGTGTTTACACCTTCAAAGTTTAGTAGACATTTATTTTGTCCCCTGTCAGTCATCATTTAAGTAGATTATACACATTTAATTATTTTAATGTACCCTCATAAATCAACCCTTAAACTCCCCAATCATTCTGGTTGCAAGAGCTTATCCTTTCTCTGGATGAGGAAGGCCAGAACAGGACATCTTTCTTCTGCCCTGTTTTCCTGAGGAATAGGACTGATATCCCATCTTCCTCAGTCATAGCCTCTGATCTGGAATATTCATTCTATGTATTTGCAGACTTTTCATTACTATCGGTTCTATTTTAATTATATTGTAGATAATTTTCAAGTTCTTAATCTTCCTTCTTTCACTGAATAATAGTATTTAAGGTTTTATTCTTAGTTTAAAAATTTAAAATACTTTCACATTCCTCAAGTGGAATGAATCCATTAAAAATCCTGTGTGTGTAATTAAACAATCTTAGTGTCCCTAGATTTCTCTGTCATTTCTGGCACCTGGCATTCCTTCCTTGGAGGTTTTCAATTGTGGACTGTAATACTTCCAGAATAATGAGAATTTCGATTCCACAAATCACCCAAAGCCAAACATCAGTTTCTTTGGCCAGTAAAGCATGCCCGGTTCGCTGATGGCTTTCAGAGGGGCTGACAAAAAGCCTTAGATAATGCACTGAGTATGGTACTGTTTAAGGCCATCGCAGTGTGCTGTAATTATTGTGGCAGGCTCCTTCCTGTCTAGAATAACTCCCCGAACAGTCGGTAGTGTGTCTTGGGGTTGACAGGTGGCTAGATTCCCCTCTGTGTTAGTGACTATGTTAGATGTTGCCAGGAGAATTTAAAGCAACATACACAGCATCTTAGCACTTGAATTGTTCTGATTTTCCCCTCAGCTCTGTGCAATATGCATTTCTTAGACACATGCAAGAGAAAAGCCTCCTTTCCCCTTTTTTTCCTGAGAGCCCTCCTCACCAAGGCACATCCTCCAATTTGCTGGCTGCCCCCAGGAGCCATCCTCACTGTGTCCCCCGACATTCCTGTGCCCATGTTTTATGCAAAGATGTGAGCAGCTGGCCACCAAACCCCTGAGAGTCTGGGTCTTTTGTGTTCCAAAGCCTCTTCTCTGCCTTCTTTTCCCTCCCCTCCTGGCTTCCAGGCCATGTGATCTTTCCCTCACCACTCCCCTGTGTCAGTATTCACTGGATATAGTCTGTGTGCTTTACATGCCAGGCAGCAGTGCTGAGGAATGCTGAACTTTCCTAAAACGTGGTTGATAAACACAGGGAGTGGTGTCACAGAATGTCTCATACTTAATAGGTCCTCTTGGCTGAGGCTTTGTTAAAACCTTCTGAAGAAGTGCCATATTACCAGGCAGAAATCTAAAGAGCCACTCCAGCATAGTGGACGGAATACAGGGGTTGAAAGACAGTGCCTGTCATGAGGCTTAATTCAAATACTGTATATAAAATTCTAAAATTTGACTGCTTAGGTTTTAATCCCAGTTCTGTCACTTACTATCTTGTGACCTTGGTCAAGGTCACTTGTCCTCAGATGTTTCATCAGCAAGTAGAACTACTCTGTAATAATAGTTCCCACACCAGGCTTGTGATAAAGATTTAGTGAATTTATATATATATAAATATATGGTGAATTTATATATATATATGTGTGTGTGTGTGTGTATATATATATATATATATATATATACACACACACACACATTTAAAAAATGTCTAGCATGTCATAGGTGCATAATAAATGCTCAAGAAAAGGTAGTTAAAATAGTAGTAATAATATAATTATTTTTATCGTTAGGCACCTCAACAATTTACCAGCTCCTATATATAACTTAATGACTTTAGTGGTCTAGGATAGCTCATAAATTTGTAGACATAGAGAACAAATTAAAGTTCCAGTCCATGTTCTAGGTCTCATTGTGACACAGTTCCTGGTGGGAGGGACCCTTGTGTTGACTGGTCATGCCATTTGACCAAGATGCTGTATTATCTCACTCCCTGAAAACAAAGGCATAGAATTCAAGATTCAGAGTGTGGCTAATATGAAGCATGGAGGTCTTCCTTCTGCCCTGATCATAGGGAAATTAAAGCAGGAAGATAGACTTGCTGGTAAGTTTAAATAATCCTGAGGCACAGAGGAAAACATAGCCTCTATATCTGTGCCTAAAGTCATCCAATACCTTCCTGTTTTGAGCAAATTCAGGAAAAATAAAAGGGCCACTCTGAAAGCCAGAAATACAGTCTTTTAAAAAAACAAAAGCGGGCCCAGATGTGTGTGTTGCCTCATACCTATAATCTCAGCACTTTGTGGGGGTCGAGGTGGGAGGATCGCCTGAGGCCCGGAGTTCAAGACCAGCCTGGGCAACATAACAAGACCCCATCTCCACAATAAATTTTAAAAAATTAGCCAGGTGTGATGGCATGCACCTATTGTCCCAGCCATTCAGGAGGCTGAGGTGGGGGGATCTTCTGAGCCCAGGAGTTCAAGGATGTAGTGAGCTATGATTGTGCCACTGCACTCCAGCCTGGGTGACAGAGCAAGACTCCATCTCAATTAAAAATAATCTTAATTTTTTTAACTTAAATTTAAAAAAACAAAGTAGGGGTTAATTTACTGCTCATTCAGTAGGAAGTCAGCCTTCTAGAGGTGTTGGACAATGGTAGGAAAGCCTCCAAAATTGAAAGAGGCAGTTGGAAGGGGTTAGGCATGGAGAAACATTTCTAGAAGCCTGTCTTCCCATACCTTGGACAGCGAAGCCGACTTGTTGTCCAAGCCCTCTTTGCCTTGTGCCCATTTAGGGAACTGTACTCTTTACTGCCATTGGCGCTCATTGCAACAACTGCTCTCATGAACGAAGAGGCAGGACTGGCTTTGTGCAGGACTCAGGCCTCCAGAGTGGGGCATAGTCAAAGTTAGTGTTCCTCTTTGGAAAGAGGGGTGATGTTCATCAGAATGGAATCTGCCTCAAAGAGAAGTTCGTGTGGCTCAGTTCAAGGGCTGGCTGAGAATCGAGCTGCCTCTGATTTCATCTGACCCTGAGAGAGAAGATAGAGATGCACTCCTGTCTCCTATTTATCATTCTCAATGGGAACTGTGTGGGCAGCTTCCATTACGCCAGGCCAAATTTAGACGAATGAAAAGGTCGACTAAGTAATTATTGATTTTATATGTGTGCATAAATTAGAGCATGGAGTCCTTTAGTCACTGCTAAAAATAAGCCTTCTATGGATTGGGTTTGGGAGACAGAGGGCCGATGTAACAAGGATAAAGCAATAGCTCTGGTGGTAAATCTGTACGTTAGATAACTATTTCCTTATGGTTGTCGTGATAGTTCAGGATGTAAAAAACATCAGCCAGTGGAGCATGTTGGATATCGGTGAGAGGATTGGACGAGGCAAACCAGAACCGTTCTTTCTCTTTAATCATAAAAATGATATTGGCCATAATCCTTTTAGCAACACGCTTCTCTCAAGCAGCAGAGACTTATGAATGCTATTCTGAGGAGAACTAGTCAATATATTAGTTTTCTTTTAATTATGCAGCTGCAGCAGCAAGTTGTGCATGAGTTTTATGGAGCTTTGCAAATTTGCCATCGGTTCTGGGAAGTAGAGAATTTATTTGTATACTGTGGAGCAATTTGCTCTGGTTAGAGGAGAGAAACCATACCCTTCCATCTTAAAAATGAAGAGCTGGTATTTGAGTGGGAAATTCCAAGAATCTAATAATCAAATCAGCCAAGGCTGTTAATTAAAACTGATGAGTATTTAGCATTTATGTAACACTCTAGAATCTTGTACTGCTGGAAAATTACCAATTGCCTGAAGTTTGCAACTGTTAACATGCTTATAAGGGGAGAACATTCTGGTGATAAAAGAAGAAAGTATTTTGTTATCAAACATGGTACACTTGTGTGAATATGGCTTTACAAGTTTTAGAGATAAGTCTAGCTAAATTTTACAAGTATCTGAACTCTGTTTGGATTTCAGTGGTTCAAAGTCAATTTAGGCATTATATGTGCATCTTAAATTCTAGGTTACAGTAATTCTCTCTTCTTCTTGGTTAGTAGTTCCTGTGATACAGAGAAGCAAAAATTGTCTTGTTCAAGCTCAACTTGTTATTCCTTAGAAGTAGCCTCAAGGGGGAGTAGATTGCTACACTCTGCTGATCTAATGGGCCACAGTAGCTCCCAAATTGAAGAAATGAGGATTGGCATGTCAAGGAAGAGGGGTAGCTGAAAGACGGCGGTGGCCTGTGAATGGAAATTATAACCTCCAGACCCACATGACCCTCAAAAGTAGGTCAGCTCTGCTGTAGGCTCCAGTCCCCATCCTGATCAGCACTAAGTCAGTCTTGCTACTCATCCAGGTGTGACCTTGACCTTGCACTCCAGTTTTCATAAAGGGGCTTGTCCCTTGAGCAGAATATCTGGTCTCTACTTTGTATCCTCATCCTGGTATCTGTGTCCTTGTCCTGCCCCTTGTGGGTAATCTATCTAATGCCCTAGTCCGTTTAGAATTGTCTTCATTGCCAGTTCTTTACCCAAAATCTAAAGGTCTACAGCCTTCCCTGTCTCTTAACTCCTGCTGGACTAGATATTACTGGCTTCTAGAATCTTCAGGTTATCCTTTGAATGGATTGGGATACCCTCTGCTCCCTGGGGTTGGCCATCTCTTCCCTCCCCCTACTTCATGCCAACTAGCAGCCTGGACAGATGTTTATTATCATACACTTTCCAAAGTGCATGTCCAATGTCCAGCAGAATGCCTAGTTCATACTAGGCATTCAACAAATTAGTGAATTCATTCAAATAAATAAATTTATTCTCCCTGCTGGCCAGGCCTTCCTTCCAGTATTTTCTGGCAAGGTCCATCATCTCAGAGGTTTCTAGATCTCAGCTCACTCCAGTTTGCCCAGGTTGTCTTGCCCTACCATGAGCTGGGACACAGCACCAAGATATCACACATCTTAGGTAAATTGGTGTCATTGGCAAGATGTGTCCTCAGTTCCTCGTTTTTCTCTCCAGGCTCTTTTTTTTTTTTTTTTTTTTTTTTGGCTTTCTCTAGTTACATCTTCTCCATTTCCTCCTAGTTCTCCCTCAGAAACTCCAGGATAAATTTTATTTGATGAAATCAATTCATACCAAAGTGCTGATAACTAACAATTTTGGGCAGTTAAGCCAGTAAACTTCAAGGTATAGCCCTGGGTGGTAGTTAGTGAGCCAAGAGGAAGCTCAACCTTGGAATTATAGGAATGATTTTAGAAACGGGATATTTAGCCTAGAGAAGAAGCATTGTAGGAAGGTCACAGCAGCTATTTTCAAATATATATATCTTTCCAATGTGTGAAAGGCAGAATACATCTATATTGTGCAAACAAGAATGGATGATGATCTGTCCTGAGGGTAGTGAGTGCACTGTTCCTGGAAGTTGAGCCTAGTGCTCCTTCAGACCCAGCCGAGAAAGCCTGGTCCTGGGTGACAGTGTGGGATAGCGACGTGGTGGATTCCTCGTTCTTGATCCTTCTCACCTCATGTAGGAGTATAAACCCAGGCTGAATGGCACCAAAAGCATTTTCCCAGCTGGGTCTTATCCTCACAATTCTGCAGCTAGTTCCCATTTCTCCTGTCCAAATGGTGTTCCTACATGCTTGCTTCTATGACAGATGGAATGTCGTGAACATTGTGGTTGCCTCTCTTGTCCAGTTATAATAATCCCGTTCTCCTGGTCAAAAATTGGTTTAAAAAATTATGTGGCGCAATCCTGGCCAATGCATTTGAGAGAAGTCTTTTAGGTTAGGGATAGTGGTCCTGGGAAGGGTTTCCTTTCTTCCAAGAAAGGAAGACAGGGTCTACCTCATTCCCCCTAGAAGTGGTTGTGTCAGTTTGTAATGCCTGAACTTCAGCAACAATCTTTCCCTGGCCTGATGTAGAAGCCAGAGCCATGGATTCTTCACGATGAGATTCAGGAAGCTTCTTTAACTCCTTTGAAAATCATGAAAGATTTTCAAAGAATCTTTGTGAGAAGAATCAAGTACAACTTCTAATTAGATTGGTTCAAACCATACTGTGTCTGGTCTTGTGTTTTCTAGAAAGATGGTATCATTTTCTTTGTTCTTCCCCGTGGGGGAAACCAGGAAAATATTATAATTTTCATGTTGAAGTTAGTGTACCATAGTTGTAATATGTATCTTCAGTAGCTTTCTTTTAATCAGTACTTAGATTAAAACAAAACTGAGTCTAGTTAATCACCGAATGTAAAGCAGCCCATCATGAAGACATGGCCACACAGAGTGTGCCACACACAGTGGCCATGGCCAGCTGATTTTTCTATGTGACAGAGATGGAGCTTAAGATAGTTATCCTTTGAATGGATCGGTATACTCTGTGTTTCCTGGGTTGGCCATCTCTTCTCCCAACCCCCACTTTCATGCCAACTAGTCACCTGGACAGACATTTACTATCATGCATTTTCCAAGGTGCATATCCAACATTCTCTTCACTCCCAAATCCTGGGGACAGGAAGAAACTGTTGAACATTTTGAATCACCGAATCAAATGTGACAAAATCTCTGCTAAGGTTTGGCTAAGAATGTAGAATGTGAATTAGAAGATGGATTTGAAAGTACCTTGCAAATTACAATGTGCTGGACACACAGAAGGCATCATTGTTGGGAGTGTTGCTTCCTGGAATAGTAAAAGCAGCCCCGATTTAAGGAAGGCATCTAGAATCATCTGTTTTCTAGCTGACTACTCAGGTAAGTACTTACGGGGCTTCCTCTTTGACAAGAAAATCAGATGGTTTATCTGAATTAGTAAAGGGCTACCGGGAAGGTAGGTGGCTCGGCTCTCACATCAGGAGTGGGTTGAAGTTATTGGCTGCTGCTACATCTTTATACACAGCTCACAATCCCATTGCAGCATGTCACATCTGATATGGGATAATGCAATGTGACTAATGTAATCAGATGTGAAGTGCACTACAGCAACATGTCAAGTTGGAAAATTTGAAAAGAGAAATAGGCTTCTCTCTAAATCATGGTTGGGTTCTTTTTCTCAGCTGGAGGGCTCTGTTTTCAGACAGGAGAGTTTTCTGTGGTGACCTTCTGGCCAAGGGCACATGTCAGGAGGGCCAGCCTTTCCCGAAGGTGGTGACCCTGGGCACATGAACTGGAGCATCATGGATTGACCCCCACCTGCCTTTCAAACCAACATACGTCACCTCTTTCCACAACAAGGCATTCACTCCAGAGGTGTATGCTGCAAAGCTCTGATTGCTCAGAAAATGAAAGGTAGTCTATCAATTTCACAAAGATTTAGGAATTGTATGCCTGGAAACTAATCAGGTTTCAAAGGAGGAATTTTAAGGACCTGAAACGGTTGAGTAAAGGCAATGTCATTCAAGTATGTGTACAGTTTTCCAAAATAATAAGTAATATGGATACATAATTTTTGGTATATTTGTAAAATGATCTGTCAACTTTCTTTATAAGCTTCCTGTACATAGTGGGGTGGGTGATCTTTATGACCCTGTCTCATTGACAAGTATGAGTTACGGGAAAGGACTCTGTGGCTTGGTTTAGTGGAGACATCCAGTCTCTTCTTCCCCAGATGAGGCATAGTGCTTGTGCTCTCTCTCTCTCTCTCTCTCTCCTCATTCCCACCCCTCTCCCTCTTTGAAGCCACATTTACATTTCTAAGATGTATATAAGGGTTAAGGAGCAAAGAGAAGCTCAGAGACAATGGCTCAGTCAATTCTAACAAATACAATGTCTTCATCAGTGGTGTAAAATGGAACTCCTCTGTGTGAGGCAGGTGCAGGGAGGGTGCCAGGCCCCACCTACCACCCTACCAATCCCAGCTTGCAAACCACTGCCCTAGGGCATAGGATCAGAGACTGCAGAAGTTTCATGGTGAAAGTTCATTTCACTCTCTCATGGCACAGTTGGGAAATGAGCCCAGAGAAGGCTGAAAGTGTCCTAAGATCACCAGGCTTTGCTGGGAATAGAACTTGGCCATCCCATCCTCCCAGACCAGCACTGTTTTCACTGTGCTGTGGATACTTAAGCTCTCTCTCACCATCCCTTTTTGTGCAGATCTGCTTTTATAGTGGGCCCAGGAGGCAGCAGGACAAAGCCACTTCCTTCCATGGACTCATCCCTCTCTCCACTCCCTCCCTTATATTTGCATCCTGTCCATCAGAGGGCACAGTTGCCCTGATGAAGGCACAATCAAGATGGGAAACAAGAATTTTGTCAGCCACTTCCATGGACCCCCTATTTTGCTGCACAGTTCCTCTTTCATGCCTCTTACCCTGCTGTGCTCTCTCTGTCCGTCAGACTCTGCCTGCCTTCCCCAAGTCCTTTCCTCCATAGAGCTGTACCCTACTCCCACTGCAGTCCTTCCATATCTTAGCCCCTGCCTGCCTTTACCTTGGCCTCCCCTACCCCTCCATTAAATCCTACCTCTCCCGTGTACCATTTTATTGGAGCCTGCCCTTTGCTCAGTGATAGCTGGCTAATATGAGAAACTAATCTGTTTTAATGTTTTAATGTGTTACCACTCGCTAGCCTCTGCTAGCAACTTAATGAGATTTTGAGTTTTGCTTGTCTCATCACAGGTCCTCTATTCAATTATAAACTCGGTGAGGGGGAAGTGCCATTTGCTATTTCTTCCTTAACTCCCATAGCAGCCACAGAGTGCTGGACTCGGAGTACTCTACATTGACGTTGTTGAATGAATTAAAGGAAGGGGGAAGTAGGTGGCTAGACCTGAGTGGAGAGAAGGTAAACAAATACTATGACACAGTTGTTTTTCAGGTAATGCCAGTAAAATAGATTGGCAAGAGAAACTGGCAAGTCCTTCCTAAAAAGAAGTTTCAAAATAACCAGAGAGCATGCATGAACTCAACTCAATCTTCAATAAAGTTTGCTTTAACTAAACAGCAGCAACAAAACCAATAATACTATACATTAATTATTTGGCTAAAAACCGGTCCTGAGATCAAAGGTTTCTGGTGTGTGTTCCATCTTTAAGAGTCCAAAGCAAAAATGCAGACAAAATGTATGTGTCATTAACCCCCATGGGTACTGCAGAAATGCATTACCTGCAGGTTTGGTGAATGTAGTTTCTTGCAAGTTGAAATACAGGGAATGAAGAATCCAGCATGGCACTGCCCAGTAGAACTCTCTGTGCTGGAAATGTTTCTGTCCCTGCCCTGTTCAAGACAGTAGCCACAGGGCACTTGAAATGTAGCTAGCAGGACTGAAAATTTAAATTTTTTCACTTTCATTTAATTTTACTTTACAAAGTTAAAAAACAACTTCATATTTAAATAGCCTTACATCATTTAAATAACCTTCTTACTTGAAGTGTTCTCCAAAGATTGGGAATTCTGGGATAATAATAATTATGTGATTTTTAGACAATAATAATTATATTATTTTGAATAATTTTTTTATTACATGACAGAATAATATCTACTATTAAAGATGCGGAATCTCAAGATCCATCCATGAGCTACTGAATCTTCAGTTTAATAATGTTCCAGGTGATTCCTAAACACCTTAAAGTTTGAGATGTCCTTCTCCAGATCAATGGATCTCATCCCCATTCGAATCACCTGGAGAACTAGAATCACCTGGATGGTTTTAAAACAGTTCTGATGCCTGGTCTCCACCATGGGCCAACTGAATCAGAAATCAGCTTGGCCACCCACTAGTCTGAGGAAGGAATTCTCCTTAGAATTTGTTTAAGAAACTTAAAAAGGTTGGAGTATATATGCAATAAGGAAATGAAAAGGATTGAATGACACTTAAAAATGTAGACAATTTTACATCAAAGAGCCACAAGTATGCATGTTAGTCTCAAATAGTGTACTCAGAAAAGAGGAACACAGCTGTCATATTGAAAATATTCTCTTTACCCATCAAAATCAGAAACACTCTTAAGGCATGATAAGTGGTTAGTTTCTCTTAGCCTAGGAGGCCTGGTCTTGGTTTGGGGAGCATTGGGTTGGAGCTTATGTGATGTTAGTGCCCAGGCAGCCAAGGAATGTTACTAGTTTTAAGAGTCCAGGACTGTTCAGTCAGGGTGAAGTTGAGCACATTGAGCCCAGTAAAAAAGGAAAGGGGGGGTTGAGAAGATGACAGATGACTCCAGGGCGCTTGAAGAAATTCATGTGACTCCAGGAGACATGAATTTCCATGGGAACCATGTGCTAGGATATGTGACCCAAAGTGAAGGATCAATTTTTCAGACACCAAAGACACACACAAACAAGTCCTAGCTTCAGGCAGAGAGGAGCAGGAGAGTCCTCATTCGTGTTGGTCAGAAGATTTCAGTGGGAAAGGCTGTCTGCAGGCTGTACCTTTTTACTGAGAGGACTTAGATTTGGGAACATCCTCACTGCTTTCCATCCACCATCCAAGCTCAGTGAGCCTAGAACACCATTCAAGGAATGTTCTGGGCCCTTCTCTTGGGCTGTATTTGGGAAGGTAGGAAGTTACTATGGTGATTGAAAACAATCCTCTTTCTGATCTCTTCCTTTTCTGATAAGGAACACGTTTCATTATGATTTGTGCTGTAAAATAATTACCTTTTTGTGCTGAAGTCAAAATTTTCAAAACAGTATTGTATAAATGAGGATTGAAAAGGTAAGTTTCATAATGGACCAGGAATAGGCCTGCAGACCATGGGAAGGGGTTGAATATGCCATGCTGGAAGGGTACCATGGAATAAACCACCTACTTAGATAAGGAAGGTCAAAAGGGGCATTCATCCTGATTGCAACTAAATTCAACAATAAGTTTTTATTAAATAGTTGCAGAGTGCACACACTGTTCAGGTACTGGAGATACAGTGGTGAACAAAACAGAAAGTCTTATGACCTCTCGTTACTTACCGACTAGTCAGTGGCCCCAGATGTAAAACATGCAGATAAATAAATATATATTATAATGAACACCTACAAATTGAGATAAGGCCTCTAAAAGAGAATTACAAAAAAGAGAACACAGGAGGCTGGTAATTTAAATTTTGGCAGAAAGGATTAGAAAATAAGATGGTGGGTTTCACTTAACAGTCAGAAAGCCTCATACAGATTTGGACCCATCAGAAATAATGACAAACCTAACTATGAATGGTCAATTAAAGATGAGGATTAAAAATACATTTATGCACTAGTTAAGGAAGGGTTGAGAATAAATGCAGTGTCAAACTGAGGGGCCTAACCCACTATGAGCAGAATTAAGTGCTCTTGGTCAAAGATGACAGAGAAGGTTGAAGCTGAGAAAACTCTTCTAAGGTGGGGAGTGAAAGGATTTGTTGGTCAACAGTGAAGCTCAAGTGCAAGCAAAAGCCACAGGAGCAGATGCAAACACAATGCACCATTGAGGCAAAGCTATCTCTTACATTCTTCCTGCTATGGCTTGGCCAGTCAGCAGCTGGGAGGCTCAAAGTCTACTGGACAACACCCTTTCCCAAGACCTGGAGGATTCTGCCAGAGAATACAACCCTAGAGTCATAAAAGTTTGGTGACACAGGGACTACAGTGTGCATCTATTCCAACACCCCATCTGATTTCACCATGGACCTCAGGATTTCTTTCTTGGTCACCAGATAAACCCACACTGACTGACTGGGCTCTGATTGGAGGTCTCAATTGCTCTGATCCTTAAAATTCCAGCCCTTAGACTTGACCCACTTATCTCTGACTTATTCTGTTAACTTGAAGCTTACTCGCTGGTATGTGTGAAGGCTGGGTCCAGCCACAGGTTTTAGGATAGTGCCAGGGCCTACCCTTATAGTGACCACATGCCCTCTACATCCCTCCCAAGGCTTATTTCTGTTACAAAATCCTCTGTTTTGGGCAAACAAACCTATTCATAGCTCAGCGGGTACCTCGTGAACATCCTTGGCTCTTCACTTTTGTAACAGGGCCATGGCATCTCTACATTCTTTCAATCGTTTAAGACCCAGCTTAAATTCCAGCTCCTATAAGTATTCCTGACCACCTCCATTTTCTATATGTTCATGAGTAATACAGTATATCATTGTAAGCACTGTTGGGTATCAGAAACTAGTGTAATTGGCACATTGAATAAGGAAGGCTCATGGAGTATAATAAAAAAGTCATTTACTTTTGCCTCTCACAGACCATGCCAGTTTGTTCATTCCTCTACCCATTTATTTATTTATTAATTCATTCACTAAATAGAAGTTTGTTGAATGTTTACAATGTCCAGGCATTATTCGAAAATCTGGGGTACAGTACTAAACAAAATACAAATGCTTGCACTTGGGGAGCTTATAATCCCGTGGAGAAAAAGAAAAACAAAACAAGATATAAAAGTACAACACTGGCCAGGTGCAGTGGCTCATGCCTATAATCCAGGCACTTTGGAAGGCCGAGGAGGGTGGATCACCTGAGGTCAGGAGTTCAAGACCAGCCTGGCCAACATGGTGAAACCCTGTCTCTACAAAAACTACAATAATTAGCTGGGCGTGGTGGCACATGCCTGTAATCCCAGCTACTCTGGAGACTGAGGCAGGAGACACTTGAACCCAGGAGGCAGAGGATGCAGTGAACCAAGATTGTGCCACTGCATTCCAGCCTGGGCAACAGAGTGAGACTCTGCCTCAAAAAAAAAAAAAAAGTACAACACTTCGTATGTTAGATAAACATGCTAAGGGTATAAATAATACAGGACAAGGAGACATACAATGTCAGCATTTTTAGGACAAAAAAGCCTCCTCTCCCTGAGAGACTGTCTTTTGATTAGAGACCTGAAAACAATGAGCATGGTAGCTAACAGACGCCTGGTGGAGAGGCACCCAGGCAGAAGGGACTGCAGGTGAAGAGGCTTTGAGGTGGGACTTCTGCTACTCCAAGGTGACATAAGCAATCCTCAGGCTTGGTAGTATTTCAAGCTGGCCTTTGTCTTACAGGGCATTTTTTTGAGTGCTTTTAAGAGTTTCCCCTAGTTCTCTTGATATGGAGAACAAATCTCTTCTAGGTTGCTTATGGCTCTTTCCTTAAGCCCCAGGAATCCCACATCTCACTCTCTCACAGGTGTCACTGCCACCTTCCCGGCAGCCCTCTTGGGCAGTTTCTAATGATCTCATGCTGACAGCATGCTAGCCTGCCAGTCTCTGGCCTTAGATTTTCCAGCCAGCAGTTAGATATCATCCCAATGGATCCCCCCGCTCTTTGGATGGACATATTAAGTTTCTGCAGGGATGCTGGGATCCTATTAAACAGCAGGAAGAAAAAGTAAAAAGAAGGAAGCACATCTTCCTTTTGGTGAGAAGGCAAAACATTCAACATTCTTTTAATCATCAAAGTTTTTTTTTCAGTCTCTTCAACTTGTTTTTCTCAGCTGAAGTGGGCAATCATCAAAGAGTCACAAAATGGTTTTAAGCTTTCTTTTACAAGTCTTGCTTGGTGATTTCAAACCTCATTTTGTCATGGCATATACATTTGATGGGGAAGATAGCTAGCTAGTGTTATAGTACTTCAGGCTCACTGATCACATCCTTTGTGAATACCCAATACTTCTAGCACACAGTAGGTTCTTGGTAACTACTTAATGAGGAAGATGATGTGCTTTCTGGGTATATATTTGGTGGAGAAGCTCAGCTAAAAATCATGCCATTTAATATTTTAGGACTATGTTTGAAAGTCTGCAAATGGGAGGTGCTGATGAGTACCCAGCTGACTGCTATACAAAGCTTCTCTGATCTGCGGCAGTTACTGTCTCCACCACTCATTTGGTACTTAACACGTACTGCTCTGAGTTGTTATTTTAATTAATATCTAATTATAAAGCAACACATGAATAGACTATCCATATAAGTATTTAAAATATTACATTTTTGGGACTCAGAAAACAGTGCCCCAAAATGGAAACCTGAGAAACAACCTCAGAAGCAAAAGTGTCTCTGCGACCCTCTCCTGCCCTCCTGACTCTCAGTCCCATTCTCCCCCAAGGCTAGCCGTAGAAACCCCAAGGTGGGTCATGGAAACCAGATCGTCTTTTTCCCAAAGCCGGCCATAAAACCTAAAAATATTACGCTAACTTTCCCTCCACCTGTCTGTGTAAAAACTGGCCATAAAGAAATGATCTGGCCTACCTTGTTTGATTGTAGGTCATAAAACCCCCATTCCAGAGGGAGTCTTGCCCAACACCCAGAAGGAAGGAACACTTGTTCAGAGAGGCGAAGGAGAATCCAGACACACAGGCCTTGCTGGGTCTCCCCACTCAGTCTATTAATTTAGATCATATCCTTTTTGTTCAATCATATTTCTATATGGCTGTCCATACTTTGTTGAACCCAAGCATAAAAATGGACAATTTCCCCCATATCTTTGGGTCTTCATTTTGAAGGCTTCCATGTACACATTAAATAAATTTATATGCCTTTTCTCCAATTAATCTGTCTTTTGTGAGTTTATTTTTCAACAAATCTTCAGAGGGTTAAGGGAATGCTTTCCACAGGCTCCAACAAACATAGAGTTGAATCCCTTTCCACCACCCTTTAGCAATATATGAAAATTCATTATTTTTATGTACATTTTGTTATTTAATCTTTTAATTCATCTCTAGCTAGTATTCCAGTCCCTCAGGCTCACCAATCACATCCTTTATGAATACCCAATAATTCTAATACATAGTAGGTGCTTGATAACTGCTTGATGAGGAGGGTGATGTGCTTTCTGGGTATGAAATCTTATGACTAAGTAGATTTAGAGTTGAAATCATACCTTAACACAATCATATTCTCCTATATGTGAAGATATAATTTTATACAAAAAGTATAAAACATTTATTATTACTCTATGTCATGTTGACCCTGTTGACTTGCTTCTTAGATAGTTTTCTGCAATTAATTGGCATTGAGACTTCCGTCCCGGTCTGTAGCCTTCAAAGAAAAGTTCAACTTTGAGACTGATTCGAGGGGACATTTTTCTATTTTTGTTTATCTGCTCACATATCTATTCATTACAACATTTTGTTATTTAAACAAATCAATACAAATTTATTTAATGTGTACATGGAATGAGGACCCAAATATATAGGGCAAATTGTCCTTTCTTATGCTTACGTTCAACAAAGTATGAACAGGACAGCTGTGTAGAAACATGATTGAACAAAAGGTATGATCTAACATTATTCGACTGAGTGGGGAGACCCAGAAAGACCTGTCTGTCTTAAGTTCTGATGTGTAAAGAACTTGGATATTATCACTTCCATCCTTACAACAAGAAAACACTGTACAAATGGAAAACCAATAACATTTCTTGTACTCATCAAAGAACTGAATGTGCAGGGTATACCTCAACCCTGAAACCTGGAGAGACAGGCATATCCAGAGAGGCACATCTGAGATCTGTGTACCTGGAGTAAAGCTGCTGGAGCTGTAAGCTGTCAGAACACTCAAATGCTCATTCTGGTGAATTCCTAGAGGCTGAGTGTGGACTAGCTAGAGAGGGAGAAGCTCCTGGGGATTGCAGTCTTGAGGGAAGCTCTCACTTTCATGGGCTTTATCTCCAGGGACCCTACCAGGTTCTCACAGCTAAGATCTGGGAAAGATTCCCTCAGGGTTCTGGACAAAATACGAGAAGAAAAATTATTATGAAATACACAAAGAGGCAATATAGGGAGATACCATCTCTACAAAAAAAAATAAAAAAATTAGCCAGGCATGATGGTGTGTACCTGTGGTTCCAGCTACTTAGGAGGCTGAGGTAGGAGGATCACTCGGGCCTGGGAGATCGAGGCTATAGTGAGCTGTGATCATACCACTGTCTTCCAGTCTGGGTGACAGAGTGAGACTCTGTCTCAAAGGAAGAGAGGGAGAGAGACAAAGAGAGAGAGAAGAGAAGAAAAGGAAGGAAGGAAGGAAGACACAAAGAGACTTCTCTATAACAAAGGCCTACTCCTTAGGAAAAAAGACTTTACTAGATAGAGCCTTATCCCAGTTGAGGAGGGGCATTCATCCCATTCTAGCACCCTCTAGCCTTCCTGTCTCACCTGAGGAGATGTGGGGGCGACAAAGAACAGTCAACAGAGGTCATGTTTTCAAGGAAATAGACTGTGAACACTGCATCCAGAGAAAGGAATACAGATCAGATGAGAAAAAAGCGATACCGTGGGAGAAACACTTATGAAGGTCACAGCCCCCAAATACAAACCCACTAAAAGATTGAGATTTAATTGGGAGATTATTAAACACTTCCTTTTGGACACTTTACCACCGTATCAGCAGGGCTCCAGCATAGTAACAGTGGATGACAGCTGAAAGAGCTGCAGGACACAGGCTCTCTCTGAGGAAGAGTACTTAGGGAAGCCCAAGGTCAAGAGGAAAGACAAAAATGACACTACAGGAATTTGAATCTCTGGAGCTAACGGCTACTGAGAACATTAAACATAGCCCAACTCCCAGACAGATTAACACAAATCCTCAAGGCTAAAGGCCTATTTATCTGGGTTCATTTTACCCAATATAACATGTCCTGCTTTTAACAAAAACCTACAAAGCATGCCAAAACGCAAATGAAAACACAGTTTGAAAAAACAAAGTAATCATCAGAACTAGATTCAGATATGACACAGATGTTAGAATTATCAGGCAGGGAATCTAAATAACTGTGTTAGGGGTTTTAATGGAAAAAGTAAACAATATGTAAGAAAAGATGGGTAATATAAGAAAAGAGATAGAAAGTCTTAGAAAAAATCAAAAGGACGTTTTTGAAATAAAAAAACCATAAGAAAATTAAATGCCTTCAATGAGATCACCAGTAGACTCAGCACAGAGTTGATAGAGAATCAGTGGGCTTGAAGATAATGAAATACAACAGAAAAGGGAATTAAAAACAACAAAAAAAAATGACCATCCAAGAACTGTGGGACAAGTTTAGAAGGTGTAACACACCAAGGGGAAGAAGGAGAGAACAGAGTAGAAAAAATCCTTGAAGTAATAATGGCTGATAACTTTCCAAAGTTATGATAGACATCAAATCATGGATCCAGGAAGCTCAGAGAACACTATCCAGGATTTAAAAAAAAATTCCACACCAAGACCTATCATAATCAAACTGCAGAAAACCAAAGACAAAGAGAAAATCTTGAAAGAAGTAAGAAGTGGGAAAAACACTTTATCTATAGAAGAAGAAAGATAAGAAATACAATAAGCTTCTCATTAGAAACCATGAATGCAAGAAGAGTGAGGAATGGAACATTTAATGTGTTGAATGAAACAGACCACCAACCTAGAATTCTATATCCAGCAAATTATCCTTCAAAAGTCAAGGAGAACTAAAGACCTCAAACAAAAACTGAGAGAATTTATCACCAACAGACCTGCCCCGCAGGAAGTGGTAAAAAAAAAAAGTTCTTCAGCAGACAGAAAATAATATAGGTCAGAAGCGGAGTGCTAGAGAAGGAATAAATAAACCACCTGTCCCCAAGTGAATAGAATCACATCTGTCTCAGCATAAGCGCATGTCTGATCTGTGAATGATGACTGTGTTTTAAGGAAAGAGTGTATACTCTTGCACTCTTGCAGTATGGTTTAAAAATGTTATACAATAGTTTTGATTTTTTTTTCCAATTCTTGCCAGCAGGAAGTCAAGTTTTGGTTTCTTATAGGCTTGTAAATAGTGAATAGAAAGTTTAGAACTGATACAAAAATATTGAATTTGCAATTTATAAAAGCTATGAATCTTACCTACATCTGCATATGCACATTGTACCTGTAAATGTATTCTAGTGACAAGATGTGGGATAAGCAAAGGGTTTACATAGTGGAAGGTACAATTTAGAAAAGAAAATGCTTTAGTAAATTCCTCAATTAAAAAAAAGCTTTGTTAAACCATATTGCCAAATATTATAGTTAAGGACTTTACATAGGAAGTGTTTAAAGAAAATAAAATCTCAGCTAAACATTGGTACATTTTTAACACACAGTTTTTGAGATCCTTCTATGTGTTAGCTGACAGAGATACCAATATGATTAAGCCCTGATGAAGATGAGAAGCTAATTGTATGGAGGTGCCATTTGGTATCTTACACGATAACTGTTAGTATTTCAGTTACAGCTTAATATGCTCCCTGTTGAATTGCAAAAGCATATTAAATTAGAGGCGGCTTGATGACAGGGACAGACCATGTGTCTAGATAGCTCCACTCTTGGCACAGTGCCTAACACGTAATAGGTGCACAACAAATGTTTGTTAAATGGAAGTTTACAGGGTTGGCAGATTACCACCTGCAGGACAAATCTAGCCTTTGGGATAAATCCGACCTGTGTTCTGTTTTCGTAAGGCTCTCAGGCTGAGAATGTTTTATGCATTTTTAAGGCACTGTATACACACATACACACACACACAAGATTAATGTGACAGACCTTATGTGGCTACAAACCCTAAAGTATTTATTTCGTCCTTTACAGAAAACATTTGCTGACCTCTGCTTGATTGAGGTATTCCTTTTAACTCTTCCTGAACTTTGTCTTGGAGTAAGGTTTCTCCTTGTGTAATTATATGACCCCTTGGCACAGGCTTGCCAAAGTGATCTTCCTCAGCTGCCAGTTACATCCCAGGAATAAATGGTTGGCACACCCAACTTGGGCTGTAGTCCGCTTCACATGACACTCTGAACTTGCCTCCTTAATCAGCAAACAGGTTGTGCCATTCTCTTTGGTTTCCTGGTAACCCTTTACTACACAATCAAAGGAGAAAAGACCACTTGTGACATCAATGTCCCACATGAGGATTCTGCCCATTTAGAAGAGTTCCCAGATTGCTTTTTCATCTTATCAGTTTTTATCTTTTGTTGTTTCCTTCTTAACAGTGCACATGCCTATTCCCTCCCATCAACTGTTGAATCTTTAGCAACATTTATGGCTCCCTGACCATGGATACAAACTATTTCAACTAGACACTCACCAACTTGTCAGAAAAAGCCTGTAGTTCCTACAATACAGTAGAATTAAAATTTGTTTAAAAGAGTTTTATGAAAAGTAAACAAAAACTAAACCAACACATAAGATTATAGTAAATAATTTGATATGTATGTGTTTTAACTAAACTATATGACCTTCCAGGGCAGAGATTTTTTTTTCTCTGTTCCCCATTGCTAATTTCAACACATGCTCAATAAAGACTGATTAAATGAGGTGTGTCTCAGGCTCTGTGAGGGCAACCTATTTGTCAATCCAAAACACAAACCAATTAATAAAGATATGCGGTCATTTTGCATCCTCAAACCAGAATTCTGGAACAAAGCTCCTGAATATACAAGTGATGAATATTTAGACTTGAACTTTTCACTGTAGCCAATGGAGGGAAAATCCTTTGCACAGTGGGGTGTAATACTGAATTTTTATGGGTCTCCAGAGCATTGCCGATTCAGGGGATATGCAAGTAACCTCTAACTCTTTTCAGAACTTGCCATTTAGTTCACTTTTATTATTTGTTTTTCTGGGAACCAAAGGTCAAACTTGTTATATTTGCACCGTACCACCTATATGGGAATGACTGAGATCAACAGAGCCCTGGATCGTCATCTTTCCGGCACTTCGCCAAAGCAGCGGGGATGCCAGACCTTCCCTTCCTCGTGGGGACTTTGGAACTTTTGTTGGGTCTCTGTGAGCCTGAGTACACCACTAGCTCTGTTTTTCACTCAGAGTTCTTATTTTTAAGGCCATCTATTAATTTTTGCTCAGACTCTCCCCAAATGCTCTCTTGCTCCACTGCACAAGGTCTTACCGAAGATAAAAGACATAGATGTGTGAAAAAAGGAGGGATCTTGTTTTTCCCCCCGTCTCTCAAGGCCTTATTTATGGGTTTCAGTTGGTGGCAGGGATGTTTATATGAACCTTACCCAAACTGCCTGAACCTCCTGGGCCTGCAAATATCAGGCTGCAAATTTCATGAGAGTAGAACTTTTTTCCAGGATGGGGGAGGGGTGGCTAAGATTTCCTGTACTTCCTGTTTTAGAGCTGCTGGAATTGAGACAAAAACTGTATTTCAGGATTTCAGTACCTGGCCCCAGCTGGAATCTGGACATACAGATGTGCACAAAGAAGAAACACATGTGCACACACATTCACACCCACACAAATACCTAGAAAGGGTCATGGTATGTGTAGGTACTCACAAAAATTTACTTAAAACACACAGATGGTACTTTCCATTTTGAGTAAAATGGATTCAAATTCCAAAACATTTTCATAAAGGTTTTTCAAAGTTTCAAAACCAAACCAAACAACAATCCGATTTGGGGGAAACGGGTGAGTTCATTACAATTTTATCCAGATTCTCATGAATGTACTAGAGAAAAAAGATGGAGAGAAACAAACAAAGAAACCCAAATCCAACAACTTGTAAATGTAATGTATGAAAGCCAGGAGCACGATGGCCTGGTACTGCCAACAATTGTGGGGCTTTGTCCACCTAAATGGTTCTTAAATGAATGAATTTGGGGCGTCCTTTCTGCGATGTGGCAGATACTTCTCACCTGGGCTGAGATGAATCCAGGCAGCAGGATTCTCCTCAGAGGACATGGACACTGCTCTGCTAAATTCCATATACATGTATATGGGGCGAAGGAGAAGGTTAAAAAAGAGTCAGGGTGGAGGCAGATGCAAAACCACAAATTAGGTGATGCGTTGGATTAGCCTTTGAGTCCCTGCCTGGCTGTCAAAGGCTGACTGTAAAGATGTGATGTTGATACCAAGCAGGTTATTGCTTGCACAGCAGCACCCCCAAACATATGCATCCTCGAAAGGACTGGCCTTTGTGCAGATGTTGAGCCAGCAGGTTATTAACGTGCAGTGCAAACAGGACCGGTCCGTGGAACACAGGGAAGGCGTGCCTGAAAGGGAGAGTCAAAGTTTCCAGTAACCACTTTCAGTTGGCAGAACTCTGATTGGAACCATGTGACAATTTTAGGCGATGTACCATAGGCAGCCAATTTATTACATATGGCAGTATGATTAATGGTATCAAATACCTTTTTTTGGTAACATCCAAGAACACTCCGCCAGCCAACTGCTTGGAGTCCAAGGCAGGGAAAATCTGTTCCATGAATTTAAAGTCAGGCAGATGAGGTTAAATGAGAGAGGGCCAGAAGCCAAGGCAATGATTACAAAGTAAGTTGTTCAAAAAAGAGCAGAATGTTTTAAATCTGGTCTTGAACAAATCCCATGCAGTCCCCACCTACCCGACCTATTTTTCTCTTTGCCTTTCTCCCCTTGCTTCTTGATGTGAACCCTCATAGCTACATTCTTGAGGACATTTCTAAAACCAGGCTGTCTTCCACTTGCCCAGAGACTTTTCCAGGCCCAGGCAAATCTGCACGTGACCACTGTCTGGATCTTTCTTTGGAATCCTATGTCGGGGGTAGCAGCAGAGACCTACAGATGGGGTGGGGCACTTGCTGTGCTGGGTGTCCTAGGGGAGGGCCTCCCAGCTGCATCACACTCTCGTTGATGGTTAGGAGGCCCTTCTGCCCTCTTCTCTCTGTGAGTTGGGTTTCCTTGAACTTCCAACATCATCACAAATGACTAGGAAGAAACTGTGGCACCCATGGGGAGACGTGCAGAGGCAGGGACCTGTGAGGAAGGTTGCTTACCATTTGGGAATTGAAGAATGAGCATACAGAGGAGGGAAGAAGCAGAGAGAGTCTCAGGATGTGACTTGGTCTCCAAAGTGAGCCCACACAACATGCAATAGGTGCTTACTATGTATTTGTTAAATAAATGTGTACTATCACCACATTCTTTGGTGTTTTCTGGTGGACATCTGCCTGTTTTGTCAAAGTTGTGAGTCGTTGCCTTCTGAAAATAATTTTATAAAAAGACAAACACATTTTGACTGAGGGCCCACCAGGCACTAGTAGGTGGGATAATTTATGTATTTGTTAATTTTATTTCAGACTGTTTTTATTTATTTACTAGATAATGTATAATTGATACAATTTATTTTTATTCTTATGGGCTACAGATTGGTAGTGTGTGGTTGTATCTAACAGGGCAAACTGATCACTTACCCTGTGTTTCATGGATTAATTTTTTTCCTTTTTTGTAAAAACTGAATCTGGTCTATTGTTTGGGGGTTCATTCTATTACTTGGGGCTCAGTTTTCAAGCCGTCAATTTGGTATGCTCTTTAGACCTTGCCTAAAAGTCCTAGATTACATCTTTGGCAAAGCTTTTTTTCCCTATAAAAAGAGAATTTAATATGAAAATCATGAGTAGTCATGAAATGTATGGAAGTCAGGTGACTCCGATTCAGGCAGGAGAGTAAAGATGTGTTCACAGTGAAACAAAAGGGTCTTGAAAGTGAGATTGAGCCATAACATGGGGCAACTGGGCAATTGCACCATGACTGCCACCCCTAGGGACGGAGGCGTAGCCTTAAATCAAGATGATGTTCCTTAGCTTGCTCTGTTGGAGGTTTTCAACCCATTCTGACCTACTGTGTATGCAAAGGCTCCGTGACAGATAGGGGTTGACTGTATTCTGGTAACTCCCTCTTTTGAACATCACTGTTCATTCATTGAAAATGATATAAAAAACAAGATTTAATACTGGCCCTCCTCCAACTCCCTTCCTCCACCATCTTTAAAATGAAACCCAGACACTTCCTTCCTCCGAAACATAATTATTTCTGCTGAGTGAATCACACTCACTTTTAAATAAAAATTCACCTTTGCTACGTATTCTTTGAAGGTCAAAATGGAGCAGTCTACAGAACTGCTAGAATAAACAAATCAGCCTGTTGGTTATAATGGGCCAAGAGTCGATTTTCTTTTTAGTTCTCTCCTGGAGTGTAGCAACACAACATTGTCCCCTTGGATTAGTTTCCCATTGCTGCTATAACAAATTGCCCCAAACTTGGCTCCAAACAACACAAATTTGTTATCTTCCAGTTCTGAAGGTCAAAGGTCTGCAATAGGTTTCACTGGGCTAAGACTATATGTTGGTAGGGCTGTGCTCCCTTCTGGAGGTTCTAATGGGGAATCTATTTCCTTCTTCCTTTTAAAAACTCTTTCCCCCTTGTTTAAAAGCCCTTTGCAGCTTCTAGAGGTTGCCACATACTTTGGTTCATGGCCCCGTCCTCCACCTTCAAAGCCAGCAGCATAGCATCTTCAAATCCCTAACTCTGCCTCTGTTGCCACGTCTCTTCTGACTCCCATCCTCATGTTTCTCTATTATAAGGACCTTGTTATCTCATCGGTATGCTCTGATAATCCAGGATAATCTCCTGTCTCAAAATTGGTAATTTAATCCCATCTTCAAAGTCCTTTCTGCTGCATCAGGTAACATATTGACAGGTTCTGGGTATTAGGATAGAGCCACTTTTAGAGGGCCATTATTCTCCCTACCATTATGATGCAGGAAAGAAGAGGAAAAACCCTCAGAAAATCATATGACAAGGTTGTGATGAAAAACAAAGAGGCAGCCAGCAAATCTCTGCTTAGCACTTCTACCAGGAAGCTCTCTCAACCCCCTTGCTTTGTTGCTTTCCTGGCTCACTCTGTGTACTTCATTCATAACTTAACTGAAAGCAGGACTTCGTGGAAATAGAATAATAGTGCTAATTGAGTGCTTATTCTGCACCAAGCCGTTACTTAGTTCATTCTCACAAGGGGTAGGTGCTATTATTCTCTTAGCTTTACTGATGACAAAATGGAAGCGTAGAGGAGTTAAGTAACTTGCCCAATAAAGCACAATTGGCAAATAACAGAATAAAGCAAGATTTGGATCTGTGTCTGTAGGATTCCACAACCCCCATACTTGACCGCTGCATTTTTCTGCCTTAAGTTTAACAAAGGAAAGGAAAGTAAATGGGGGAGGTTGTCACGGAATTTGCATTTTTTTTCCTTCTTCATCTTAAGTCAGCCCTTTACAAGTACATAATCTACAGCCCTACCTCATATTCTTGTGTTTGTTGTTAACCACTCACTGCCTGTTACACTATGTCTTTGATTCCCAGTACTATTCGCTAACTGGGTCCCTAGTCTAGGCCTAAATGGGTCACAGGGATCTATTCTATGTGTCTTCTTGAGCCTAATTCTTATCCACCAGGGTCTTAGAAACTGGAGAGAATCTAGCTGTTCAGTGGCTAATAACTGTATACCACCACTGCCTAATTTTCTTTCTTTTTTGAGAAAAATATTGAACTCTGAACATCAACAGGATTTCCAGGATTGCCAAATTAATAAAAGCCTAGTCGTATATGAATTTATATTGTCAGGATGTTGTCTTTGGACCCTAATTATGCTAATGCAGTTGTAATACTAAATTTGAAATCAAAAGAAATTCTAAAATATAAAAGGGAAGCTAAGCTAAAACAGTCCTGCAACAGACTACAATCACCGGTAAAAAACAGTTTTCGGCTAACATCGAGATAGAGAGAATGACTTTTACACACGTTGTTCTGCAATCCAGAGAAATTCTAATCTTTAAAGGATTTTAAATCCAAGAGATATAACTAGGCAGTCATGGGACCCATTCCACTAGCCAAAATTCACCTCTCTAAAGCAGTCACAGCTTATACAGTGTAATAGAATTGACAGATGTCAGACCCTGGTGAGGGAATATAATCATTGCCAAACCTTCCTGAAAGGAACTTTTGCTGCAAGTGTTGGGGACAAGTAATTCAAGATGTAAAATCTGCAGATAGCCCCAAAGTGTCATTGTCTGCCTCAGGCTCCACAGCACTTTCTGGGAATTAAAAAAAAAAAAAAAAAAAAGAAAGCATTACTTTTGACTAATTATTAAGATAAATATTCATTTATTTCATTAAGAATAATAATAATGCCACCTCTGAAACAAAAGTATCTTACAATCAGAAAACATTGCAAACAAAATCATGGCCTAGAGCAAATTTCTGGTTCTTTAGGTTGCAAATCTTTTTCGGTAGAACCTACAAATTTTCCAGGAACATATATGAAAAATAAAATTTTACATTTGAGGTCCTGATTGGCAAAGTTGATCCATTTATAAAACCCATCTTTTGTGCAGATAAACCCCACAAAAGGATTATAACCTTAGAATGTACTTTTATAAAAATTGCAATTTCCCCCATGTTTATCATTGCTATTGGCTGGAACATTTGGGATAAAAAGATTTGCATTTTCCCCAGGTTTTTTGCTTTTATCTTTCCACAATTCCAACAGAGTCATGGTGAGGTAGCTTCCTGTCTTTCTGATTTATCCAAAGATGCCCCTCTTCTATTAGAGCTGTGATTCATTGATTCTTTTCTCTGGGACTGAGGGGGCCAAAGTGAAGTTTTAACGTTCTCTGAAACTTGCTTTTGAATAAGCTCAGAGGAAGAGAAGCAGACTGTGGCTCATTTCATTTTCATGCTTGTATCATTTTGACTATACATCAAATAGGTGTTGAAGCCACTTTTGTAAACGTCAACCCAATGAATATAAATATAAATAAATCTATGTAAATATAGATATATATAAATATAGATATTTAATATAAATAAATAATAGGTATATAGATAAATATAGATATAGATATAAAATCGCCAATATTTTGGTTTTTTTAAGAGATAAGGTCTCACTTTCTCATCTGGGCTGGAGTGCAGTCATAGCTCACTGTAGCCTCAACCTCCCGGGCTCAAGTGATCCTCCTGCTTCTGCCTCCCAAAGTGCTGAGATGACAGATACATGAGTCACCGTATCTGGCATCCAACAATTTTAAAAGCAGGGATTTGAGCAGGTGAAATTTATAGGCAACATTCGCCTCCCGTATTTTCCTTGTACCAGTGGTTCTCAAACTTGAGCATACCTCAGAACGACCTGACAGGCTTTTAAAAATGCAGGTGGCCAAGCCCCACCCTCTGATTCAGGGGGTCTGGGGTGGGACTGGAGAATTTGCTCTTCCAAGTTTCTCCAGGAGGGTGCTGATGCTGCTAGTCTGAAGACCTCGCTTGAGAACCACAGCTCCACACCATCAACGAGAATGGAGAGGCTTATTTTAAGAATATTTACTTAGAGATTTTATTATGGGGAGAAAAACATGTGCAGTAAAGAAATTTTCTAGTACATATTATGGGTTAGGAACTGTTTTGTGCACTTTATATACATTACCTCATTCAATTGTCAGTGACCCTTGGGAGTAGGTATTTTTATTACCTCCATTGTACAGATGGAGAAAGTGAGGCTGAGCAGGTTAAAGGACTTGCCTGAGGTGACCCAGCTGGAGGCGGGTGGGGATGCAGAGCCTGTTTCTCAGACTCCCAGCTTGTATCCTTAACCTCCTCCCAATATTGCCGCCCAGGTGCTTGTTTAAAAATCTGATGATGTGTTTCTGTAGAAATATAACTCTCATCCCAAATCAGACTCCTCGCTAAAGTCGCATGGTCTAGAAGACTTGCAAACCCAGGGGCAGAAAGGGTGTTTGTGGCTGGTGCATGGTTTCCCAGAGTGGGCTCACCATGGAGAAATATTTCCATAACAAAGGCAAGTTGTCCTCCCCGAGAAGAGCGGGCAGGGAGTTGCAAGTGTCTGCCTATGATGTGATCCACATTTAATGCTTATCTGGGTGAGAGGGAATTTGATTAGAGCAAATACAAAGCCCAATTCAGAGAACAAAACCACTAATTCAAAGGTGGTTTTCCTATGGATGTAAAATGCTTCAAGCCTGTTAAAAGGACTGAAGAGAATTCCACCGAGGAGTGCCTTATATTGTGTCTGATTTCTCAGATCCAAGCACCACCAGGCTGTGTGGGTGTCTGCGGGGCATGGGGAGCTGGCATGGCTGGGCCACTAACAGCACTGGCAGGCACTGTCTAGCCTGAAGGGGACACAGTTTCAGGCATGGGGACGAGGGAGGCCGTTTGTCCTACAGACCCCTTTTCCACCCCTGACCCACCCCCTCTGATGAAGCCTCTGTTTGCATCTGGTGGCTTCTCAGCCTAGAAGCGTTCCAGCACTGCAGTGCCCTGATATGTTTGTTTTCCTTTCGGCTAATTTTATCAAGGTCTGGGGTCATTATTAGCCAGATCACAAAAGTAAGAGCTCATTAATATGTATCAGCGCCAAACCCTATGATTTCATCTGTTAATTTGATCTTGTTTTTCCTTGTTTATGGCAATTAAATCAGACCTTGATAAATCTGAAAATGAAAAAAAGAAGCCACCAGCAAGCACAGCTATTATGATCACTCATTAGAAAGCCAAGCAGACTCTCTGATAAATCGTGCCAGGGTTTTTAAGGACTAGATGATTACCTGCTTAAACAGCATGGAAGCTACCAGTAAAATGTAGCAAAATGATTAAAGAAAAAAAAGAACACCCCCATTACATCCAAGTGTAACAGATGGACAGTTGTACTTTGGGGAATGTTCCCGGACCATGTCTCCTCCCCTTCAAGCTAGGGAGGGCAGAAGCCACGGGCCCTCCTGGGCACAGAGGAGAGACAGCTTCCCTTCCTCGCTCCCTCCCTGGCCCTCCCCCATATCCTCCTGGCGACTGAGGGAGAATTGCTCAGCTGCCACTAAGGCCTCACTCCAAACTGTGTGATGGTTAAGAAAAGCGCTAAGTACTGGGGAGGTGAATAGGTGGGAGGAGGTGGGCAGAGCTGGGATATGTCGGTAAATGACAAGATGGATGTGACCTTTCCTGTCACAAATGAGGCCGGGTGTCACTATGGAGGAACGCTTGTCATTCTTTTTGGCCCCTCTGTGTCTGAAAGCCTGTCCTCTGTTCGGGGAGCCACCACTGTATAGATTCTCATGGGATGCGGAACTGCCTTCTACAATTGAAGTTGAAAATGCCAACAGCTTGCCTTCCCAGTTTCCCTGCTAGGACATGGACACTGTCCTTTCCAGCATCAGGGTCCTTGAAGAACCCCTTATTCTGCTTGCAGGACATTAGGATTCCTGGAGCCACTGTGGCTAGCAGCTTTAGGGTCTTGGTGGTAGATTTCCTCTCTGCAAGAGTTCAGTGTTGGGATTTGGGACATAATCCCCCACATGTGGTTCTCCAGGCATCCTAGTGTGCCTGTGAACTAATCAATATTTTAAGAACCAAACTTTGTGCTTAACTTGATCAGCGTTGGTTTCTGTTGCTTACAGTTAAGAGCCCTGACATTCAGAAAGGAAGTGAGAGCAGCTTGTGCCCAAGGGGTGAGCTGGTACTTGTGCCAGTGCAAACAGCCCGTGCAGGGGCCAGCTCCTCATCTCCAGAGCGGCACATCCTACCCTATTTCCAAGGGGCAGGGGCAGGTGGGAATGGGTCTCAGACCCCCTTCTCATATGGCCTCAGGCTCAGTCACATTTGAAAGGGGCTCAGCTGAGTGTTTCCAGGGAAAGGTTTTATTTCTAGGAAAGTTTTCTTTTAAATCAGTCTCCTTGTCCCTATATAATCACGCTATTTCT
The DNA here is from genome assembly GCF_000001405.40 of Homo sapiens. Taxonomy (NCBI): domain Eukaryota; kingdom Metazoa; phylum Chordata; class Mammalia; order Primates; family Hominidae; genus Homo; species Homo sapiens. The sequence goes on from NC_000018.10 coordinate 24,819,586, forward strand.
TTAAGCTCCTCCGTAGCAATCTGGCCCTATTTGTCTCTGAGGTCTCTGCAGGGATCTGTGTGCAGCCAACTTGGCATCTTGCTGTCTTCTGGTCCCTTCACACCTTGGTATGGCTTGTCCCAGTGCCTGCAGGTCTGTTTGCTTGAAGAGCATCCAGCTCCTCCGATCCCTTTGTCTTTCAGCCTTTCTTCCCATTTTTGGTCCTCCTGCTAGGCCCACGAGCATGTTAAAAATGGATCTCCTAAAGATCATTGTCTGTATTTGCTGACTTCTCTCCTTTCCTTCAATTCAGGGGTCTGACCTTTCTTATGTTTGCTTCTGCAGTCTCTCTCTCTCTCTCTCTTTCTCTCCCTCCCTCCCTCCCTCCCTCCCTCCCTGTCTTTCTCTCCCTCGATTTTTAGATTCTTGTCTGGTTTCTGGTCATTTGGCTTTTTCTGACTTCCACGGTAGAAAATTTACGGATACCCTCCAAACCCTGATTTGAGAATTTTGGCCTGCTGATTCGTCTTTTCAGTAGGGTATCTAGATAGCCAAAATCCCATCACTGCACAATTCTGACCCAAAGGAGCTTTGTGAGGTTATCAGCGAACTTATCATCCACAATCTTAATTTCCAATTACCTGCGTTTTTCAGACATTTTCCTTACTTACTATTGAAGGTTACTCAATACTTCACAAAATCCCCTCAGATTATTTTTGGGGGGCCCTGAGGAGGTTTCACCCCACATGAACAGTGCCTGTCTACCAGGCGGGCTCCATCAGTTATTTTTCTTATCTACTCTGGCTCCCTTCACTGATATCTGCTGCCAGGACTTCTGCTTCCTATGAAGGAGCACGGACCTGCCTTGTCGATGACTTCAGTAGCACAGTGGCCCCAACAGGGCCCTGTGGTCGTGGGGCTGTGCTGTGGCTGTCAGGCACTGCCCCACAGGCCCTCTCCATGCCATAGCGTACTGTGGCCTCTCCTACTTTGGAAGGTGGGACACCTCTTTCCCTTTTTGTACAGTGCTTTGCCAGGGTCTTGATGGAGAGGTGTTTTGGTAAAAATACAAATCAACATTTTAGTTTTTGTTTACATTTCTTTCTTTCCTCTAAGTTCTCACCTTTCTCTTCCAATGCTGGAAGATTTACTATCAGAAAGAAAAAAAAATATCTGTCTGACTCTGTCTTCCATGAAGAAGTCTTTGCAGAAGGCTAGTGGCCTTGTTTCTCAGGCAAGTAAATTTCTGGAGAACTGCCTTGCCAGCCAATCCAACATGACTGGTCCTGACCAAGTAGAGATGGACAGAGCTCAGTTCAAACAAAAGAGTTTCCCACATTTGTTAGGAGGTCTAGATTTTGGCCATGATACTACTAAAATTCTTTTTTTGGATTTGGGAAACTCTAGTAACTAACCGATAGGGCTAAGGCTTTGGACTATGTAGGTGCATGCTTTTCAACATGTAAATATCCTGGAGCACTAAGACTACCTCAAGCCTTAGTCCCTCCTGCCTCTTCCTAGCCTCTCTGAAAATCTATGGTCATTTCAGGATAGAAGTCAACCAAGTATTCCATTCTGCCACCTCCCTGACTTCTGTGTCTTGGGACTACCCTCCTACTTTTCATATCTCATTCTGCATTTCTTCTTGTCGCTTTTGTCATACTTGTAACCTAAAAAGGTGACTGTGTGATTCATTATTTAATGCCCATCTTCCTTGGGAGGGCAAGGAGGGGAGGGCTGTGCCTGCTCATTTACTGCTGTATTTTCAGTGTGTAAAGCTTTGCCTGGCATTTGACACTCAATAGGAGCTCAATAAATATTTGCTGAATAATTGCATGAATATCGACAATTCTGTAATTATAATTGTTATGCTGAACTAAAAACTCTTGTTTTGGGGAAAACAGAGTGAACTTGATTCTTTTCCTTTCAGTTGTTCCTTGGGGGTGGAGAGAAGAGATGAGTCTATGGGGATAGTTTCTCTACTACATAAAGTCATCTCAGGCCTACTGTACCTGTCTCTACCCAGGATTATCACCCCCTAAAGAGTTGTAGCGGTTGGTGAGAATAATAACTATAAGGCTATAATCAGGGCTATTCCCAGACAAAATTATGAAGTTAGAGATGTTTATTTTTGAGATGTAAAGCCTCCCAGCAATATTAAACAAGCTCTTAGTATTATCTTCAAAAATTCAGAATCCACAGCAGCCATAGCTCTGGAAAATGGTTTTGTAAAAGCCACCATTACCAGCTACTGGCACATCACAACCAGAGTTATATATTATATGAACATATGGAAGTATGCTCATGAACATGTTTACAAGTAGCAAGGATTTCTCAACCATATTTCTCCAAATCCTTGAAGACTTACTTTCCACTGCAACTGTGTCCTTTCCAGAGTGGAATTGGCCACATCCCTTTTTAGACCATGGTGGGTGGAGGAGAGAGGCATTTATTGCTCACCAGATACTCTTCTGCTCTTCTACATTTCCCAGCCCCCTACAATCAAGTGTGTCTGGAAACATGACTTTCAGAGGCCAGTGGACTGTGCAAAGAAATGATATGCATCGCTTCCTGGCCGAAGCACTGAGGGCCCTCCAGTTCTCTCTCCTGCTGTGACAGCTGAGGAAGCCTTGTGCTAAGATATTGGGGCGTCCATCAGCCTTAGACCCTGAGCAGAGCTGCCTGCTAACCCATGATGGACATACAGCACAGATGAGAAATCAATGTTTGTTTCAATGCGTGTCCACTGGATTTCTATTCAGATGGTTCAACTGAAGAGACGTTAGTGTAGGCTTTACTGACAGGTGCGAGCAGGTTGAGAAACTCAACAAGAGGTTTTAAGACACCCAGAGATGAGAAATGGAGAAGGCCTGACCACCTCTAGGTCTGAAGGAACAAGGAGGAGATAACTGTGTGATTGGAGCCCCAGGGGCAGCTTGAGCCATGGAGGTAAAACCTGGAGAAGAAACACTCATTCTGCTGGAATCGCGGTGTCGAAGGAAGGAGGCAACAGGGAAGAAACACGCAGAGGTGCTTAGCGGTGTGCCTCCTTTAGGAGCCCAACCAGTAGCCATGGGGCACATGGGCCTGGGTGATAGAGTCCATAAGTCTCCGTCTCAAGGGCCACAGTAAAGGGCGGAGAATGGAGCAGGGCAGATGAGGCCAATGGAGGGTGTCTGACACAAAGAGGATAAGGCAGCCCAGCCTGACTCAGACCTGTCCCTCTCACTATGTCTTTGGGCTCGTGGGGCTTCTACTGTCTGCATCACCCCCTTGAGCTGTACATTGCCTCCCACTATGGATTGTCAGCTGCTTGAAAGCCAACATGGTGCTGCATTCTTTTCATATCCCTAGTATCCTGCCCTGCACCTGCAATATCATCTTGTTACATATCAACTTAGAAATATGCCAGATATCAATGTTGAAGTGCATGGCTAACTTCCTTCTATGAGATGCCATATATATATATATTTTTTTTTTTGAGACAGGGTCTTGCTCTTTTGCCCAGGCTGGAGTGCAGTGGTGCAATCACAGCTCACTATAACCTTGACCTCCTAGGCTCAAGGGACTCCCACCTATGCCTCCCAAGTAGCTGGGACTACAGGTGCACACCACCATCACTGGCTTATTTTTTGATTTTTTGTAGAGATGGAGTCTTAATATGTTGCCTAGGCTGGTCTCAAACTCCTGAGCTCAAGTGAGCCACCCACCTCAGTCTCCCAAAGTGCTGGGATTACAGGCGTGAGTCACAGTGTCTGGCCCTCAAGATGCTATATTAACACCAGGCTGTTGTTTTCATGTGCAAAGTGTAAAGACCCAAATTTGGCGAATTAACAGAATCACTTTGAGATTTGTGCCTTAAGTGATTCTGTTGATTCGCCAAGTATTTTAGTTATACAGGCAGCAGAGAATAAAAGCTATTAATTAGGGCATACATTTGTACTTCCTGATTATGGGTTGATACCGGGGAACAATAGGAAGGTAGAGCCCCAGGACTTGGAAATAAGATTGCCCTCTGAGAATTAAAGCAAAACTTTAATGTATAACAGATTAAAGAAGAAATGGACAACATTATCTGAAAGAAACAGTGTCTCCCAGGCCAAGGTGGAACAGGGCCTGTTGAAATTCTGTGTAACTATTTGTGACTCCAATATTAGCTGGGGCCATGTGGGTTTTTGAGATTTAGCTAAAATTGCCTCAAATGCCCTTTCCCAATTCTTTGGGGATTGCAATGCTTTCTCCAAGATTTCTGTGAATTCCCAGGAGCTTGAATTCTCGTGTCACTCTGCCTCCGAGTTCCTGCCCTTCTGGAGTTCTTGATTCTACTTGTGTCTCCAGACTGGGGCTTCTCTCTTCCCCCCTGCTTCCCAGGATTCTAAGAACAACTACACAGGGCCTTTGTGAGTGGCAGACTTTACCCATTTTGAGGTGAAGGAGAAAGTTTTATATCATAGACTTAGAAACATTTAAAGTTGGATTTTATATATTCACTTTCTCAAAGAGACCATAGCTACTCTGTGACTGGCGATTCCTCCCCGACTCACATTCTTCCAAAGACTCCATCCTTCACTGGCCCCTACTTCCTGTTCTTCTTGAACTCTTCCTCCATTTTATCTTTGCTCTCCTCTGTGCTTCGTTTTTGTTTTGTTCTATTTATTTTTTAAAATTAACTTTTCCAAATGACACACTGCATGAATACAACTCATTTAAAAATACAGAGGTACGTAGATATAAAATACCACTCTTTCCAGCATTAGCTATTGCTCATATTTTTAAATTTTGCCAATCTTATTAGTAGAACATGATATCACCTTGTTGCTTTAATTTGCATTTTCCAGATTACTAGTGAGAGTAATTTTTCCTATATTCTTTATTGGCCCTTTGAGTTCCTTCTGTGAATCATGACTTTATATTCTTTGCCTTCGAAGCTAATCACTTCTGTCTCCACCAGCAAATCCCTTGAGGTGATCACATCAAATTACTGTCGCCGTTTGGGACCTGCCTGGTGACTCACTAGACTTCTCTAAGAGACATTCTCGCCATCTCCTGTCTACCACCTTCAATAACAATCACATCCTTCTGTTAAGGGTCCTTAATTTTGATTGTTGCAAAATAGAATGAATTTTTTAAACCTATCAGTCTTGGGGAGCAGTGTGGCCAATGTAAACCTCGTCAATATGGAGGCAGTTACCTGAAGCTCCAGAACTGACTCAAATTTTGGGTAGAATTAGTGTTCAGTTGGTTCACAATAGTACCTGGTTGTTGTATAGGAAGACCATACAATTGGGGTTGCCTAGATAGTGCTGGTTTAAGCATGCTCCCCTGGGGTCCCATCCAGATGGGACCCACTTTCACTCTCTTTTGCAAGTGAAAAGTTCACCTTATCCTTTGTATGGCCTTCAGCAAGTTACTTGGTTTAGGATCCTGTTATCACACAAATGATTAATAGACACACATATGCTGTGGCACTATTTTAAAAATGACTAGTCCATGAGTTTTATAAAAGTTGACAATATGGCAGTCTGTAACTAAGGGTTTATGTTAAACACAGACTTACGGAACTAGAGAATTTTTGAGCTGACATGAAACATAACTTAATTCAGTGTTTTACTGAGGTCTCTGAGTCTTTGAAAAGCTCATGGAAATTGTGGACCTTCTTGCAGGAAGATGCACACTCATACCCACACTAAGGTTTCATACATTTCAGGGTGTCCACAAAGGCTCTGAAACTCAGGGGACCCAGATTAATAACTACTCAAATTTGTCATGTAAATGAATACATTGAGATTCAGAGAGGCTAAATGATATGTCAAAAGAAGAAAGGATTAGAAGGAGAAATAGGCATAGGGTCCCATGGTTTCTATTTTGGGCTTCTTTTTCCTGGTCTCCCTCCTATTGTGGGAGTGTCAGTGAGAAGTTAAAGCTATAGACGAGCTTTCTGCATGGGATGTTATGAAGAATCTGAAATATTCTTTTTGAAAGCAAAGCATGAGTTGACTCTGTTCTCAGTGACTACTTCTCAGATCACTTATGGAGTTCTCATGAACATTTATGATGCAATACCTACTGGTTAGCAGGTTTTGCTGAATGGATGCTTCAAAAACTCAGGTCCCAACTTGCTTGCTGCCCCAGTCTCACATCTATTGCCCCAGTCACCAGAAATGAGAGAAACAAGAAGCCCCTCTAAGAGGGTGTGGGTCCCCAAGCATGGGAAGAAAGGAAAATCTTGAGTTCCTTCAGGGGAAATTCCAGGCACCTAGCTAGCCCTGAGAAGTAAATAAGCAACTTGATAAGCAAGAAGGTAATAGTAGCCTACAACAGTAGCCGAGGAAGTTAGAGTCAGGAGATGTTTGGCTCCCCTACAGAAACTGAAGAGAACATCTTCACATATGTCCCTGAGTTGTCTCTCGGAAACCCACACCCCCACCAAATGGATCTGTAGACTTCAGATAAGGGGAAACTGAGGCCTGAACTCTAACCGCCATTCTTTGTTCTAAATTTCTTCCTGAAGATTCTGGAGGGAGTCACAGCCACGAGCCAGAGCTAACATTCTTTCCTAACGACTCCAAATTTTTATCTTTTTATTTTTATTTTTGAGACGGAGTCTCACTCTTTCACCCAGGCTGGAGTGCAGTGACACAATCTCGGCTCACTGCAACCTCCACCTTCTGGATTCAAGCAATTCTCCTGCCTCAGCCTCCGGAGTAGCTGGGATTATAGGCGCGCACCACCAAACCTGGCTAATTTTTGTATTTTTAGTAGAGACGGGGTTTTGCCATGTTGGCCAGGCCAGTCTCAAACTCCTCACCTCATGTGATCCACCCACCTTGGCCTCCCAAAGTGCTGGGATTACAGGTGTGAGCCACTGTGCCCTGCCCCAAAATTTTAAACAAAGCTTCTCTTCCTTAACCAATGGCAAATCAGAAAGTCTTTGAATCTACCTATGACTTGTAAGCTCCACTTCAAGATAGCCCACCCTTGTAACCTCCGTGTATTGATTTATGACTTTGCCCCTAATGTCTGCTTTCCTGAAATTTCCCCCTGCCTTTAAAAACCCTTACTTGCAAGTGATCAGAGAGGTCGGGACTTAAGCATTAGCTGCCCAATCTTCTTGCTTGGTGCCTGCAAATAAATGTCTTTCTTTCTCTCACTGCAAACCTTGGTGTGGATGTTTTGGCTTTACTCTGCCAGGACAGCCAACCTGAGTTTGGTTGATAATGGAAACACTTGCTGTTCCTTTCAACGGTGTGTCCTTTCACTCTTGATTTTGCTCACTTTCATTTCCTTTGCCTAACAATCCCTACTCATTCATGAAGATGTTCTTAATGGTAAATGCACTTTCTCTTGAGAGTCTTCCTAACATTCCTAGCAGGGGTGGTAGCTTTTTCCAGAACAATGTCTAATTTAGGTTTGCCTCCCAGCAACTAGGCCAGTGCTTAGCATATAGAATATCCACCAAATATTTGTCAAATAATATAAATGAATAAATCCTTATAGGGTTTTTTTTTAATCTCAATGTATCAGACAAAATCTAAGTCAGGAGTTGGTATGCTTCTCTTGCTTTTGTAGAGCTTACTTCTTATTGCTTGAGCTTTCTTCATTTTATAGGTCAGTGTAGCATTTTACAGATCCAACAGTCCTTTTTCTTTTTTTTTAGGATTAACTCAGAAAAACTTCACTCATTTGCTTGACCTGCAGTGCCTACAGTCACAATTTTGGAGTGAGTTAAAAAATATTGGTGGGTAAATTGCTGTGCTTCCCGGAGGGGAGGGGAAGCATATGAACTCCTTGCCAGGCTTCTATGGCCTGGGGCACCACAAAAGACCTTTTCTTTTTTTCTTTTCCCAGGTATCTATGTCAAAAATAATTTGCCAAGGAGCCAAAATCTTCATCTGTTTATGGCTTCACAGCCGATGAAAAATGCAGGATCATTAGAAGCTAATTACTGGTTTCATGGCAATATTTATCACAAAAGCTAATTTGATCTTCCAGAACCCACTTTGGGGGCTAGCAGAGCCCATTACTAAGAAGTATTATAAAGTTTTTTTTTTTTTTTTAGTTATGCAACAACTTCACTAACAAACCCAAACCAAGTGGGGGAGACAACAGACTGGCGTGGCCTGACATCTCAATGGTTTCCATCTGGCCCAAGTAATTTCTAAAATAGTTTGTTTCAAAAGCATTCCTTTCCACTTAGAGGAAGATGTTTCAAAGATTCATATATGGAAAATTCAATTGAGTATGCCTTTTTGTGTATCCTGAAGAATTGATTATTTTTAAATGCAGTCAAATAGCTTACATAAAAGACATAAAGATACATTGAAAGAGGATCCTGAGTCCTAAATTTCCAGCTCTCCGAACTATTTGCTGATCTCTATGTTTTCCTGCTATTGCTTTTGCCTTCTTTGCATATATTGTTGCCTTCTGAATGTGAAGCTATTTGGATTTGTATTTCATTCACTTGTTCATTCAACGAATAGATGCTGGGGAGACAAAGGAATGTATTTCATGGTTTATACTTTAGTTTTGGAGATATGAGGCATGAGAAAAATGATAAATTAAAATGCAGAAGATATCACGGGACTAGCATATAAGTTCAGAGAGGGAGAGATCAGTGTTGTATAAGGAAAAAAGCATGGGATTTGAAGGCAGAAAGCCTGGGTTTGAGGTTTGACTCCACCTTTACCCTGAACCTCAATGTCTTCATCTGTAAAATGGGATAATAAAATCTACTCTAATGATCTCAGGCTATTCACTCTCATGAATTCTCAGGCTGTGAGGATTCTAAGGGATCTGAGAGAAATTTGTGAAGCAGAAAACTTGCTTCATTATCATAATCTTCTCCTCATCTTCTTATCACCTCTTAAACTCACTGGTTTGATCTAGAAGAAGTCAGGGAAGGCTTCTTGAAGGAGATGAAAGTGATTGAGTGAAAGGTGGCAAACTAAAGGCCATACAGCGTTAGGACCTTACAGATGTTATCAGGAAAAAGTGCATTATAGCATTTCATGTTTTTCTGGAAGAAAAATCTGTGGCTATTAGTTGTAATTATTCACCTTGTCGTTGGTTTTGGCAATAATTCAACTTTACAGGATCTCATACTTCCTATCTTTGCAGGAAGATTTCCTTTTTTACATATCTGTGAGTGCAATTGATGAAATTGGCAAAGAGAGGTCCTTGGTGAGACTGCTGCAAATCTACTTTCCTAAAGAAAGGCCCAGCTGGGCATGCCTAGATTTTTCTTATATAATCCCTTATGATGCTCCTGGGTCTCTGTCTGTCTTTCAACTTTGCTTTTGTTTTGCTGCATCTGCTGATACCAGAGATGGGCTACATAGAACAAGCACTAGATAAGAAAGGAGGATGAACCTAGGTCCTGGTTCTGGATCAGCCACTAACCGCCTGTGTGTCCTTGGGCAGATCATCTAAACTCTCTGAGTCTGCTCTTAATAAATGGGCGTGAGATTATCAAATTTCTAAGCTCCCTTCTAGGTCCAAACTCTATGAGTTTTTGTTAAGAATCATTATTTGGGTTAAAAGACATCCTAGGAGAGTTTATTTTAACAAAAATATTGAGGTTGCTATACCTTTCCTCAGACATTAAGGGGCTTTGGATGTTCACAGGTAAAACCTTAGAGGTCAGGATCTGTGTCTTACTATCTTAAACCTCCCATCGTGCCCAGCAAGGTGCCCTGCACTTAGCAAACATTATGTCTATTGATGGCTGGATGAAAGAACAACTTTCCCTCCAAAAGGAGGTACCTTTTCTACAAAGAGAAACGTTTATATCTCACTTTGGAGAGGCTGGTCATTGTGGCCAGCTCTTATATTAGAGAGCAGCTTTAAATACAATGTGTAGTGACTGTAACCCAGCCTGGGACATTAAATTCCTTGACAGCAGGGACCACACTTTATTCATTTTGACATACCCCACAGTGCCTAGCATGGGGCTTTGTAAATGGTAGGTTCTCAATTAATCTCTATTCAATTGACTTCAGTCGACTCTCTAAAAGCCATTTGTTTTCATCCAATCACTCTCTCCATTTATTCAGTCAGTCTTGAAAATGTGGAAAAAACAAAAAAAGTTCTCCATTTCTGTTTCCCTTGTCAAAGTACATTGGTAGCATTTAGGTTTCCAATAATAGTTAATCTTGTACAGACACTCTGTCCTTTTTAAAACCATTTCTCTTTCTATACTCCCCTGATCACAGGGGAAAAGAGGGGCAAAGAAAATCCTCCTTCTAAACCATCCCCTGAGAGCCACTGCAAGTTCAGATTGTCATGAAAATGAGCGAGAATGGAACACAGAGGAGGAGGGAGGGGATTTCTATTCCATTTGTTCTCTTATTCCTGTTGTAACTGTAGGGACCAAACCATCTACACTGATTAGTTTTAGGATCTAAGTCCCCACACTGCCTGATGAGGGTGGTCCTCTTGATGAAATCCAAAGAGGCCTCCCATGAAATGTGCAATTCTCACAGTGCCTTAAAGACTGTGTTTTGAGTGTTTGCTTCAAAACACAGTGGCATGCCAAAGATGGATAGAATGCAATAGACAGAGATGAACAAAAATTCAATATCTTTCCCCTCAAAAAATCACATACTAATGTCCCTCCTCCTCCACCCCAACCTGGTTCCTTCCTGTAAACTTCATATTGGTGAAGTGCCACACCATTTGCCACGTCGTCAATGCCAGAAGGCTAGAAGTTACCCCCAACTCCTCGCTGTCAAACCCCATATGCAATCAGTTGTTGACTACAGGAGACTCCATCTCAGAAATACTGCTCAAAACTCTTCCTGCTTTCCCAAGGCTTTTGCAATCTAGCTCCAGCCTACCTTTCCCTTGGGAAAAGTAGCCTTCCTTCCGAACACCTGGTTCTTGAGCTGTGGGTTTGCAGCCATGTCTTTTCATGACTTTTGCCTTTGTGCACATTCTCTTTCTGCAAGGCGTTCTTGCCTTGAGAAGCTCATCCTATTGTTTTCTCAAGACTCACTTCTAGTGTGAAGTTCTTCCAGCCTATCTCATCCTTCAGCCTCTCACAGCCTCCAAGCCCCCTTCACACCCCCAATGCATCATCATTCTGTCACAGTGCTCATCACGTTGCAATACAATTATTTGTGAATGGCTCTCTGTTTCCTACATCAATGGAAGCTCCTAGATACAGAGTCTATGGCTCCACATCTCTATCCTCAAGGACTCAGCAGGGGTCTGGTACATAGAAGATAATCAATAAATCAATCAATGCTTGGTAAGTAAATGATTTGGGGATAGGTGAGAGTGGGGGATAGGAATGAACAGAAATTAAAGTAGAGAAACTACGGCTGGAGCAGAGAAGGTGTTGTTTCCTCTTCAACAAACTGTATATAATTTTTTAAAGTAAGAAAAAAAAGGTAATGTTTGCCTAGGATTAGCATAGAAAATGAAAAGGGAGTTAGAAGTGCAATATTTTTTGGAGAAGGCATACGCTCCAGACCTGCTAACAGAGCACCTAATGCTGGGAAAGAACACAGAGGCAAAACTTATTTCTTATTTCCCTTGCAAATGCTTGTTTTTCTTTCTTTTTCCATAATCCTTTACCATTTGGAGGACACTCGTTAATCTGCAAAGCAAGCCCCCTTTCCAGGCCATTAGTGCCAGGACGATGTGAAATAGAAGCCAGCCTGGGCCATTAGTGCCATGGTCATTTAAAACACCAACCCGTTCAGGTTATTAGCGAGCCAGGGCAATTTGAGTGAACAACCTGTCCAGGCAATTAATGCCAAGGTAATTTAAAGTGCCACACCATTCACAGTCCTGTCAATTAGCAAGGAGTCTTCCATTTTACAAATGGAGCTTACGGCTCCTTGGGCACATCCGGGGGCTTTCTCAGGGGCAGGGAAAAACCTGACCACTGAACAGCTCTCACATACTGTCCTTGTGGTTGGTCCTCTTGCCTTCAGACAGGCAAGAACTTTCTGGACCTCAGACCTATGGGTGGATGTTAAACCACAAATCTTGGAGGCTGGCTTCTGTGCCCAGTGGCATCCTGTACAAAGTGTTGGGCCACCGTGAGTTCCTTCCCCACAGCATCGGAGCACATATTGTAATGCAGATTGTACGCCCCCTCGAGAGTCGGAGCACTATTCACCAGCTTCTGCAGTGACCCCAGAGAGTGCCAGTGTGTGCCAGCTGCCTGGGTATCACATAGACCAGCCACACTCTTGGCACGCAGGAGGGGGTTGGGTGCCATCTCCCATTTTCTGCAAAATCCAGCCTAGAAGCACAGATGAGCTCTGTGTTCCAGGGTGTTCCTGAAGAGATTAGTGTTGTTGTCTGTCACACACATCATGATTGAATCTGGGGAAGTTTGAGGAAGGCGCAGGGGAGGGCCAGCTGGCTCAAGTGGACCCCTTCTGCCTGTCTGCCTGCCTGCCTCTGAGGGAGATTTTCAGGTGGCTTATCAGAGCTGGCTCACAGAAACACGGCCCTTCCAGGTCGGCTGCGGAATGTGGGGTCAGGAACCATAAACTGCAGTGTGAGATGAGGGCTGTCAGCTTAGCGGAAGGCAGAAAGCATCAATCATTTTTATGAGGTGCTTTGACCTTGCAGGATAGCCAAAACAACTTCGCAGACCCTAAAACATTCTTAAGTTACTTACGATTATTCTAATAATTATTCAGTCTGTACGAAGCTCTTTTGCTGAAATTCGTCCTGTATTGTCTCTTATTAGTTACTGTGATTAATCATTCCCATTCAGCAGTAGAGTTTAATCCATTCATTTAAAAACCTTTGTTAAACACATGTTCAGGCAACGCACTAGGAACTCTGCAATGGAGTTAAATAGGAAAGGCCTCTGCCTCCAGGAGTTTACAATCTTATTAGATTTCTCTATCAAATCCTTTGTGGCACTAGTCATAAGTACAGATAAATTCCACAGATTTCAGAAGAAAGGTGTCCAAAAAAAGACATCAGAATTCAGGGAAAGAATGACAATAATTTAAGTCAGGGGATTAAAATAGAGAAGGGCTACAAAACAATTCTGTGATGGCTTGAAATATGATCTAAAGCAAATTGAATTTTTTCAGGATCTATTGAACACCCAGATCCTGGAGTCTGATCCGTGGCTGCAGCTACTCCAGGGTGTTTCGTGGCAGGGAGGAGGCAAGCTGATTTCCCAGACACAGAGAACTTTCAATGGGGAAACTGAAAAATACCAGCAATAAGTTTGGTTTTAACTGATGTTTTCTATCTATTAGAGAGAGGCTTACTAAGTGTTCACATGTAGATAAATCCTTCGGACTATTTGCTCATAAACAATAAGGATTTTGTTCAACCAGTTCGTTATGAAGACAAATGAGGCCATGAAAACTTTGTTTTCTCAATGTCCTTCCTACCTACTCTTTTCTATTTGCTAAAATCCTTCAAGGTCAAGATCAAATGCTGTCCCCTCCTTGAAAGTTTCTTAAATCTTCTTCTAGGAACCCACATTACTTTGTAATTTTATTGTGGCAGAGATTTTTTTTCATTTTTGTTTTTTGAGATGGAGTTTTGCTCTTGTTGTCCAGGCTGGAGTGCAATGGAGTGATCTCGGCTCACTGCAACCTCCACCTCCTGTGTTCAAGCAATTCTCCTGCCTCAGCCTCCGGAGTAGCTGGGATTACAGGTGCCTGCCAGCATGCATGGCTAATTTTTTGTATATTTAGTAGAGATGGGGTTTCACCATGTTGGCCAGGCTGGTGTCAAACTCCTGATCTCAGGTGATCCACCCATATGGCAGTGATTTCTTTTTGACTGGTGGAAACCAAACAGATTAAAGTGTTTCTTACTGTTTTATCCAAAAATTCCAACATTTTCAAGCATCCACATTTCCAGACTGCCTCTTTCAGCCAGAAATATAACAAAACTTTATCAAAATATGTCTTGATTTTTTATTTAGAGTCTGTGATCTATGATTGTAGTTATTTACAAATAAGTTTCCACTTTTAATAATAACTTTCATATGGGCCATGATAGGTATTTCTCATCTTTTATTATCTGAAAGTATGCCTAGCACTGTGCTTCACACATACCAGTTATTAAGAAAGGTTCTGTAATATTGAATTGAATCTGCTTTCTATAACTTGTATATTAAACGCATGAGATTCAATAGGATACAAACAGGAAATGGCTTTATTTTTCCTCAACTATCACTTCCATCTTTGGGCAAATATCCTTTCTCTGCACCTGTGTAATGTCTTCAAAGTCACTTTCACTTATACAAAAACTCCCATTTTGATAGTTAAGATTCACATTCAGTTATTAAAAAGTCCAGTATAGTCATATTTAAAATTTCCATCTCACATCCAATTAAAAATTTCTCCCTTCTCCTTTGCTCAAGCCTAATGCATGGTTGGGGGACCTGCAATGGGTCTTTGGGATTTCAGCCTAAGTTCTGTGAAAATCCATAATCCAAATGGAGAGAAAAGAGATACCTTGGGCACATAAGGTAATGTGCTTGGGTCTACTTGCTTTATGTGAACAAAAACCAAGATTAAGGTCTAGTTTAAACTACCTTTAACTGTTGAATTTTTCATGGGTTTATAATGTGCTGATGACTACAGCAACTTTTACAACTTTAACCACCCAGGCACCAAATCCAAATATTATTGCAGCACGGAGTAGAAGTATCCTTTGCAGGGAAGAGGCTAACAAAACTTTTGCTTTGCATTCTGAATATAGAATTAGCATCTGACAATCCCCTTGGAATTATAACTCTTGCATTGTTACACGCTAAATAGCTACACTTGTCTTGTTAATAAAATCATAGTAATTGAGTAGCATTTTCATTAAGACAGGAGTGTGGTTCATTTTGAAGATAGATGAAAAAACAACCTGGAGATTCCATCGAAACTGCTGCTTCATTCAGATTGCACAGAACTCATATTAATGGGAAATTGTTCTGAACAAACATACCAGAAAGTCATCTGCCATTGCCCCCTCTGGGGTCAGCACTGTATGAATCCCTGTCTTGGGTGGTTATCAGGTGTTCTTCAGTTTCTGGGCTGCCTCATTAGCTGGCAAAGTAGCTGCACATATGTATTTTAGAGACCCACTTAGCATCCCTTGAGTACATAGAACTGCCCCAGATCTGACAGTATCCTAGAGCAGAAGTAGACACAGACAGGGCTTCACTGAAGATGTTCCCCCAGCCACACTTAATTTATTCATTTAAGAAACTCCACACATGCACACTGAGCAAATCACAGTTAATAACAGATCCCCCGTGATCTCATAGAGCCTGATGTAGAATCCAGAGTCAAGGTTTGGTATGGATTCTTCCCCTCCAAGGATGAGCAGGATGAGCTAACTTTTTAGATACAGCCATAGATAGGTGTCTCCGAGGACCCCCTCACAGATTGCTTGACCTCTGTGTGCATTCTCGGCACACCTGCACCTAGTAACAAGATCAGTCTTGTTACTAGTTTATGGGGTTGTGTGGCAGGCTTTGGATGGAGATGATGGAGCATCTTGGCAAGTTTTACACATCTGAACAACAGGTGCTCCCTGACCGTGAAGTGTGGAGAAGGCTGAGGGATAAGTAGCATCTTAAAGTCTAAGTAATAGCCTTTATATGTATTTGCACAGCCCCTCACCTTCAAATAAAACTAGGCAAATATAAAAGGAAATTAGGTTGCTAGCCAGTTTATATCTCAATGAAGACTAACATACCATTCCAGGACTCTAAGACTATGCTTCCTTGAGCCATAGATATCATCAGGGTATTTGGCAGCATCGTTGGGGCTAGATACCCAGCCCAACACAAAGCTACAGCGGAAATTTCACACAGATGCAAGTTATAGTTCCTATTCCCTAGAACCTCAAAATGTGTCCATTCTTTTGCTATTTCCTTGGCAAATATTTGTTTACTATCAAACTAGGTGCTGAAGAGACGAAGAAAGATTAATTGACTAATGTTGTTTTCATAGTGTGATGGAAAGAGCTTTGGAGTCAGTCAGCCATGCATTTTAATTGTGATGCTGCACTCACTATCTCTGTGGTCTTTGGTAAGTTAGTCACCCTCTCCGAGTGTCAGCAGCCTCAGCTATATTAAAGGGGTGAGGTTCACCTTTTGAATTTGGCGAGGGTTAGATGAGCCCCTGCCTATGAAATACCTAGCTTGGTGCCTGGCACATAGTAGGTGTGTTGTAGGTCCTATTCCCCAGGAAACAGACTCTCAGATTCTGAGACTGGTATGCAGATGAGTGCTGGGGAGTGCTTTCAGAAGGAGTCCTTGGAGGGAGGCAGGACTGGGCTGAAGGAGGAGCTGACTAGGAACAGAGAGCTGAGCCTTTTCCTTGGGAGCTGCAGAGCTCAGCAACTGGCCCATTAGAGATATCCTGAGGCAAGGGGACCTTTGTCCTTTGTCCCCTTGCACTGGCTTCCTGCCTTCAGGGAGGAAGCATAACCTTGCGTGAGGCAGCTTCTGTCAATGGAAGGCAATCCCTGGTGTAGGCAGACAATATCCCCTGTCTGCCCAAAGGCAGAGCACCACAGATCCTGGCAGAGCACCACAGTACTCAAAGTACTCAAAGTACTCAATGACCATGAGCTCTCTTCTGCAAAATTCTAGATGGCTAGAGCTCAGTGGAGCAGATGAGGCATGAGCAGGAACACTGCTGAATATCAAGTGTGTGTGTCTTAGAGGAAGCACAGACACAATGTTACGAAGTTCAGAGAGGGCTTTTAGCTGGGGTCACTCAGAGAAGGCTTGAGAGATATGCCCTTGAATCAGTGTAAGAAAAACAGTGTAAGAAAAGTATTTCGTTCTTGCGATAGTTTACTGAGAATGATGATTTCCAATTTCATCCATGTCCCTACAAAGGACATGAACTCATCATTTTTTATGGCTGCATAGTATTCCACGGTGTATATGTGCCACATTTTCTTAATCCAGTCTATCATTGTTGGACATTTGGGTTGGTTCCAAGTCTTTGCTATTGTGAATAGTGCCGCAATAAACATACGTGTGCATGGAAATCATCATTCTCAGTAAACTATCGCAAGAACAAAAAACCAAACACTGCATATTCTCACTCATAGGTGGGAATTGAACAATGAGAACACATGGACACAGGAAGGGGAACATCACACTCTGGGGACTGTTGTGGGGTGGGGGGAGGGGGGGAGGGATAGCACTGGGAGATATACCTAATGCTAGATGATGAGCTAGTGGGTGCAGCACACCCGCATGTCACATGTATACATATGTAACTAACCTGCACATTGTGCACATGTACCCTAAAACTTAAAGTATAATAATAATTATAATAATAAAAAGAAAGCATTCATTGTGTGGGACATAGACAAGAGTGCTGAGCAATGTCAGGGGAAAGGGAGCCTAGGAAGGGCTGGAGAAGTTGGGGAAAGTTTTGTGGCGGAGTGTCTCTGTGTTGGCTCATCAGTATCCTTCCCTGTGCTTATTAACAACTAAGGTCTTGGGATCCACTAGGACCTGGGTCTGAATTGGGAATATGCATTTTATAACCCACCTGGTCAATTCTGATGCATGCTGAAAGTTTGGAAACCCTGATTAGCAGCTTTAACTCATCTTAGTCTTACTCATTCTTTAGAACTCAGGCCAAGTGCTGTCTCATTAACTTGCTGAGCACTTGTGACAGTCAAGCTGCTGTACTCAGCCATAGCGAAATACCAGATTCTCTGTCATCAGGGGCTCACGATCTAATGAGAGGGCAGGAATGTAAACAAATCATATGGGATAAAGATGGGCAAGTACTATTCTGTGGGAGGATGACTTTGGAGCTATGTAGATCTGAGTAGTAATTCACGAGTTTCCTAGCTCTGTGGTTTGGATAAAATCCAGAACAAAAGTGGGGGATTAACTTTGGATAATAGAAGAAACTCCAATTCCTCTTGGATGGAGTGAAAGAAATATTTCTAAATCCTCTTAGCCTCATCTTTAAGTACTAAAACATAAAGACATGCAAACTTGGTTTTTTTGTTTGTTTGTTTGTTTGTTTGTTTTGAGATGGAGTCTTGCTGTGTCACCCAGGCCAGAGTGCAGTGGCACAATCTTGGCTCACTGCAACCTCCGCCTCCCAGGTTCAAGCTATTCTCCTGCCTCAGCCTCCCGAGTAGCTGGGATTACAGGCACCTGCCACTGCACCCGGCTAATTTTTTTCTGTTTTTAGTAGAGACAGGGTTTCACCATGTTGGCTGGACTGGTCTCGAACTCCTGACCTCGTGATCCACCCGCCTCCGCCTCCCAAAGTGCTGGGATTACAGGCGTGAGCCACCACACCCGGCCAAGGCATGCAAACTTTTTAGGGTTAAAATGCATTCCCAAGAGCCCCTTCCTTTTACCCAAGAAGGCACTTAGTCCCCAATTATTCTTCCAATTATTCTGTAGTACCGACAGTCTATGTGGTGCTCATCATGTTCTTCCTGTTCTGCTCCCCTTGAGGAGGTCCAGGGCTTGTGAGACCACTCAAGGAAGGCTCACCACTACCACTGTGGTCATCCCAGGTGCTTCTAGAGCTGCAGACCTCAGCTTGCCAGAGAGAAGCCAGGCAGGTCCATGGAGAGGAAGAGAGAAGGTGGCCAGCTCCTGTTCTTAGGTCACACTCTGTCCCATAGGCCCAAGTCAATTCTCATGTCCAGAGTCTTAGAGTCTCCTGTGGACAGTTTCTGGTATTTAGTTTATGCCTCAAATCCGAAAGACTCTCAAGATCATCAAGATCTGTCAGTTTCCAGCTCTCATATATCTAAAGCATGGGGGCATAAACTCAGTCCAAAAGTCAGGAAGGGAATAGAGACTGGATAATTCCTCATTGTCCTCTCCTCCCCTCAGCTGAAATGCATTTCCAGAAGCAACAGTCCACCTTGATATCACGATTTTCCTGGTTCCCCTGCTTCTTGCAGCAACAGTGTCTTGGGACATCTCGTTCTTTTAGCAGAATCTCTTTGCCTTACTTTTTCACTGCTAAAATGTCCATCAAAGCACTTGTCCATAAACCATATGGATGGTCTGCAGAATGACAGAATCAGGGGCCACTGATTCCAACTTGGGGCAATCAAGGAGGCTTCAGGGAGGCAGTGCCCTCGATCTGGGAATAGCAGGCCAGGCAGTGAGGAGGTGGAGAGGCAGCTCAGGATAGGCTCTGGAGTCTGAGAGCCCTGAGTTCAAATCCTGTGCTGCCTCTTTTTTCAGCCAAATGAGCTTGGGCCAGTTTCATGGTCATCTCTTTCCAGTTGGAGTCCATGGCCCCCCCACTCCAGTGAACCAGAAAGCTACTCAAACTTTAAAAAATGCTCTGGTTATTATTTATAGTATTCTAGGGCCAATTTTGATCTCAAGGTTCCTGTCCTTCCCCTCCCTCTAGCTGTCAAGAGAGAAACACCTCCTTATGGTCTAGCAAGTTGGAGTGAAGTGCCAAGATCATGGCCATAGGAGAAGGTGTAGTCTCACCTACCATGGGTAGCTTTGAGGATTACAACTTTTTAATTTGTTACAGAAGTAAAAGTAGGGGCAGATGAAGAAAAGTTTGTAAGGTTATAGGGAAATTTATACCCCTTCCCTATAATATAATCATCATAAAAGCTAATATTTACTGAGTACTTATTATGAGAAAGGTATAGTATTAAGTGTGGATTAAATGAAATAATGAATTACCTTACTAACCCTATATCAATATTAAGAGATCTGTATTATCGGCCAGGCGTGGTGGTTCACACCTGTAATCCCAGCACTTTGGGAGGCCAAGTCGGGCAGATCACGAGGTCAGGAGATCGAGACCATCCTGGTTAACACGGTGAAACCTCGTCTCTACTAAAAATACAAAAAATTAGCAGGGTGCAGTGGCGGGCGCCTGTAGTCCCAGCTACTCGGGAGGCTGAGGCGGGAGAATGGTGTGAACCCAGGAGGCAGAGCTTGCAGTGAGCTGAGATCGCGCCACTGCACTCCAGCCTGGGAGCCAGAGAGAGACTCCATCTCAAAAAAAAAAAAAGATATGTATTATCCTATTAATTTCCCCCAGTGAAATGTAAATTCCATGAATGCAGGGACCTTGTTTAGCTTGTCTCCCGTTATATTCCTAGGACTAAGATGAGTACTTGGCACATAAATACCTACTATGGTCTAAATGTTTGTGTCTCCCCAAATTCACATGGTGAACTTCTATGAGTACAAAAATATGGTTAGAATGAATAAGATCTAGTATTTGGTAGCACAACAGGATGACTACAGTCAACAATAATTTATTGTACATTTACAAATAACTAAATGAATATAATTGGAATGTTCATAACACAAAGAAATGATAAATGAGTGAGGTGATGGATACACCATTTATTTTGATGTGGTAAAAATCTCATTTACCCCATAAATATATGCACCTACTATGTACCTACAAAAATGAAAAATTAAAAAAAAGAAAGAAATCCTAACCTCCAAGGTGGTAGTATTAGGAGGTGGGGCCTTGAGTAGTGATTAGGTCAGGAAGGTGGAGCCCTCATTAATGAAATTAATGTACTTATAAAATAGGTCCAAGGGAGCTCATTTGCTCCTCCTACCGTGTGAGGACACAGCAAGTAGGTGCCATCTGTGAACCAGAAAGCAAGCCCTCACCAGACGCCAACTTTGCTAGCATCTTGATCTTGGATTTCCTAACCTCTAGAGCTGTGGGAAATACATTTCAGTTGTTTGCAAGCCACTCAGTCTATGGTATTTTGTTATAGCAACCCAAATAGACTATGACAATACCCAAATGGTATTTGCTAACTGGATAAATCATCACCTTTTTCTTATAGATGAGGACCCTAATGTTAGAGAACTTAGGTGACTTGACCCTAAGCAGCCTGACTCAGCGTCTGCTGCTCTGAGCCACTCACTAGACCACTCCACATGTTGGTGAGCTTCAAGGGGGAGTAGAAGTCTGGAAAATCTGTGGTAAAGTTTCAGAATGGCTGGTACAAAGAGTACAAGAAGAGGGTGGCCTGAGAGAGACAAAAAGATCGCCTCGCATTTGAAAGCCCTCCAGACATCGACATCTCTGTCAATTCGCAGTTGTGAGACAGGAGTTTATTCATAATTCTGCTGGTTAACCCTTAGAAGAGGAAGCCATGTGTATGTGTGTGTGTGTGTGTGTGTGTGTGTGCGCCTATGTGTGTATGTATGTAGGTGTATGTGTGTATGTGTATATCTGTGTCTGTGTGTATTTGCGTGTGTATGCATGTACGTATGTGTATGTGTCTATGTGTGTATGTGTGTTTATGGGTATGCATGTCTGTATGTGTATATGTGTCTGTGTATGTCTATGTGTACATGCGTGTTTGTATGTGTGTGTGTGTATATGTGCATACGCGTGTGTGTGTGTGTCTTTGTGTATGTGGCTGTGTGTGTGTGTGTGTGTGTGTGTGTGTTTGGGATGAGGTGGGGGGAGGTGAAGGGAAAGCAGTGGACAAAGGCATTGCATTGATTGTTAGGTTAACAAAGCACCAGGCAACAAGCTTCCTAACAGAGCACTCTGTAAACAAAAAATATAAAGTTAGTTATGTGCAGTCTAAGCTCACACAGCTAATCAATGGAAGAGCCAGGATTAAATATGCATCCAAAGACCCCCAGCCAGGGAGGAGATAGCTTTCTTCTTATCATTTACTTAAGCAGACATTCCATTACCCAGTCAGACTTGACAACATATTGCTTTTTACAGGGAGTACCTCATAGGACCAGTGTTCCAAATGGTAAAATACACCCAGTGAATGGAGAGGTGTGTAGCAAGGATACCCTCTCCCTTCACAGGCAGATAGCTTTGTATCTACACTTAGCATCAGCAGGCTTCTCTCCACCCTGCCAAGCTTGCTGAGGACAGGGATGGGTTTTATTGCTCTTCGTTCTCCCTCCACACCAGAATAATTCCTGGTGTTCTATAGGTGCTCAGGAAAACACACATTTCATTAACCTGAATTAGTCCCTGAAGCCAGCTGTGCAGAATCCATATCTGTGGGAGCCCTGTGGCTGAGCACCCCATCTCTTCGCTCCCCTTCTCCCTGTGCATGGGCCTGGGTAAGAACCACAGCATTTCAGAGACATGAGGCATGGCCCTGTCTGAGAACTCCTACACTGCCCAGCACAATCCGTAGTAAAACACTGACCTGCAGAATAACTTTCCACTTCCTGCGTATCCCATCTTGAGACATTCCTTCCGAAGCTTTAGCTGAAGATTTCGTAACCGCCCTCCAGAGCAGTGGTTCTTTATTCTTTCGTCTCTCTCACACCCCCACCTTCTTTCTTGACTTTGATCTTCTCCTCGCTCACCTTATATTCCTTTATGCATCTATCTCTGGCCTTCTTCCTCATTTCCCTGAGGCAGTTGTAGTAAAGTGACATGAGTGCTCTACTCGGGGTCAGGAGGCTTCGGCTTTGCTCTGCCTCTTTCTTGTGCCTGCACCAGGAAGTTGTTCAGCTTCTTGAAGCCTTATTTTCTTCTCCCACTAAATGAGATGATCCATGTAGGTATTCAATGATACTTTCATTAGCTGTGGAGTTGTTGGGAGATTAAATAGGACAGTATTTGTGAAGCCTTGCAGATACAAAGCTCAAAGTACACATTAGGCATTATTATGACTTTCTATCTTTATTTTTTCTTCCGTGTTGTTTTCTCAAAGATCATTCTTAAGGATACTGGAAAGATATACAAAGAAAGGACAGGACAGAAATTAGAATGTTCACCAGGGGAAATGCTTAGATTCTTAGCGACAAACTCAGCTCATTGGAGGGCTGAGCCTGAGTGAGGCTCCTTCAGAAACTGGATGAAGCGATGCACATCTATTTATGCAGCATTTCTTTATACATTTATGAGCTTCCGAGTATAAATGTATATGTATTATGAACTTGATTCACATATTAAACTATTTAATATGAGAATATTTAATAATCTTGTGAGATGAGGAAGAGATATGAGAAAGGGAGGGAAAAGAGAGAAAGAAAGTGAGTCAGGAGAAATGAAAGAGGGTCATGGATGGTTGGTGCCCAAGCAAAAGAGGGAAAGGGAGAGAGAAAAGAGATGGGAGGGAGAGCCCCGGGCTCGGGGAGCAGCAGTGGCAGGATTGTCAGCCAGCTACTGAGAGAGAAGATCCTGGAGCTGGTAAGAAGCTGACTGAATATGTGTTGGACATGGCATGTGGCCTTTTATGAAACAGGTTGGATATTTAGAAAGTGAAGCTTTCAAAGTCTGTCTTTCTGGCCTTTGAGGTTCCTTTAGTTTCTGTCATTAAGGAGTCTCCTCTTGAGACGTGGCATACATATTTTTCCCCAACAAGGCCCTGGTTGAAGTGAAAGTAGATTGCCTTGAGGGGAAAGCACACTAGTTCAGTTCTTGCACTGCTATAAAGAAATACCCAAGACTGGGTAATTTATAAAGAACAGAGGTTTAATTGGCTCACAGTTCTGCAGATTGTACAGGAGGCATAGTGGCTTCTGCTGCTGGGGAGGCCTCAGGAAACTTACAACCATGGCGAAAGGCCAAGCAGAAGCAGGCACGTTTTACGTGGTTGGAGCAGGAGAAAGCAGGGAAGGTGCTGCCACACACTTTTAAACAACCAGGTCTCACAAGAACTCACTATCACAACAGCACCAAGAGGGATGGTGTTAAACCATGAAGAACCACCCCCATGATCCAATCACTTCCCATCAGGCCCCACCTCCAACAGTGGGGATTATAATTAGACATGAGGTTTGGTGGGGACACAGATCCAAACCACATCATCCATGATTACTTATTACTGTTATTTTAGGATAGCTCCCTTTCAAACAGGGGAGCAACACAGCTGGTGTTTAGGAGCTCAGACCCTGGAGCGTAGACTTCCTGTGAGTTCAAGGCCAGGCTCCATCATCACAAGTTGCCAGACTTGGGTGATTTACTCCACTTCTCAGGGTCTCATTTCCACCATATGTAAAGTCTCAAGTTTATGCCTCTCTGGTTTCACTTTTTTTTTTTTTTTTTTTTTGAGACAAAGTCTCACTCTGTCACCCAGGCTGGAGTGCAGTGGCACAATCTTGGCTCACTATAACCTCCGCCTCCCAGGTTCAAGTGATTCTCCTGCCTCAGCCTCCCAGCTGGGACTACAGGCACGCGCCACCATGCCTGGCTAATTTTTGTATTTTTTTTAGTAGAGATGGGGTTTCACCATATTGCCCAGGCTGGTCTCGAACTCCTGACCTTGTGATCTGCCCACTTCGGCCTCCCAAAGTGCTCAGATTACAGGCGTGAGCCACCACACCCAGCCTCATTTTTTTTTTTTTTTTTGAGACAGAGTCTCACTCTATCTCCCAGGCTGGAATGCAGTGGTATGAGCTCGACTCACTGCAAACTCTGCCTCTGGGATTCAAGTGATTCTTCTGCCTCAGCCTCCTGAGTAGCTGGGATTACAGAGGCAGACGACCATGCCCAGCTAATTTTTGTATTTTTAGTAGAGACAGGGTTTCACCATGTTGGCCAGGCTGGTCTTGAACTCCTGTCCTCAAGTGATCCACACCCCTCGGCTTCCCAAAGTGCTGGGATTACAGGCATGAGCCACCCTGCCCGGCCCTCTCTGGTTTCATTTTCGTAGTTGCCTGCCTCATTCTGCCAGTGCTTACAGGGCAGGAGATGACCATCCATTCTGGCTTCCCCATCAATGGTAAGAATGATGGCTTCAATGCTGTCTCATTTACCACTGTTGAAACCTCAAGGAGAAACACTTTTGACTTAAGGATTGAGAAAACCCAAAATGTCTTTAGCTATTAGGATGTTATTGATGACTCATTTGTAATATCTCTGGAGTCTGATTGAAAAGGATTTATTAAGCTATGTTGCATAATATAGTAGGATTCTACATTTAATAAGTATGTGCTCTCTGTGTGTGTGTGTATATATATATATATATACATATATATATATATTTCTATCTATTCACCTATCATCAATCTATTCATCCATCTCTTGTAATCTATTGTAATCTCATACTTATTTGTACGTTGTTGAATTAATGTCTATTTCACTTACCAGATGGGATACTTCAAGACTACAGGAGCCACATCTGTTTCATTCACTCTAAGTCAGCTCTGTTTGCAACAAGGCCAGGTGTAGTAGGTGCTCATAACACTGTGCTGAATGAATGAGTGATCCATGTAACCCTCTTACCCAGTCCCAGTCATTCTTCATTCCTTCATTCCTTGCTTACTCTTTCTTGTACTGCAATGGCTTTTTAATTTTTGATTTTTTAATTGAGATATGATTCACATACCATAAAATCCACTCATTTAAAGTGCACAATTCCGTGGCTTTTAGTATATGCACCCAGTGGTACAACCATCACCACTACCTATTTCCAGAACGTTACCATCTCCCCAGAAGAAACCTCATACCCATTAGCAGTCATTCACCATTTTCCCTTCTCCCCTGCCCATCACAGTCAGCAATCTACTTTCTGTCTCTATGGATTTTCCTATTTTGGGCATTTCAAACAAATTGAATCATTCAATTTGTGGTATTTTGTGCCTGGACCTTTTACATAGCATAATGTTTTCAAAGTTTATTCATGTTGTAGTAAGTATCAGTACTTCATTCCCTTTTATGGCCAGATATGTTCCGTTTTATGGATATACCACATTTTGTTTATCCATTCATCAGTGGATGGACATTTGGGTAGCTTCCCCTCTTAGGCTATTATGTATAATGCTTCTATGAACATCCCTCTACAGGTTTTTGGGTGGACATGTTTTCAATTTTCTTGGGTATATCTCTAAGACTGCAATTGCTAGCTCATTGTTTTATTTAATTTTTGTAGGTGTCTCCCTAGATCTTACTTTTGGTTCACTATTTCCCCTTTTTGTTGTCCTTTGGTTAGAACAGAAGAGGCAGGAATCTCAGCCATCAGCTGATTGCACCTTGCCGTGTATGTGGGCTAGCTGACTGTAGTGGGAACATGGACTCACTGAATTATGGGAGTTCCCTGCAGTAGGCAGCCCTCCATTGCAACCAGAGCTATACCTGAGTATTGGGAACCACACAGACAGGGCTAGTCATTTTATTCCCTACCACTTAACTGTTACCTCATTTATTCCCAGCAAGTCCCTAATGAACAGTCTTAAAGATGGTTTATCACGCCATGGCTCCTTAATGGCACATCTTAGTCACAACCCCATGGACCAGCCTGACTCCACAGGACAGGGATGAAGAAGTTCCCTTTTGCATTGCAAAGGAGTGATCTGGAATCTTGAAACTTCTTTCTCATCAGAGCAATAGTGGAGGAAATCAGCGGCTGGTTTAACTGGGTGTGCTGACCATCAGAATACTTCTTGGCTGTCAGCAAGTCCAAAGTTGTGCTGGGGAATGATAATGTCTGATGCCCAGATAAAAGGTTCCAATCAATGAGAGGAAACTTGTCTATGCAATGGAGAACCTTTCACTGTGTCTGACAGAAGCAGGAGTGCAAAGTCATAAAAAAAAAAGAACAAAAATTTGCTTGCCAATTCCCTGAAAGGCCCCTTTTAAGTATCAAGATTCCTAGAGCTGGGAGGGTGGAGATCTCAGATGTCATCCAATAGGTTATTAATGTTTCAAGGATTGCAGAATCATAAAAGTTAAATATGGAGAGTAGCTATTAAGCCTTCTAATCTCTCCACTGCCAATACCCACCTTTTCCTCCTTCCTCTCCAGGTAGGCTGTCAGATCTGGTTTAAAACAATGCCCATGACAGGGCTTCCTCTTTTGCTGCAGTTGTCTCTGGTGAGATTTGACAGGAAGTTGGCCAGAATGATTTCCTACATCAAGGACATGAGAGGCAGAAGTGAGAGGCAGAAGTGAGAGGCTTTCTTGTGTGAAGCTCTGTAGCAAGGCAGCGCCTCCTGGGGAAGGAGAAGCTGGAATCCATAGCCTCAAAGACATTAGAGGCAGGCAGTTAAGTGAAGTGTCTGAGTGTGGAGTTGGTCCTACCCTTGCTTGGTCATACGGGGTAGGTGCCTACCTTCATGGTTTGATTTGAGATATGCCTAGGGGCTCTCTTCCTCCTCTCAGCTTGTGCATGACTATCAAAACCCACCAGTAGCAATTCTTTCCTTTGGGTTAAGACATGATTTCTTATTAAACTGAAAATACTCCTGGGAAAAAGAATACGTTAAATCCGATAATCACTCACCTCAAGATATATTTAAGCATCAGATCCTTTTCAAACAGCAGTTTCTGAAGACAAATTTTGATGAGACTGGGGTGGGAGCAGGGTGGAAATGTGGAGAGGAAAATTGACGTTACAGTAGAAGCACATTCTCTGGCAAGCTTGCGTCTCCGGGCGGCAGAAGGTACTTGTTGGAAAGGAAGCTCAAACCACATAAAGGGCAAGTCCACACTCACCTTTGGCATCATATTGACTCTAACCAGTTCCTTGGTCAGTTATCCATCCCCACACATCATGCCCACTACTGCCAGCTAGTCCAGCATGCACCCTGAGGTGAATGAGCACTAAGGCTGCCTCTCTATGCATCCTTCTTTCCTAACCCAGCTGCCCTCTGCCTGGCCAGAACAGTGCACAGACATCAAAACAACTCTGCACCTCCATTTCACTTGGAGGTCTGAGTGAATTTCCAACCTGCTTCATGCCGCTGATAGTATAGCAGGAATCTGGGTCTGCAGACAGAAGTTGCAGCTAACCTCTTTATCCAAATATGTGGCAGGCAGAATAATTATCTCCCCCACTCCCAAGACATTCTGGTTCTCATCCCCAAAACTGGGGAGTAGTTACTTTACATGGCAAAAGGGACTTTGCAGATGTCATTAAGTTAAGGACTTTGAGATGGGGAAAGTGACCTAGATTTTTTAGGTGGACCCAATGTAATCACAAGGATTCTTAAAGACAGAAAAATTGGCCCAGCTGTGGCCAGAAAGAGACATGGATGGAGGCTGTGGTAGGAGGAATGCTTGAGCCCAGGAGTTCGAGTCTAGCCTGGGCAAGATAGTGAGACCCTGTCTCTACAACAAACAAACAAACCAACAGTTCAAATAAATAAGTACATTTAATTAAATAAAAAAGAAAGAGACATGATGATGGAAAAAGGATCAGGGGAAATCAATGCTGCTGGCTTTGGAGTTGGAAGAAGGGGACCATAAGCTGGGGAATGCAGAAAAAAGAAGGAGAAGGATTCTCCCCAAAGCTTCCAGAATCACAGCCCTGCTGACACCTGGATTTTAGGCCAATAAGACCTGTATTGGATTTCTGACCTACAGAACTGCAAGATAATAAATCTGTGTTGTTTTAAGCCACTAAGTTTGTGGTAGTTTGTTCCAGCAGCAAAAGAAAACAAAATGCCATTAGGAAGATTGAGATGAGTTCATCCCTCTGTCTCCCTCATCCCCATCCACCTGGGTCAGTTCCAAAATAAAGGCTGCCCTGCCATGTCCCCTCCTATACATTCATGCCCATTTAGCTTTCCTCTTCTCACCCAACTTATCCACCAAAACTTTCTGCTCTGCCCTTTGAGACCCCCTTCAATGGTGATAGATACTGAGTACTGAGCATTTATTTTTATATACTATCTTATGTACTCTTCATGCATTATAAAACACTTCAGTTCGACGTGTATGGAAACGAAGGCTTAGAAAGGCAAAGAACCTTGCCCAAGGCCACTCAGCAGGGAGTGCCAGAGGTGAGGTTCAAATCCAGATCCGCCTCTGTGTTCTTGGCCTCTATTCCAATGCTTCCCATGGGCCATGCCATGGGTTAATAGCTCCATGGGGTACGGATGTGCGTTAGGAGGAAAAAGGACTCTGTGGCCTGGGGTCCAGGCCTAACTTTCTATTTTCTCATTGCTGCTGCTGAGAACACTGCTTACAAGGAGCCTGGACCTTTGGGGGATCCCCTCAGTCTCTCTAGCCCTGTCTTCTACTGCTCCCTTGCTCTCTTATCCTGGCATGGCTGTACCTGCAAATGCTTCACATCTGGGTAAATCCAACAATCTGCCTTTGCCATTGTTTTAGAAATTTTTGGGTTGGAGGTAACAGAAACCTCCTTCAGGCAACCTAAGAGAATTTTAGAAAAAAAATCTCAGGCTCCTATTTGTGGTCTCTTCTCCACTCGGCCACCTGCCATCCTCTTGGGGCTTTTGAGTTTGTGCCGTGGATCCATCTGGGCTTCTAGCTTCATAATTCTCTCCATTGGCACCTTTGTTATCCACCCACATGGAGAACAATTCACCTAAGACAGATCCGTTCTGAAACATCAAGCTCCAGCATCCAGCCCTCTTCCCAGCTTCCTTTCTCCTTCCAGCTTCCTCCTTCCTGTATTCCCTCAACATCTGTTCTTCCCTAAAACCTTCAAGCCCTTGGTCCTCCCTTCCTCTCATGTCTATTAGGCCCATCTTGGCTTTTCTAGATGCACATTAGAATCATCTCTCTCACCCCAAACTGCTAAACACAGATGTTCGGAGGCTGGGGAGCAGGCAGCAGTATTGAAACCTCCCCAGTGATCTTGATGCACAGTCACGATTGAGAACACTGCTTACAAGGAGCCTGGACCTTTGGGGGATCCCCTCAGTCTCTCTAGCCCTCTCTTCTACTTCTCCCTTGCTCTCTTCTCCTGGCATGGCTGTACCTGCAAATGCTTCACATCTGGGTAAATCCAACAATCTGCCTTTGCCATTGTTTTAATTAGAAATTTTTGGGTTGTAAGTAACAGAAACCTCCTTCAGTCAACCTAAGAGAATTTTAGAAAAAAAAATCATAAGAAAGCTGCAGGGATGCAGCTAGGGTTCTGAGTGGCCTAGAAATAGGGGCTGGAGTACTACAGGAAGTCTAGGAAATTATCTGTATCATCATTTCCATTTCTCTTTGTGCTTCTGCCCCTGTCTCTTTTCTTGCTGCATTCTTTTTTCTTTTTATCCTCGTGGTAAGAATGGCTTCCACCAGTAATTTCTGAATTTACAGTTTCAGAGAAGGTAGACTGAGATGGAAGCTTTTAGATCCAGTTTTAAATTCCTGAGGGAAGGGTTCTGATATACCAAGATGGGATCAGTTTCATGCTGCAGGATCAGTCAATTGTGGCACAGTCATGGCTGCTATACCTACATGAACAGAAGGGATAGTGATCACTGCAATACTTGGAAAATTGGAGGATGGGAGGGAGAACTGTACAGCCAAAACAATAGCAGGGGTACTGAATATCATAGAGGAAATTCACCCAAATACAAGGGGTGGTGCCATTGCAAAGTTTCTTTTACAGTGTCATCTGGGTCCTTGACAGACTTCAACAATCCTTTCATTCATTTATAGTCAGTAATTTCTCAGTCACCTAAGCTGATTCCAAACCTTCCCCAAATCTTCCCACTACCTTCTACTTTATAGAAAACTTGGAAACCACAGGGCACAAAGTCCAACTCTCAGTTACTTCTCTCTGAGAAACCAATCTATGCTCACACCTCCGGTCTCATAGCCTTTCTCCTGTGCCTTCCTGTTCTATCACTCTGTCCCTCTATGATATGTCTTCACCTGCTTTTCCTACAGGTTCTTGCCCCTTCACCGGTAACTACAACCATGGTGCACCCTCTCCCACATATCTCCCTATGGCCCTAACTCGCTCTTCCTCCCTTCACAGGCTGACTTCTGCCTTCAGATGTGAATTTCCTAATTAATCCTTAGTACACTCCTTGTGGCTTCTGCCTGTTCTGCCCCTCCTAGCACAAATGACCTCCTAATTGCACAACACAATGGGTTATTTTCAGACTTTGTCTTAATGTGCGCTCTGCTGCATTTGGCATGATCTTCTAAACATGTCTCAAATACTTTCTTTTCTTTCTGTCCCTGTGGCCATGTCAGGCCCTCTTCAAATCTCCCCTGAACTGCTGCAACAGTATTCTTCATGACTTCCTACTTTAGTCTTACCCATCTCTAGTGGCCTTTAGTGGCCTTTCCACCTTTAGTCTTAGTCACTTATTGCTATTAAAGTTATTTTTCTTAAAAAAAGAAAGTCTGATCACACCACTTTCCCACTTTCAATACTCTTATCATTCTCTGTAGCCCACCAGATGGGTTCAAAATCCTTAACGTGGAATACAAACCATTTATGACCTGAACCCCTCCTACCTGTCCAGTCTCATCTCCCCCCTCCCTTCTGTCTCCTGTGCCTACTCGAACTTAGCTGCTTGTAGCGCCCTCCACATGCCACACTCCTGCACGTCCTATTCCTCCCACCACTCTGCCCTGCCGTTTTCCTATGTCTTTCCTTCTCAGCTGAACGCCCTGCCTTGTTGAAGCCTTTCCTGACTGCTCCAGGCAGAGTTCCTTGTTCTCCTGTTTTTGATCCCTATGCCCCTGTATGTTTCTCAATTGTAGGGCTTCTCACGCTGCATATTTATGATTTCTTTACACGTCAGCTTTTCCCACAAGATCATAGGCTCCTCTAGGGCAAAGAAGGGGGTTTAGCCACTCTTAGGCAATAAATATGTAATAAACAAACGAATAAATGGGGAAGGGGTATCCATGGAGACTGGGTTGGAAAGTGAGGCAACACTCATTGACATAGGAGACTGAGCCAAAAACACGTGGACAGTCTCTACCTTCTGGATTCTATCCCCTGATTGACATTTAGCCTGTTTGCTTGCTTTTGTCGCATATACCTGAATACCTGATTCAGGTAAACAGCATGTCCTTCTATTCACATCTGCTTCCTTTGATAGCTTCTATCAAGGTATCGCTCAGCTTCTTCTGACTTCTACCTCTTTACTTTTCTCCTTAAAATCCAATTTTGAAAAGCAAGTTGAGGAGTTCAGCCACTGAAAGATCTTCATTGATTTATTTTTCCCTTCCTTATTTATTAATGGGACCACTTTCTCCTTGATATTTCTTTTTTCTCTCTGATGTATTTGTAAAAGCTCTGCTCCCGCCTCTTAACCTGATGCATTAGATTAGCCCAGCCTTTGGGTTTCCTTCTCTCATCTTTTCCTTTCCATCCATTCTGACTCTAGTTGAGACACTTTTATGTCTTCTTCCCTAAATCCCTATGTCCAGAAAAATTTTCAGCTCATCTGTAACTGTCATGTGGATCCTGGAAGTAATCAAACTGCTGACTTCCTCATCCCTGCATTTTGCTCTTTCAAAAATGACCTCGAGTCTTGATTAGCATGTGGTTAAGAGTACAGTCTTGGAGCCTGTCTGCTGGGGTTCAGATCTCACTTCTACCACTTACTGACTGTGTGGCCTTGCTGAAATTACTGAAGCTCAAATTGCTTGTGCCTTAGTTTCCTCTTCTGCAAAAATGGGCTTAATAATATCTACCTCCTGAGGTTGTGTTGAGGATTAAGTTTTTTGAAAGCTATAACATATTGAGAAGAGTGCCTGGCCCAGAGTAGCCCTCCGTGGGTATTAATTCTTTCTACTGTTTCACCTTCACCTCCTCCCTCACCTTCCTTCTACTGTATAGAGTGTGCTCTCTGGTTGGTTGGCATGAAGCATTCAGGAATTGACTCCTTTGGTTAGAACACATGTTTCTTGATACTATCTGTATGTAATGACCAGAGGATGAACACAGACACAAACAAAAGCCAGGCCCTGTTTACAAACCCTGGGGATTATAACAAAAGCAAAATGAAAATGACCTTTTATCAAGTGCTTACAGGGTTAGGCACTATGATAAGTGACTTACATAGTTTATTTTATATCATTTCTTTCTTACAGCAACGCTTTAAGGTAGAAATCATATCTTCATATTTTATAGAGGTGGGAGTTGAACTGTTGTAAGGTTAAAGTTCTTGTCCGACGTCACACAGTAGGAAGTAGCAAAACTGGAATTGGAAGCCAGGTTGGCCTGGCTGTAAAGACCCCACCCTTCATCACATGGCTAGACTCTGTCCCAAATAAGAGTGTTGTGATTGTTATTCCATGATCTGGTATAAAGTAATTTCAAGAAGGAACTAGAGGCTGGGCGTGGTGGCTCATGCCTGTAATCCCAGCACTTTGGGAGGCTGAGTGGGCAGATCATGAGGTCAGAAGATGGAGATCATCCTGGCTAACGTGGTGAAACCCCGTCTCTACTAAAAATACAAAAAATTAGCCGGGCATGGTGGTGCGCGCCTGTAGTCCCAGCTACTCGGGAGGCTGAGGCAGGAGAATGGCGTGAACCTGGGAGGCGGAGCTTGCAGTGAGCTGAGATCGTGCCACTGCACTCCAGCCTGGGTGACAGAGTGAGACTCTGTCTCAAAAACACAAACAAACAAACAAACAAACAAAAACAAAACAAAGAAGGAACTAGAGCCAGCATACCATTGTTGTATTGTAAGTGAGAGGTGAGGTGGGCTTGGATGAATGGGTGGCGGTAGAATGGAGGTAAACCAGTGAATCTGGGAGTAAGTACTTCGTCTTCCACTGCCCCCGGGTTGGGGGAGGGATTGGGATGCAGCAGAAACCACCCAGCACAGGGCCCTGACATTTTACAGTTGCTCAGGGAATGTCAGTGGGGTGAACACAGGAATGCACTAAAAGTAGCTGGGGTGGGGCATTGGCAGCTCTTGGGGCTGGGCTCACCTTGGGAGGGGGGCGGGGTACTGTGGGTGCAGGAGGCCCCAGAGGGAGTCAGCGCTGTGCTTCAGGGCATGTGCAGGACACCACAGTGGTGGGGCTCATCAGGAGCAGAAGTGCTGGGTAAAGGAGAGAAGGTCCAGGGACCTGCAGAGGCCACCTGCTGTCGCCAGCTGCTTGGGGAGGGTTGGGTTTATGAGGAGGAGTCAAGCGAGGCCACACCCTCCACTTCCATCATTGGTGACAGTGATGGCAGGTGGGGGAGGGGCAGCTTTATGATTCTCACATTGGCTCCAGAAGCTTTGGGTGAATGCTGAGGGGCAGGTGGCTAACCTGGGCCAAACTACCTGCAAAAGCATGTCTGATTCTGCCTAGAATTTAGAATGACTAATTTGAGATGGCCAGGTCACCCAGTGGAGCCTTGTTGTTAAGAGGGTGACTCTGGGAGCTCTTCCCAAATCCAAATGCCTTGTGGTGACCACCGACACTGTGGGGCTCTGACCTCTACCCCACGCCTCTCCTGGCTGCACCTCCCTGAGGGCCTTTTTTCCGTCCCTCAGATGAGTCTGTGCCCTTGCTATTCCATCTGCCTACAACTGTCATCTCTGCCTTCAGGACGGACAGACTCCTTTGTCTAATTCTAATCTCAACTCCAATATCGCCTCCCAGGTTGGCTTTTCTCAGCACCTCATTAACACAGAGCCCTACCCCCATCAGTCTTTCTCACACCAGCCTGTTTTATTTTATTTCTAGCATTTGTTGTCATCTCGGAGTATTTGGTTTGTTTGTTTACTTGCTTAATCTGCCTTCTCCATGAGTTTAAGCTCTATGGGAGCAGAAGCTTTGTCTGATTTGTTCATTGTTCCTACATTAAGTTGTTAGAGAAGCACCCAGCCCATAGTAGGTGCTCAATAATTATCTTTGCAACAAATGAACGAATGAATCTGAGCATCACCCCTAATGCACCAAACTCAGTTTAATGTGAACAAACTCAGTCTCTGTTGTGTTAAGGGATTTACCTGGATTCTGGTTCAGAATTCTAGAAGGCAGTTTTATAAATATAAAACAATAGAATTTAGTTGAACGTGATGTCAGGAAGAGAGGTGAATTTTCATGAGATCACAGAAGGGAGAGAATAACCCACATGATTATAAAAGACTGCAAAATAATTTGGTGTAATTGAAAAAGGCATGCTACTGAGCAGAATTTTAATAAATATTATGTCTGCTTATTTCTCTACTTAACAAAGAGAAAAGCCACCTTGATGCTTGTTTGGTGTTCAGCACTTAAAAAGTTCAACACTGAAAATCAGCGAGAGAAATGTATTCCTGCCTATTCATTTGGAAATGCTCCTGTGGAGAATTTCCTGTTCATGGTTTTACTGCTTAGAACACATTTTAGTTCTTTCCTGAAGCAGCTTTACTTTCTCTTTTCTTATTTTAAGGAAACATAATCAACTGTGCTGCTTCTCAAATGCCTCAATTGAGTAGCCATGACCAGAAAGACCCATTCATCCTTACAGTTTCAGCTTTGCCCTGCTTCAGAGCAAGTTCCTTACTTATTTCTGTTACTTGGACTCCTGGTCTTTTGGGGGGTTCCATTTATTCTCTTGCTTCCAGGATATCTAAGTCCTGTCTACCCTTGAAATTGAACGCACCCAAATAGCTCGTTGTCTAACAGTCAGAATCAACACCCCTTCTCAAATTCCCAAATTAACTTCAGAAATTCCCCTTCTCACTTAGTCTCTGGGAAGTATGATCTGGGGTCCCTTCTCACTCCTTTTCCCTCAGGAGCGTGTTATGAACAGTGTCGAAGGCCTCCTGCTTTTTGTGGGGCTGGAAGGCTCCTAAGGCCCTCCTAATTTTCCTTGGGCCTATTGCTATTCCTTTTATGTCACTCCATGCCCGCTAGCATCTGCCCTTCTCATTCACAGCCTGGGCCTGAGCCTCTGCACTTGGGCTGGTCGATGAGAATTATTGTTGTGCCTAAGCTGTTCTGTTTCTGTACCACTCTCCTTAGCCTGTCCACTCAAAGGAGCAGATCTACCATTAATGGGGATGCTGGCCCTAAGATTTCTTGGCAGGATCTGCCCTGCCTTGCATGCATGTGTCTGTGATACCTCGACCTGTGGTTTCAACCTCCCCAGTCCCTCATTTATGCAGGAACAGTCAAAGCCAGGTATACACTTCATGCTTATAACTTCTGAAATGCTTTACTTTTAAAACTATTAATACTTAAGAACAACAAGACTTGCAAAAATTCCTTTAAAATAGGCTACTTCTTGGCCGGGCACGGTGGCTCACACCTGTAATCCCAGAAGTTTGGGAGGCTGAGGCGGGTGGATCACGAGGTCAGGAGTTCAAGACCAGTCTGGCCAAGATGGTGAAACCCCGTCTCTACTAAAAATGCAAAAATTAGCTGGGCACGGTGGCAGGCACCTGTAATCCCAGCTACTCGGGAGGCTGAGGCAGGAGAATCGCTTGAACCTGGGGGGCAGAAGTTGCAGTAAGCCAAGATCGTGCCACTGCACTCCAGCCTGGGTGACAGAGTGAGACTCTGTTTAAAAAAAAAAAAAAGGCTACTTCTCATTCTCAATATCTAGGACAGGTTTAGATAGTTTATTTCATTTAAAAAATATGTATTGAAAATCTAGTGCATCCAGGCACCGAGCTAGATGCTGAGGAGTGAGAATAAATGGGAAACCTACAGTTCTTTAAAGCTGAAACTTGAACATTGAGTAGGGGCTAGGGAAGCAAAAGGAGTGGAGGTATGGGGATAGTGCACCAGGTAGAGAAAACAGCATGGAAAAGATTGGAAGAGAGCCGGGTGTGGTGGCTCATGCCTGTAATCCCAGCACTTTGGGAGACCAAGGCAGGTGGATCACCTTGGTCTCAGAAGTTCGAGACCAGCCTGGCCAACATGGTGAAACCCTGTCTCTACTAAAAATACAAAAAATTAGCCAGGCATGGTGGTGGGCAGCTGTAATCCCAGCTACTCAGGAGACTGGGGCAGGAGAATTGCTTGAATCCAGGAGGCAGAGGTTGTAGTGAGCTGAGATCGTGCCACTGCCCTCCAGCCTGGGCAACAAGAGTGAAACTCAATCTCAAAATAAAATAAAATACAAGATTTGAAGAGGAGCAAGATTATCTTAATGGTGAAACTTAATGAGGGCCAGGGCTCTTGAGCAAAATGAATCAGTGAGTGAGAATGGTAGAGATGATGTGAGGTTGAAGAGATGGTCAAGACAACTTTGTAGAGCATGTTTGAAATTTGTAACAGGCAAAGTTATTGATGCTACTTAAGCAGGGAGTGATGTGATTGTACTTGCAATTTTAAAAAGACCTTTCTGGAGAATGGGTTAGAAAGAGTAGAGTGTGGAATCAGTAACAGCAGTTAGAAAGCAATCAAAGGTGTTTTAGGGTGCAGGAGAGGTAGAAAAGATGAGGAGAAGTGGATCCATTTAAGAGATAGTTTGGAGATAACCAGAAGTAACCATGAAGCTTCAGCGTTGCATAAGATGGGTGGAGGGAGAGATAGTGGTGTCAGAATAAGCCTTAGATTTCTTCCTTGAGTGCTTGCTGTAGAGAGAGGTCTTTTTTTTATATTGGTTAAGATTTAGGGAGGAACAGATTTGGAAGCTGGAGAGCAAATGCTAAATTTGAGACAGGTTGAGTTTAAGATGTCTTAAATACAAAGGGAAAATGTCATGTTAATGGTTTGCTATTTAGATCTGGGGAGGAAATAAAAATCTGGGGACATTGGCATAATGATGGCATTTAAAAATCATGAGAGTTGGTGAGATTGTTTACAAGGAGAGAGAAAAAGGCTCCCAGTATCTAGTTTGTCTTGATCTACACGATGTTAAATAACTGGTCAATTTTATCAGTAAATAAACAATTTCATTTTGGCTTGAATTATCTGTTTAACTAAATTGACCTGTTCATCTGGTAACACTAGGAACTTCTGATATAGACATGGCAGCATAAATTAACATTTCCCCATTCCTTTTTTGGAACTGGTCTCCTATAACAATACAGAGAAAGAAAATTAGTTTAACTGTCTCTTTTTTATGTTGTTATTGTTGTTGTTGTAAAACTAGAAGACAGAGGCAGTATTTGGACTCCAAAATACATAAAAGAGCTGCCGAAAGTGACTCAGATATAGCAGAAGCCAAGTGGAAGAAAGAGAAGAGAAACACGGAGAATACAGAGAAGGTCTCGAGATATCAGGTCTCAGAAAGTACCAGAAAGAAAACACTTCTTGATACCAAGGGGCTCCTTCTCAGTAGTATACATTTACATGTTTTCACTTGGGATCTTATTTGGTCCAGAAAAGCAGAGGAGGTGGGACCCTAGAAAGAATGACACAGACGTGTCATACCGGCAGGAAGCCGCCATATCTATGGCAGTCGAGAAGAAAGGCCTTTGGGTTCTAAAACCTGCCAACTGGAGGATGGCCCTGACTTCTCTCTCACCTACAGGAAACTCCTGGATAGAGTTGGTCCAGGAAATCTAACTCATTCAATAATGAGCAATCAAAATACATTAGAACAACATTGATATAGAGACTATTAAAGATACAGGAGAAACAAGTAGCAGTAGAAAAAAAGATCCATCTAAAACCTGTTCCTATAGAATTCATAAAAATTTTGAGTAAACATTTTGCTCTGAATTAAAAAAAAGAGAAATAATTGCCTTTATGAATAAAAACCCCAAAGGAAGCATGTGAGAAATCAGAGAAGCTAGGGTAACACAACAGAAGGAGACGATGTGTGAGCTGGCAGGAAAGAAATAGAGAAACACCCTCGAAACTGTCACGGAAAAAAAGGGCAAAATTGTAAAGAGCATAAAGAATTGACAGCACTGAAAATATAGTAAAGAACATAGAACATAGAAGGGAGGAACACTAACAAAATAAATGCAAACAAAATGAGAGTCTAAAAGGAGTAAAGAGAAAAAAAAAAGATAGCGGTGGAAGACAGAAGGGGGCAATCCAAAATTCACAGGGGCAGAGTCTCCAAAGACAAAAACCCAAACAATGAAACTTTGAAAATGAAAAACATACTTAAAATGGCAGAACCAAGATTGCTATATTAATCAATATAAATGAGCTTAACTCTCCTACTTAAAAAAAAATCCAGCTTAATTTCAAAAGGAACACCTGATTGTGGACAAGAGATAATCCTGAAACAAAGTGACTGAAAAAAGGTTGGAAATAGACAAATAGGCACAAATACACCAGCAAATGACAGCAATAAGAAAGCAGAGGTTGAGATCTTAATATCAGCCTAGGCAGAATGCAGGGGAAAAAGCATTAATGGAATCAAAAAAGGAATTTGAAGATACTAATGTGTGCAGTAATGTGTAATGAAGATACCACACTGATGAAATCTGCACACTGACTAGCGTAGTCTCAGTATTCATCAAGCAGAAATAACAGAAAATAAAGGAGAAAAGATGGAAACACATTAAAAATAGGAGACTTTAAAATTTTTTAATTGGACAAATTAAGAAGAACAGCCAACTAAAGTTAGCACTGAAACTTAAAAAACAAAAATCTTCCATTAGAAATTTAAAAATTTGCTCCTTAACAATTCTTGAGTCAACAAGGAAATGAAAACCCAAGTTAGAAAACAGTGATAATTAAGGAATTACCTATCAGCATCTAAGGGACACAGCAAAGCAGTGTTCAGAAAAAGACATAAATACGTTAATCAATCAAAAAGAAAGAGTGAACATAAATGAATTCAGGAGTGGTATCTGTAAGCTCCATCAACACGTACTCTCAGCCTCCTGTCCAGGTAGAATGATGTCAAATTCAGCCTAAGTATTTAAGTGAAAGCCAATTTTACTCTCCCACAGACACTAAGTACATAGGTACATGTTTCTCATTTTGAAATATCGGATAGCCTCTCTTTTGCCACTTTTTGGAGAAATGGGCTTATCAGGCTTGCAGAAAGAATTCACTAAACAGTTCTCTCCTCCTCTCTCCCCCAGATGAACATGAAATGAAGAGGTAAAGGGATGTATGGGTACGAAAAATGATGGTATACTCAAAACAGGACAATTGTGGAAGGAGTATTTCTGTTCACACAGGTGTGGGTGAGGGCAGTGATTGTCAACCTTGGCTGACTTTAGAATTATCTAGAGAGCTTTTAGAAACTATCAATGACCCCAGTCTTTCCTTTTGTAGCATTTTATAGCAATTTGTGATTATTTGATCAATGTCTGTTTTTCTGAAGACTGTATGTTTTGTGGGAACAAGAACCGCATCCATTTGGACCAACCCTTCCTGCCCTACCCTGGGTCTAGTTCAGTGCCTGCTCAGTCACTTGGGAATTTTTAATTGCATTGGTCTTAGGCAAAGGCCTGTAATTGGGATTTTAAAGAACTCCCCTGCGGTTCTACTAAGCAGTAGGGTTGGGACTACTGGTGTCAGGGATCCTATAGTAACGTGGAGATGAGTACAGTCACCTGGGGCGAGGAGTAGCCTGGCCGTGACTACTCCCCCAAAGGGATCAGCAGAGGGAATGGTTATGGGAACCTGAAGTATAGACCAGGCCACCTTGAGGGGAGCAGTAACATTTGATCAAGGAACCAAACCAAGAAACAGACGTACAGGGAGAGAGCCCAACCTCGTTCTCCTCTCTCCTAGGATTCTGTTCCTCATTAGCTGAAGCCAGCTGGAAGCCTGAGGGGACAGAAGCATCAATGCTGTTGGCACCATCAGTTTTGGTGGAGTTACATGTGGCATTCACTTCACATTGGCCAAGTAGCAAATCCTGGCTCTACCGTTTACTGGCCATGTAACCTTAGACAAATCATTTGGACAATTTCCTCATCTGCAAAATGGGGGTAATAATTCCTTCAGAGGGTTGCTGTGAGGCTATGATGAGATAAGATATGCAGGAGGAAAGATGTCTGGTTTAAGATCTTAGCTAAAAATGAATCACCCTGTATTTTGGCAAAAAAAAAAAAAAAGGGTAACTTTCAGGGTGAATGTTACCTGAATAAATTCTCCTTTCCCTCACTAGAATTAATTCACTTTTGGGCAATGGTTCTCAGACTGTTTGGAAAGGCAGCAGGCTTAGCAGTTAAGGGCTCCAGGCCCAAAGTCGGAGTTAGAATTTGAGCTCCGCCACTGACTAGCGATGTAACCTTGGGGATTTAACTTAACCTCAGTCTCAGCATCTGTAAAATGGGGATGGAAATAGAATCTTCCTCATAAGGGATTTGAGGATTAATTAACATCATGCATGTACAGGGCTTACCATACTACCCGGCATTTCATAAGCACACAATAAATTTTAACTACTCTTATTAAGTTTTGGAGAACAACGGAGCCTGATGAGCTACATTTTGTGCTTCAAAATTAATAAATACAGTCAGATTCATAAATAGAACATTCTCAATTTTGTTTTTCCCTTCAGTATATTTAAAATCTTTAGTGATAACTAGTTTGTTGTCAAATGTGTGGGGAAAGAGAGGATGCTGCTTATTCCAGTGGTTTTAGCTTCCCACAGACTGAACTTGAAGAGTATTTTCTGGGTGAGCCATATGGAGAGTTTTAACTTTATTGAGAGAGTCATAGTGCCGAGAATTTCCTGAGTGCTTCTTGTGTGTATCTCACAACTACCCTATGAGGCTGAGGTTCCAAATCCATATTTAAAATCTCTAAGGTTGTCCATATATTATCCATCTTTTAATAAATTATTCAAAATAAATAAGTAATAAGTTAATATGATAGAATAAAATCTCAGTATTTTGTTGTGTTCTATAATCTCCCCCATCTTTCATTTGGTCACTTGAATGAACACACTGAGAGTTATTATTTGATTATTTCCCATGCCGTACTGTTAAATCGCCCATTATGGCAATAGGGCCTGGAGTTTTGCTATTATATATTTTTACTTAGCAAAGGGCTACACACACACACACACACACGTACGCATGCACACAGGCATGCACAGGTATACACTTCCTAAAGTTAATATTAAATGACCGGAAAGTTTTCAGAGTACATGAATAAGTGTACTGTTCTTCCTACCAGTCCTATCTTGCTTCTAGCACAGTGAAATTTGGCCTGCTATCTGCTTAGCACAAGGCTCAGCAAATCCTTGTTGAACAAAAGGAAATTATGTTGAATTCTCCAACATCCTTGCAATTGCCCAACAGTTAAATCTATCCCGGTTTCTCTTCTTTCTTTCTTTCTTTAGGGATCTCCTAACCAGTTTAGCATTGCTGACCTATGTTTCCCTGTTCTGACCACTTCCTCTCTCAGCTCATTGATAAAGATTTTTCCATAGGAGGCCAACCCGGGTATGCCTAACTATTATGACCGAGGAAAGGGTCTAGTCTCCTTTGTTTATCTGCTGTCTGAGCCTACCAGGGAGGTCATGACTTT
Organism: Homo sapiens; assembly: GCF_000001405.40. NCBI lineage: Eukaryota > Metazoa > Chordata > Mammalia > Primates > Hominidae > Homo > Homo sapiens. The sequence goes on from NC_000018.10 coordinate 24,861,483, forward strand.
AAAAATATTTTCCCTACTCTGAATGGTGGGTGGAATCAATCTAGGCTTTTGGCACAGAGGCCTAGAGGAGTCTTTGAAGCCGACTTTGCCTGCGGTAAGGAAGCCTGTCTCTTGCTTTCCTATTCCCAGTCTGTTGAGCGTCTTCTGATGGGGCCACTGTTGTGTGGGGAGGGGAAGAAGCCTCCCTGATTCGAGGAGAAACTGGAGTGTTCGCACCACCCTGATGAGGGATACAAATATATTTGCCCCTGGTGAGCTGTTTGTAATTAATGCGTGCTTTGTGGTTTTAATCTTTCTTTAATCTGTAAAGCTATAAAAATTTACAGCTCAATTTTAGAATCAAGAAAAAAGCTAAATTGCACAGCTCAGTCCTTAAAGTTAACCATTTCACAAGATCACAATTGCAAGGAGAGTGTCCGCAGAGGCTCTTCCTGTGCTGTTCCATTATCTTTTCTCAGTGGTCTTGTTTTGTCCCTTATCCAGAAGTCACTGGAAACAGGAGAACCATCTCTCTACCTGTTTCTGTCTCACAAACACACACAGTGCCCCAAAGAAAATAAACAATACAGTACATGGTCTATAAAGCAAAGGGAAGAAAAGAACATCTTAGGTAAATACCAGACTACTTATTTTATGATTTTTAAATGTCATTTTTGCTCCAATATTGACTTTTTTTACGGAGGATGAATTATAGATCCTGCAGCACTGGGAGAGACCAGGGTTTCCTTTCTTAGACACAGCTGGTCAAGTTAAGAATTGAAGTCGTGGTAATTAGTTACGAGTTTCTTAGTATGGAAGTCCAGACTGCTGAGAGAACCCTGCGAGGTGACCCCTCCGGGGAAGACAATACACCCGGGAAAGGACCGGAATGGGCAACGAAGAAGCACAAAACAACATCCCAATCTTGTTGCTACAAACAGATGTTGCCGCGGGCGCTCGCTTGCAAGAACGAAATACAATACAATCCCTCATTTGTCTGACCAGGTTTCTCTCTCCAAGAATTGGTTTCGAGGCAAATTATTTCAGGGTTGCACAGGCTGGTAAAAGGCAGTGGAATTGGAAGCTATCGTCCTTGGCGACCTCAAGTCTCAGAAATGATGCTGTGAAAGTGAAAGGGGTTGATCAGGGGTCAGGGGGAGACTTGGAGCCAGAAACCAGGTCACAAGGAAGGAGGGGGCGGCCAGACTTCCAAGAAGAGGTTTTGAGAAACTAGCTAGAGGGAGCGGGTGTGAATTAAGATTCCTGGAAGGAGGTCATGGGAGGCTAAGGGGGAAAGAAAGAGAAAACTAAGTTAGTATCAACCCTGCCCTTCCCGAGATTTTGATTGTTCTCTCAGTGCCTATACAGACAGAGAAATGCAGGCTTAAAGAAATGGAGATTGCATTAGGGAAATTCAATTTGCCAAGACAAAAAGAAGTTCATTCAGATGAAAAGGGGTTAGGATTTGGTGAGGGGAAAGCCCTTTTGTTTTGTTTAGAAGAGTTTGTTTTTTTGTTTTTGTTTTTGTTTTTTAATAAAGTGTATATTAACTTGCCCTATTTTCCAACTTGCTTGTGAAGCCAAGTGAGTCAACTGTATTCTTATATGTTTTGCCAAAAAACATTATTATTCTATTAGAAGTTAAAGGCAAACACTACTACAAACCTGTAATTACTTAAATCTTGAATTTATTGCTCTCCATCTATTTTCCTTAATCTAACTGCTTCTATAACAATAAGCCATTATTGTTGTTGTTGTTGTTTTAGAGATAGTGTCTCGCTCTGTCACCCAGGCTGGAGTGCAGTGGCACTAACATACCTCACTGTAACCTTGAACTCTGGGGCTCAAGGGATCCTCTGGCCTCAGCCTCCCACGTAGCTGGGACTACAGGCATGTGCCACCACACCTGGAGAAAAGTTTTTAATTTTTTTAAATTAATTTTTTAGCTTTTTGTAGGAAGGAGGTCTTGCTATGTTGCCCAGGCTGGTCTTGAATTACTGGCCTCAAGCGATCCTCCCACCTCGACCTCCCAGAACACTGGGATTAAAAGCATGAGCATAAGAAGCCATTTTGAGGGCAAGCAATACTACTGAGAATAGATATTTGTTGAAAACCAGTTGTATGCCTAGCACTGCATTTGTAACAATAATACTAACCAGTGCCTATATAGCACATCTATCTATCTATCTATCTATCTATCTATCTATCTATCTATCCATCTATCTACCTATCATCATATATCTATGCTAGGTGCCAGGCTTATTTTATGAGGTCTACATGTAATATTAACCCCATGACAACCCTATAATATAGGTACTATTTTTACCTGCTCTTTACAGATGAGAAAACCATGGCTCAGTGAAGTTAATGACTTGCCCCAAAATTATGTAGCTAGCGAGTGACAGAACCAGTGTTTCGGTCAGACTGCTGGGTTTCAGAGTCTGGGCTGCCAACCATGACACTCATTTCTTTTCATGGTAATTTCATGCCTTTCAAAGTAGGTAGTGTTATCATCATTCCCAGATAAAGAGATTGAGATTCAGAGATTAAATAATTTAACCAAGATTGCCTAGTAAGTGGGAAAGCCAGAATTCAAATCCAAGCCTATTGGAATCCCATCTTGGAGGGAGAGCAGTAGCTGAAATGCTTTAGACCTGTGCGTTTTAAACTTTAACGTACACACAGATTGCCTGGGGATCTTGTTAAATGCAGGTTATGATTCCATAGGTCTAGAGTGGGGCCTAATATTCTGCATTTCCAACAAGCTACCAGTTGATATTGATGTTGCTGTACCATAGGACAACACTTTGCAAAGTAAGGCTTTAAGAGCTAGGAGCCATAAAACAGAAGGTGTTTCTAAGCTGTTCCCCCATCCTTGCTCTGGTGAACATGGAGGTGGCAAATTTAGCTTGGGATTCTGCAGTTTAAAATAAACTCACTATTTTCTTTCCTTAATCATCATATACTGCCATTGAGATTCAGGGAGTTTCTTTCATAAGTGTAACCACTTATACTCTTTTTGATTTAAAAAAAAACCATGTCATTATTAGATTCATCCTAAATGTCACCACTTTCTTCATAAAATATCTCTTTAAATTTCTTTTACATACATGCATTCCCCTTCGATTTGCACTTATGTCCTTTTGTTCTGATCTACCTAATAAACTCAAACTGATCATCAACCAAAAATTTATGACATGTTGAATTTAATACTTCATTCAGATTGTTTCCTAATCACCTACTTTTAGAACTAAATCTGGAATCCAATTTTGTCCATTTCTCTTCAATCAGAAGATCCTTCATTTGGTTAGTTATCTTGAATTTCCTGTGGAATTTGTACCCTCCAACTTATGTCTGTCTTTCTTTTCTCTATAAACACCATAACTAGATTCTGAACCTCAAATCTATATGTCAACTGTGGCCTACCCAACCCCCTAGAAGGCAATAGAACAATATCTTGGAATTTATGATTTATGCCAAGCCCCCTTGTCAGCCTCACTTCTACTGCCAACTGAGCTGAAAATTGAAATTCTGGTTCAGTCTGTAGAGTCAGACTCTGTTCTTCTGTTGTGTTAACTAATTCATTGCTAACCTTAGCTGCAGTGTTGTGCTTACTCAAGAGCATCTCATACTAAAGACTTTAAATGTCATTTACAATCTCTTTATTCCTTTCCCTCATTGATCAAACTTATCCAGAGCAACAATTATTTCCTTCTGGGTGCTAATTTTTTCCTCCATTTCATGGCACTTTCAAACAAAGCTTGCAGGCACACTGCAATCCTTCATTAACTGAAAACATGCAAAGTGCACAAGCCCTTCCAATGGAAAGTGCAATGCAAAAGCCAAATGAGGTAAATTGCATTACTTGACCGGCCCTGGGACAGTTTAAAGAGTGTTACATATTAATACGCTGCCAAGTCTCAAGATGATGGGAAGATTCTCATCAGAACCCAAGGCAGTTATTGAAGAGGAGACCACCCCTGCTGCACACAAATGCAGTCTTGCTGATAATCACTGATGGACTTATGATGAAAAATAATAAAAAATATTGTTCAATGGGGGAAAAATGATAGAAGAGGTCAACCAGGGTCACCATGGCTAGGCATCCCCTCAACTAATTTCTAATTAATACATTCATGATCTTTGTTTATAGCCACTCATTTCATTTTATCATCATGCCTAGTATATGTGTAACTGTTTGTATTTGAAATTATTACCCTTGCTATATTGTGTACCTTACTATATTCTGTCACCTAGAAATTCTGTCTCACCATAATTTATTTCTCTGGCCGTAATATGTTTGAATTACAGTTATCCTAGGGAGTTTCTTTTGGTTATGCCTACAGAGGTGGAGCAGCAGTACGGGAAGACAATTGCAGACAAAAGTCACAGCTTTTAAAAATCCATCCACGGTATTAAGAAAGGAGTTCCTGGCCAGGCGCTGTGGCTCACGCCTGTAATCCCAGCACTTTGGGAGGCCGAGGCGGGCAGATCACGAGGTCAGGAGATGGAGACCATCTTGGCTAACACGGTGAAACCCCGTCTCTACTAAAAATACAAACAATTAGCCGGGCGTGGTGGCAGGCGCCTGTAGTCTCAGCTATTCGGGAGGCTGAGGCAGGAGAATGGCATGAACCCGGGAGACGAAGCTTGCAGTGAGCCGAGATTGCACCACTGCACTCCAGCCTGGGTGACAAAGGGAGACCCTGTCTCAAAAAAAAAAAAAAAAATGTTCCTGGAATAATTTTGAGTCACTCTGTGCCTCGTTCCTGACTCCTGCCTTCCATAGCTGTAATGTCTTCAGTTCCTGACTCAGCTTTTCCCTGGACTTTGGAATTCTGATTGCCCTTGGAACAGTTTTTTTTTTTTTTTTTTTTTTTTTTTTTTGAGATGGAGTCTCACTCTGTCGCCAGGCTGGAGTGCAGTGGCGCGATCTCAGCTCACTGCAACCTCCGCCTCCTGGGTCCAAGTGATTCTCCTGCCTCAGTCTTCCAAGTAGCTGGGACTACAGGCATGTGCCACCACACCCGGCTAATTTTTGTATTTTTAGTACAGATGAGGTTTCACCGTGTTGGCCAGAATGGTCTCAATCTCATGACCTCGTGATCCGCCTGCCTCGATCTCCGAAAGTGCTGGGATTGCAGGCCTAAGCCACAGCGCCTGGCCATCCTTGGAACAGTTTTGCCCCTTATTGGGAACTCCCAAAACTAATTGCTCAGCTCACTGCCCAAGGGGCTGACTTTTCTGGATTGCAGAGCACACATGATCGTGTAGCCCTCACAATTGAATGTTCATGTCCCTGGACTTTGGCTCTGTCCAGGCTCCGTGATCACACTGGGTGCAACAATTTGGTTATTTTAAAAATGGAAAGTACCCCCAAAACTTTAAGGTTAGGTTGACTTCTACAATATCAATTCATCTTCATTTAGGAAATGTCTGCTAAGTTGTCTTACCATGTTAAGACTAATCTTGAACCAGACGTGGGGGCTCACGCCTTAATCCCAGCACTTTGGGAGGCAGAGGCGGGCAGATGTCTTGAGCTCAGGAGTTTGAGACCATCCTGGCCATCACGGTGAAATTCCGTCACTACAAAAATACAAAAATTAGCCGAGTGTGGTGGAACGTCCCTGGAGTCCCAGCTACTCTGGAGGCTGAGGTGGGAGGATCGCTTGAACTAGGGAGGCAGAGGTTGCAGTGAGCCAAAATTGCACCACTGCACTCCAGCCTGGGTGACAGAGTGAGACCCTATTCCCCCAACCAAAAAAAGACTAATCTTGTTTGGGTGCATCTTGCCTGCTGGAGTTGTCTGAGTGACCACCAGCATTGCCCTCAGCCCTCTGAATGACTGATTCACATCACCGTTCTGCTCTTCTGCATATGCAAACCTCAGGAAGGAGTCCCAACGTGGGGAACTAAAGACGCATTAAATGCCTTCATGGGGTCAGGGAAGAGTGGCCAACGTTAATGTGCTCAGGTCCCTGCTCTTTTTTCACGCCTCTTCTCTATTGTGCTGCAAGCATCATGTCTGCAGGAATGTGTTGTGACCAGAATACACAATACAGATCCCACAGCATGTGACTGACAGCGTTATTTAGTCAGTGGTCCAAAAAGAACCCTAGCCAACATCTCTAGAGCCCAGGAAAGCCATGAGATCCTGGAGGCAATTATTACAATCAGTGTGTTCCTCCCTCCTGTAGATGACAGTAAAAATGGTATTTAGAAAACACCTTGGCTGTTGCTTCTGAATTGAGAAAGCCCCTCTACAGATATCTCAAAGGGGCTGTGAACTCTGCCCCAAATATCCCTCTGCCCCTCTCACCAGAACCTGTTAAGTTCTCCATGTCTCCAAGTTCAGCAGTGACAGGAGAGTGGTGCATCCCTATTGTCACCTTTTGACTGATTCTTTTGTCTACAGAAGGCCTTCTATGAACTGGGATAGTTTGCAAGATGCTGTTTTCTTCACCAAGATGGGTGATGATGGTTAAACTCACAGATGGACATCCAGGCAATGTTCCTCACTGGGGAGACATATAGGCAAACACATTAATGTATATATTTAATTGGGTTATAATCTATTGACCATAGATACTAAGGCACTGAGCAAGCAATTAACAAAACAACTTTGACTAAATATAGTTAGCACTAAATATAGTTGGTTAATTGGTATTTAATATGCTTATTAAATGTCAATTAAGTATCTTTAGCAATGAATTGGTACCTAATTAACTTACTATAGCTATCCTGTTACTTGACATTTGAACAGCTAAATATTCTTTACAAGTTTAATGTTTTAATAAGAAACAAATTATCTATGTATTGCTCATGAATTTTTCAGTTAGTTTAATGGGATTTAAATATATCTCCCAACTTGGATTCATGCTTTTCTTATAATCAACGTATAGTTTACATTTCAGATTTCTTTTAAACTTGGAGGGCTGATTATGTGAGAGAAAAAAGCTATAGAAGTAGCTTATAAGAAGTGTTCTAATGTTGTTTCTACCGGACAATCTGTGTTTATCTTAGACATATTATTTCACCGCATCAGAGGCTCAATTTCCTCATCTGCTATGTGGCATTAAGAATAAATGTTGGAATTGTTGAAAACCCAAATTCTATAAAACACATGCAAGCACTTAAATAAGCAAGATATTTTCTTAAAAATAATGATGAAAAATTCTTAGGAAGCTTTAGTGTGTAATCATTATAATAACTAAATCTTCATGTACAAAACCTTAAGATAATTTATTATTGGAATAGAAATCCAATGGCCTCATTTTCTGAGTTGTCCCGAAATAATATAAACTTGCTTTTATTAAATCCCCGGTTGGGAGGGGCATCTGAGCTGTGAGGTGCCTGGGTTGCTCTTCCAAACACACATGCCTTTCTCTTTATCTCATCATCTCTTTATTGGCTCTTACTCACGATCCCGTTTACTTTATTAGTTTGAGAGTGTAGCAAACTGTTGGTCTTTTAGCCAGAAATTGTTGGCCTGTGACTATGGCTCTATCATCTCAGATATGTTATATTTAAAATTTTTTATTTACTTAGTTTATGGTCTTAACTGACCTCTGTGTTAATTCCTCTATTTACTTGTACTCAATGGCTTCTTGATGATTCATCATCTTAGCAGCTTTTCTCAGGGCTGTTGGTAGCATGCAGCAATGAAAGCATTTTGTCTGCATTTACGTTCACTTGTTTACATCTTCTTCACTACATAAACAAGGGCTCTTTTATTAAACCCTTGCAATAATTTTAGTGCCAATTATCCTATCTTGGCTCACTACACCAGTCTTCACACTCATCAAACATTTGCTTTACTTAAGCTATAACTATGATAAATTAAAAAAAAGAAGTACTTGGTGTCTCTCCCTCAGCCTTTGTTGTTGGGTCTTTCCTAAATGATTTCATGGCTTGTACTTATTCTATTTTTCAAAGTCTTTATGGTTTCAAACTATGGCCATTATTACTGACTAATTTATAGAGGTTGCAGTCAGCCTTGTCCTAGCGGCTTAACCCAGTTTTGTTTCCAGGGGCAATATACATTGTTGAAGTTAATTGTTCCCTAACCACTTTTTCCATATGGCAGAGTGAGTCTCTCTGTAATAGCTTTGGAATGATTTATCCAACGTGTGTCATTATACCTTGGATATTGCTTGGGAAGTCTCTTGAATCTTTGTTGGGCCATAACGTATTTCCAAGTAGATATGTTGAAACTGCTACCTTAAACCCACCAATTGCCTTAATTTTGTTGCCTGCATTAAGATCAGTTTGTAATATTTTCTCCACAAGTGAATTAAATGTTATTATCCTTATTATCATTATTGATGCTATCATTGTACAGGTGCAAAAATATTTCTATTTCCACTGTTTCTGAATCTTCCTCTATGGATCTACGGTTAGTGATTAGTACTATATTAATCATTCATTAACATATTTGGAGTTCCCTATTCATGCTGGAAACTAGTACAGGCTTTCAGTAAAGTTAGAAGCGACAGAGGATTGTGTGCTACCTCAATAGGCTTAGACAGTGTAGTACAGTGTTTAAAACCAGGCTCAAAAGAGAGAGATACAGTCTCTCACCTCCACTCCACTAGTGGTGGGAACCTGGAAAGGTGTCTCCTAGCTGTGATTTCTGCCTCTACATAGGAGAGAAAAAAATAGTACTTACTATATAGGGCTGGTAAGGATTATAGGGGGTGGTGTGCTTAAGGTATCAAGTATGACACCTTGCAAATGACAAGCTCTCAATAAAAGGTCAACTATTATTGACCAACATTAAACAATATTAAGTGTGATTTAAGCAGATAGAAGAACAAGAAGACACTTTAAAAAAATATCTATGGCTTTATTAACATCCAAGGAAAAAGATAATAAATGACAGTGAGGCCAGATGCTGGGTGCATAGATCATGAAAACATTAGCCACCAAAGCACCTGACTGCTTTACTGACACTTCCTTAGTCAACTGCAGAAGAGCAAAAAGAAAAAAAATAATTTATTTCCCTATCTCTGTATAATGAACTCTCTTGGCTGCATTGTTTGAAACAGTGAAGAAGTTTTGGTATTTGCAGCATACTTCATGGTTTGAAAATGTTGATATATATGTATTCTAACTTGATTATGTCAGGCCAGTAGAACAAAGACATTCCAATTTCCATGTCAAGGTGATAACTGGATTATTTAGGTGTCAAAAGTACAAAATGTGTATTAAACCTCTCTCTGCCTTGGTGTAATGATATTCTGTATGGGAGACGTATACACAATAGTCCTGTACAAGTCAAACAAATAAGCGTGATCTGCACCAGGGCAATGGAGTGGGACAAGCGCTTATGAATCAGACACTTAACATTCAAAGAGAGACGGGCTCACTAAAGCTGACTGCTAAGATGGAGTCTTTAAAATGTGCTTAACTGCATGTGTCAGTTCATTCACGAAGGTTTTTACATTAAAAAAGAGAGCTACTTTATGAAACCAGCTATCAAGTAGAATCTACACCACTTCATCACGTTTCACTCTGAGTTTATAGCAGAAAAACACACACACACATAGAGACACACACACACATGCATGCACACACAATCCATCCTGGGAGTAACATTAAAGCAATTCAGTCACTGAGTGTTGAGCATCTGTTGTGGCCAGGCAGGCACTGTGCTAGGCTCTGGGGAGCCACGGATGAAGAAGACAAGGAGCTTGTGATCTAACAATGGAAACAGAGGCTTATGTTTATTTCTTCCCACAGTGATCCATGCAATACCAAACAAGGGGCTTTGGGAACACAGAGGACGTAGTAAGAAATTCTGCTATGTGGTGGGTGAGGGATACAAAGAGAGAGGGGAACATATTGGTAAAGAATGTATACAATTCTGTCTTTTAAAACTTAATGCTATTTATATTTCTAAATATATGAAATTTCAAAACCAATACCTGTGGAATTGAAACCTTCAGTATAGTCTGCCACATGTGCCAGCATATCTGTCATAATGCCACCAAAAGTGATTATAGGTTACAGTGAAGATTAAAATAAGATAGAACCGCATTGAAAAGTCATTTTGACAAAACTCTACTTCTCTCTTCATATTGGTTGGTTGTTCAATCAAAATGAGCAGTTATTTTGGTGTTAAATGAAGAAAGATATTTGCAACTGAGAAAATTACCTGGTATCACATGCTTGTTATAATATTAACTAACTTCTCACCACCTCTCAGAAAATTTAATTAGCATTGACATGAATTGACAAGCTCTCGCCCTAAATCTGCTTCCATTAAAAAATAATTACATTTATTAGTGTTATTGAACACATAGTTTATCCAATACAATCCTTCTGACTTCCTGAAGCTTGTCGGGTACCTGAGCTACTGCAATGGCATGCCTACTCAGCTATCCGTTTCCAAATGTTTCCCATTGTAACCATTCACTACACTGCCTTTGGGGTATGCTTTCCTTCCAAAAGACGGATCCATTCATATCACCTCCTTGCTTCAGAACCTTCTGTGATTCCTGATGTCTAATAGAATAAAGCCTAGATGTGTTATCCTGGCATTCAAGACAATTCATGTTTTGATATCAACCTAACTTTCCTGTCTCAAGTTCTGCCAATCTCAGTGATGCACTCCTGTCACCACTAACTACTTACTGTCCTTTGAGCCCTTTACTGTTCTTGCCCCTCTAGCCACCCATGCTTGTTGACTTGCTTCTTTATGGGAAAGCCCTCTTGTCTCATTTTCTGCTGCTATGTGACCTTACACTTTAAGACCCAGCTAAATTGTTACATTTGGGACATTTTTTCTGACCCTCCCTCTCAAAAGTTAATTGGATATGACCTTAACATGGTGCACATATTTCTGTAGAAGCTCATGTACATATCTCTCTCGAAGCAGGTATTCCTTCTTTGTGTTGCAGTTATGCATTTGTGGACATCTCTCTCTCTCCTTAATTAGAATCACCTTATACATCTCAAGAATAGGGACAATGTTATTCATTTTTATATACTCAGAGCCTATCAGGTTCCTCAGGTTTTCTTCTATAAATAAACATTATATAGTCCAGCATCATTATCCTTACGTCACAAAAGAGGGATCCATGCTCAGAGAGGTTAGCGAACTTGGCTGAGGTCATACAAGTCCTGAACCCTTGGCCACACTTCACAGTGTCAACTGTTCACCATCATGTCTACAGATTTAAGGTTTTCTAGGAGTGCTCCTTTATCATCTGATTGACTTTTTTTCACATAGTACACAATTGTAGGCATTCTGTTAGTTTGTTAGGGCCACCATAACAAAGCACCATAGACAGGATGACTTAATTAAAAGGTATTTATTTCCTCACAGTTCTGGAGGCTGGAAGTCCAAGATCAAAGTGTCCGAAGGTTATTTTTTTTTTCTGAGGCCTCTCTCCTTGGCTTATAGATGTAGATGGTCATTTTCTCCCTGTTTCCCCACATGGTCTTCCTCTTGTGTGTGTCTATGTCCTAATCTCTTCTTTTTATAAGGACACCAGTCACACTGTATTTAGGTCCACCTTAACAACCTCATTTTAACTTAATTATCTCCTTAAAGACTCTGTCTCCAAATACAGTCACATTCTGAGGTACTGGAGATTCAAACTTCAACAGATAAATTTTGGGGGCACGCAATTCAGCCCATAACAGATACCTCATTTATGCCAGGCATCACGGTAAATGCTAAACTGAGCAATCTTTGAGGCTGACCCTACCGATGTTCATAAAGTTGGTAACAAATCACGTACTATCATTTTCATTGACCCTTAAGTATTTATGGTAGGGGAGGGGGCACAATAGAAACTGCAGATACAGTTTTCTTGGAAATTAATTAACTGGAAAAATGATTTTTTCATCTCATTTTCCCTTTGGCACTGTCAGAATCTCCAACCACCCTGGAGTCCTTTGCTCCAGAGAGAGGTCAGAGAAGGTGCCCTGTTCTAATTGTCAGAAACCCCATATTAGAATGTCTTGACTGACAACGCCACAAGTATGCTTACCACCTCAGTATTTATGATTTTCCTTGTAATTCTTGCTCTGACTGCAAATGGTTAATATTGTAAAATCACCAAAGTAAGGGAAACTGCTAAAATTTACAGAGCAAATTAGGAGTGCAGCATGAATTGGAAATCTCTTTCCCTAAGTGCCTGAGTTCTTTCCTTAATGCTGTGAATCATGGAATAAAGGACTTTAGGTAAAAGGCTGGAAAGTTTTCTCTTCCTATAGTCAAAGGGGCCAAGATTTCTCATGCCTTCTGAAGGCAACATATCCTGTAAATGATGACAATACTGGTCACAGCCTTAATGCCCACATAAAAGAGCAATTGTGAGAGAGTCACCTTCCTCCAGTCGTCTCTTTAAGTCCCTTGCGTGTCTCGATCACTTTTAAATCACCACACTCTTTCTTCTCTGCGGCAACGGTGAACCCAGAAGGCCCAAACATCTAAAACATCTTCTCCCCAGGGCTTCTTCTAACTCAATAAGAAAGTTTAAAACTCCTGACAAAGTCTCCTGTCTTTTTCTCCCTTCATGTTCCCTCCAGCGTCTTCCGTTTCTATTTCCCTCTGTGATGTGAAGTATTACAGATTCAGAAATACAATGTTTTGTGAATACTGGAGAACTCAAAGACCAAAGAGGCAATGAGCAAACACACAACACACTATCTGAGACAATAAAGCACTAGACAAGGTTTAGAGGTGTGACCTTGCACAGCTGGGCTCAGGGTGCAAAAATCAGGCATAGGAAAGTTTTACCAGGGGGATCCAGGCATAAATAAGTGTCTTAGTCTATTTTGTGCTGATATTACAGAATACCTGAGAGTGGGTAATGTATAATGAACAGAAATTTATTTCGCTCATGGTTCTGGTGGCTGGAAAGTCCTAGATTGAGGGATTGCATCTGGTGGGGGCCTTCTTGATGCATCATAACATGGTGGAAAGCATCACATGGGCAAGAGAGAGGGGTCCAAACTTGCTTTTATAACACACCTACTCTTACAATAAGGAAGGCAGAGCCCTCAAGACCAAATTCCGTTTTAAAGGTTTTACCTTGCAACATTGTTGCATTGAGGATTAAGTTTCCAGCACAGAACTTTGAGGAGTACATACAAACCATAGCAATAAGTAAGACCTATAGTGTTTTAGAAATGTCCAGCCAATACCTGCATGCTTTACGACTGTCTCCATAGCTTTATTTTCCTTGGACTTTTTCATATACTTACAACTTATATGGAAACCTTCCGTTGCTTAATAAATGTCTCTACTTTATAAAACACTGTATTTCTGAGCCAGCTTTGTCATTTTTAGTTGTTTCGAGAAGTCCTTGACTATCCTTTCCTTTATTCTGCTTTCTCTATTAGTGGGACTACATTTCTTCCCTTCTTGTGGGAATGTCATAATTAGTTACTGGGCCTTCTAGTATCAGGTTAAGAGAAGATAGGGGGAGGGGATAACAATAGAGTTGGTAAACCCAGTGAGGGCTACTGGCAGGAGACTAACCTTCACAGAGTGAGATATATGTGTTTGCTTGTGGATTTTACTATTGAGTTGGTGCAAAAGTAATCAATGGTTTTTGCCATTGAAAGTAATGGCAGAAACCACAATTTTTTTGCACCAACCTAATATTTTGAAAAGTAATCTGGGACTACCAATATGAAACAAGTTTTGTATGAAGGAAACCACAACCCAGTGTTCAGAATCCTCCTAATTTCTTTATCTCCCTTCTTTTCCTGCGTACGAAGCTTTCCACCTCCCTCCACTCAGCTTGAGAAATGTCTGAAGTGGGAATAACTGGAAAGGACCACCTGTGGGAATTTAAAGGATCCAAGAGAAGGCTTAAGCCTTGTCTACTGCCATGTAGGTCAGAGGCAGGAGCAGCTTCAGGAAAGGGCATGGGGATAAGGGGGCAACAGGAGAAACAAAGGGACTGTCTTTGTTGTGCTTTCCTGCCTGGAACGTGTCCACATAGGAATTTCCAGAGAGTCTGGGCCCAGGGCTCCTGCCTGGTACAAAGCGATAGGCTGGCTTGACCAGAGGGAGAACCGCCCACATTTTTACATTTCCTTCCCTGCTCTTCCTCTCCTATCTGGTATGGTATAAATGGAAATCTTGAGTCATAAACTTCTTGTGTCTTCTCTGTAGTTCTGATCCCAGCTGGCTGCAAACCAGATGTTTGATCTTAAATAGGTAGTTTTTACCTCTCAGGGCTCCAGTTTCCTCATTTGTGAAATTGAGCTAACAATACTTACTTTGCAGGTTTGTCGTGAGGATTAAATTGAAAAGCCACAGGAAAGAACCTAAAAGCTTGTCTGGTATGCAGTAGGCACTCACTGTGTGTCTATTGTTGAGGGCAGAGATGGTTTTCCTCTCAATCCCTCCAGGCCACAGCATGTCAGACAGTTCCCTGTACAAAGCAGGTGCTGGACAAATGTTAAATAAAGTAGGTCATAAAGCTGTGCCTTTGAGGAACCATGGAGCTCCACATGTGGGTTTCTCTGTTCCCTGATGCTCTCTCTGCCCGACCCCACACACACCCTTCCCTCAGGCCACTGGGGAACAACAACTTTGAACTTAGCTGTGGTTTCATTACTCTATGCTTCTTCTATGAAGCTATGCTGAAATGCACATCTCCTTCTTTACTCAGTTCCACACACACCCTTTTAAATTCAGCTTGAATGTCCCTTCTTCTGGGAAGCTTTCCCTGACTCCTGCCACCCATTCAGGGTGTCCCTTTTCTGTGCTGCCACAGCACAAATGACACTTCACTGTCCTGGTCAAGGGAATTGTCTTTTTGCCCCATCGGCCCAAGGGCACTCCTTGTGCTCTGCTGAATGAACATCCCCAGGGCTAGAGCCAGGGCCGAAAACAGAGAGAGAACCTTAAAAAGGACCTTTCGTGACCAAATGCAGGGCCAAACGAATGAACGTGACAATGTGGCTCTTTAATAGTGATGGAGTTTGAGTCATAAGCTGAATCACATTTCAGCAGATTGGGCCATCAACACAGCCCAGTGGCCCTGGAGGACAAGAAGTCTGTGGCCACAGGAAGGTGGAGAAGTTTCTGAAAATGCATTCCTCCTCTCCTCACAAACACACACTATGCCAGAGTTATGCAGAAAAAGGAAATGTTCAACATGTTGCAAATGGAAGAAACTAGAGGAAACGATGTTCTCCATTCCACCCAATACTACCTCCCTTAGTACTATTTGTGGGAATAATGGATGTGGCACTGTCAGAGCCAGATGGATGCGTCCCTAAAGGACGTGCAAGCTTGGCTGTGGGTCCGCAAATCCCTCACTGTTGAGAACTACCCAGGGCATACGTTGCTTTGAGGAATCACTGCAAATGGAATGTTATGGACTATTACGATAATCAATTAATAATCAATTAGTTTAGTAATCTTCTCTTGTAGAAAACCTGCTTAAACAATGATGAATCATGCAAACTCACTCAGGGCTGAAAGATGATAGAGTGGAGGAAAAAGTAGCTTTGCGGTTTACACACACACACACACACACACACACACACACACACACACAAAGAAAGAAAGAAAGAAGGAAAGAAAAAAAAAACTTAGAAAACAAATCCCCAAGCTTGACTGTCTCTGGAAAATGAATTCCACAGGCACTGACTCCAAGATGTTTTATCGAATGTGCTTTAGACTTGTAGGTGATGCATTGTCCCTCAGAGTCATTAAAAGAAACCCAGATAGCTGTAACGCAGCTTAGCTTCCAAGAAGTGCAGACTGTCCACACTTGTACTTCCGCACAATATATGGTTATTGTTAGATGTGAACATCCCCACATGCTGCCTGGATGGGGGTCTCTTTGTCTTTTATTCAGATGTGGGATAAGGATGCTTTCAGCACAGCAAGATGACAGCCATGCCTCCCCACTCAGAGCAGCCTCACAGTCCAAGCACAAGACAGAAACGAAAAGTTCCTTTGTTTGTAAGGCAATGCCCATCTTTTGTCATTCAGGCCCCCAAAGCTAAGGTATGTGCGGATCATTTTAGAATAATTTCAGTACTTTCTAAAAGACACAATCTCTACTAATTTTTTGGTCAGGAATGATGTTAGGAAAGCTTTATAATCTATTGTTGTGGGCAGTATACACTGAAGGCATTTAGGGCTGTGCTAAGAAAAAAAAACGTGGGTTTGTATTTCACTGGAAACAGAATGGTCATTATCCAGAATCCAGATGACGGCTCCCTTTGTGACACTGCTTTGGGTGGGGGGCGGGGGTGGGGGGTCCAACAAAAACCCTGCCCTTTCTACAAAAGACACTGGCCGAGAAATCCTCAAGGGAATGCTACACTGACTTCTCAGACTTTGGGGAGGCAGCCTCAGGCATTTTGTGTTCAGGATGCTGAACCTCAGAGCAGGATCTCACTTCATTTTTTTGGCAGAGAGGGCAGGGAATGTTGATGACTGAAGATTTGCCCGAACGGAAGCCAACAGGGTGGCAAAGTTTATTGATCCCACTGCAACCCTGGCCCCCAGGGAGTGCCTGATTACATCTTAATGTTTTTCTAATGTATCTCAGCATCACAGCAGTAGACATTTCTTTGCAGAGAAACCGTGCAAGACGTTGTACATCCTGGGCGGGGAGGGTAATTCCTGTCCCCTGGAACCTCAGCTTCTTCTAGAGCATCTAAAGAGGAAGCCAATATTTTAAGACTCAGAGATACTTTTGAGTAGAACATTTTTATTTTCCATGCTTCCCTTTTCTCCTAACTGACCTGTCTATCCTCTGTGGTGTGTGGGCGTGGGTGATTGTGTACTAAAATGATGATGTGAGTGGTCTTTTCCATTCCTGTTATGAACAATTGTGGAGTAAATAATTTTCACCTCCTGCTCCCAAGAATTGTGTTTTCTCATTTGCAACATACTGATTAAAATGGTTGAACTGAATACATTTTTATATAAATGCACATTTTAAGGATTTATTTTAAGCCTGAGATTATCATTATTTTCTTTCATCACTCATTTCTGGTGACACTTAAACCAACAACTCTATGGAAGGGACCAGCAGATGTCACTGTAGTTCTGTTCATTCATCTCTTCTCTTGACGGGATTCAAGTTCTATCCTTTTGGGCACAGCCGATCACATTTCTTATTTAATCAAAGCATAATGCATCATAACATTTGTAATTTTGTGTTGTTATTGTTCGTTCATTGTGTGTGGAATCGGATACATATCTTTGCAAACAGAGATACAAACTATAAAGTAGCCCAGATACCCCCAGTGAGGTGTAGAAATCAAAGGCCCTGCTGGGGAGCCATGATAAGGCGTAGGGACAAAAGAGCAGTGAGGGGCATGTGCACAGTGACCCCCATTCCGATGGACAGCCTCAGGACTGAAGAAGGACACATTCTGTCCATTCTTATGAAGGGCTTTCAGGGAGAGGCAGCTGGGTGCCAATGCTGGGTACAAGGGAAGATCTCATGTCCAGGGATGGCGGAGACCTGCTCATTAGCAGGGAGGAGAACAAGAATTGGAAACCTGGTGATTCTTAAGGGATGAAGTTTCTGGGGTCCAGTGTTCTCTTCTCTGAATTTAAAAAATCACTGCAGAGTCGTGTGTAAAGAAAGATTCATGTGTTAATTTCGAGTCTTGGTTCAGTGGAAGGTACGGTATAGTGTCTGGGAAAGTCAGTGTTTGAGGAAGAGAGGCTGAGCACAAAATGAAGAAAGCAAGACTATCTGCTTGACTTTGCCTTCCACATAACAGAAAGAAAGTCAATGTTGAGTTAAAAAATCAGAAAGGGCTTTGTTTGGAAAGTAATCACATCTCTTCTGCTAAAGAGAAAACTCTTTTTTTTGGCCCTTACTTTTAGTAACTTTATGTATAACAGGTGAAGAACATGGATGAACCATGATATGTTACTTATTCACAGAGGCTGGCCTTATGCCAAGATCACTTAGGAATAAGTCAATGGAATCCTAGAGCCTGTGACAGGAGCTGTGCTAATGGGATGAGCCCTCTTAACAGAAGTCATCATACCCCCCTATTGCCAAATCATTCAGCTCCCCCATTAGCAAAAGCTGGGCTTTTATGAACTGATGTCCTTTCTAGATGGACACATTTGATGGAAGGTGTGTGTCTTGGATGAGGTCTTCCTGCTCACCCCATCAATCAGCATCTCCCACACATATATGCAGCTGCTGAGGAAGGGGTTGGATTATCCAATAATATAGCCAGTCCTAGTTCTACCTTACATGTTGCTATTTTGATTTAATTTTTCCAAGAAGTTTGAGCCAAAGTCATCTTTTGAAAACCAGATTCTCTGCTAGGCATTTTTCTTTCCCTTCCTCTCCTCCTCCTCCATCTTTGTAGTACTAGCCTGCAAAATGACTTCCAATGAATGATTTCTCATGCCTTTGTGTCATCTCCTTCTACACTGCATCAGGCTTGGTCTGTATTACCAGTGAAATATGGTGGAAACAATGGTGTAAATTTCTAAAGCTAGATCATAAAGGACATCATAGCTTCCACTTTTCTTCCTCTCGGTTCACTCATTCTGCGGGAAGTCAGCTGCCATGACATAAAGACACCCCAGCAGCATATGGAGAGGTCCATGTGAGAGGAACTGATGCCTCCTGCCAACAGCTATCACCGACTTTTCAGCCATGTGAATGAGCCATCTTGAAAGTGGTCCTTCAGCCCCAGTCAAGCCTTCAGATGACCATAGTTCCATCTGACATCTTGACTGCAACTTCATGAGAGACTCTGAGCTAAAACCATCCAGTTGAGCTGTTCCCAAGTCCCTGACCCCCTGAAACTGTGAGAGATTATAAAGATGTTTTTCTTGTTTTAGAGATCCAGGACTAGGGTGAAGTAAGCCAGGTACCTAGGGTACAAATTTAAGGAATCAATCATTCTCAAGGTGATGGACATGCAGGGTCACTAGCCTCACCTGTGTTTTAAGTCATTAAGTAATTTGTACTAAGCTATAGATAAGTGATACAGTCGGTCTTCTTCTCCTCTTCCTCCTCCTTCTTCTTCTTTCTTTGCCCCTTTGTTGTATTGCATTCATCTAGGCTCATTCTGACCTCCTAGAGTTTTGTCAATTATTTCTCTTCAGGCTTCCTGCTACCAGAAGCTGTGCTGTAACTAACCTCCTAGAGATACCTCATTTGATTTAGGGTCCAATAGTGTAGTCTTTTATGTTAACCAATTAATTTAGAAAACAAAAGAGCCACAACCATCATGCAGTCTCTACGTTTCTAGTATTGATACATACTAATGGCATCTTTATCAGGTGTTATCATATCAAGAAGATATTAATGCCTCTCTCCTACCACAAGTCGTGATAGTAGAGAACATTTTTCATGATGTGAAACAATGGGTTTGTGGTTTAGAACACAGCCTGGAGTCACTGGGGGGATGAAGTAATAGCTAAAGTTAATGTAGGTCAATAAGAACCAGAGGCTTTTCAGTAAAGACAGGGTGGCCAAAGACAAAGACTTTCATGAGAGGATCAAGGACAAACATCTAATTCAAAACCATAGAGCAGCTAATGTCAAATGCTTGCTCAAACTTTAGTTGAGCAGAGATTGATAGATGCTACTGCAAGACTAACATTTTCTGATCACTTCCAGAATGTGTCTACATACTCAACGATAATAAAATACACATTTTCAGCCCACTTTTTTTTTTCTGATTCCAAAAGATTCATGTGACTATAGAGCTGTAAATGAAAGCGGGCCATTTATTTTATTCTTTTGCCTTTTGGCAAGTTTGAAGTTCTTTCTACGCTTTTGTTAAAGATCATACTTCCAGCAAATCCAATGCAGTTCGGGAGCCCTTCTAGGTTCACCTACTCTACCAAGGTGGTAAGGAATCATCAACATCTTATTCAGTTGAATGATTACTCACACAATGTACCCTGGAAAAGTGTTTTTAACAAAGATATGCTCAGATGTGCTGAGAGTTGATGAAAATAAAATGAAGGGGACCAGCGTGCTCTTATTCCGCTTGAAAGATTTAGTACCACTGGTGTATTATTAAATCTGAAGACAAAGCAAACTCCTAGCAAACACTGAAAGGAACCAGTATTTAAGTATAATAATAAGTAATAATAATAGTAACAAGAAGAAGGAGAACAAGGTGAGTAAAGAACAATAGCACCAGCCACATCTATTGAGCATCAACCATCCAGGCACTGTCTTGTGTGCTTTGTATGGCTTTACCTATATAATGGTCACAACAACCCAGTGAAAGACCCCACTGCTACGTACCCTGAGAGAGGACACTGAGACACACACAGAAATAAGGTAATCAGAGATCAGACCTGCCAATAAGAGGTAGATTCAGGAAGGACTGTGATGTTTGAGGCTACCAATGAGACAGTTATTTTCTTTAGATGTTTTGTTATTTTCTCTTGATTCTATTGTTGAAGTTCTTGAATATAATCCCTTCTAAAGTGATGCCTTACTCAGCACTACTCAATGGCTGGCAGCAGCCATAACCATAAAGGCCAGAGTTGGGGAATTACAGAAGAACCCTTGATCAGGATGGGCAGAAGAAAGACAGCCCACCACAGAGATTCATTGGCAATAGCCTCAAGCAACATGCAACAGATAGCTTAGAGAACTTGATAATTAGCAGCGACAAAAAGATTGATTTGTCATCAGAGACTGATTTGTGAGGAAAGGACACAGTCAATGTTCTTTTTGACACCCATAGCTAAAGCCACCAGTCAAAGAGAGTCTTTGCATATGACAAAGAACATGGGGAAAAGGTCATCCTTTTAGTTTCTTCATGTATTTTAATAACAAATTCAGCATCAGCACCCCCACCACTAGAGTGTAAGCTCTTTGAAAGGCTGAACCATTTGATCTTCAGCACCAAACATAATATCTAGCACCCAATAGCCATTTAAATATATTGGCTTGATATTTGAGTGGGAAAAATAATAATATACTCACAGCCAATGAACCACAACTAACCCAAGATGGCCTATGGCCTCTAGGCTTTGGCACCAGAAAGGCCTCGGTTGAAATCTAGACTCTGCCACTTCCTGGATGTGCAACTGGAGAAATGACTGAACCATTCTAGACCTCAATTTTCTTACTTATTAAAAAAGGGGGTAATTGCAGTATATATTTCATGGACATATTTTGAAGGTGCAATTATGAAGAAATGATTGAGAACATGGACTTTGGAACAGACTGCATGGAATTGAATTCTTGCTCTGTCTCTTAATCAGACATATATAGGCCCAGGCAAATTATTTAACATTGCCATGGCTCAGTTTCCTTCTCTGTAAAACAGTGAAAATTATAATACCTACCTCATGGTTGTTGTGTTTGTTTTGGAGAAGCAATACCTCATGGGGTTTACGAGGAGTAAGCTAATGAATACAAAATGCATAGAAATATGTCTGGCACATAGTAAGTTCTATGTAAGTGTTCACTATGATAGTTAAGTCACAGGATGCTTTTAAAGCTCATGGCACAGTGCCCTGCACGCTGTAAATGCTCAATAAATTGTTGTAACTGCATATTTTACTCATAATAATTAACATTAGCTGAAAGGAGGGGGTTGTCTAATGTGAAACGAGAATGAATTGCAAATTGCTATACTGTTGCAACTTTAATAAAACTATTATCTATTTCCTGGGAGTGACACTGTAAATTAAACTATTCGCTCATCAAGTGGCTGTTTCCTGGGATTTTTCAAGTTTCTTTTAACATCCACCATTTCTTCTGGCTAATGTCACATGTTGACTTGTTAGAGATGATCATTTTAGTGATGATCAGTGTTGAACCTTAGACGCAGCACAAATACCCTCTATATTTTATGGGTCATATCTCTGAGACTTTAGCAATACTTATCTGGGGGACTCTTCCTTAAAGGCATACATTCTTATTTTATTGTGCCCATTTTTCTCAAAAGCAATTTTAGACTGCAAAGCCAATGCATGCAGAGGTATTGCAGAATTAGAGTGGTATGGCACATTTGGACCCTGCAGAGAAGCCTGTAGGACCAGAACTTTGTCTCTTCTTTTATAGGAAGAAGCAGTTTACCAGGTTCTTATTCTTATTCTCAATGGACCAGCTGGGCCAGGGCCGGTTTTCAATGCAGACTCTCTCTTTTGCTCTTGCTGTGTATCGGAAGGATTCCCCCCTGGTTGCTTGTCAGGTGCAGGCTCTTGGCAACCTGGAGCCAAGCTCAGTGGAAGCGCATGTTTCCAGCCACGGCATCGCCATTGACAGGAAGGGCTGGCATGTATCACTTTTCAGCATCCAACCAGGTGATTGCTTCCCCAAAGGTGGGAACAGGTGCTTCTCCAATCTCTCAACTGTGCCTCGTTTCCTCCAGTCAGGCTGTTTGGTGGGCTGCCCTTTAGTAAAATCCACTTAGATGGCACCTGGCCGGCATTTTATTTCACCTATGTGAGCTGGTCTTTGCATTGTAGAATATGTCACCAATCACGCCACTTTCTTGGAATAAACAAACAAACGTTTCACTTAAACTAGCCCATGTTATAGAAAGTCCATCATCATTAGAGGATTTTTTGTAAAAAAAAAAAAAAAAAAAAAGAATCGTGCTCAAAAATGCAATTTCTTTGGGGAGGGGAAGTATTTTAAAAGTCATTGCCAGCCATGGAGAACTTAATGTGAATTAACTATCAGGGTTAAGAGTGTGGGCTCTGGAGCCAGACCATCAAGATGTGGCCCTTCCTACCTATGTATTTGTTGAAGAAATGCCCAAGGGGACACCTGCTTCAGGAAGAACAGTGGGCTCTTGTTCAGCTTCCATTATTCTGCAGATACTCAGAAGCCAAATTTCCCCAGGATCATAAAACAGCACTGCCTTCATCCTGACTGCAGTCTGTACTGGCTTCTTGAATGAGGGGTCATCGAACAAGAGGGACGCACATGGGCCTTGCTCAAGGGGTAGTCAGAAGGGTTTACTTGATAAGCTCACCCTCTAGAAATCCAAACAGGGAGAGGCTAAGATCCTTAGCCTATAAGAGTTTTAGGAGAGAGAATGTGAGCGTTAACATTCTCTCCTTAAACAGGAGACTTTTATAATGGCCCCACAGGGTGACTGTTTGATTTGCCTGTTTGTTTCTGCTGGGTGGTTTGGAGAAGAGCTTTTCAAATGTAGGGGCCTTGTGCTGGTTTTTAGGGTTTGTAAGGCAGAGGGCTCCTGGGAAGACTGTGTTCCACTCTGCCATCCAGCTCTCGTGGAGGATAGCCCCAGGGACAGAGCACGGAGGCAACAGTCAAGCAAAGAGGAAGGTTGGTGTAGAGACAGGAGAAGGCTTAAGTTCCACAGCAAGAAAGGTGAGTTCAAGCTGGACCCCATAGCATAGGTTGGCACCCTGATTGTCACTTGCTTCTTCCTTTAGCTCCATGTTAGCGTTCAATTTGCCTAAGGATCAATCATTCTTAGCTGCCCAAGAGAGGAACTCATTGTTTCTTCAAGGAAATTCAGTAGACATAAAGAATATATATCTCTATGCACATACACATATGCACACATATATACACACATACATATATATATATATGAATACACATATTTATTTATAAAAAATACGTGTCATTGACAGAAGCCCTTTTATTTCCCAGGAAAATTGTATTTTAAAAGATTATTAGGTAATAAGAAGCCAGACTCATGGGTCTGGCTCTAGCTTGAGACATTTCAGGCATTAAAGCCTTAAGGAGGAACTATTTTATTTGCAGAGAAATTGCAAAAGAAGAGGGAAAAATATGAGTCTGTTTGGATGAATCCATTCTCTAGGAAGATAAAACGCAGACCAATACAAAGCTGTTGTGTTGAGCTGATCCCCTCTGCCAATTGATGTACATTGTTGTGGCCTTCCTAAGACCCTTCAAACAGCACCACAGAGGCTGCTGTCTCTTTTATCTGAAAGGCCAGCCTTGTGTGCAGCCGGCTGACCATGAAAAACTAAACATCCTTGACAGACAGTAAATTCCATTAAGGCAGGAACTATACCCATCCTTGAGCATAAATTCCAAATGTTTAGTTCAGAGCTCTGTGCCTCATGGTCACTTAATAAATATTTGCTGAGTTGTTGACATACTACTAGGAAGAGATGTGTCCATGAAAATAAGCATGCACAGCATTTATCTATGTAACCTTGGGCCCATTCATGAGCTTTTTGGATTACTGTTTCCTCATCTGTAAATAATATGGTGCTTAACATTTATTAGGTTCCAAACCTGTGCGAGGCAT
Source organism: Homo sapiens (assembly GCF_000001405.40). Lineage (NCBI taxonomy): Eukaryota > Metazoa > Chordata > Mammalia > Primates > Hominidae > Homo > Homo sapiens. Next base: position 24,885,672 of record NC_000018.10, read on the forward strand.
TGAGCTAAGCATTTTATAGTCATGATCTCATTGAATCCTTAAAACATACCTATAGAGTATAAACTATTATTATTTTACAGATGAGAAGACTCCAGCATAAAGAAACTCCAGGTCATTGAGTGGGTAATTAGTAGAGTGATGAGATGAAGGCAGGAGTCTGGCTCATGAGTTCATGATTTACCTGATACACTGCAACAGGGATAGCAAGGCCTCCTGTAACTAATTTTTTTATGTACCCAGTCAACATATTTCTGGGAAGTGCCTTCTTGGCTCCAGGGTTCCCCAGAGGCGTGAGGTGAATTCAGCAAGAGAAGGAGGGCAAAGGTTCTTGGGTTAGGAATGCTCTTGGCTGCAAGTAACAGAACATCTAACTGACTATGCCTAGCGGGCAGTAGGCTTTCCAGAAATGGTGGTCCTGCTGCTGCATCTTTGGGCATTAACCACCCTGAGAATCTTTGGCTGTCTGAACTGCACTTTCTTAGGCCTTTTCAGGGGCGGCAGCAATAGTGGTGAAAAGCAAGAAGTATGAGTCTCCTAGCTTTGGCGTGTGCTTTGAATCCTTGCTGAATCCACCAAGGCTGACCAGGTAAAGTCTTTTCTTCCCTCCCACCCTCATGAGAAATGCCTCCCTGTGGGTGGAAAACACAGACATCCTCTGAATGGTGAAGTCAGAGGAGCCCTGGCTCTTCTAATAATAACTTTTCATTTCCTGAAATGCCTGCAGCCCATTTCTGTGAAACCAGGCCAGGAGTAACTAACTAGAAGAGCAATGATTTGAGATTTTTTAAATTACTATTGGTGAAACCTCCTGATGGTTCCCTTCATTATTTAAAATTAATTTTTTTCAGGTTACCATGCAAAATAGGGACTGTGGTGATTGAATATTTGGCTGCTTGTAAGGACCTATGTTTTTCACTATTGCCTCTATTGTGTTCTATTGGGCTATATTCTGAAAGGAGGTTAAAATATCTCTGCTAGCCACCCCTTATACCCCATTTTTATGGCCAGTGATAATGTTCTCATTGAAGCCTCCATCACCCCATGGGCATCACAATAGCCTCCCACCTTATCTCTCCCCCTTTAATCTATTCTGCTCCCTACCACCGAATTAGTCTTTCTAAAATGCTGCTTTCCTTATGTCATTGCTTTGCTTATAAAACTTTGTGGCTCCTCTCTTCTTGATGAATAAACCCTAGACTGTTCAGCCAGGCATTCTGATCCTCCACTCTCAGTCCCTTCTTTCCCCCTCATTCCCCAGTGAGAGCTCATTCCTCCCACTAAGCAGATCCTCTGCCCTGAATACACCGTGCGTAGTTCTATTTTTGCTCCTCTGCACATCTCTTCACTTGGAGTTCTTTTCCCTTCCTCTCCCGCTCTCCTATTCAACCTATGGTTGAAAACTCTCTTCAACAGTGTAGAACTGTAGACTACTCTGGCCAGTCTTGATCTTCTTCAGCAATCTCTCTTTCTTACTCACAGATATTCTATAGTCCTTCTTGTCCTGGGACATTTTCATGGCCAGTGATGATTTAACATATGCTGAATGAACTTATTACTTGTATCTCCTGGACTACACTATATAATTTTCCCTGTTTCTTGGCCCCAGATTAATTGATGATGCTTGTCATAGTATTGTGAGTAACTACAGAGATAGTTTTTGAGTTAGACACACGATGGCAGACATTATTAATTGCCTATTCAGTCCCCTTCCTTACTGATGGAGTCTGACTTTATTCAGTGTAGCAGCATGCCCCACCTGGGTGGTTTAATCTCAAGCAAAAGCTAATTGCAATACTCATAAGTATTTCCTAGCTTCTTTTGCAGCTAGGAGTGGCCACACAACGTTGTAATGGTAAGTATGCTAAAGGTCTCTGGGAAGGGCTTTGTTTCCTGATAAAGGGCACAGTGTTTGAGGAGAATGTTATTGATGCTGAATATTTCACTCTACCTGCTTTGGTTGTGATTTGGATGTTTGGGGCCTATGCTAATCATTTTGCAACTATGAGGCAATGAGGCTGAGAATGAAAATTCAACACACTGCTCATGGTAAACAGAGAAACAGGAAAAACCTAGGTGCTCAGAGTCTTTGTTGAACCACTATGTCAACATGCAACCACCTCTCAATTTCCTGCATGTGAGATAATTAAGTGTCTTTAATACTTAAGCCATTGTTAGATAGATATTCTATTACTTGCAGCTGAAAGCATTCCTAACTTGTACTACCAACTTAATATTTCTAGAGCCTTGAAGAATGCATGAACATTATAAATCTAATCAAATGCTTTGAACCCACACAGGAGAAGATACTGTGATATTTTATAAAAAGTAATCTTCAAGAAATTAACATCATATGCATATACATCTAGGTATACTCTATTGGCAATGTAAATAAGCCTTTTCAATGACAATCTTAAAAATATTAAATCATAACCATAAGAATCTATTAGGTAATAGGTTAGCTGAGCAAGGGGAAACAAACAGTGTAGTAGAATGAATGCATTTAAAAAAAATTTTGAACTCACTTTTTTAAACACCAAATTCTTAGCTCTAAAAAAACTCACTAATACTTACACATTAATTTATTTTACTATTTGTTAGGGAAACCAGCATTCCCTTGGTCTCATGTTTTTTCAGAGGGCTTCTGCCAAAATAACACTTCTGGCCTTTCTTTATGCCCTTAATCATTTACTTTCATGGAAAGAGTGAGTTACCTGATAGATATGTTTGGAAAAAAAATTCTGGGCATACTCCATCCACCATATCTCTTGGCCTCTCTGTTTCTGGTGGGGCAATTTGATGACTGGATATGAACATCTCTGCCAATCCACACAGTAAAAAGTTTCATGAGTCTTGATCTGCTTCTCCATAGGTGAGGCCAGCAGTTTGAATGGACAAGTTCAAATCCAAGGGGATGTATTAGGAAACCCAGTTGTGGCCATTAGTCAAGCATTACTCGCTGATTTAGCTTTATTAGTAATTAAGTTGATATTTTGATCTCCATCAATTTCTATCCTGTGTCGACTTTGCAACTGTTTCCAAACATAGGAAGGGAAAAGAAATTTATTATTAATTGGTGACCTGGAATGCCAACCTAGAGCCACAAGTGTTGTATTCTTCTAGGATGTTTCTTACTTATCAGAGAAGTCTATCTTCTCATTTTGGAATAATAATATTACTTTATCTGATTAGTCATTTGTGTATTCATTTATTCAATGATTATTTATTGAGTATTTATATACTACAAACATGCTGAATATATAGTGGTCAGCACAAACAGACAAGTATAAGAATACTACTATACTATTATATATATACTACTATATATACATACACACGTATACACATATGTACTTATATACATACGTATATACATATATATACACAATTAGACTGTACTGAGTGCCACTAAAGAGTGACACAGAGGACACATTTCATGAAAACAGATAATAAAGAGATTTTATTTAATTAGGAAAATCAACAAAGGCTTCTCTGAGGAAGTAATAATCAATTAAGCAGGGATCTGAGGAATGACTTGCTATTAACTAGTTGAAGGGGGCAGGAAATACTATTCTAGCCCCATGTAAAAGCCCTGTGATGGAAAGGAGTATGGCAAGAACAATGGAATTAAAGGAGTCCACAGTGGATTGAGAAGGAGATAAAGCGATACTGGAGATGAGGTTGGAGAGATAGGTAGGGGTCAAATCGTGCAGAACCGTGAAGGCCACATTAAGTAAGAAGTTTGGATTTTTCTTAAGAGCAAGGTGAAAGCTGTCAGCTTGGCAGGAGGTCAGGCAGATGAGGTGGTTTGGACTAGGGTGGTAGTGATAAAGTCAGAGAAGGAGCCACCTTGGATAAATATTTAGAAGATAAATTTCTTCTCAATATTTAGAACAACTCAGTCATAGGCAGGATGGGATGCACAGGAAGTTTCAAGGGTGACATCTAGGTTTCTAGCTTGTACGTCTAGATAGATGGGGGCCGTTTACTGAGAGAAGAAATCTTTGGAGAATACCGTATTTGGGAGGAAAGATGATGAGTTTGGTTTTGGACCTGTTGAGTCTGATATCAGGCTTTTTAGACACAGAAGAAAAGATCCAGTAGGTAGTTCAATTTATGGGTCTTGAGAGGAAAAAGGTGATCTGGGCTGGATAAGTTATGTATACACGGTCAGTGAATAAGTTACGTATACATGGCGATTAAAACAGTACGTTTGGATGAGCTTATCTGGAAAAGTTTACATAAACTAGAGTCAAAGACCAAGACCTACAAAATTCCAACATTTAATGATGAGACAGTGAAGAATCTGCCTGAAAAGGAGAATAACAACTAGAAATGACAGAGATAAGAAGAAAATCAGGAGAATACCACATAAACCAGGGGGGAATGCTTAAGGAAGGGTGATGTGCTTAACTGTGGAACATCGCCAAGACAGGGAAGAAGTGAGCTGAAAAATGTTCATGGAATTCAGTCACTGAGACCTTAACAAGAGCCATTTTCCTAAAGACGTGGGACAGACCTCTGGCTGGAGACAGCTGGGTACTGAGTGGTACTCGAAGGACACAGTAAGCATAAGAAAATTCTTCTAGAAAGTTTTCTGTGAAGGGAAGGAAGACAGAGGCAGGGCTGAAGTTGGCAAGTATTTTTAAATGTGACTTAAGATGATTTAACAAGTTCAATGGGAAAGGTTTGCTTGAGAAAGAGAGTCTGCATATATGAAAGTAAAAGAATCATTGATAGTGTAAGGTTTCTATGAAGATGTGAGGGAATGAAGGGTAAAGTGCAGGACAAAGAATTGACTTTAGGTAAGAGGATGAACAGCTCCTCTATCATAAAAAGAGAGAAGCAAAGCTTACTTGTAGATTTGTAGATCAGAAGCCAGTGCATTCTTATTGGACGGCCTCTGCTCTCTGTGAAGTGGGTGAGGTCATATGCCGAAAGTGAAGGGTGAGCAGGGAGTGGGGATGAGAGAGCATAGAGATGACTTGTACAGCCATAGAAAGTAAGAGATTGAGTTGACCAAATCATGTGTATGGATTGTTGGACAGGACTGATGGCCCATTTGAGTTGGGTGATCTTGAACTTAGGGTGAAATAGTAATAATTCCTCGAACAATTAAGCATAGCTTTTTTTGTTTGTTTTGTTTTGTTTGAGACGGAGTCTCATTCTGTCGCCAGGCTGGAGTGCAGTGGTGTGATCTGGGCTCACGCACACTGTAACCTCCACCTCCCGGGTTCAAGTGATTCTCCAGCCTCAGTCTCCCAAATAGCTGGGACTGCAGGCATGCGCCACCACACCCGGCTAATTTTTGTATTTTTTGTAGACACATGATTTCACCATTTTGGCCAGGCTAGTCTCAAACTCCTGACCTCAAGTGATCCTCCCGCCTCAGCCTCCCAAAATGCTGGGATTACAGGCATGAGTCACTGCTCCCAGACAAGCATAGCTACTTTTTAAATGTATGTCTAAAAACTCTATTGCCTACAGGTTTGTTTATATTGCCTTTAAGATAAAATCTTGGTTGTTGGTCAAGTCTTGTCTCCTCATATGCCTAGTATTTTTGGTTGTGTGTCCAGTTGTTTTTTATTTTAACAATGAACATTTATTATCTCACAGTTTCTGTTAGGAGCAGAGTTGAAGTGCAGTTTAGCTGGATGGTTCTTGTTAGGCTCTCCCTTGGGCTTGGACTCCGGTATCAGCCCGAATTTCACCACCTGAAGGCTTGACTGAAGCTGCAGGAGTTAGTTCACTCCTCTGGCCATTGGTAGAAGGCCAAGGCCTCAGTTTCTCCGTACATGGATTCTCCATAGGGCTTGCAATTTCTCTGACATGCAGCTGACTTCCCCAGTATGCGTGATGTAACAGAGCAAGAGAGAAGTGAGCGCTCAGTTACTTTTGATTAAATGTTTGCCATTGCTACTGGCAGGTGCTGGGTTGAGGGGCTAGCAAGTCCCAGGAATTGAGAGATAAGAAACTTTGGTCCCTGTGAGGGCTCCTATATTTCCAGTTCACTTTTCCTTCTTTGGTGTGGTCTTGGGGTCCCAACTAATATCCTGGGGTGTTTTCCAGGACACCTCCTTCTCGACAGAGCTTGAACCCCTATTTCAGACTCCCCAGAGCCTCAAGACTATCAAAATCCCTGCCCAGCTTCTCAGGGTCTCAGCTGTGCCTTCAGAATTTCAGGTGCCTGTAGCTTGCTGATCTCAAACCTTAGGGTCATCACAATCCACTCAAGGGTTTGTTAAAGCATAGCTTGCTGGGTCTCGCCCAGAGGTTCTGATTCAGTAGATCTGGGGTGGAACCTGAGGCTCTGCATTTCTAACAAGTTCCCAGGTGCTGCTGCCTGCTTTGTGTCCACTTTCTGAGAACTACTGTCCCGGGGAAAAAGCAGTCTTAAGTGGGCTTCCCTCTTCTCTGGGATCTTGGCAGTGTGATTTCTCACTGCCTTGGTGACTTTCTAATGTCCTCAACCCAGTGTTTCTTTTCATATATTATCGTGTGGTCAGAGAGAGTTGATTTGAACCACCTACTTTGCTGTTGCCAGAAGAAAAACTTCCAAACTAATAATGATAGCTAATACTTAGTGAGAAGGTATTCCATGTCAGACTGTGGCTGGTGTGGCTGGCATGGCTGTTGAGTTGCATAACTCCAGGGGGCATTATTCAGACTGTGTTCATTTATTTATTTTTGAGACGGGGTCTCACTCCAACACCCAGGCTGGAGCACAGTGGTGTGATCATGGCTCACTGCAGCCTCAATCTCTTGGCCTCAAGCGATCCTCTTACCTCTAGCCTCCTGAGTAGCTGGTACTACAGGCACAGGCCACCACACTGGCTAATTTATTTATTTATTTATTTTTTTTTTTGTAGAGATGGGGTTTCATAATGTTGCTCAAACTCCTGGGCTCAATTGATCCACCTGCTTTAGCCTCCCAAAGTACTGGGATTACAGGCGTGAGCCACCCTGCCCAGTCAACTTTGTGTGTGGTATGAATGTGCAGCTGCCTGGAGTTGTGTGGAGCAGTAGCCCTGTGGAGCTGGGCACTGTGTAGTGATCTTTATATGTGTTGTCTCATTCACTCTTACAAAATTCCTATTGATATGATTGTCCTTATTTATAGATGAGGAAATAGAAACAACGCATAACTTTCCTAAGGTGACAGGGTTTGTACATGACAGCACTTAGAGGTAAACCAGGTTTGTCTCATTACTAGGACTCTCTTGATTTGTGGAAACAAAGTTTGCATTAAGCCTTTGACCTTCCCAGATTCCCTATCTGTAAAATGGGCACAATAGTATTTATTCTCAACCTCATAGTCTGGGTAGAATGACTTAACAAAGCAGTGGACTTAAACTCTTGAGAGTTTTTTGGGATAAGATAATTAGCTTGCATTATCACAGTTCTGTTCAGGAAAGTGGTTTTCTTACGAAGGTATAAACACCCCCAGTTGTTAAGCAAGCAAATGAAGACAATCAATGGAGCAGAGCTAAGGCCAAGGCAGGTGTTTCAAATAGCACTGCAGAGTGACAGTAAGTGGCATCCACCTTTCCAATGGTACCATGCTTTAAAAAGCAACAGCTTTAAAAAGTAACAGCTTCATCTATTGAGTCGTGTAAGACCAAGTTTCTCCTCTACTAGTTTTTCTCTTTCCCTTAAGGAAATCAGGTATTCATGTCTTCTTTCATTTACTCTCTTCCCTCAGTGACTAACTACAAAAGTGTTAATTTAAAAAGTTAGGATTTTGAGGGCTTCTAGACCCTTTAGGCATTAATATTGCAACCTAAAACTGTTTACCTAGAGGTCACAGGTTCAAGTCCAGGCTGGGTCAGTAGTGACCGAAAGTCTAATGACTGGTCATCTGTTGGCTATTTTATGGTTTATGTGAAATGAAGCGATGGTCTCAGCTCACTGGCCAGTCCACATCAGAACAGGCATTGCCAGACATTGGTTGGCATTTTCAGCACAGAGGCCAAGAATTCAACTGGAAGCTTTATCCCTGAGGTTGCCTTCTGTAGAACATAGGCATGGGGCAAGGGAGGAAGGTCACAGTCAATTGGGAAAGAAGAGAGCCATTGTCTTATCTTTCTACCTTCTTGACAAAAAGAAGATACCTCTTTTCAGACCCATGAAAGAAGTTGACTTCCTGATTTGTCATTCACTTTTGCAATTTCACTCAGCAGAAGAGAAAAGACGATTTCCAGCAGTAAACGATGCAGGCAGTGTCATGCAGAGGAAACCACTGTTGTTTTCTGGGCTAAAGAGAGCCAGACCGGAGAACAGACAGGAAGGGGAGCAGGACAGAGGAGAATGGGCATGATTATATGTAAAGGTAGAGGCCTCTGTTTCTTCTTCGTACACATAAGCAATCATGTGAGCCTGGAAGACCCAGAGAAGCAAGTGGTAGAATGGCCTGTGCTTTCTCTTTTGCCTATTTCCCTCCCAGCTTGTTCCATGCTCCCTGCAGAAAGGCAGGATCTCAGACCCACTTCTCTTGTTATCTCTCATGGGGTCAGTGTCAAGGACAGACGTGAACACTGTCAATGCCCCAACTACTACCCACCACTGAGGTGTGTCTAGGCATCTCTGGATCTAGGCATTTCCCGACTTGTTTTGACTCAGGAAACAGACAAAATCATTTTATTTTTTCCCTAAAAGGGGGAAGTTGAATTTTAAGAATTTTTTTTTCAGTTGCTCCCATTGTCCTTATTACTAAAGTCCTTGCCTGAATCCAAGGGCCTTCCCTGACTTTTGTCTGAGGCTTGAATCTTTATGACACTGTCAATAGAATGGAATATGGTGAGATGCAAATTGCAGTGGATCAAGATGTGAATGAAGTTGAGAAGGTTGAAGCAAAGAGTATGGACTCTTCTTTCCTGAAATCTGGTGGTGGTGAAAGAGACAGATAGAGCCTGGGCAGGGAGTTTGCAGGGAACTTTGTTAGAATGAAGAAGGAATTTTGCATGCATCTGTAGTCTGAGAAGATGAAGATCTTCTCAGATGAAGCAGGTGAAGAGAGGGAGAAGGAAAATGCACAGGGAGAAAGGGGGCAATAATTTCTAGACAAATGCCAGAGAAGGAACAAAAGGAAAGGAGGAACTGTGTAGAAGAAGGAGATGGTCCTGAAGAAGAGACGATGAGGAGGGAAGAAAGGGTTCTGTTATGGATGCATTTCAGGCATGGAGTGGCAAGTCACTGGGCTCTTCATCAATAATGAGCTCTATTTTGTTTGTGAGGTGGAAGGCAAGGCTCTTCATTGAGAGGTGGCTGGGAGCCTGAGGAATGTGCTAAAGATTTGTGGGAAAAGGGAAAGGAAGCCACGAGGGAACAGAAGTGAAGGGCTGCTGGCAGGGCTGGGCTCAGATGGATTTACATCCTCTATCTGTATATTAGTGTTATCTTTAAAAGTCGTCTGCCATATCCTGGCTTTCAGTCATGCAGAGGATCACTGCTTTATATTACACAAGGAGGCTTGGCATGAGGAGAAAAAACAGACTGCAAAATGTCACCCAATCTAAACATGGAATGGGGAGAAAACCACAACAAATGGGGCTGTCAAAAAAGTTTTCAAAGAACTTTACAAAAAAAAACCTTTTCTTTTATTTAAGTCAAAACAGCAAGGAAAATAATATTCTGGTGTTCAAGCTCTATTCTCTCTGTTGGGGGTGACGCTTGAAGAAAAAGAAAAGTGTATTCTGCGGTTAGTGATATTTTAATTGGTCACAATATGAAGTAAAAGTTCAAAACTAAATACTAGAAATATGTCCCCTCTGGAACATTCAATTAAAATCTGTGGGGGGAAAAAGCCTCAAAATGACAGCCAGAGAATAACAACAATAACAAAAGTTATTGTAAACCAAGACTTCAAGCAGCCAGATGACACTGAGTTGAGTCAAGTATGTGTGTGTGTGTGTTTGGAGGTTTATCTCGGCCACTCCTAGGTGAAGGTTCAGCCCCAGACTCAGCTTACCCCCCTTGCAAGGGTGTTTTGCTCTGAGCAATATTGTGATATGGGCAGGATTCACCTGAGGCCTCTGCAGTCCCACCTTTCCACACTGCAGTTCTTGCTTCCAATCCTTGTGAATAGCCAGTGTCCTGAGGACCTGACTCATAAAGGGTTTGAAATGCCTCCACACTGAGGCGAAAATAACTGAGGATAGAAAAGACCTCGGAGTATTAACGTTTTAATAGGGCAGGTCTTAGGCAAAATAAATGTTACTGACCTCTGCAATTGCATCACATGGATAGGAGCCTACTCTTCTTATTCACAAAAGCCATCTTGAGACTATCCCATGTTCCTGCCGGCAAGAAGCCTAAGTGAGATAGCTCATGAAATTATCTGGGTCCTGGAAGGAGACTTAGAAATTTTAACTCGTGTGGTGGTGTGCGCCGGTAATCCCAGGTCCTAGGGAGGCCGAGGCAGGAGAATCGCTTGAACCTGGGAGGCAGAGGCTGCTCTGAGGCGAGATCATGACACTGCACTCCAGCCTGGGCAACAGAGAGAGACTGTCTCAAAAGAAAAAAAAAAAAAAAAGAAAGAAAGCGAAGAAAAAGAAATTTTAATTTACTGTATTGATTAAGATAATGTCAAAATCATCATAACAAAAACTAAGGGTTACTATAGACAAAATGTTCTTTGAGCTCTTTAGCATTCCATTTGGAAATTTAACATGTCATTTGACAACTTTATTTTTTGTGGGGTTCTTTTTACCTCAAAGGAGAAAATTCATGTCTTACAGGCAGGGCACACATGTGTGTACATGCATGCACATCTGTGCCTATAGGTTTGGCAAAATCTTTCTGTAGCAAACATACCACAAGAAGTCCCTGTGCAGAGTCAGTCACTGTCACTTATTAGCCCTCCCAGCCACCCAGGGAAGTAGACATTATTATCCCACATTACAGAAAAGGGAGCCAAGGCATAGAATGCTGAGTGATGGCCATGCTCACACAGTACGCAGGTGGCGATGCTGGGATTTGAACCTATGAGTGTAACATGGGTACAGTGTCTGGGCTCCCACCACTCTGCAAACTGGCTTTGAGAACTTGAGATGAGTTCTCAAACTTGGACTTGAACATAGACTTCACAGAGACAGTCATTTTTCTTTTTAACTAGGCGTTGAGGGATGAGTTTTTAAATTTGGGATGGGGTGGGTGGGGTTTGGTTCGTTTTCCACATGCATAAACAGGCATGGTAGGTTTGGGGAAATGCAGTAACTTGCAGGGTGGGTGGTTTAGGATGGACCTGGGGGTGGTGTAAGCATACAGCCGGTTAGCCCATGACAATCAGGTTTTCATTGGTAGGTCTAGCATAATAATGGCATCCACTTTTTCTCTTTGAAGAGCCTGGGTCTGGCTGGTGTTACACGGTCCCTTCAACTACGGAGGCCTGCTCATGCGGGGCCCTGAATGACATGCTACGGAGTCTGGATTTGATTCTCTGGGTGGGGAGGTGAAACATGTTTGATGACTCAAATTGCTTGGAAAAAGAAAGGAGTGCAGGAAGGAGACCTGTCCTTATAGGAACAAAGGACTTACTTTGTAGGATTGCTATGAAAATGAAATGAAATGAAATGGGTTTAGAACATGTAGTAAAATGCTCAAGAACTATTAGGTCCTCCTCTCTTTCCTTTTTTTTTCTCCTTATTCCTTTTTCTCCTTGGGCTCTTCCTTCCCCCCTTCTCCTCCTCCTCTTTTTTTTTTTTGAACCATAACCACTCTCTCTGCAGCTCTTATTCCCTGATGTCTCTGTCTGTGTAAGCAAAACCTGGGGAGCTTGCAGGGGGGCAAGCACAAGGGAGGGATAGTAGATTTGCCCTCAGAAACAGAATTCATGGAGCACCCAAGGTAGCCTGGAGGTGGGGAGGCAGCCCATGTCCCTAAACCCTGTTTCTAGCATTTTTGAAGCTCAGCAGACCCAGCTGAAGGCTGTTACATTGTATGATTACTCAACCTCAACCTGGCAGTAGGAAGGGAAAAATGCCCAACAACTGAAAGTCCACATTTTAATTCTTCCAGCTGGGATTCTGGTTAGGGTCATGTTACCAATATAAACAGCACAAAGCCTGGAGTGTAATATTAATATCTGATAGACTGAGCATCACACATCAGCATCACATATCAAACACAGTGTGTTTTTGAAGCCGATATCAAATAATGTTTCTCCTCTTCATTATGTTCCCTTTGTTCTAGGGCAGTAGAAAAGAAACGAGTGAAGCGTCCCTGGTCACATTACTTTGGGAGTTGGTAACAGCAGGCCAAACAGTGAGCCAGAGAAGGGCTGGGGAAATTATCATTCATAAAGCACCGTCGGTGTAGCAAGGATATGGTACACACTAAGTTCATCCTTCCAACAATCTTATGGGTAGGGATTATTATGCCCATTTTACGGATGAGGAAACTGTGCCAAGAGATTAAATAGTTAATGGCTGTACCAAGAGTGAGTGCTGGAGCTGGGATTTAACCACAAATGCTTCATAAGAACAGCCGTATTTTTGCAAGTACCAACACCCAAATGTCACACAAAGAACATCCATAGGTAATTTCATAGTGATGGATGAGCCTGATGTTGGAACTGTTTATGGCTTATTGTAAGTGAGTAGGAGGGACATAGTCACCATGGACTCAAAATGCAGAGAGAGGAGTAGTGAAACCTAAAATGAGTGGCAAGGGTTGAAAACCTGGAGGGAGTAAGATACTAAGTAAAATACATAGGCAAACAATGTAGTATGATAGCCACTGGTAAGTGCTACCGTCAGAGGCATTGGAACCAGAGCAACTCCATCTTGAATAGGGGCTGTGTAAAATGAGGCTGAGACCCACTGGTCTGCATTCCCAGGAGGTTAGCATTGTTAGTCACAAGATGTTTACAGTCAAGGGAACAAGTTAATAATGTTTACTGAACAGATCCAGGACATAACAGACCCAGGAAATGTCCGGATGCTTGAATATCTAAAGAACAAAAGAGTTCTTAGTTTAAGTTTCACTTTAAAGATAATAATATAGATTATTGCAGAAGACAGTAGTTACACAAATCTTAACAATCCTTTATCACGAGCCCTTGTAGTAAAGCACATCTTCCCCATGATTATTTTTGCCTTGCCAGCTTATGTATAAACAGGCATTGCACCTAAGGTGGGCATGCTTCTCCTCTTGCTTTTGGGAATGCCTTGCTGTGCCTATGGAGTAGCCATTCTTTTGGTTCTTTACTTCTCTAATAAACTTGCTTTTACTTTACTCTGTGGCCTCACCCTGAATTTCTTGTGTGAGATCTAAGAACCTTCTTTTGGGGTCTGGATCAGGACCCCTTTCTGGTAACACTATGGAAAAAAAAAAGAGGAAAAAAGATGGAGAGTTTTGGAGAAAACTTGGTTTTATTTGAAATTAATTAATTGTGTCAATATTAAGTGAATTTCTCTGTTCTTCCAAACTGTAAGCTCCATGAGGCCGTGGTTGTGTTTATTTTGTTCACCAGCTACTTTCAGTGTCTCTAGCAGGGTTTGGCATGTAGTAGGTTTTCACTTCGTATTTATTAAATGAACAAATGAATGTGCACAGGAATTCTGGTGTATAGATGACTTCAGAAGTGGATGCCCCTCCTCTCGTCATTCCGCCATGTTTGGAACTCAGCCTCCCTTTGAATTTGGCTCAGCTTCTCCTCTTCCCACTTGTTTAGTTCTCTAGTCAGTTTACTCCCCCACTCTGTGCCATGATTGTTTTAATCCTTCTCTGCAAGCCATTCTTCCCCTCACTCTCCTCTTAGCAAACACACACACCCTACTCACACCAAATAAATACAATTGTCCTTTCACTTCTCAGAGAAAACACATGGAATTGGAAAAGAATTCCTCCAGGTTTCTGACAGTACATCTACAAAACTACATACTCCATTGCCATCTCAACTCCTTGCCTCCTGCTATGTCAAAAGAGTCCTTTCTTGAGTCCATGTCCTTTTCAGGGACATGGATGAAGCTGGAAACCATCATTCTCGGCAAAATAACATAGAAAAGAAAACCAAACACCGCATGTTCTCACTCATAAGTGGGAGTTGAACAATGAGAACACATGGACACAGGGAGGGGAACATCACACACTGAGGCCTGTCAGAGGGTGGGGGGCTAGGGGAGGGATAACATTAGGAGAAATACCTAATGTAGATGACAGTTGATGGGTGCAGCAAACCACCATGGCACGTGTATACCTATGTAACAAACCTGCACATTCTGCAAATGTATCCCAGAACTTAAAGTATAATAAATTTAAAAAAAAGATACATGAGAAAAAAAAGAATCCTTTCTGTCTGGATCAGTTCCCCACTGTGCTATGTATTAGTCCATTTGCATTGCTATAAAGAAACACCCCAGACTGGGTAATTTATAAAGAAAAGAAGTTAAATTGGCTCACAGTTCTGCAGGGTATACAGGAAGTGTGATGCTTCTGGTGAGGGCCTCAGGAAGCTTACAATCATGGCTGAAGTCAAACGGGGATCAGGCATCACATGGCAAGAGCTGGAGCAAGAGAGCAAGGGGGAGAGATTCCAAACTTTTTTTTTTTTTTTTTTTTTTGAGACAGAGTCTCACTCTATCACCCAGGCTGGAGTGCAGTGGCGTGATCTTGGCTCACTGCAACCTCCACTTCCTGGGTTCAAGTGATTCTCCTGCCTCAGCCTCCTGAGTAGCTGGGACTACAGGCACACACCACCACGCCCGGCCAATTTTTTGTATTTTTAGTAGAGATGGGGTTTCACCATGTTAGCCAGGATGGTCTCTATCTCCTGACCTTGTGATCCACCCACTTCAGCCTCCCAAAGTGCTAGGATTAGAGGTGTGAGCCACCGCACCCGGCCCAGACTTTTAAACAACCAGATCTCACATGAACCAGCTGAGCAAGAACTCACTTATCACCAAAGGGATGGAGCTAAACCATTTGTGAGGGATCTTCCCCCATGATCCAACCACCTTCTACCAGGCCCCACCCCCAATATTGGAAATCACATTTCAACATGAGCTTTGGCAGAGAAAAACATCCAAACCACATCATTCATCTCCTCTTACCTCTGAGAAACCTTAGATTAGCACTTCTTATGTTTTTCAACCTCCTTTCTTTCCAGGACTTTTCCTAAACACAAGTTCAGACTTCTCTCATCTTTAAAAATCTCCCCCTTTCATCTCTCTCTCTCCTTCTTTCCCAGAAGACATCTATATGTGTAAACTGTCTCCATTCCTTCTCCCGCTTCTCCCAGTCAATATTTGAACACCCAACCCAGTCTGACTTTGCAAAGTCAAAGTCACCAGTCACTCGGATTCTACTAAATCCAATGGGTGCCACTGGGCAGCATCCAATGTTTTTGACCATTCCTTCCTTCTGGAAAAACATTCTTTCCTTAAGGTTGGTCTCCTGACCCTTCCAACTTCTCTGGTTACTTCTCAGTCTCTTTGGCTAGTTCTTCCTTCCCTTTGGGAATTTTAAAAATTCTTCAGTCTTCTCGACCCAGTTCCAAGATGACCGAATGGGAACAGCTCCAGTCTACAGCTCCCAGCGTGAGCGACGCAGAAGACGGGTGATTTCTGCATGTCCAACTGAGGTACCAGGTTCATCTCACTGGAGCTTGTTGGACAGTGGGTGCAGCCCACGGAGTGTGAGCTAAAGTAGGGGAGGGCATCACCTCACCCGGGAAGGCCAAGGGGTCAGGGAATTCCCTTTCCTAGAAAAAGGAAGCCATGACAGACAGTACCTGGAAAATCAGGACACTCCCACCCTAATACTGCACTTTTCCAACGGTCTTAGCAAATGGCATACCAGGAGATTATATCCCACGCCTGGCTCAGAGGGTCCCACGCCCATGAAGCCTTGCTCACTGTTAGCACAGCAATCTGAGATCAAACTGCAAAGCAGCAGCAAGGCTGGGGGCGGGGCGTCCACCATTGCTGAGGCTTGAGTAGGTAAACAAAGTGGCGGGAAGCTTAAACTGGGTGGAGCCCACTGCAGCTCAAGGAGGCCTGCCTGCCTCTGTAGACTCCACCTCCGGGGGCAGGGCATAGCGGAACAAAAGGCAGCAGAAACTTCTGCAGACTTAAACGTCCCTGTCTGACAGCTTTGAAGAGAGTAGTGGTTCTCCCAGCATGGAGTTTGAGATCTGAGAATGGACAGACTGCCTCCTCAAGTGGGTCCCTGACCGCCAGGTAGCCTAACTGGGAGACACCTCCCAATAGGGGCTGACTGACACCTCATACAGCCAGATGCCCCTCTGAGACGAAGCTTCCAGAGGAAGGATCAGGAAGCAACATTTGATGTTCTGCAATATTTGTTGTTCTGCAGCCTCCACTGGTGACACCCAGGCAAACAGGGTCTGGAGTGGACCTCCAGCAAACTCCAACAGACCTGCAGTTGAGGGTCCTGACTATTAGAAGGAAAACTAACAAACAGAAAGGACATCCACCAAAACCCCATCTGTATGTCACCATCATCAAAGACCAAAGGTAGATAAAACCACAAAGATGGGGAGAAACCAGAGCAGAAAAGCTGAAAATTCTAAAAAACAGAGTCCCTTTTCTCCTCCAAAGGAATGCAGCTCCTCGCCAGCAACAGAACAAAGCTAGATGGAGAATGACTTTGACCAGTTGACAGAAGTAGGCTTCAGATGATTGGTAATAACAAACTTCTCTGAGCTAAAGAAGGATGTTCAAACCCATCGCAAAGAAGCTAAAAACCTTGAAAAAAGATTAAATGAATGGCTAACTAGAATAAACAGCGTAGAGAAGACCTGATGGAGGTGAAAACCGTGGTGCGAGAACTACGTGACGCAGGCACAAGCTTCAATAGCTGATTTGATCAAGTGGAAGAAAGGGTATCAGTGACTGAAGATCAAATGAATGAAATGAAATGAGAAGTTTAGAGAAAAAAGAGTAAAAAGAAATGAACAAAGCCTCCAAGAAATATGGGGCTATGTGAAAAGACCAAATCTACGTCTGATTGGTGTACCTGAAAATGACGAGGAGAATGGAACCAAGTTGGAAAACACTCTTCAGAATATTATTCAGGAGAACT
The DNA here is from genome assembly GCF_000001405.40 of Homo sapiens. Classification (NCBI taxonomy): domain Eukaryota; kingdom Metazoa; phylum Chordata; class Mammalia; order Primates; family Hominidae; genus Homo; species Homo sapiens. The sequence goes on from NC_000018.10 coordinate 24,902,712, forward strand.
TCCCCTAGCTAGCAAGGGAGGCCAACATTCAAATTCAGGAAATACAGAGAATGCCACAAAGATACTCCTTGAGAAGAGCAACTCCAAGACACATAATTATCAGATTCACCAAAGTTGAAATGAAGGAAAAAATATTAAGGGCAGACAGAGAGAAAGGTTGGGTTACCCACAAAGGGAAGCCCATCAGACTAACAGCAGATCTCTTGGCAGAAACTCTACAAGCCAGAAGAGAGTGGGGGCCAATATTCAACATTCTTAAAGAAAAGAATTTTCAACCCAGAATTTCATATCCAGCCAAACCAAGCTTCATAAGTGAAGGAGAAATAAAATCATTTACAGACAAGCAAATGCTGAGAGATTTTGTCACCACCAGGCCTGCCTTACAAGAGCTCCTGAAGGAAGCACTAAACATGGAAAGGAACAACCAGTACCAGCCACTGCAAAAACATGCCAAATTGTAAAGACCATCAATGCTAGGAAGAAACTGCATCAACTAACAAGCAAAATAACCAGCTAACATCATAATGACAGGATCAAATTCACACATAACAATATTAACCTTAAATGTAAATGGGCTAAATGCTCCAATTAAAAGACACAGACTGGCAAATTGCATAAAGAGTCAAGACCCATCAGTGTGCTGTATTTAGGAGACCCATCTCACATGCAGAGACACACATAGGCTCAAAATAAAGGGATGGAGGAAGATCTACCAAGCAAATGGAAAACAACAAAAAAGCAGGGGTTGCAATGCTAGTCTCTGATAAAACAGACTTTAAACCAACAAAGATCAAAAGAGACAAAGAAGGCCATTACATAATGGTAAAAGGATCAATTCCACAAGAAGAGCTAACTGTCCTAAATATATACGCACCCAATACAGGAGCACCCAGATTCATAAAGCAAGTTCTACAAAGAGACTTAGACTCCTACACAATAACAATGGGAGACTTTAACACCCCACTGTCAACATTAGACAAATAAATGAGACAGAAAGTTAACAAGGATATCCAGGAATTTAACTCAGCTCTGCACCAAGCAGACCTAATAGACATCTACAGAACTCTCCACCCCAAATCAACAGAATATACATTCTTCTCAGCACCACATCCCACTTATTCTAAAATTGACCACATAGTTGGAAGTAAAGCACTCCTCAGCAAATGTAAAAGAACAGAAATTATAACAAACTGTCTCTCAGACCATAGTGCAATCAAATTAGAACTCAGGATTAAGAAACTCACTCAAAACCGCTCAACTACATGGAAACTTAACAATCTGCTCCTGAATGACTACTGGGTATATAAAGAAATGAAGGCAGAAATAAAGATGTTCTTTGAAACCAATGAGAACAAAGACACAACATACCAGAATCTCTGGGACACATTTAAAGCAATGTATAGTGGGAAATTTATGGCACTAAATGCCCACAAGAGAAAGCAGCAAAGATCTAAAATTGACACCCTAATATCACAATTAACAGAACTAGAGAAGCAAGAGCAAACACATTCAAAAGCTAGCAGAAGGCAAGAAACAACTAAGATCAGAGCAGAACTGAAGGAGATAGAGACACAAAAAACCCTTCAAAAAATCAATGAATCCAGGAGCTGGTTTTTTGAAAAGATCAACAAAATTGATAGAACACTAGCAAGACTAATAAAGAAGAAAAGAGAGAAGAATCAAATAGACACAATAAAAAATGATAAAGGTGATATCACCACCGATCCCACAGAAATACAAACTACTGTTTATATTATTTGGTACTGGTACGCAAATAAACTAGAAAATCTAGAAGAAATGGATAAATTCCTGGACACATATACCCTCCCAATACTAAACCAGGAAGAAGTTGAATCCCTGAATAGACCAATAACAGGCTCTGAATTTGAGGCAATAATTAATAGCCTACCAACCAAAAAAAGTCCAGGACCAGATGGATTCACAGCTGAATTCTACCAGAGGTACAAGGAGGAGCTGTTACCATTCCTTCTGAAACTATTCCAATCAACAGAAAAAGAGGGTATCCTTCCTGACTCATTTCATGAGGCCAGCATCATCTTGATACCAAAGCCTGGCAGAGATAAAACAAAAAAAGAGAATTTTAGACCAATATCCCTGATGAACATTGGTGCAAAAATTCTCAATAAAATACTGGCAAACTGAATCCAGCAGCACATCAAAAAGCTTATCCACCACGGTCAAGTTGGCTTCATCCCTGGGATGCAAGGCTGGTTCAACATACACAAATCAATAAATGTAATCCATTATATAAACAGAACCAAAGACAAAAACCACATGATTATCTCAATAGATGCAGAAAAGGCCTTCAACAAAATTCAACAGCCCTTCATGCTAAAAACTCTCAATAAACTAGGTATTGATGGGACATATCTCACCCACAGCCAATATCATACTGACTGGGCAAAAACTGGAAGCATTCCCTTTGAAAATTGGCACAAGACAGGTATGCCCTCTCTCACCACTCCTATTCAACATAGTGTTGGAAGTTCTGGCCAGGGCAATCAGGCAGGAGAAAGAAATAAAGGGTATTCCATTAGGAAAAGAGGAAGTCAAATTGTCCCTGTTTGCAGATGACATGATTGTATATTTAGAAACCCCCATCATCTCAGCCCAAAATCTCCTTAAGTTGATAAGCAACTTCAGCAAAGTCTCAGGATACAAAGTCAGTGTGCAAAAATCACAAGCATTCCTATACACCAATAACAGACAAACAGAGAGCCAAATCATGAGTGAACTCCCATTCACAATTGCTTCAAAGAGAATAAAATACCTAGGAATCCAACTTACAAGGGATGTGAAGGACCTCTTCAAGGAGAACTACAAACCACTGATCAATGAAATAAAAGAGGACACAAACAAATGGAAGAACATTCCATGCTCATGGGTAGGAAGAATCAATGTTGTGAAAATGGCCATATTGCCCAAGGTAATTTATAGATTCAATGCCATCCCCATCAAGCTACCAATGACTTTCTTCACAGAATTGGAAAAAACTACTTTAAAGTTCATATGGAACCAAAAAAGAGCCAGCATTGCCAAGACAATCCTAAGCCAAAAGAACAAAGCTGGAGGCATCACGCTACCTGACTTCAAACTATACTACAAGGCTACAGTAACCAAAACAGCATGGTACTGGTACTAAAACAGAGATATAGACCAATGGAACAGAATAGAACCCTCGGAAATAATACCACACATCTACAACCATCTGATCTTGGACAAACCTGACAAAAACAAGAAATGGGGAAAGGATTCCCTATTTAACAAATGGTGCTGAGAAAGCTGGCTAGCCATATGTAGAAAGCTGAAACTGGATCCCTTCCTTACACCTTATACAAAACTTAATTCAAGATGGATTAGAGACTTAAATGTTAGACCTAAAACCATAAAAACCCTAGAAGAAAACCTAGGCAATACCATTCAGGACATAGGCGTGGGCAAGGACTTCATGACTAAAACACCAAAAACAATGGCAAGAAAAGCTGAAATTGACAAATGGGATCTAATTAAACTAAAGAGCTTCTGCACAGCGAAAGAAACTACCATCAGAGTGAACAGGCAGCCTACAGAATGGGAGAAAATTTTTGCAATCTACCCATCTGACAAAGGGCTAATATCCAGAATCTACAAAGAACTTAAACAAATTTACGAGAAAAAAATCAAACAACCCCATCAAAAAGTGAGCAAAGGATATGAACAGACACTTCACAAAAGAAGACATTTAACCAGCCAACAGACACATGAAAAAATGCTCATCATCGCTGGCCATCAGAGAAATGTAAATCAAAACCACAATGAGATACCATCTCATACCAGTTGAAACGGTGATCATTAAAAAGTCAGGAAACAACAGGTGCTGGAGAGGATGTGGAGAAATAGGAGTGCTTTTACACTGTTGGTGGGACTGTAAACTAGTTCAACCATTGTGGAAGACAGTGTGGCGATTCCTCAAGGATCTAGAACTAGAAATACCATTTGACCCAGCCATCCCATTACTGGGCATATGCCAAAGGATTATAAATCATGCTGCTATAAAGACACATGCACATGTATGTTTATTGTGGCACTATTCACAATAGCAAAGACTTTGAACCAACCCAAATATCCATCAATGATAGACTGGATTAAGAAAATGTGGCACATATACACCATGTAGCCATAAAAAAGGATGAGTTCATGTCCTTTGTAGGGACATAGATGAAGCTGGAAACCATCATTCTGAGCAAACTGTTGCAAGGACAGAACACCAAACACCGCATGTTCTCACTCATAGGTGGGAATTGAACAATAAGAACACATGGACACAGGGTGGGGAACATCACACACTGGGGCCTGTCGTGGGGTAGGGGGAGGAGGGAGGGATAGCATTAGGAGACATACCTAATGTAAATGACGAGTTAATGGGTGCAGCACACCAACATGGCACATGTACACATATGTAACAAACCTGCACATTGTGCACATGTACCCTAGAACTTAAAGTATAATAAAAAATATCCTTCAATCTACCTACTTCTCTCCACCTGTACTGCCGCAATTTCAATCCAAAGCATCAACTTCTTCCATCTTGACTAGTTCAATATGCTTCTGAACATCCTAGGCAAGACCACTCTTCAGAGGCATGCTACACACTGCCAGGATTATTTCTCTATGTGAACTCCTTTAATGAGTTGCCAGTATGCTTAGATTAAAAATGAATAGCAGCAATGGTCCTAGTCATGACCTGGCAGGCTCTGCATGTTCTCTATGGCTTCCCTCTTCAGTTTCATCTCAGACGTCTCTATCAGCTACTTTCTGCTGTGGACTATACTGGCTTTCTCTTAGTCCCTCAAATAATCACATTTCTTTCAGCATCAAGGCCTTTGCGTAAACTTGTCTCTTTGAATGTTCCTGCCTCCTCTCTTGCTAAACTCCTGTTTATCCTTCAGGAACAAACATCCTTGAGAAGTTCCCCAGAACCTCTCAGGACTGTATTGAGTCTTTCTGTTCCAGGCTCCCATGGTACCTGGTCATAATAGTTATTACAGTGGTCTATTTGTGTAGTGTTGGTTTAATCTCTCTTCTGCTAGTTTGTAAGTCCACAAGGACTATTTTAAGTCTCATTCTTTCACCTCTATGCTCCCAGCATCAAGAACAGTGCCTAGGCCAAGTAGAAACAATGAATGAGAGAATAAACTAACTTCAATTTTCAAAACCATTATCTCCAAGGTAAGTCTGTAAGACTGTTGTACATGATATTAGTATACTTCTGAGGTTTAAACCCAGGCCCTTACCTTATCTAATTCCTTCTTCATCTCAGCTCCCCTTCCCAACTGAGTTTGGGACTGTTTATGCAGATATCCACTGTCACCACCCACCTCTACAAGTTCTGTTTTGAGTATGTTTCCCTCCCAAATACTCTCTAGTTCTCATCTTCTCCATTTCAGCTATTGGTGTCACTGTTTTCTTTACCTCTTTAATGCTAAAGCCAAAGAAACCTTAAAAATAGCTTTCAGAGTTCTCTCTTGATTACAAAAATGATATATGTTCATTGTAGAAATTAAAAAATATATTTTTTAAAACCAAGAAAATAAAAACGACTTACTTTCTAAGGAGAAATAATCATCATAAATATTTTGGTATATACAATTTCCAACTTTGTCTATGCATACATCCACATTATTTTGAAAATGTGGTAGAGTTTTGCTTTCCTTTTTTTAGTCAACATTTCTGTTACAGGAATTTTTAAAATAGAGAACTGTATAATGAATAATTATCAACATTTTGTCATTCTTGTTTTACATGATTCCTTTACTTTTGAGCATTGTAAAGCAAATCCCAAAGTTCATATAATTTTATCCTTTAAGATCAATTCAGTATATATCTCCAACACAGAAAACTTTTAAAAATTATAACTAAAATGTCATTACTATTCCTAACAAAAGTGACATTAAATCCTCACTTTCATCTAGTACTGAGTCCATATTTTGTTTTTCTGATCATGTCAATAGAGTCTTTTTTCAGTTAATTTTTTTGAATTAGAATCTAAAGTCATCTACATATTGCATTATATATATGCAGATTTTTAGAAAATTAGGAAGATATTGTGCAAAATGTTTATAATCTCTTTTTACTTAAAAACATATTATGCACATGTTCCCACATGTTAAATATTTTTCTTCAGTGATTCTAATTTCCATACAGTAGTCTCTACTTTTTACATCCAACATCTTATTATTGAGCATTTAGCTTATTTTCAATTATATCTCCCATGAGTAAGGCTTTGATGTGCACACTTAGACATGAGACCTGGGCCCAGGGTGAATAAATATATTGGTTAGTTTTTGATACTGCTAAATTGCTGTCCAGAAGGGTTACATTAATAACCTTCCCATGAGCAGTGTATTAGTTGTAAACACTCATTATCATTGAAGAATCATTATTATTTTTACCCAAATCAACAAGCAAAAACAGCTTGTTATTGTTTTTATTTACATTCCTTAGTGTGGTGAAACATGACTTCATATATTTAACAGCCATTCAGATTTCCTTGAAAAATTGCATGTTCATATCCTTCGTCGTGTTTTTAATTTGTTTTTCATTTTATTATTGATTTGTATGGGCTTTGTACTTTACTGAGGCTGTTATAAATGTTGCAAATATTGTATTTCTGGAGTTTCTTGTCAGCCCTTTCTAGAATTATGTTTCTTCCTCCCTCTCATATCTTTAATCTACCCTAATTTTTAATCACTTGTTCTTTCACAAATTCTTCAATATGTCAACTTCTTTCTGATATCACAATGCTGTGACTCTAACTGAACTTCTTGATGGCTCTTCCTTCTGATTGATTTGTGTGTTTTTTTAACTCCATTCTCTTTCCTAGTCCATTGTGAAGGCTGCTGCCTAATGAATATTTCTCTGATCACTTTCCTCATACTGCTCCTCTATTCACAACTGGACAATGGCCTTTTATTGTACATCAGATGAAATCTAAACCCCTCAGCTCAGCATTTAATAACATCTACAGTTTGACTTAAACTCTCCTTTCTAAACTTATTTCTCATTCTTTTCCACAGGGGCCATCCATGGAGGGCTGGATGGTGTCCTCACTCTCCCATCACACAGCTCTTCTGATGATGTTTTTGCTTGTCTTTCTGGAAGTTCGCTCTGATCCAAAATTACATCTGCAAGGGGCAGCTGAAGTCCATCAGTTCTGTGAAGTCTTCTGGGAGTTGCCTCAGCCTAGAGATCTCTTCCTCCATTTCTCCAAATATTTCAGTTAGCTCTAAATGAACAATTAGCATCTCCTAATTGTGCAACTATTTAATTTTGGTTTCCTCAACCAAGGAGTTAATCCCTTTCTGAGGGCAGGTACTGTCAACTTCTTTTGATTTTTCTACACTGCATGTGGCCATCCCAGATAACTCACTAACAATAAATTCTTGATGACATGACTCTACATGGTAAGACGGCACTACTCACTTGCCAAGAGCCAAACAGATATTTTGGAATCATTTCCCAGATAGTGATAAAAAATGGGCACAGACCATTTGTAATCTTTCATCCCATCTTCCTTTTGACTAGTGTCATCCCTGTAAACCATGAGTGATCAGGATTACATCTCTACATTCAGCAGGAGTAGAATAGAATTTCCATTTGCACACAAAACTGACTCACTGAGAGCAATTTAGTGATCTCAGTAGATGGGCCTGCTGCATGGAAAGGCAGCCAACAGATGGGGAGTGTCCCTATCTTAGCCAGAGGAGGGGAAAGTATGGGATTCAATCTGTTTCTTTAAAAGCTGAAGGATAAACTGAAGATGATGTTCATAAAAACTGTATTTCCATTGTTAAGGAGAAAAATAGATAGGTAAGCTCAGCCCTCTTTTGATAAAAGTTGAACAGAGAGGTGAAAAAGGGAATCCATTTGTTTATGCACTTATCCTAAAGAGAACATTGAAAGTCAAGGGGGTATGTCCAGTGGTTTGCAAAGTGGTGTCTCCAGGGGACATTTACAGTCAATGTCATCTACAGAAAGTTGCTGTCTTTGCTATAGTGAAGGGCAAATCATCTCCCAATTGCGCTGCTTTTCAAGATTCCATGAGGAGCTCTACTCTTGAAAATTTCTGAATCAAAATAGAATCTTAAGGAGTCTAATTCTAAATACAAACTTCATGTGTAAGATTCTCGCCATGGCTGTATGGCAGGTTTTTAAAGAAAGTATGAGAATGGTGTATTTTATCCAAGTGCTTGTTGCTGTTTTGCTCACTGGTGTCCTAAGCACCTAGAAAAGTCCTTGGCAGTTTTTAGGTGCACAATAAGTATTTAATTTTATTATTCCTAAATTATTGGTTCGATGATTGGGTGTATACAAGTGCATATGTGGATATGTGCATTTGAATGGAGAGAAAGAAAAAGTACATGCTTACTCTCTGTGCTATAATGTCTCAAATATTAAATCATGACATATGATAATAATGGTCATTTTTAAGTTACAAAGTTCTTTCACCATTCATTCATTCAGTTGTTATTTATTGGGTGCCAAATTATGTACCAGGCAGTGTGGTGGGATACCAGGGATACAGACATGCGCCTGCCTGTATATGTTTACAAATCTAGGTGGAAAAAATAGGTAAATAAATAGACTGCTACAGTGCGTTGTGAAATACAATGGTAATTAAAGGGGGCGTAGGGCATCAGGGATGGCTTCCCCAAGGAAGTGCTGCTCAAACTGAGATTGAAGGTGGAAAGCCCTACCTAAGGGTCTGGCCCAGATGGAAAAAAGACAGAGGTATGTCTGCTCTCCTGTGCAAGGAGGGTCCCTTTCCTGTTCTTTCTTCAAGAATCTGCTGCCCCTACTCCCCACTCTCAACTGGTAAATTCTGCCAATGCCCTTGCTAGTTTGGCACTCCCAGTTCTGGGCAGAGGAGGGTACTGACTGAGGGTGGCTTGGTATATCTGTAGTCTGCCGCTATCTCTCCATCCAGCGCCCAAGACCAGTGGCCATGGCCTGCAGGACTCCTCTACATGCTGGTGGGCAGTGCCACTGTTCCTGCCTAAGTGCTGTCCCTGGGCTCTTGGAGCACCCTGGTGCCATCGTTTTTTAGAATAGTTTGCTTTCTGCTTTAGCCTCCTGAGTAGATGCAGGCAGGACAGTGTCACTAGTGAGATCCTCATCCTTTTCTCTACTTCAGGAAGAACGGGGAGACTAATGTATTGTGCTGAGCTCATTTGTTTGAATTTGAGGGGCCTAGAGTTCTTTCCTGGTCTTCCTTCCCCTCAGGGGTCAATTGAAGCTCTCATATGGCCTCTCTTCTCAGCTGCTATGTGGAGGAACAATTAAGCAGAATGTGGTCCCTGACTTACCATCTGTCGAGTGAAGGAAATATAATAATAAGGACCGTGATTTAGTGAGCACCTACTATGTGCCAAAAACTTTGCAATCATGAGCTCTAATGATATCAACAACCTAGCAAAGTAACTGTGGGTATTAGGTGAGACTCAAAGAAGTGTAATCATGTGTCCAGGGCGATACTGGGGATTCAAATTCTTCTGCATCTTGCTCTAAGGCTATGGTCTTCGTAGAATGTCATGAGACTACTCACACACCTCATCATACTCCTAATACCTCTTTGCAATGTAGTATAGAAAATGCAACAATAGAATTATGTGTTAGGGACAGTGATAAAAAAGATGCAAGACTAATTATGCCTAGGGACAGTGGAGAATTCACTAAGAAGATGATGCTTGAGTCAGACCATGAAGTATGAGTAAGAGTTTGAGGAGCAAATAAAGGAGAGACAGAACATTGGAGACAGAGTTAGAGTAGAACTCAGGGTCCAGTCCTGGCTCGGCCAACATGGTTTGTATATACAAGAATAAGATACTTGGCTGTTTTGGGTCTCCATCTCCTCTTCACAGACAAAATGTTACAATAGCTACCTACAGATCTTCACTAAGGTCCCTTCTGGTTTGGAACATACGATGCTACATCAGAAAACCCTAGGCCGGTTTTCTTGTTTCCACAGATAAGCATCAAACTCCTTGGCCCTACTCTTCTCTGCAGTGGGAAGGGCATTTACCCTTTCAAACTTCCAGAAGCCCATTTAGTAAATTAATGCTGGAGCTACTGTGGGATTGAATCACAGCTTGCTGTTGTCATCAGCTTAGCACTCCTAGAGACAGGCTCACACCCAGGCTATCCGGCAGCCAGCTCAGGCGAGAGGGGCTAATTGTCTTTCCCATTTCCTCCTCTGATTATAGGGATCCTCTTAATGATGAAGGTGGGAAATGCAGCCATTCAAAAGGAAGGAGCATTTAATGTTGTAAAGTAACATTTCTACATCTAATGGCAAAAGCTAAAGATTTTCACTGTAGAAATGGATGAAAAGTAACAGCGAAGAAAAGATCACTTGTCACTTCTTTACTATGAGATGATCATGTCAATATCCTATTTTTCAGGCATGTATTTTAGAAAAACATACAGAGAACAATAGTGTGTGATACAAGCTGTTTGTAACCTCTCTTTTTTCACTTGAGAGTATGATGAAAAAATCCCATCATTAGTGCTCCTCTGAGGCAGTATTTGGAATGCCTTCATAACGTTCTATACCTTATATGGTTTGCTCATGATTTGTTTAACCAGTCTTCTATCACTGGGCACGAAGATTGGTTTTGAACTTTTCACAGTCATAAACAACACTGTGATGAACATCTTGCAGCTAAATCTTTGGGTCCATAAATGATTACCCCTAAGCCTAGGAAGGGTGTTAGGCAGGAAGGCTGGATTTAGAAAAAGCCTTGTGTGAGGCTGCAGGAACAGCAGCTTGGTTTAGAAAGCATTGTTTTTCTGGTTGCATGTGCTTAGGATGATTGGCCAACCCAAGACCCATGGCACACCCCACTGAGCTGCGTCAGTCCTGCCACCTGGCACCTCCCATGAGCTCTGAAACCCTGCCAGGGGGCTGGTGCCTCCCAGTTGAGAGTGCAGCCTCGCAGGGTGGGAAGGCACCATGGGGAAAAGCAGGAGAGGGCCCTCAGCAATTTTTTATGACACCAGGCTTCTGTTCAGTGCTTTGGATAATTAAAAACAGACCCCCACCCAGGCCACATCTTTAGTCTAAAACGTACTGCGTGTGGATTTTGGAATTGGCTCCTGAGGGACAGGGCGGAAGCACATTCCTCCGGGACATCTAAACCAGGCTGGAAAGAGTGCTCCTAGAGTATTGTGTGGAGATGAATCCTCCTCAGGCAGTGCTGGGAGAGATGACCTCATAGGTCCTTCCCATCTGTAATTCCTGTGATGATCCGAACAGATTTTACAGTGTGACCAGATTCAGAACACAGGCATTTAAAAAACAAACCAGCCCCTGTGGAGTTACAGACAGATCTTCCTTCTCTATATTTTCAGCCCGAAAATCACCTCTGCTCTCCCTGATATCTGGGGCTGGCAGCATTCCTTCCTTGGCTTTGTTGGTGGGAGAAGCACTGTCTTCCTGCAGAGATGGCAAAAACACTTTCTAGAGTCCACCCTCCCCGGGCCATGGGGTTTACAATCACTTCCTACTGTAGTCCTTCCTGAACAAGGGAGGAGGAAATGAATCCACAGCCCACCATGGCCACCATTGATAAACTGGCCCCTGATATAACTAGGGCAGTCAGGGTGGGGCTGCAGACTTCCTGCTTCTCCCTCTTGGAGGCTTGATAACATGTCCTTGGCTTTTTTTTTTTTCTCTTGGAGTGAAAACCACAGCAGGGACACACATGTGGTTGTGAGATGGTAGTGATGATGCTGCAATAATAATATTGGTATAGGCCTGGGCTGCGTTTGTCCAAACTTCATTCATTTGACAAATATTTCTCACTAGAATAGTATCAATTCATCTATGTATCACTAAAGTCTTCGAAGGTAAGAATCTTTAATTTGCTTACTGCTGTATCCCCAGGCTTGTAATTTGCTCTCAGTAAATATTTGTTGAATGGATGAGTGAGTGAATGAGTGAACCATGTCCTATGGCACACTGTTTTGGGTTTCACTCTAGGTTCTGAGCCTTCATTTCCTCTTCTGAGAAATGGGAATAACAATGCCACCTCCTCGGGAGGTGGTGGTGATGAAATCCCTTGGTCACGTGCCTAGCACAGCACCAGGACTCAGGAGGCCTTGACTGAGTCCTTATCGTCCTTCTCCTGATGCGCATTCTGGACTGTGCAGCTCCCGGAGGGTTGAGCCAGGCTGGGAAGACACAAGAAGGGACGGCTGGCTGTTGATGTGTTCCGCCGTCCCTCCCTTGTACCTGGTGGAGGAAGCTGGCTGTGCCTATACTAAGTCATCAATCTTTTTTCAGGCCACACACCTGGAACTGTGTGCACTGAGAGGCATCCGCTCCAGCAGCAGCTGGTTCATCTTATAGCTACAGCCCAGACACACAGAGAATTTAGAAACAGGAGGAGGAGGAGGAGGAGGTTTTTCTTCCTCTCCACAAAGTCTGAAGCCCCCACTTTTATTATGTGCACTAGCATATTGGCTTGGCAACTGATGTGTTTCTTTTATAGCATTGCTCTGCATAAAACTGCATGATTCCAACTTATGGTACACCAGAGTTTGATTATATTTAAAAGTCAAACATGCAAGATGTCCATTGTCCACATCAGGGAGGAAGGATAAGCAGCACCATGAATCACTATTCTTTGTACACTTTTATTCCCCAAACTAATTGCTCATTTGCTTAAATAAGAGGCTCCACTATGAGTGTCTGTCATTAGCAAATGAAAGCTGATTATATTTCATAAGAACGTCGGAACTTCTTAAACCTTATATTTCATACCAGAAACCTAAGCTGAAATATTTCCATGTAGTGACACTTCTGATGGAGGAAAAATAATTTAAACAAATAATTAGTCTTGAGAATAAAAGTGTACACAAAAGTACAATTAATGAATTCACTAATTGTTCTTCCCTGCTGTGGACATAGCTCAAAGTTGAATTTTAAGCTCTTGCATAAATATAAACTACTGTACAAGCCACAAAACGGGATGACTCACCATCAGTCATTAATGTTGCCTTAAAGACAAACTCGAGCTCTCGGAGAAAATGCATTCACCTAGGCAGACATAATTTTGAAAATAAAGCAAGTTTTAGATGATAAACTGGTCTTTGAGTCTTTGGGAAAAAAACACACACACGAGAGATTTGCAAGTTTTAATGCCCTATGTAAATATCAGACAGGCAACATTTACCTTACTCAAAATTCCCCATTAGCTGAATAGGAATGAATTTGGTCTGTCCTGACCATGTAGTCAAATGTGTCTACCCTTCCTCTCTATCCCACCCTTTGCTGAAATGGAAGTAAAATGTGAATTGCAGTGCCTTTTGTCTGTGATATTCTCTATATGTGATGAAGGCAGCTTCTTCCTTTTCCTCCCTATCCTCCTTTTCTTCATCTTCATCTTTTCTTCCTGCTTTAATTCCCACATAAGTAGTGTTTTGTGGATTTGCCTAGAAGGCTACAATGTATGGATTGTAAAATAGAAATGGTTCTCATTTTCCCAGCCTGGGAACAAAAGTAGGAGAAGGCAATAGAGAGATATTCCAGTTAAATTCCTAGCAGAACTGTTGTATATTTTCTTAGAACAACAGCAAAAACTTGTATGATGGTTATTTTTTAAATATGGCTCCGAAAGATTCTTATTTCTAATTGTTATATTTTATGTTAAGAAACACCGGAGCAATCATCTATAAGCAATGCACTTCAAGGCAAACCTACTTATATATAGAATTGCTCACTTATATCTATGACTTTGACATCTTAAAGGACTCCATGTTGACATCAACCCATAAAATGGAACATCCAGACACCCATCACATTGTAGATTTTTCTTTCCTCTCATCTAAACTTTATAATGTAATGAACTGATCTATAATATTATAGTCTGATCTTTGTTTTTTTTTGTTTGTTTGTTTTTGAGACACAGTCTTGCTCTGTCGCCCAGGCTGGAGTGCAGTGGCGCGATCTCAGCTCACTGCAACCTCCAACTCTCGGGTTCAAGTGATTCTCATGCCTCTGCCTCCAGAGTAGCTGGGACTACAGGCGTTTGCCACCACACCTGGATAATTTTTGTATTTTTAGTAGAGACAGAGTTTTGCCATGTTGGGCAAGCTGGTCTCAAACTCCTGGCCTCCAGTGATCCACTGGCTTTGGCCTCCCAAAGTGCTGGAATTACAGGTGGGAGCCACCGAGCCCGGCCTTATGGTCGGATCTTAATGGGGAAAGTTGCAAATAAGAAGAGGCCCTGGGATTCTAGAAGTGGTTTAGGAAGTGTAGGGATGGCATATTCTGAGGGGAAAAACAGGAAATGAATGGTCTAAAAAGGAGTTCAACTACTAAATATTATTTGAAAACACTGCTTTGTGAGATTTCGTGGGGTGGGAGGGTGAAGGCTGTAGAGTAGCAGGGAATGAGAGGAGGGCACAGGGTGGTGGGCAGGAAGTGCCTCTTCTCTCTCCAGCCAGAGCAAATCTCCATGTTGTCTTAGACTACCGTGGTCTGGTTCCATGAGGCTGGGGCAGGGAAGTACAATGTAGTAATGCAATTTGCGGGGCTTCATGAAGGGCCCTCTCTCCCCACCAGCATGAGGTTTAGATTAAAAAGTTTGTTCACCTCTCCCGCTTCTCCCATTGGCTCAGAGCAAAGAAGGGAGGCAGGGAGGGAAAGGGGAGGGAACCGAGGAGAAGGAGGTGCTCTTGCCTAGGTCTTTACCAGTGACAATGTCAATGAGGTCAGGATCTCTTCAATTTTGTTTGTCCAGACAGTACAGTTCTGGTGATTTTGGTAATTTCAGCAGAAAAGAGGGCCTGCATGATGTGCACGGGAGGAGGCAGGGCAGGGGAGGAAGAGGAGGGCCTGCATGATGTGCATGGGAGGAGGCAGGGCAGGGGAGGAAGAGGGCGGGGGGATGGGATCTGGCTTTGAGTGGACAAAGGACACAGAAAGGAGACGGGAGAGACAGGGAAGCCAGGGTATTTTTCAATCTTTACATTTTGCTCAGGGCCATCCAAGTCCACCAGTGCAAGTCCCGGTTCCCCTGAGATCTGCTGGAGAGCAAATTTCTACAGGCAGAAAATCTAAGCAGAGAGGGCTCCTCTCAGCTGCGCGCAGCTGGGAGCGCTCCTGCCGCAGAGGTGCCCTGTGGGAGGAAGATGTCCTGGGGGCTCTGACCATTCTGCCTCAAAGCCGGTGTGGGGGCTGCGTTTGCTGCTCTCTGATGGTTCCCATACTCAGGATCCCAGAGCAATGGCTGGGTGCCCAGGCTTCCTGCCTCTTGCCTCCCTTCGGATCCTGGCTCCGGTCATCTTTCACCTGTGTGACCTTGGAACACAGTTATTTGACCTCTCTGCATCTCAATTTCCTTCTCTGTAAAGTGGGGGTAACCATAGGACCTGCCCTATAGACCTGCTATGAAGATTAAATGAAGTAATCCATAGAAAGCTCTAGTAGATTGTCAGGTACCACGTAACTATCATAAATGTTAGCTAAAATCCCAATTGCTTTCTCCTCCAAAGAGCACAAAATTCGCCCTTGTATCCAAGTGAAGAACGAATCAGAACTGCTTTGATTTTTTTTGTTTCCTGGAATGGTTTCCAGAATGATTTGGCTTCTGGAGAGGGAATTACAAGGCAGCTGAACTTCTCTGGTTCTGTCTTCGACTCATTATCGTGCAGGAGTAACACAGGTTAATCGCATAGCTAATTAAGAGATAACATTAATGGAATCTGAGTTGGTGCCCTGATAAAGCCGAGCCCTGGCAGATAAATGCTGAGGTGCAGCCAAGCCATTTATTTGAGGAGCAGCAGGGCTCCTATCAGGGCACCAACTCTGCTTCCATTAAAGTTATTGATATTACACCCCAATCTACAACTGTAAGAAAATTCAATGTGTCTTTTTTTCTGTTTCTGTTTTCAGAGGCAGCTCAGCATTTGCCATGCTGGCTGAACAAATGCAGCAGAAGCTAGGTGATATAGCCTCTTTTATTGAACAACACACTTAATAATGAATTAACAAATAAATGAATGAATGAACATTAAAGAACTTCATTCACAGCAAACACCACTGCAATTAATATGCTGCCATTCGCAGGGGGCTGTTGACAGGGCATCTAGCAGAGCACAGTCCTCTCTGGATTGATCAGCTATTTTTTTTTTTCAGGGCTCTGCCTTAGAGCAAATCAATGAAGAACCTAAAGTACCACTTCTATATTTCTCTCTGTCTCCTTCCAGTTAACTTGATGAAAGGGTTTTGGAGATTTCCTCCCCTCCTTGCTTTAATAAATTCTCTCATGGCTTTTTTAATTGTTGCTTTTTTTACCTTTCTGGGGGAATAATGATCAATTATTGCATTCAGCTAGCTGATGGCTGACAAATTCTATTTGACATAATGCAGCCATGATTTAAAGGAAGAGTCATGGTGCTAACTACGCGGCTGCTTCCTGAGGAACAATGGGGATTGGACTGTACCCTCTGTGATGGTGGGGGCTTTAGTATCCTGCAATTAGGCAAGTGCATTTCACCGAAAGCCAAAGATAGTCTCAAAGAGAACTGGACTCTATCATCTCTGGCCATGGATCTGGGGACATCTTCACCGTCTACATCCTCACAGAGTCCTGCACACAAGCTGCTGGTGCCCCTTGTCTCTACTCCCTGAAAGCCCCCACACAGGCAAATTCCCTTCAGAGTCAATAAGCTTCAACAAAGGCCTTCACCAGGCTGAGGGGCGTCAGCCACTGAAGAAATGAGACTTCACTTGGCATTCCTGTGCTAAGAATGTTAAATACCAATTCCATAATGAGAAGTAAACACTGGGGCTGTCTGAGAATCACAAATCAGTACCACACAGGCTCATCCACGGTACAGGCATAACTGTGAGTTGGTCAGAACTGCGTCCGGAGAGCCACTCTGCCACTTTTATAAACCTTGAACTCTCAGAGGCTTGGGAGAATGTGTGCCTAAAACACGGTGCCTGGAATGGGTAAATGCTGAACACAGTGTAGCTCCTGTTATTATTGCCGTGGTTGTTGTGATGGTCATATGCACTTGTTTTATAGCCCAGGCTTCAGTGAAAGCAAAGCCGAATTCCCAAAGAGTGTCAATTAGGAGGAGAGAAGGAGCTATCCCGTCCCAACTATTAACTCAGATAACAAAAATTCACAGCCAGGGGTGGTGGCTCATGCCTGCAATTCCAGTACTTTGGGAGGCCAAGGCGGGAGGATCACTTGAGCCCAGGAATTCAGGACCAGCCTGGGCAACATAGTGAGACCCTGTCTCTACAAAAAAAAAAAAAAAAAACGAGCAAACAAACAAAAAAAACCCCACAAAATTAGCTGGGTGTGGCGGCTCCTGCCTTTTGTCTCAACTACTGAGGAGGCTGAGGCAGGAGGATTGCTTGAGTCCCGGAGGTCAAGGCTGCAGTGAGCCACGATAGCACTACTAAACTTCAGCCTGGGTGACAGAGAAAGATCTTGTCTCAAATAAATAAATAAATAACAAAAATTCACTCTAGACAATATGAGCTTGATATTTTGTATTATGATGTCAAGTAGGAGTGAATTTCAATTTAAAGAAAGTTCTGTCATATTTTTAGCTATATAAATTAAAAATAAGTTGAAAATCGAACATTCACACACTGTGTTCTTCAAAATTCTCATTTGCTGAGCCTCAAAAGCAGATATACTCATTTTAGCAATTTGCCAAGTAAATCTGAAAACACCTGAGACATTGAAACTCAAGGGGAAAATTCTTTTTCTCTTGAAATTTTAAGCAGCAATTTTATAATAAGGTTATATGTCATAATTGTGTCTGTATATATGAAGGTCTGTCATTAAGCCTTATAAACACGATTACATGATTTATTTTCATTGCCTCATTAAACTAGTAAATCCTAAGTACATAAATATGTGATAAAATAGTCTATGAAAACTACATGCAAAAGGCCCTCACGTTAGGAAAAGGAACTTGCAAAATAAAGAAACTCACAATTAAGAATTAAATCTCTAAAGTCTACACACAAAGCAAACCAGAGTTTTATGGAGATGATGACCTACCGTGCCTATGTACTAAAAAGTAAATTCTATTCTGTTCAGCCCTTGATAAATACACACAATTTCCATGTCAAGCTAACTCTAATTACGGACAAAGTCAATATGAGGTGCGTGCCCAAGAGCACAGAATAGCTAGTGGACATGAGGATTTTCTTGATTTTTTTTTTCCAGGGGACAAAACTTGAGTTTTTTTTGTTTTTTTTTTTTTTTTTTTTTTGAGACCCAGTCTCACTCTGTCGCCCAGACTGGAGTACAGTGGCGCGATCTCGGCTTACTGCAACCTCCCCCTCCCAGGTTCTAGTGATTCTCCTGCCTCAGCCTCCCGAGTAGCTGGGATTACAAGCACCCACCACCACACCCGGCTGATTTTTGTGTTTTTAGTAGAGATGAGGTTTCACCATGTTGGCCAGGCTAGTCTCAAACTCCTGACCTCAGGTGATCCACCCGCCTTGGCCTCCCAAAGTGCTGGGATTACAGGAGTGAGCCACCGTGCCAGGCCAAATCTTGAATTTGTGAGCCCCAAACAGGCCACTGCTTTGTGTGTATGTTTCTCCACATCTCTTTCCATTTAAAGTTATAGCAAGATGCTCTAAAAGAGTGGCTACATTGGCAAAAAGAAGCATCTGACTTCCTAAAAATGTGCAAAACATGTCAAAGTTAGAAACTTGCTACCTGACCTAGTCCGTCTCGCTGCGAGGAATCAAAGCTTCTATTTTCTGTGGTTCTCAAAAGCCTTTATCATATCCATATTTGCCTTAGTTTTCTGCCTTAGTTCATCTCTCTTTTTCACACCTTGACTTCTACAATATGTTATGCACCATCTGTATTCTTTCACCTAATTCTTTGTGATTCCTTTCAACTCAGTTTTTATTTACTTCGTGAGGGCAGAAACAGTTACATTTATTTCTCCCTATTCCCTGAACCAGATGCACAGTCTCTAGCATAGGGAAGGTGTTTCTGAAAGTGTTTATTGAATTGAATTGCTGAATGTGGCCCTCTAATCATCACTTCTCATTTCGTGTGTGTGTGTGTGTGTCCTCTGGGATTCCTTAATAAAATGGGTCTTAAAAATTACCCTTTCCTAACTCACTGCGAACTCCGACATGCCTTTCTTGCAAGTGGTCAACTTCTTCAGCTCTGCTGGGGCCTCAAAATGTCCTCAGTTCCTGTGTGTGGGTCTCTTGTACTTTTCTTTCCGCCATAATTTTTCACTGAGAAATTGCCTCTTGTCTTTGCTCACAAGTGACCTGAGTGGCTTCTGGGCCAACCTTGTTTTCTCCTGTGCCTACCATGAGTATGAACTGTTGAGAGACTAAAATCCCAATCTGCTATGGCCACGGAGGGTTTTAACAGTGATTCACAGGAAATGCCATGGACTCTAAGCTTCTGCTCAATGAGGGATGCATCTTGAGCCTTGGTCCTTGCTAGAAGTTATTCTTCCCACAGAAGGAGCAATGGAGACCCATCTTCTCTACAGCATAGGCGGGCTACCAGACCATCCACAAAGTAGAGGGAAACGACTCTTTACTAATAATTAACTGGCTGCAGATATTTTAAAGTGAGAAGGACAAATGCTCTTTAGCAATAAATTAGCATAGTCCCTGTTCTTTTTTTAAATAAAAAAATCACATATACTCTCTAATTATTTTCTCCAAATAATAAGTGCCTTAATCAGCTGGAATCCAGCCAGAGAAACAGAGCTCATATCAGCTCGATGGGGGGAATTTTATATGGGGTACTGGTTATAAAGGTGTTGGAACAGTTAACAAAAACAAAAACAAACAAACACATAAAAAATGGCAGGAAGGCAAATCAGAGATTTACAACAACAGGAAACCTCTAGGACTCGAAGGTCTGAGTTGAGGCCGTGGTGTTTTCAGAACCCAGATGCTGTCTGATGGCAAGTGAGGTCACAGAGGGCAGGCCTGCACCAAGGATCTGGGACTGCAAGGGAGATAGAAATGCCACCTGAAGCAGAAAGAGAGGGAAGAAATACCTTGGATTTTCTTCCTCCCTCTCTAAATTACCAGGCTCAGAACCCAGAGCTTTGCAATGATTGCAATACAAACTTCCGTGGGCTAAAAACCACATGAAATGCATTTCAAGATGCTTAGAAGCACCTGGACAATTTGAGAAGAAAATAAATCCCAACCAAATCAGAACAAACCCTCTAGTATTATCCACAACCATCCATGAGGGTTTTTTTGTTTTGTTTCAATTTGTTTTTTAACCACTCTTTTAATGAGGAATAAATAGAACTTGATAACAGAACCCCAGTATAGATTCATGTATGATTTCTTGCAATAATTCTATTTCATGATTTGCCCCATATAGTTCTCATTTCATAAGCACAGTCATTTCAGTTAATTTTTTTATTGTCTTCATAAAGTCCAACATCCACAGATTCTTCCAGGTATTGTCACAGATAGATATTTGAGTACAAGGTTGTTCCTTGTTGACCAGTACAGAAATAATATTGGTGCCCAACTTAGGCAAATAGGTTGTGACCTTTCTGGCATTTATTTTTGACTAGAAAAGCCACACGTTACACAGCCATGAGCACATTTCTCAGTTCCTCTTATCTTTTAGTGCAGGTCACCTGTCTGACATTTCATTCCATTAAACAAAACAAATGGAGATTTTTTTTTTAATCTCTTGAAAAATCTTATCCAAACCTTCATCAAACTATGAGACATTAGAAAGTTCTTATTCTCCTAGAGAGTACCTTAGGTCTTCCTCCAGTTCCCCTTTCCTTCTCTTACTCTTTTCTCCTTTTCCTTGAACATACTTCTCTCTTCATAACCAAGTTCCTATCTCGGGCTCCAATTATCTTCTATATCTTGACTCTTACTGTTTTCCCTCCAGAAACTTCCTTTTCTTTTCACTAATTAATTAGAAGGGAGTGTCCCCCCTTATCACCCATACCAATCCTACTGATCAGGAATCCTCCCTCTTCCCATCCCTGGGATCTCTACCCTACAAAGTTCTTGAAACTTACTCTTTTTACAGCACAGAGGGAAAAATATCTTGTCATTTGCACTGTCAGAGAAAAAGCTCTTTTTAAGTTTTTTGAGAAATATTGACAAATCAACTTGTTCATCATGTTCAATATTTGGAATAAGCAACCTCCATGGCTTTGTTTCAATCCTCATTTCATTTCATGAAATGGAACCTGTTCTCTTTGCAGACTCCCATAGTAAGTATCTTCCCCAAAGTACAAATCACAACAGCAAATCCAGGTTAAAGCAAGCTCTGTGGCAATGTGGAGCCTCAGACCAGACCCCAGACTCCTCCAAACCCCAAAACTGGTAGCCAAGGAAGAGGAATGCCCATGATTTCAGGGGCAGGGACCCTCTGCGGAGATTTCTCAGTCTCCTGTCTTAATGAGTTTAACTCCAGAGATGGGCAGCTCCAGGCTCCCCGCTGAGCGTAATTACCGTGATGGGGCACCTGGGGAGAGATTGTCACAAAGATAACTGGGTCTCAGGCTATTTAGCGCTTTACAGATGAGAGTAAGGTGGTGACTTGGAAAAATGGGGTCTGGTTCGGATAGGAAGACTGCTATGGTTCATTTTCCTCCCTCCTGTGGAAGCATACACTGTTGTGTTTTTAATTGATGTACGTGAGCCCAGGGCACAAAATGGACTCACGTGAGAAATCACAGGATACCAAGACTGGATGGGACTGGAGGGGTCATCTCGTCTACCCTCAGCCTCAAGGCAGGACTGCTTACAAGCTATCTTGGAAGGAGGGCCGACTGCCCTTTTCATCACTCCCTCCGGAGGACTGAACACAGCAGATAACCAAGGGCTACCTGGGCACCAGTGCACACTGCAAAGGACTATTTGTCTGGGTTTATTCTGGCTCTCCTTGCTTAAAAGCCATAGTCAGGGTCAGGATCAGGTCCCCAACACGGGCAGCTTAGAGCAGCACACCGAAATGTCAAAAATTCACCGGACAGCATGAATATACTGAAGAATACACAAAGAAAATATATTGAATCATCTTGTGCAAATTCACACCTCACCGAGGTGCTGAATGAGGAGAATGATCTCTTAACCACTGTCAAACTCTTCCTGTGAGTGCAGCAGGATGGGATAGGATTTCTGCTTTCCCCTAAGAAAAAGTTCATGGAGGACCTAAAACAGGGATTGGTGGAAGGGGGATTGGACAGCTGGTCCTGAGGCATCTAGATGCTGACATCCAGGCTCCTGCAGAAAGGCAGCACCTAACCATGCAGGTCAGGAGGAGGTAGGGGGTTTGGGAACTGCAGTCCCATTCTGGTTTTAGGAACTCCCTTGCCTGTATTAATGTAATAACATGGAGAGAGGTTGTGTTTAGGGCCCGATGTAGGCGAGCCACAGGGTGCGGGCTCCAGGAACTGGCAGAGAGAACTGTCCTATGGTGCTGGCCAGACTAGAGGACATCCGCCAAGAAGCCTGGGCACATTCCTATAATGCCAGGGCACAAGGGAAAGTTGTAGGGCAAATGGGCCCTGCTCCCTGCAAAGAACCGAAGTGGAGATTTCTCTCTAGACTGTCCACACCTGAAGCCACTGGATTTCACATGTCTCTGAAGCCTCTAGAGGAGATGAGGAACCCCTCATCTTGGCCAGAGGTTCACAAACTATGGCTCATGGGCCAAATCTAGCCTGTGGCCTGCTTTTGTACAGCCCAAAACGAAGAATGCTTTTATATTTTTAAAGAATTGAAAAGAAGAAGGATATGCACTACAGACCATATCTGGCCCACAAAGCCTACGTTATTTACTCTCTGGCCCTTTACAGAAAGAGTTTACCAACCCCCATCTAGGTCACTGATTCTCAAATTTCCATGTTCATAAAAACCACTTAGGGCACTTATTAAATCTGCAGATCACCCCGCCCGATATCTGAGTTAGTAGATCTTGGACTGGGCCTCCCATATCTGCATTCTAAGAACTACAGAAGCTAATTCTAATGTAGGTGAGCCTAAGATAACCTTAGCAACATTCCCTTTCGACTAATCACTAAGTCTGTATTTTATAATTTCTATGTGGCCTGCACTCTACTGAGTGTGGTGGGAGACACAATTTGTGGATGATAACTCCACTCCACTCCATCACACAATGCACGATCTTAGGTGGGGAGAGGAAAGTCCTTATATGAGTGATTACTCAGGGCCAAATGGCTTGGGGCCAATTCCACATCAACTGAGAGTTTGGGTGCAGGGCCACTGAAGCTGCCCTGAAGGCAACTGGTGCAGAACGGGGTGTTTGAGAAAGAGTAGGCAAGTTTGGGATATGCAGAAGGTTTCACAGACGTTTGCAAAGGCACAGAGCAGGAAGGGGCTTTGGGGACGATAGCTATGGAGGTACAGCCAGAGAGCAGAATGGCCTGACTGTGGAGCACTGTCTGGAGGGCAGCACTGCTGGGCTTCCTCTTCACAGCAAGAAATACTCAGAAAAGCAGCTTTTCTTCCTTATCTCCTGCTGAAGCCTCGTTAGATCCTAAGCCATGGCAATCATGATTCTGTATCTATCTTTCTACCTAAACTGCTTTTGCCACTTTTCACTCTTCCCCTCCTTGCATCCACATATCCTCTCTAAATTCTTAACCTCATTGAGAATTTTTTCATCACGCACTACGAAGTTATGCCTTTATTTCTTTGCAAATGTTATTCTTGTAGACTAGATTGTTCTTTCTATATCGCCTTCTTATTTATAGAGAAGATTCTGTCTCATATCACAATACTCAATTTAAGCATCATATTCTCCACGAAGCAAAATTTTTCCTAACCTTATTCCTTCTACACAGAGTTCAGTTATTTTTTATTTTGCACCACCCTGGTATCTTGAGCAAGGCAAAAGATAGGGCTTATATGTATTAGAGCTGTTTGTCTCCATTTCTATCTTCTGAATGAGACTATGACCTCTTTGATATCAAAGACCATGTTTATCTGCCTTCATTTCCTTGGTGCCTACAACAGTGCACACAGCAGTGATCAGTAAACATTTCCTCAGTGAATGATTGAATGATTTATGAGCAGGGCATTTTCAGCTTGGGAAAGCCCCTAAACATCAAAGGAGTGTGGCCTTGCTGATGCTATCAGTTCTTAAATAGGGGATGATTCTGTTTTAGGTTACTTATAAAGAAAATAATATGCATGGGAAGTGGGAGTCTAAAGATGATTCGTTGAATAGGTAAGAAGGCTGGAGCTTCTCCCTAGAGGAATACAACCTCATACTTCTATAATAACCCCTTGGCATCCCAGCATCTTTAAATTCAATAAATATATCTGTAGAGGAAGGTCACAGGTGAGATCTGAGCTAGACACTGTCCCATGTATATTGTGCCTTGGCTGGGCCGTGTGCTATTTGATAACCTGAGATTTCAGATGGAATAATATGGGAAGAGCTGCTGGTGCCCTGGAAGTTCTAGAAGACCAGAATAAATTTAAAAATAATAATCATTTTAATATCACCTATACCTCTAATCTCCCAAGTCTATTTAAATTAGACCTTAAATCTGCCCACAATAGGATGTGGTCCAGTAACAACTTATTTACCTTAAGGACAAGAACCAACACTACATGCAGAGAAACTGGAGAAGTTCTAGAAAACAACCAGAAAGTACAAAGACAAAGGAAAACAGGTCTATGGAAGTTCTGTAGAAGATGCTAAGAGGGAAGAAATGGTCTAACAGGCTACATGGAAAATGTCAATGGGCAAATGTCAGTGACGGTTGGGTTTCTAAGCCGTAAAGAGGAGATTCAAAGTAGGTGGGAATGTAGCAATTTTTTTCCACTTGGTGGTTTTAGGATTCTGAGTGTTGTTTGTCAGGGGATGTGAGTATTATTTAGGGGAATATGGTAGAGCCAACTATGTGGAGTCCAAGGATATCCAGCCAGGGTTTTTATTTTCCTGACTCCTCACATCTTCGTGGGACCAACTGGCGAATGCAGGCCAATGGAATGT
Source organism: Homo sapiens (assembly GCF_000001405.40). Classification (NCBI taxonomy): domain Eukaryota; kingdom Metazoa; phylum Chordata; class Mammalia; order Primates; family Hominidae; genus Homo; species Homo sapiens. The sequence goes on from NC_000018.10 coordinate 24,927,755, forward strand.
GAACAGAAGTGGCAGGTGTCACTTTCAGGCAAGATGGTTAACTACCTAATGTGCCTTCCCCATACTCTCTTCTGCTTCTACAGCCACCGGAGAGGCCCTCGATTAAAGTTGGAGACATCTCAAGATGGGAGAAGCCTAGATCCCCATGTCACGGCTTGAAGGAGAGCCACCAGGAAAGCTGCCAGAAGAGAAATATCTTTATTGGTCTCAGCATGCAGGAGAAATTAACTTTTATTGGATTAATCCTTCGAGATTTGAGGTTGTTCCTTACAACTTATTAATTCAGGGTAGGAGGCTAGATTTCCAGGAAATTTTCAAGGGCCTATCAAGTCACAGCCTAAATTAGCATTTTAGGCAGGGCACGAGCAGGATAGGAAAGTCTTGGGTGGTCTTGGGGCAAATAAAAATGTAGGAGAGATCTTGGCCAGCAGTCCTTTTCCCCCATTGATTTTTGCTGGGGGCAGCAGCCTTCGACTCATTGATTTTAGCTGCTGATTAAGTCATGCTCTCCAGCCTGTCAGCAGTCACTTCATTTCCTTTCATCTTATGTTTTCACCTGCTTGAAGCTCCACAACAATCAGGATGTTGATTTCACAACTGAACATTCAGGAGGGCTTTAAAAATGGCTCCCATCCCTGCATGGCAGTTTTCAGCCCAGACTCTCCCTCTCTCCTCCAAGACAATTGTTCTCCGGGCTGATGCCTGTTAGCTGCAGGAAAATGCTAAAGCCAGAGGCAGCTGGTCTTCACAGAGGCTACAGCAGGGCAGAGTTCCATCTGGAGGAAGCTGGAGACCGACTGGGAGTTACCTCAAGACCAAAATGCTCCTTTCTCTTCTGCAGAACTAGCTGTGAAGATACCCAAGACCCAAAGCGAGATTTACAGCAAACAGGAACTAAAGAGCAGACGGCAGGTGGTAGCTCAGATGCCAAAGCAAGCCTCATTGCAGTTGAAGAGGGGCACAAAAATAGAATCGAATGTGGCCCAGAGTGCTTAGAGTGGGAAAGAAGATTCGAAGCCTCGGGACAGATCTGTAGGGGAGAGGGGGGGTGGAAATATTCTCCTCACTCACTTGCTCTCTCTCTCTCTCTGTCTCTTTCTCTCTCGCATCTGTGGTTGCTTAAACAAATAAACAAAACAAGATGGCTGTTGATGGACGGCTGTCCCCTGCACACCGACAGAAACATCTTCGTGCTAGGTTTGCCCAGCTGAACACATGCCACAGCTGATCCGTCTGTTGAGCAGGCCGCACACCACTGCTGATCAATCTTCACATGCCAATTATGTGATGTGGAGTGGGCTGGGAGGAGCATGCACAGGTGAGGGGGGCTTGGTGGAGGGAGAAAATCACTCTTGGGATTCTGCTCTGTGCCCCTGCTCTCGCCTTTGTCCCTGCTAGGAGACAGTGAGGGGACAGTGAGGGGTCCTCTCCTCCCAGCACCACACCATCTTATACGTAGTGCCCCACTAGACGATGTTTGGTGCCGCCTCCATCCACCTCTGAGGAGGGCCAATAGAATCCAAACATGAGAGCTTAGGATAGACAGGAGATTGGTTCCTGTTTGTGGCAGATGCAAATTCTGTCACCAGGCTGGAGAAAAGCCAGCCACTGTGCAGTCTTTTTGGGATTTGTTTGTTTGTTTGTTTGTTTGTTTTTTGCTCTTTTTTTTTAGATGGAGTTTTGCTCTTGTCGCCCAGGCTGAAGTGCAATGGCGTGGTCTTGGCTACTGCAACCTCCACCTCCCAGATTCAAGTGATTCTCCTGCCTCAGCCTCCCAAGTAGCTGGTATTACAGGCTCCCACCACCACCCCCGGCTAATTTTCTATTTTTAGTAGAGACGGGGTTTCACCATGTTGGCCAGGCTGGTCTTTAACTCCTGACCTCAGGTGATCTGCCTGCCTCAGCTTCCCAAAGTGCTGGGATTACAGGCACAAGCCACCGTGCCCGGCCTTTGTTAGGATTTCGACAGGGATAGAGATTCGTTTTGTGCCCTCTCTTTTCTTCTTCCCTACGAAAATAGGCACACCAGAAGCTTAACTCCCTGCACAGAGGGCTGGACTCTGCTGTCCTCAAGGAGGTCAACTCCCTTGGCAGCCGAGCCCCAGACATACTGATGGTGGTGTCAGTAGGGGAGTGGCCAGTTTAGCACGTGTGTGTGTGTGTGTGTGTGTGTTTGTGGTGTGTAGTCAACACATCTTCTCAATTTTTCGTTACCAGTTCAAGTAGCGGTCTGAGGGGCTCCCAGGGAAAGCTGGCAGGACCTAGCACATGAGAAGCCCCAGTGTCTAGATGGCAGTGTATGGAATGAAGAGCTCGTGGAAAGCCTGGGTTATGCTCCTGAGCCCACAGAGCAGCACACTCAATGCATTTCTAAGATTCTTGTCTTCTCCTCTCTAAACCAAAGCCTGCATAGCAACGGCAGAGGTCCTCTTGTCCTTCCTAAACTCAACTCTTCTTTCCTCTCCGTAAGCATTGGTTCATGCATCTTACTTACCTGCAGGCCAGAGTCTAGCCTGCTCTCCCTTCATAATCTCTTCCATCGCCTTAGCCAGAGGGACCTCTTCCTTCTCTCTATGCACTTTATTGTCTGAATATCTCATAGAATTCTGCTGCACACGATGTGGTTTGTGAATGCCACTAGATCATTACTCCAGTGAGTTCAAGTCCCTGTCTTGCACATTTTGGTGTTCCTGCACAGTGCCAATAATAGTGCTATTCAACTACTGGGCTTGAAATATATATTCACTAAAATGAGGGAGTTCTCAGGAAGTGGCAACTTGAAGATTTGCCCCTGCAAAGTATATGCCTCAAAAAAAAATATTAGCAACAAAGACCCTTACATGTATGCCACACTCCCTGCCTTCAAAGCTTCCTCAAGAACCAGGAAGTCCCGTTGACTGATCTGTTTCACAGTGGTTCCCTGGCCATTGCCCTCCTGCTGTGAAGCCACTGGAAACTTCCCTCATTTGCTATTATTTGTTACAGGCCCCAAAGTCAGAATCACTCATTGCTAAGTGTTGGTTTTCAGGCTCATGCAGAAGCATTTTCATTTGTGTCCTTTTTCATCTGACTCTTTAAACTAATCCTTCTTGACTTCAGATCTTTGCACAAACCTCCCGTGTCATCATCGGGGAGCTCTGGGCCCAGAGCAAAGGTAGGAGGCAAAAAGCCCCAAATCTGCACGTTTTATTTCATTGGTACATGTATTTAATCCATCTGCAAACTATTCATTGGATAGCATTGTAGGCTTCCCTCTCTGGGAACACTAAGGTATGTGTATTCAACAGTGGAAAATAAACATAAGATTTTATTACAAAGTGCCACTGCCGCTCCTGGCATGAGTAATTTGTGCACCTGCATTTTTAAAATGTTTCAAAGTTTTTCCCCTTGGTGGATTCCGTGGTAACACACATTAGCTTCCCGGCTGTCACAGCCTGGTTCTTGTAGGCCCCTGTGACTTCTGCCCATGCGATCCAGACGTCATTGTTTTCAGAGTAGATAGCAAACAAACGTGATGACTGCCCCTGTAAGCCTTTGAGAGTGCAGGTTCCTCTTTTGTCCTGATAAATGCCTTCCTCCCAAGAATTAGCAAAGCTATGGAGTGGCTTAATGCCAAATCCCAAGAGGTAAAGGACAGATTATCAAGGGAGGAATAAAAGTCAGGCTTTATCCCCAAAAGACATGGGGATGGTTTTAGAGACAAAAGCTGAGTTGATCCCTTCTGCCATGCTCTTTGCCTTGTAGTCTGCTGTTTCTTAAGCACAGAAACCAAGTCACTTGCAGCTCCTCACTGAGGTTCTCCAGCAAATCAGGCAACCCAGTATGATCTAGTCGGAACTGAGATGCCCCATTAGTGATGGAACCTGGCTCCAGGGAGCTTCAGGTTTGGAGAATGGTATGGAAGCATTGGAAGGGGAGAGCAGTATTACTTGGAATGGGACACAGCATCTTGGCTTTCTTTTATCTTTTCCTTTCTCTCTCTCTCTTTTTTTTCAATGATTCTGATTTTTGCAGGTGTCTAAAGTCAGCTTTGTGTACACAGTTCTAACTAAACAATTTCCCCTGTGATCTCTGTAATCTCCTGGAAATGTTCATTGATTCCTTCCAATGTCCCCCACAACAGCCCAGAAGACTGGCAATTTCAAGTCATCTTAGGCATGTTAATACTTTCTTAAAGTCATATTGCAGCATACTGCACACTTCTCCCTCAAACAGTGGGTCTCAGAGGAAGATGATAATGACCCACTGCTACATCAACTTGATCATTAGAGTTTCTGTCTCTCTAAGAAACATCAGGCAGTTAACTTGATCTAAAGAATATTTATTTATCTGTCCAATGCTGCAAATGGAGACAGAGAGAGCTCCACTGATGATAGAATCGCTGGGTGTGAAATCTTCATTGTTCAGTGTGATCGAGAGCAATGGAATGCTTGTTTCATTTAAATAATACCAAGTTTTCCAACACTACACACCATCTGCCTTGGGAGCTGCCTGGCCCAGGCACAGAATTTAATGTGTGTGGCATTTTTAATGGTTTAAATGCAAGTTTGTTCTGGTTTTAGTCCAAAGGGTGGTAGTGAAGTAGTAGGCAGTGTTTTCACTGCTGAGGCTCAGATTCTTCATTCTTGCTGTAGATGAGGCCTTCATTGGCCAACTGTCCATCTCTGAGCTTGACAGTCTAGGAAAATAATTTTCCAAGAATATATTTTTTTTTCTGGGAGAACAGGAAGAATCTTGCTTTGATATCCTCTGTGATTTTGTACACTAATACTTATAGTCAAGTCCCAAGTTTAAATTCTGGGAAACATTTCTCAAAGAATCCCCTAAAACTTTTGAACCAGGTTCTCTGATTAGTTCTGCCTTCCATGAATGTATGGACCATTGTCTAAAAGGAAAGACTCCTTGAATTGTAACTAAAACCAAATATAAAATGGACATGCACACACACACACACACACACACACACACACACGAGTTTATCTGGAGAGAAATCAAAGACTTATTTTGACAGAGACCTCTTGTGCCCAGGTTGCTCATGAATGTTATTTTGTGTAAAGAATACTAGAAGCAGGCTGGGTAACAACACGGGAAGTAAGTGCCACATTCATCTGTATTGTATAGTGAGTAGCATTTGATGATAAATATACCTTGTCTTGGATTCAATATTGCTTAGGCTCTGTCCACAGTTTTAGGCAAAGAAACTATTTGGACTAATTATTTCAACAATCCAGGGTAAGGATACTGTATCAGTATAAGAAACTCTAACTGTTCAAATTAACAGCTCTACAATTTCAGCACCTTAACAGAATAATGGTCTATTGTTCCTCCCACCCCTGTTTTAGTATGAGTTGGGGGTAGTGTAAGGCTCTGCACCATGAAGTCATTCAGGGATCCAGGCTCCTTCCATCTTTTGTCACCTCCATCTTTACCATGCAGTCACCAAGATAACCACAGAAAACTAAGAGAGAAATAGAATGTGGAACCTGTACCCTCACTCCTACTGTCTTGGTCCCAAAGCCCCTCCTCAGTACAAAAGGACTGGAAATGTAATCTGGGGCCAGTCTTTGCCACACCACATGCCATTGCCTTCATTACTAGATAGTTCATGTGAAAATATCCAGCTGCAATCATAGGGAATTGTTCCAGTTCTCTCCATCTCATTGTGTCTTGGAGCTGGTGGAAGGAACACTTACAGAGACACCTTCCTGAGGTACTACTTCATGAGTCCTAAGCCAGTGTCCTCCACAGGAGCAATGGCCTCATGGTGAGTGGTTGTGAACGGAGCTGATGACGTCACCATGGCACTCATGCCTGAGATGTTCTTCCATCAGTTTCAGTGACTCCAGTCTGGTTTAGTTATTCTTTAGAGTAGCAGGACTTCTTTCATTTGCAACTTGAAAAAAAATGCATATCAAAATTAGGCCATAAATATTACTTAATTATATTGAAATAATAAATACGTTAGTAAATCCTAGTTTATAATTTTATAATAAATTAGTAAATTACTATTTTCTAATTTATTTGTTATAAATTAGTAATATTTATAATAAACTTACAATAAATTGTTTATAATAATTTATAATAAATTCTCAATTATCAATTTCTTATACAAATTTGTTATACAATAGTATACATTTGTTATATAATATTCTTTATTTATATTACTTATACTAATTTATTATTTATTATTTACCATAATTTATGATACAGTATTTGTAAATCTTATTTATACTAGCATAAAATATTTTATTCTAGTGTTAAAGGTGCTGTGTTCTGAATTTATAGCCACATGCAGTACCAAATTCTTTCTCATTGCTCATCGTGTAAGCATTTGAACTTGCCTCTGACCTATCTGCTCCTAACACAATACTTCTGACCTACTGGGCCTACATTGTCAAAACTGTTAATAAATTTTTTCAGTCACTCTAAAATATTTCTTATATTTGTGACTTGTCCTATTTTTAAAATTGTAATAGAAAACAATAGAACAATGGGATTACTTCAAAAATTTTGCTAAAGGGTATTTGAACCACTTGGAGTAGAATCTACCTCGCTGCATTTATATGAATCCACTCCCTTGTGCCAGAGATAAATTTGTTGTAGTCTTTGTCTCTATTCTAAGTGTGCTATACAAACAGGGGCCTACTCCTCAGGAGAATAACCAAGCCAAGGATGTCATGTTCCATCTTTGTGATGAAATGCAGATTGGTCGTTAAAAGGCAAAGTCTTCATTTCCAAAAGCTGAATTTAAATGACGCTTTAAAAGATTTTAGCTAATGAAATTTAGTCCTCTCTCCTTCAAAAAAGAGGAATTTAAGAAAATGCTCTGGAACTTAGCCAGAGTATTTAATTTGGTTTCAAAATGCATACATTTTCTTTTACTTCATGATCTCGCCTTATAGTATTTTGTTATCTAGAGGCTTGCAGACAAATGTCAATAGCCTTGTTGAGTTCAGCATTACTGCCTGCTTGGTTTGTCTGATTTATTTCTGTGCCTCGTGGTTAGTTAAGCATAACCTGTGTGGTTTCTGGCTGTTCCAATAGCGAAAGGCTGTATGCACCAGGAATGGTGCTGCCACTCGGCACACTGTGGGTGAACCCATCATCACTCTGGCCAGGTTCCTCCTCTACTTTGCAGCCCTTTTCTTCATCTTCCTTGAACTAATTTGTTCAAGAAGGGATGACAGAGATGCCCTCTTCCTCTCCAGTATTTCTATCAGTTGAGGCTGATTTTTCAGTCTGGACTCTGCTTAGGAGGTTTTAGGTTTTGAGGGGGTTTAAAGATTCTTCCAGGACTCACCAACTAGTCCTGAAAGACTTCAGTTTTGGGAAGCCTTTTCCATCAGTTCCTCACAAATGTCCAAGCACGAAAAATCTCACTTGACTCCCTTATTTCTGTTCCCCTGGCTCGGATGAGTCACTATGGAGTTGGGTTGCTGCTGTGGGCTGGCCAAGGAGAATTGGATGAATGAACCCCTGTAACGCCATTCGATATAGCTGCTCTCAAATAACCAAAAGCTCTTATTGGAGTGGTAGCCATGTGCAAAGGCAGATCCTGCTTCCTGAAGCTGCCAGACCTTCAGGAAGATGCAATAAATGCAGTGACCTAGGAGAGACAGTCACTTTCTTTCCTATGGGATGCTGGAGAGGCAGGCATCACATCTAACACCTTCCAAGTTGTTTTGCTATGAACTCCAGCGTGGCTTTGGAAAATTCAATTTCAACCTGTCCCACACATTCCTCACCCTCAAGACTATGAGTGGAGAAATTGAACCCATGGATTCATGGTGATGATATGGTTGAGGTAGAACAGGTTGACAAAGGTGGTTTCTGCATGTCCAGGTCTCCTCAATGCCAAGGAATGCAGATGAAACATTTGTTAAACTAATCTGGTGGCCTCCAGTGCACCCACCAGCCCATGCCATGGTTCTGCATAAATGCCCATGGGGAGACAGGCAGCAGTAATCCAGACATTGGAGGATGGCACTCTCTTAAAGTGAGATTATGTAGCTCACCCTGGATGTGAACTTAGATGAGGAAAAAAACTGAATGACATTCGCAACCCGAAGTGATTCCACTTCATCATTTTGTACACATACATTCATGATGTGTTATATGTTATATATAATTTACTAAAGCATGCTTTTAAAAATAGATTTGAGGAGCATGGAGACCCCAGAAGTGTATGTTATTGTACTGGGCTTGAGTTTCTCTTTCCCTCCCACAGGGGACCTCTGAGGGTCTATTTGAGGGCATGAATATGGAAAATTCAGCTCCAGCTCCTCCACCCCACTCCCTGAACAGCACTGCAGAACTGTGCTAAGCTCCTGTGGCTTGGAAAGAACAGATGCAAGAGACATAGTAAGTATAAAAGGAATTTGGGGAATGGGTCCTAAGAATCACCACGTTTCCTATCACTCTCAGAAAATGCATCTATTTTCAGGGGGTACTGTACATCTGTGTGGCTCCAAACCACCAATTATTTTTCCAAGCAACATAATAACAGCTTTCTTCTGAAAATGTCAAACACTCAAATGAAATACAGCTTCAGAAATTTTCACTTAAGTTGATTTGTTCCAATTACTCAGACCTGCCTTGCACCCCTGCCCCCCAGCACATAAAAGGCAAGTTCTGTTTTTATCATCCTGTTCACTTTTTCCAGATAAATAAAGAGACAGGAAACAAGAAGGCAGGAAGGAAGGATTGCAGGAAGGAAGGACGGAAGGGAGCGAAGGAGGGAGGTAGAGAGAGAAAGAAACCACCTGAATTCTACAAATCCTATTAGAATACAACCACCCAGGACAGGAAATATCATTGAAGAAGGCAAAGAGAATACTGTCCCAGTGTATATCTGCACCCCTTTGTCTGGGCACTGAAAGGTCACAGATACCACTGGCCTTCCTGTTGAGCCACTCTGAATTTAATCTGTTGGGTTTGATTTGCTGAATGTATATGCACGTCAAAGATTGTGAGCATGGATTATTTATAAGATGTTCACTTCCAATTAGTGTGGCTTAAAACGTGAGCTTCAACTTGGCACGCAGGAGCTGCAGCAGCCTGTTCTGAGAAGGTTGGGCAGGTCTGGGGGTAAGCAAGCCTCTTGCTGAGCAATGGTGTGAGCCAGTGGCTAAGGTAACATTTGGGAGCAGCCCTGTTTTGAAACAGGTTCTTATTTCAGATAAACAGTCCTGCAAGTGACATGATAAAATACATATAAGGGTACATTTTCCAAGGGCTGCCCAGAAAGCAATGCATATAGGCCCAGAGACTGTTAGGTCATTTTGACCCATTACTCCTCAAGTACCCACTTGGCAAATTGATGGAGTCACATTTAGGACCCATGTCCGCTTTGGTGGAAACCCCATTTTGTACCTTGATGGAGGCTCACAGATAGTGGCTTCTAAATTCCAAGATCTGGTATGAAGGAACAGCTTCTGGGAAAATCAGTTTAATTTACCCATTTTTTAAACCAAATCTAATTAACCAAATTTAATTAACCCATTTGCTGAGGTTAATGAAACCCTTGTTAACCTGACTCAGAAGGAGGCTGGAAAGGAGAACTTTTAAGCTAAGATTCCTAATAGGCTCCATGCCTCAGGGAGCCACGAACCCGTCAGAGAGAGGGCACCAGGTGCATGCTCTGAGGCTGCTGACTCTGTCCTGGAAGCCCGCAAGGGGCTGATTTGAACAGAGACCAGGATCAGAAGTGTGACCAGCACGCTAGACTCTCCTGAAGTTATTCAAAACCCGACTTTGTTATTTAGTCTAAAACAGAGTGGACCTCCAGAATCCTGACATGTTCCACTGAAATTGTGGCCGGGCACTCCAACACTGAACGGAAATGATTTGGGGATGATGTACACCATCGATTAGCCGACCTGCTGCTCCATGTTATGGGGGCCTCCTTCTCCATCAACGGTATTGGCGAGGCAGCCATAAAGACCCAAAGCTATGATTCTCTTGCCTGAAGTTTAGTGTCAGTGCAGTGAACTGACAAGCTCAGCCTGTTTTGTAGTTGCCAGGAGTCACTGTTATAAAACTCCCCTTCATCTGGCATTGGCCAAAAGCCCTGTCAGCTGACTCAGCCAAGAAGGTTTGCACATCGTGAAAGCGGGTGCCCTTTCCTCCCTTGCAATGGTGTTTCCTTAGCAGTTCTTTACCCTGGCTGTGTTTTCTGACCCTTCGGGGACAGTTATCATGCTAAGCCTGTCCTTGTCTGGAGAGTGGTTCATTTCTTTCCTGAATGCAAAGCTTGTGCTCAGGAGGTAAAGAATGGGCCAAACCTCTGCAGACATACAGAGAGAAGAGGCTAAATAGGCACTTTCTGCAGTCAGAGAACATTCTGTCAGGACACAGAGGAGCTTGAGAGTTCCAGAGGGCACAGTATCAGGAAACCATGGAGGTCTTTTCTTCTCAACTCAAAAGATGGTGAGATCAGTTCAGGACTGGCCTGGCCAAGTGAAAAGATTTGGAGACATCACACATTGCTGCATGCAATGAGCTCAAAATCTAAGGTTGAGAGAGGAGGGGTTCACAGCGGCATGAGATGCACTTCCTCCCACACTGAAAGCTGCTGCTTCCAATTGGACCCTCCGTGCCAGTGGCCTTGAGGTAAAAGAGCAGAAATACAAAGTGAAGCATTTCTACTGCTTGAAAGGAATACATTTAGCATGCCCCTTCCTCCTTCGATCTTTCGTAGGAAGACTGTGCCAAATGCCAGATGAACAATTTTATTCCTGATCCACCAAAAAGGGAAGGAAAAAAAAGCAACTGAGGCTTATAGGAAGGATCTCTGCAGAACAACGTCAGTGGGAAAACATTATAACAAGACTTGGATCAGATTTACAACAGGAGCAGAGCTTTTTCTTTATTGATTATTTTAAGTTTTTTTCAAAGAATTTTCCTGGGACTTTAGAAAAATTCAATGGAAGACATTACTTATTTGCTTATGGGTGGAGATGGCACTTTTTCTAAGAAATATATGTATACATATATTTCTAAGTAATATATATATACACATATATTTCTAAGTAATATATATATACATATATTTCTAAGTAATATATATACATATATTTCTAAGTAATATATATTTCTCTATATAAATTTATATTAGAAATTTATATATATAATTTTAATAATGTGGGTGGAGATGGCACTTTCTTTTTCTAAGAAGTATATATATTTCTAAGTACTATATAGGTGTGTCTATGTATATATATACCTATATAGTACTATATATGTGTCTATATATACCTATATAGTACTATATATACTTCTAATATATAGGTATATAGTATATACATTATAATATATAGTATATACATTATAATATATAGCATATACATTATAATATATAGGTGTACAGCATATACATTATAATATATAGGTGTACAGCATATACATTATAATATATAGGTGTACAGCATATACATTATAATATATAGTATAGAGTATATACATTATAATATATAGGTATAGAGTATATACAATATATTAGAAATTTATATACATATAAATTTATATACATGTAAATTTATATACATATAAATTTATATACATGTAAATTTATATACATGTAAATTTATATACATGTAAATTTATATACATGTAAATTTATATACATATAAATTTATATACATGTAAATTTATATACATATAAATTTATATACATGTAAATTTATATACATATAAATTTATATACATGTAAATTTATATACATATAAATTTATATACATGTAAATTTATATACATATAAATTTATATACATGTAAATTTATATACATATAAATTTATATACATGTAAATTTATATACATATAAATTTATATACATGTAAATTTATATACATGTAAATTTATGTGCATGTAAATTTATATACATGTAAATTTATACACATATAAATTTCTAAGTAATATATATTACTTAGAAATATATAATTATATATAATATATAACACCAAACAGAATATATAATATAATATATAATAAATTTAATATATAAAATTACATATGTTTATATGTAGTGTGTGTGTGTACATATATATATATATATATATATATGTACACACACACACAAAAGCACAGAATTTGGCATTACTTAGCATGGAAAATATAATATTTTGGGGGTGTTTTCCTAAAAATGGCCTAGCCTTTCAAATATAAAGCATCCTTTTCTTAAAATGTCTTAAGTTTTAGCCATCTCCCTCATTCTTTTCCAGATAAATGCCTCCAAATAACTTAGTCCTCAACCTGAAGCCAAAGTGATTTCGGTGTACCAGGATTGAAATACTTCTGTATTCACAACTGAATGGATAAACGGGCACTCCTTGTGGCTCCTCATTGTATGTCCCCTAGAGGGTCAGCAAGGCCAAGAATTGGTTTGTGGAACAAATATCCATTACTCCAATCGGGGATGAAAAAGAGTACACGCCATGGATTTTGCTCTCGGGAGTGATTGATTCAGCGAGTGAAATAAGACCAACATGCATGGAAGGGTTGATGATGCTAGAATCTCCCACACTTTGCCAGCCACAGGGAAGTCAAATCAGTATTGACTTTGTTATTCAAATCAGCACCAGACCGGTCACTTTTAGAAGTGATACCATGGGAGGCAATTAAACCCAGGAAAATGCTGAGCACTAGAGTGACCATGCAAGAAGGGGCCTTAGAGATAGATCCTGTACGTCTTCACCTGTTGGTGCCAGGGCCAGAACAGAGGCCTGCAAGGGTAAGAGCAAGCTCAGCACCACAGAACTTGTAGGTAACAGAGCCGGGCTCAAGTGCACGCTTCCTGACTGCAATTTCAACACTCCCATTCAAGGTGAGAGTGAAAAATATTTTCCCCTAGGCTTTCCCCAGTGATATTCCCCTATGCACCAGCAGAGCATGAGGGTATGAGACGAAGATGCACATCCTAGCCCTAGCTTTGCTACTGACTAGCCACGTGTGTTTGAGCAACTCACAAAACTTCTCCAGATTTCAGACTCCTCATTTGTAAAATAAAGTCATTTGATTTGTCCATTGCTCTCCATAGTTCACCAAAGTGCCCCTCGTAGGAGAGTGGAATGGATGATGTTTAGAGTAGAAGCTTGGAGATGTGGCAATAAGTGACCTTGTGCAAGTGAGAAATGCACTCAATATATTGGAATTTGTCTGTCTTAATAATTTGTGTGGCTTCTACATTTTACTTAGTAATATATCTGTGTTTGCTTTCGGGTGAAAATACTGTTTGAAATGTCTTACTATCCATGAAACTTGGTTTACCAAAGAGGGCCTGTTTTCCCTGAGGTACAAGGACTAGAAGGTTTTCTGAGGCCACCCCCAGCCCCCATTCATTGATTTCGTGTCTTAAGTTGTTTGTGTTTTTTATTTTATCACACCCTCCTATTTCTGGTTCCCAGAATGTAAGTAGTTCTCCCTCCACAATGTTCAACAGTCCTCAATAATGCCCGGCTATGTGAAGATGGAAAGATGAGGGAAAATTAGCACCATAAGCAGAGTCTGGAAAGGTACACAGACATTTAACAGATGGAAACAGGAGGGCTGCCATTCTAGAAAGATATGAGGACTGCTCATCAGCCTGGCTTCCGCTAGAGGAGATCTACTTTGGTGTCTAGCCAAATTTTGATCCTTTGCCTTAAATCTTTTCTGGAAAGAGATGGGCTATGAATAAATATTTGGATTTAGGAGGAATTAGTTTAGTTTAAACATCTCTGAAAAATACCACATTATCTCTTCTTCAGATGCAAATCTTTTGAGTACCTAAGAGTGGATTTTCCTCTCTCTGGAGTCAACCCCAAAACCAAGCCTAACTTTGCCTTGGTTCTCTGATTGTGGCTCCCATCACCTCTGGAAATGTGGGGTGACTGGGAATGGAAAGCGTAAAGCCGGGGGATGCAAAGAAAGATGGTTCTCACCCAGTCTCTGGGCATTTATCAGTAGAGAGGGAGGTCAGCCAAGTTCCTCATCTGCTACAGCAGCAAAGGCGATCTCCCCAGTGACTTTTCCAGATGGAAAAGTGCTCTGAGCTTCTGACCATCTCCCAGAGGATAAAGGGAATTTGATGAGGAGAGACTTTTGCTCTTCGAGGCAATTGTGCCTGCATGCATCAAGCTGTTGGCTGGCATCTCCAAGCACCTTGCACATAGTAGGCACATGATAGTGATTTGTCAGATGCACAAATCAATACCATTCTTCCACCAAAAAAGAAAAGATGGCAAGTGGTTTATGAAAAAGAACATTCCATTACAACAGAGCATCTCGGCCCAGGTTTAGTGTTCAAGCCTATGTACAGAATAACAGACTAACCTAGAAGAGGATGGAACTATTGTGTAACCAAATGATTTCCACTCTGGCTGCATGTTAGAATCACCTGGTACGCTTCTGAAAAATGCTGATGCCCCACTTGAGAGTAATTGAATCAGAAACTCTGGGGAGAAGCCCAGGCATTGGTATTTATTTGTAATTTCCCAGGTGATTCTGGTGCACAATGAGACTGTGAATGACTCATCTCTCCAGGCAGGTGGAATGATTTACCCAGGATCCCACCAGGCTGGGGCGGGGCCGGGGAAGAGAATCCAGGTCTCCCCATCCAACCCTGTGTTCTTTCCCACACACCACATCAACTCTCCTTTGGCCCTGTGGCCTGTGGGATAACTTGCACTTTTCCACTGGGAATAGGGAGCCGCAGTTGACCCACTAACCCCCTGGAAACAAGTGCCTCGGCACCATGGGAATTTTCCTGGTCCTATTTGTGGAAATGCTCCAACCTTGGATGTTTTTCCAGTAAAGGATATTATGAGCAGGGTCCCTTTGGTAACTATCTATAAGCATTATTTGTGAGGCATGGGAAGATTCTGGCCCCAAAATATCCTCTTTGCCTTCAGTTACTTATGCTACAAGGCATGTTATAAGAATATTTTAGGGGGTTAAGAGATATTAGTTATTAGAATATAAATAAAGCTGTGAGTAGCCCCTTCTCTCTTGCTAGTCTAAATGAAGTGTTGAAGGTTTAAGTACCTAGCACAGTGCTTAGCTTTAAGTTTCACAGTACTTAATGGCAACTACCTCTTATCCTATTCTTGTTATGTTTGAATAAACCATGCAGGGTCTTATGTACATTCTCTAATTTAATTATCACTCAAAACTTAGGAGGCAGTTTATATCCTTGTACTAAAATGAAGACACTGAGGCTCACATTTAATTATGATGCCTATAGGTTTGAATGAAACTGGAAGTTCCTATTAGCTTGAACTAACCCCTTCTGCTTTACCTACGAGGAAAATGAGGCCTAGAAAGGTGCTGTGATTTTCTCTGGGAATATGTATCATGTTCAATTGTTTATCAGTGATTCATGTCATAATTAATGTATCAGTTCCTTTCAAAATTAGAAAAGGAAAGGCCTTTGAGTCTCTCTGTTTGGTGTTCAAATCCTGGTCTGACCATTTTCTGGCTGTGAAAAAACTTACTTAACTTGAAAGAACCCCACCTTTGGAAGGAAAGGAGGAAGGCAAGGGAAGAAAAAGCAGAGAAAGGGAGGAAAAGAAAGAGGAAGGAAAAATGCAGAGAAGGAGAAGAAAAAGAAAAAAAGAAAAGAGAAGAGGCAAGGAAGGGAGGGAGAGGACCATTCTCTACACAAGGCAGAGACAGAAGATACATGATGAGGAAGTGGTTGGTGGTGCCAAGCCACTGAAGGTCAAAGGGCGCTTGGTGTTGCCTTCTAAAGGATATTTTCTTGAATCCAAGATTCCAATCAGAAGTCCAGAACCTGCTGCAAGAAGGAGGAGAAGGCTTGAAACTGGGATAAACAGAAGGAGGAAAAGTGTAAGTGAGAGTTTCTACAGAAACAGGGCAGGGGAAGAGCTGAATTTGTTCCAGAGAAATTCAGGGACAAGAAAGATGTGAAAAGAAAACGCCAATGTTGGGTTCATGAAGGCTCTGAATGGCTTCCCTATAGGACTGAAGCAAAGGGCGTCGTAGGAGTCTGAGGCATGAAACAGTATATTCCACCAGAAGAATGTATGTCTTTGAAGTACCCTGCCCCACCCCCCCCGAAAAAGGTCCATCGCAGACTATAGCTTTTGAAGAAAAAAGAAGGAAAAACTGGTGAAAGTGAATCAAAGGAAGTGATAAATCTGTCAGTGACCCTCTCCTGAAACAAAGCACATGATGCTTAATTAATGCATTTAGCTGCCTGACCAGAGGAGCCTGGTAGTCAGGCCCACCTCCAGAGCCTCACCTAGTTCTGGAGCTCTTTGAAGATGAAAAGCACTTTTAAGTGTGGACTCGGACGATGACCACGAATGCTGTTAACTCCATGGGGAAAGAAATAAAAACACATATTAAATGTGTTATAATACTTACGAGCACCCTTTGAAGGCAGTGTCCTCTAAACATAGGAAGGCATACATAAGGAAGTAGAGAAAAATGAGAAGGGGGTTGAGGGAGGTGGAGAGGCCAGGGCAGGCCTGGTAGGGGTGCTCTCTAATGCCACACACTGGACAGGGTGACAAAGAAGGCTTTAGGCAGAAGGAGGAGGGAACGGTGGGAGAGAGGACACTACCAATATGAAATGTCAAGTGCCAGGAACTGAGAAGAGAAAACTAAGGCCACTCTGAGACTGGGCCATGTGAGAAGAAAAGAACTGTGTCATGGTGAGGTAGAAGTCATTAAATGTCTAGAGAAGGTTCATTACCCACATTTAAAGGCATCAAGCACCAAGACTTTACTACTAGCCTGGGAAAACAGTGAAAGGGGACGTGAACAAGAAATTCTCAAAAAGCAGAACAGCGCTCCTGGATGAGAAACTCTGTAGAAGCTGAAAGCTGCTCCTCAATGGCCTTTCTCTCCCTGTCTTTCTCTCTCCTGCCTCTGTGTGTCTCTGCTATCTATCCAACACTCATCAAAGTTAGCTGAAATGACAATAGGCAATACTCAAAAATGAGGAAAAGCAAAAAGTGGCATCCAGAACAAAGGTAGGGACCTGTTTACATGAACCATGTGTATTAGTGTATTTCTTTTTCTTTTTTTTCCCCCACTTAGGGAGATTTCTAAGGTAGCAGATGGACCATTCAAAGACTTAGAAAACGAGGCCAAAGAGATGAATAAATGGTGAGAGTAATGAGTCTTGCTTTTAAATGGAATTCGTAATTTCTTTCTTTTTTTTTTAAATTAAATTTAATTTTTTTTTTGAGACAGGGTCTCACTCTGTTGCCCCAGCTGGAGTGCAGCAATGCAATCACGGCTCACTGCAGCCTCAACCTCCCAGGGGCAAGCATTCCTCCTGCCTCAGCCTCCTAAGTAGCTGGGACTACAGACACATGCCACCATGCCCAGCTTTTATTTTCTTGTAGAGACAGGGTCTCGCTATGTTGCCCAGGCTAATTTATTTCTTTTAATTATTTGATTCAAGAACATAAGAGCATATCTGAAGTTTACTCATAAATTTGGGGAGACTTTCATGCCATCGGACTAACCCCGCAGAGGAGAGCAAGAAGAGGCCAAGTGGTATGGCAGAAAGAACATGCAAGTGGCGGCCCCAAGCTCCAACTGCTTTTATTTGCTCCTCTGGGGACATTCAGCCTTGGCCTGTTACCAGATTCTGAGGTTCAGTTTTCCCATTTGTGTCAGAACTATGGTATCTCAAAGACTGGACTCAAGAAATCTCTTTTTCTGTATTGACATATCACCAATACTTTGTGAATAAAATTTTGGAGCTTTGCCATTTTCATTACCTCCTGATACCTGTTTCAAAAAAGTACTGCTTTCCAGGTATCAGCTTATGAATCTGGGAGAAATCGCATCAGCTGTACTTAAGCCTTCCTTCTGCTAACTTCCTGGTCAAGACATTGTTGAGTTTGACGCTTCTTTCTAGGCAGCCCCAGTACAGTTTCTTGGGATGAAGTATGTTCAAGGCACCTTTCCTATTCTACCCTAATAAAGTAAGTGGATAGGACCATCTCTCAAGTGTTCCTGGGCCACCTCTTCTTGTGTACCTTGGACACATCCATTGGGAAGGCCTCAGAGCATGGTGAGGCTAAGACCTGGGTGTAGACTAGGCCCTCTCATGCATCAGCCGTGCGGCTGGAGCAGATGTTACTCTTCTTGTGCCTCAGTTTTCTCATCTATGAAACAATCATAGTAAGTGTGCTTCAGAGAGTTGTGAGTGTTAGATAAAATAGTACATAAAAAACACTTAGCACTATGTCTGTTTTAGAGTGAAATCAATAAACGTAAACTATTATCATAATGTCATTGTCATTAATACAATTACCAGGAGCTTATTACATAATGAGTAGCCACAAATTAAATTCTGCTCACTGCTCTCGTTGTTCATGACTCAGATGTTTTTTACATCCCCTTTCTGATTCTTATTGCTGGGTAGTTTTTTTTTTAATTAAAATATAACAAGCCAGATATTGTTTAACGATAACAGTTAATTCAGAAGAATTATTTTTTCTCTTTTTTAAACACTTTAATTCATTCCACCTACCTTTATATTGGGGTCCTCAGGGTTAATTAGGAGCAACTTTGTACTTGGATAGTTGGTTAATCACCAAGAAGAATGCTGGAAGAAAGCTACTCATATGCTTTTCATCTCAGCATCCAATTCCCAGGAAACCTGGAAAAAACCATTTTACTTGTCTAAGGCCACCTACAGTATTAGGTAATTATTAAAGCTGATTGCATATCAGAGCCTAAATACAGTGCTGCAGAACCGTGCTCCCCTCATGCTCCCCTCACGGCAAATGAATCAGAGACGCTGCCATGTATTTTTGAAGAGTAAATCTTTGTGCTAATTAATTATATTAATATCAACATGTTGATATTGATATAATTAGCACAGTGGATGACACTGATATAATTAGCACAAATATTTACTCTTCAAAAATAAGTGGCAGTGCATATGCATATAATAACGTTAATAATAATACTGAGCTGTTATAGCATCACTTTCTCTGAGGAGTTTACAAAATACATAAATAGTAAATAATTAAAACTCAAACTCCGTTGAGAGCTTTGATAGCATCATTGAGCAAAGTTGAAGGGGTTTATGCAGTCAGAGTAACCTCATAAATACATTCTGACAGGGGCATTTTTTGCCCGAACAGAAGTGACTCTCTAAGCAGCTATCAGTAGGCCTAAAACTAAGAGATATACCAAATTCTGTAACTGAATTGAAACTGAATAGGGCCCTGTCTCTTTCTTTACTCTGATTCATGTTCAACTAATCTAAAACCACAATTATTTTATTCTAACATGAAACAGAATTGGGTAAAAGCAAGGATGTTGGGATACAAGACAGAAAATATATTCAGGTGTCCTTGTCCGCAGCGTCTTTTACGTAGAAAGACCATGGTCTTGCTAAATCTATCCAGAGGCCATCTCTCTTTTGTTTGAAAATGTAGACTCCACACCTCATCACATAATTATATGTGGTACCATGAGAAGAGAGGTGGCATGGTGCCTAATGGTTCCATTGGCACTCTGCTGTCAGGAGCGATGAGAACCAACTTTCCCACTGTGTTTGTGATGGGAGATATTAATCTCAACCAATTTCTTATTTCTTTATTTCTGAGAACAGGCTAATTGAGTTTCACATTCTCTTACCATTACAAGTATATTTACTGCCACCAGCACAGCATATATGCACAGAAACACACACATACATATCTGCACATGCAAACAGATAAACATCACACACAAAACAAAACATAACTGTGAGTTCCAATGAACCCATTGATAAGCATGAAAGATACAGGCCAGGAGACTTTTAAAATATGTCGCATTTACAGAACATTGTGCTTACTGGCAAACATCGGAAAAGTAAAATTGGCTTCATGGACTGACAGAAAGAGACATTAGTTATTTTAACCCTCTTTTCCTCTAAGCACTAACTTCTATAATAGAGCATCCCAGATGTTTTGCTTCTTAGTGCCTCTTTGGATGTGAAGATTGCACAGCAGGAGGCAACATCTGGGGGAGAAAGGAGAGATTGTGTAAGAGACTTAGGATATTGGTGCGCACCCGGTTGTGATTCTTGGATATGTTTCAGAGAATTTTTTAAAAAGGCAGCCTCCATTGTAATTATCATTTATAATTAATTTCTGGGTGCAATAGCAGAAGAGTATTTCAATATTCCAGTTTTCTAGAGAAAAAGGATTTTTCTTGCATTTATGCAGATTTAGAATTTCAGCTGCAAATTGACCTCCTTACCACAAACCATATTGTTTTGCAACCTCTTAATACATAAAACTGTTTTGGTCCTTCAGTGAAAGATGTCATTTTTACCATAATGAGAAAAACTGGAAAGTCTCAGCATCTCATGAACGTCATTGCTCAGACAGTGCTTGGTTCAGGGAGGGTTTGAGGTTCAATCCTGATGCTTATGATTGTCTCATTTCACTCTGACATCATAATTGAGACTAATCTCCACTGATTTTTTTCCCTTACGTTCGTTCTTGCTTTCAAGTTTAATCATCCACTACAATTCGGACATAACAGCAGTGGAATGGGTGTTTTCTGAAAAACACACATTGGAATCATTTTGCATTGTAGCTTCAGTTCATGATGTTTTGCTAAGCAGGTATCCAAAGGCACACACTGAAATCATTTTGCCAGCATACTCTTGCCTTTTAATAGCTTCCTAACAGGGTATCTGAAGAAACACTCTTGAAACATTTTGCCCTCCTAATTTTATGTTGTAATGACATCAAAATGTCATAAAGCAATTACCGTCCCAAGCACAATGATCTTTAGAAGTTACTTTCTCTATAGGCTCATTAACTCCTTTCTAGCTTTAATATCTTGATTGTTTAAAAAAATGTTTAATACTAATTGAGAGGCTTCATTTAGAACTGAATACCATTTATTTAGCACCATCTCTCTCTTTCTCTCTCTGTCTGTCTGTCTCTCTCTCTCTCCCCTCTCTCAACCAAATTGGACTAAGCTGACAGAACCCTATATTTATAGATACACACACACCTTCTGACTGCTCCAGTTAAGATTCAAAGTGGAACTGATCTGGTACAAAGCAAAAATCAGCCTAGTGGATTGCTTTGGAGTCAAAGGAAACAGTAGATAGTGGCTGTGTCCTTGGCAGTGAGCACATCCCAAAGTTTCTGCACTGCCTGAAAAACGTGAGGCTGGGTACTCATTATGGGGTCTGGAAGAAATGTGAGATGCTTAACTGGAGAAGTTCTACGTGGCAACACGACCATCTGATTCCAACCACACTTAGTTCTAATGACTGAGATCCACCAGGTATATTTCTCCAAATAAAAATGCTAAATCAAGGGAACAAACAATGATGCACTGGATTCAGTTATTCTGTGATGTAGGCTGTGATTTGCAGCTATACCCTCCTGAAACATCTGTAGGAAGAGTTAAAGCTTAAGTTTTCCTCTGGGCCATTTGAAATAAGTAAAGAATAGCCACCAACCTCTATCACCTTTTCTAATATAAACATTAAAACAAATGTGCTTGTCTCACATGTGCCAGATAATATTCATAACTTAACCTTTAACTGTCTGAGCACATTCTTATCTGGATAATGGAAGGGTTGGAAATGAGCTCAACAAATTTGCACAACACAATGCCAAGGATGTAATGGCCTCTCTACTCCAATCAAGAGATAAGATGGTCTCTGACTTTTTCTATAGACTCTCTGTCCATGACTAAACAACATAGCTCTGTTCTTGCCAAATATTTTTTTTTCTGTTTTAAGCATCCTCAAAGGTGACCCATAGAGTTCTAGCAACCAGTTTGATCATAGAAAAGAGGCAGAATGATTGGTTCAGATGTCTGAAAGTAAAGCTAAAACTGGGAGGAGCTACTTGGTTAATAATAAATAACAAGAAAGATAGATGAATAAAAATAAACATCTTAATGATTTACCATTGCTATGAAACCAATAGGCTGGTAATCCAATCCGATATCTGCAAATTTGTATAATCCTCAGGGCAAAACAATTTAATGGGCTGTCTCTTTTATAGTTACAAAAGGCCTTTCATGTGATCAATTATACATAAGAGTACAATAAATGTAACTTTCTTCATACTAATCACATCTAACTTAAATTCTCTTGTTGGTCTTTGGAGTGTATGTGGCGTTCCCAATAAAGTTTTTAGTTCTGACTCTTACCAAAAGTTAATCTGCCCAGAACTTCCAAATAAATCCTCAGTATGAGAGCCTTTTTTTTCACACTAAATAAAACTGTTCAAACAATACGGTTTGTTAGAAAACTGCCACCTCCTCCTGTTCTGGCCCCTTCCTCGACACAACAATCCTGCTGCCTCTGTAAGCCAGTGGGCAGTGGGGGGTTGGTTTGATTGTTTTTCTTCTGTTTGGTTTTGTTTGTATTTTGTTGAAAAGGCAGCCTAACACTGTGTTAACACCGTCACCTGAGGCTAACAAAACTTGGCTAAGAGATGGAGATTTCCAGTCCTCACTCCAGTGACAGGTCCCAGAAGGCCCTCAGACCCTCCCAGATTCGTATAAAGTCTAAATTCCCATCTGTTTTATTATACGTTTAATTGGTTTGCTCCTCTATGGAACAGGAAAGTAAAATGAAACCCCTCATCATGTGCCACTTAAGTTAGGGGTAAAGGTCACGCTGACTCTCAAAGAAGTGTAAAAAATAAGAAATGACTAAATTCCTCCCAGTTGCCTAAGTCAATCAGTTGATGCCTGACTCTGAGTTGGTTGATTCAATAAATTGGTTTTTTAGCTACTATTAAGTACCAGAAACTATTCTAGATGCTGTAGATATGGTTATAAGTAAGAATTAACTCTGTATTTGCTTCCAAGAGTAGAATGGACTTTAAGACCTCCCCTGTTCCTAGACACACGATATACAATTCATTTCACAATGGGAAGCATCTCAGGACATAAAGTATAGGACTGAGGAAAAGAATAGAGAACATCAGTGGGTTATTTTCTTCAAGCATCCAAGAAGAAAAGGAAAGGTTTCTCAGAAAGGAGATTTCTTAAGGTCCTAGTTGGGGGATTACTTAATCCCTAGAGGACCCATTTTGGAGTTACACATCCTGAGAAAGTTGCATGTATGTGAATGTTTAGGAAAATCCAGGCCTAACTACTAAAATAAAAGGTGAGAGAGTTTGTGTGTTTGTGTGTGTGTATTGTTTGCCCAAGAGTACCTAAGAAAACATATTCTGAAGGCTCACTTGCTGCCTGCTCCATGATTGTGGCCTTTCAAGTGTGGTTTGCTAAAGAAATCAGGCACAGTACAGCAAATTGGAAAAATGAACTGGAACATCATAATCTACCTCAGCTAGAGCAAAGAAAAAGGCATCTGGTAGACCACTTGGAAGCCAGCCAATGACGAAGACTTCAATTAAAATAAAGAACGTGTCCTCAGGAGAGCATCTCCGAGCTCAAGAAGTTATAAGTCCAGTGAGCTACTTGAAAGCCAACTACTAGAAAAAGCCATTTTCAAATAAAACAACCAAAGTGAGCAGGCTTTGAATTCTTCCAAGAAACCTCTTTCTGCATGTCTGTCCTAACTAATGATTTAATAGGAGTTAGACAGGCCACTACTCAATGCTGGAAACAGGCTGTTATACAAGAAGAGAAGCTATAGGTCTGCCTGTAATGTTTCTGGGGAAATTCAAATATTAGCATCAAGTTACAGGGGGTGCTATGGTGTGGCAGAGGGTGAGCTGGACTAGGAATTAGCAGACCTGGGTTCCAGTTCCAGCTTTGCCACTTTTTACTTGTGAGCCTTAGGCAGGAGACTTCATCCTTGTGGGTCTCAGTTTCCTCAGCTGAAAATGAGGTTACTAAAACCTGCATCATAGAAATAAAGGGAGAAGTACATGAAATATTCCATGGAGAGATGCTTAACACTAGTGCCTGGCATATAAAATGCTTACAACATGTTAGTTAAGGAGTATAAACCTGATAAAAGATAAAAATCATCTTTGCTAAAAATCAGCTATTGATGTTCATATTAGAGTAATGGAATCTGATATAAAGAGCATATATGAAATAAATACTCTAACCCTTAAGATAATGTTGTGTTTTCCTGAAGAAGAATCATGTGACTATGGAAGGGACAAAAATAATTTTGTAGAGTCCCAGCAACAGAAACAACTGGACACCAAGGCATCGAATCTCCACTCAATAAAAGAAATAAAGGGTCGGTGGTTGCAAATGTAATGAGGGTTCTGTAGAATGAAGTTGCACAGAAATTTTCAATAGACATGCAGTCTACTTACTTCTTGGTATATCAATAACAGAGTTTTTTGTTAATATTCTTGATATAAAATTTTTAACAAGACCATTTCTCTATTATAATTATTCCCAGAAATGCCAGTAACCATGAAGTTAAACATCTGAATGAATTCAAGAGAATTAGCATAGATTATGACCCTAACTCTTTTAAAAAATTTATTTTAATTGACATAAAAACTGTTTATCATGTATAACATGTTATTCTAAAACATAGTTAATTATTGTATATGGTATGAGATGAGGGTCTAACTTTATTCCTTTGCATGTAAATATCCAGTTGCCCAAACACCATTTCCACATTGTTTAATGGTTAAGTCTACCTAATTAATGTGTGCATTACTGCGCATACTTATTTTTTTGTGATGAGAACACTTAAAATCTACTTTCCTAGCAATTTTCAAGAATATAATACATTGTTATTAACTATAGTCACCATGTTGTATGATAGATCTCTTAAGTTTATTCTTCTTATCTAACTTTATTCTTTTGCATGTAGATATCCAGTTGCCTAAACATGATTTAGACACTGTAAAACGTATATTTTGGATATTAACCCCTTAATATCCAAATGTGTAAGGGGTTTTTGGATGTAAACCCTTAATATCCAAATCTCCAGAGGTATGGTTTGCAAATATTTTCTCCCATCCTGTAGATTGTCTTTTCACTCTGTTGATTGTTTCCTTGGCTGTGCAGAAGTTTTTTAGTGTGATATAATCCATTTGTCTTTTGCTTTTATTTTGGGGTTCATATTTTAAAAAATCATTACTCAGACCAGTGATATGGAAATTTTCCCCTATGCTTTCTTCTAGAAGTTTTATAGTTTCAGGTCTTACATTTTGTCTTTAATCCATTTTGAATTAATTTTTATATCTGGTGTGAGATGAGAGTCTAACTTTATTCTTCTGCATTTGGATATCCAGTTGTCTAAACACTATTTATTGAAGAAACTCTCCTTTCCCTATTGTGTTTTCTGGCATCTTTGTCAAAAATCAATTCGCTATAAAGGCATGGGTTTATTTCTGGGCTCTTTATTCCATTCCATTGGTCTACTTGTCTCTTTTTATGCCAATACCATGCTGTTTATGCTGTTTGGATTATTAAAGCTTTGTAGTATATTTTGGAGTCAGGTTATGTGATACCTCTAGCTTTGTTTTTTGGGGTTTTTGTTTTGTTTTGTTTTGTTTTGCTCAAGATTACTTTGGCTATTCAGGGTCTTTTGTAGTTCCACATAAATTTTAGGATTTTTTCTATTTCTGTGAAAAATGTCATTGGGATTTTGATAGGGATGGTTTTGAGTTTTTAGATCACTTTGGGTAATATAGACATGTTAACAATATTAATTCTTCCAATTCATGAACATGGTATGTCTTTCCACTTATTTGTTCCTTCATTTATTTTTATCAATATTTTATGGTTTTCAGTCTTTCTTTCACATCCTTGGTTAAATTTATTCCTTTTCTTTTTTTTCTTTTTTTCCTTAGATGGAGTCTCGCTCTGTCACCAGGCTGGAGTACAGTGGCGTGATTTTGCTCACTTCAACCTCCGCCTCCCGGGTTCAAGCAATTCTCCTGCCTCAGCTTCCTGAGTAGCTGAGTAGGTGGGCATGCGCCACCCTGCCCAGCTAATTTTTGTATTTTTAGTACAGACAGGGTTTCACCGTGTTGGCCAGATAGTCTCAATCTCTTGACCTCGTGATCCACCCACCTCAGCCTCCCAAAGTGCTGGGATTACAGGCATGAGCCACCATGCCCGGCCGGTTAAATTTATTCCTAAGTGTTATGCCTGTAACTCTTGAAAAAGTAATTCTTAAATAAACATCAATTAATATTCTAGAGATAATTTGTTCATTGAGACTTTTTTATTCACTAAGCACAAACAAAACCCATCTCTGCCAGGCCTTCTGTATTATTATAACATTTAAATTGATCTGTGTTTGTGTATCTTTCTCTTCAGCCAGTCAGGAGTGTCTTGTAAGTAGAGGATGACTGTTACTCCTCTTTAAATCTTCAGCTACTATCAGAAAGACTGGCATATAGTATATACAAAAAAAAAAAAAATGTTCAATGAATGAATGAAAGAATTCACCAGGAGCAATGCCTTGGAGCGGGATATATAAGTTTTGTAGCTTGTATATCTAGATAAGGGCTGGGGAAGGGGAGGAAAGGGGCATTAACAGAAGGTAAATGATAGAAATAGACTCACCTTATACTTCAGAGTTTAGCTTGGAGGAGATGGTCCTTACATTCCCAAATCCAAACAATTGCTTTATTGGGCTGCTGACCCCAGGAAAGATAAAGTTCATTAGTAAACACTGTCTTCCTATTTGAAAACTGATGGATAAAGTCTGAAATAAAGGTAGGCCAACTATGACTCCCAAAACTAATGACTGCTGATTACAATAGAAGAAATCCCCCATCCCCTGCTACAGAGACAGCCTGCCCTCCAGCAGATGTGGAGGAATAATGCCTTTGCTCTCTTGGGAGATTCAGAGGGATCTGAAAACTGTCAGGCCTTGAGAAGTGGGAGTAGGTTTTTTGTGAAGCCAAGGATATGTGGATTCCAGGAGTCTGTGCCAGAGAACCAGGGCCTGACAAAGAAAATCCCCTTAAAAGTGGTAAGAGAAAAGAAACCAAAACCAAAACATGAATAAAAAGCACAGAAAAAAAATGGAAGAAGCTAGTTTTTTCGCCAGCTTTGCAACTGTACTGAATAAATTTGTGAATAATAAGAAGAGGAGGAAGTCTAGGATCCTGATTTGATAAGGCCTTGTAAACATGTCTCTCATTGTTACCTTTCTCTTCTGACTTTTAATGGAGAGAAGCACATATAATAAATGAGTCTGCATCATCAGATGGAGTATTAGCATTTGGGCTGATTTCTTCCTAATGCTTTAACACACAACTTCAGTTCAAAGAAGCCACATGTGCAGATGCCTTTTCCACAAGAAAGAAAATTGAGAGAGAATAGAGGCATTGTCCATCCCACTGCCATAACCTTTCACAGCCAGAGATCATAAAAGCCCTTACTGTTGGCCAAATGCTGGTCCCTTCATCTGGGAGTGGGCAGCACTTTGAGGAGGAAGGGAAGATGAAGGTTTCTCTAGGGTATCTCATTATCACACCAATTGGAAGGCCACCCTGAAAGTGAGACTCTACAGTGCCCAATACACACACATGGAATTCACTAATGAACTTGTCTTTTCTATGAAAGTCCCCTTCACTCTGTTTTGTCTTAAAACCACACTACCTGCAGCACTGGAGAACAGAAAGGAGCCACACAGTTCTGGGGTCTGACCCTGGCTTTGCCCTTCACTGGCTGCCCCAACTTAGACAAGTTCATTACCTTCTCTAAGGTTGTTCAATCTTTCTAAAGAATACAGAGTGTGTTACCTCTCTTAAGGGTCACCTAGAGGATTGAATGAGCGAGCCTGTGTGAAAGTGCCTGGCAGGTGGTGAAAACTTAATTAATATGAGTTTCCTTGATGCTCTTATTCCAGAGCAGAACTACTCACCAAGGGGACCTGTCAGGCTTAGCCTCTTTATTCCACATTTCTCCCCACTCACCACAGTAGCTTGGCCAATATTATGGGACAGAAGTTACCTAGTCCATGATGCCAAATCTCATGTCATTTTCTAGAATGTCTATTATGAAGTTTGTGAGGCCAGGCACAGTGGCTCATACCTGTAATCCCAGCATTTTGGGAGGCCAAGGCAAGAGGATTGCATGAGCCCAGGACTTCAAGACTGGCCTGAGCAACAGAGGGAGACCTTGTCTCTCCAAAAATTTTTTTTAAAATTAGCTGGGCATGGTGACACGTGTGCATGGTGGCAGGTGCCTGTGGTCCCAGCTACTTGGGAGGCAGGAGGGAGGATCCCTTAGGCCCAGGAGTTTGAGGTTGCAGGGAGCTATGATCACATCACTGCATCCAGCCTGGGCAACAAAGTGAGACCCCGTCTCTTAAAAAAAGTTTGCTCAGCCCAGTTACTCAGGAGGCTGAGGCAGGAGAATCGCTTGGACCCAGGAGGTGGAGGTTGCAGTGAGCCAAGATCGTGCCACTGCACTCCAGCCTGGACAACAGAGCGAGACTCTGTCTCAAAAAAAAAAAAAAAGTTTGCTCAGGAGACTGACGCAGGAGAATCGCTTGAACCCGAGAGGTGGAGATTGCAGTGAACCAAGATCGTGCCACTGCACTCCAGCCTGGGTGACAAGAGTGAAACTCCATCTCAAAAAAAAAAAATTGTGAGCCCCCAAATTGTCAGCTTCAGGTAAGTATGGCAGAGCTACAAAACCCAACACCATCCATGATTTTGGAATTCTCTTGGCTCTTGAAAATAACATGAATAGTAATAGCAACAATAATGAAATTCTGCTACTTTTAGTAGCTTATAAGTAAGTTAAATAGTTTGCTAGGAATCTTATGTAATAATTATAACTTAAAGGAGTTATTATTTTTGAGCAGTTATGTGCCATTGTAATGTGTATTATCTAAGAACAAGCATATAAATAATAATAGCTAATATTCACTTAAGCTCTTAAAATCTGCCTGGCACTCCCTCCCCCCTTGTATAGGAAGTTAGGCTCCAAGAAGGAAGCGACTTGCTTAAGGCTACGCAGCTCATAACTGGCAAAGCTGGGATATCAATTTAGGACTAATTCCAAAGGGTGTGCTTTTAGTCACTATACCTTGCTCCTTTTGTGAGAAATCAGTTTCAGGTGAGATAACCTCAGAGCATGGAATGTTCCCAGAGCCATAGAATGACCCTGGAGATAAAGGGCTGCCTTAAATCAGATAGTATCTACTTTGGCCCACTCTAAATTTAGGGCCTCTGAACGCCCCTGCTCTTCAATCTGCACCCTCAAAAACATGCCCCTTAAGGGAGTGGCTACAATCTGAGAGTGTTGTGTCCCTTGATCCAGCCCAGGATTAGACATCATAGATTTGTTTTGGGTGAATACCCTTTCTTATTTCCCAGCCACAACCAACCAACCTACTGTGGGACCTGGGACTGCATCCTGGGAGGACTGTTTTAAGGAGTAACTTTTGGGCTGGGTGTGGTGGCTCACGCCTGTAATCCCAGCACTTTGGGAGGCCGAGGCGGGCATATCACAAGGTCAGGAGATCGAGACCATCCTGGATAATGCAGTGAAACCCCATCTCTACTAAAAATACAAAAAATTAGCAGGGTGTGGTGGCAGGTACCTGTTGTCCCAGCTACTCGGGAGGCTGAGGAAGGAGAATGGCATGAACCTGGAAGGCGGAGCTTGCAGTGAGCCAAGATTGTGCCACTGCACTCCAGCCTGGGCGACAGAGCGAGACTCCATCAAAAACAAAAAACAAAAACAAAAAAACAAAAAACAAAAAACAAAAAAAAAAAAAAAAAAAAAGGATTAACTTTAGCAATGGCAGAGGTGCAGTCACTTATAATTGTAAATTCCAGGACCTGGAGTAGGTGCAGTCACTTATAATTGTAACTTCCAGGATCTTGATAGTAGCATTCTCATGCTGCTATAGAGAACTGCCTGATACTGGGTAGTTTATAAAGGAAAGAGAATTAATTGACTCACAGTTCCTCATTGCTGGGCAGGCCTCAGGAAACCTACAATCATGGCAGAAGGCACCTCTTCACAGGGTGGCAGGACGGAGTGAGAATGAGTGCCAGCAGGGGGAATGCCAGATGCTTATAAAACCACCAGATCTCATGAGAACTCATTCACTATCAGGAGAACAGCGTGGGGAAACCACCCCCATGATTCAATTACCTCCCATTGGATCCCTCCCACAACATGTGGGGATTATTACAATTCAAGGTGAGACTTGGGTGGCGGGGACACAGAGCCAGAGCATATCAGTTTCTTTTTTCTGAAATGCCTCATCCACCTTCTTACTGTGGTCTGGTGCTTCCCTAACAAGTGAAAAGTCTTCACTGTGGGAGGTGATTGGTCCTGGAAAAGAGAACTTAAATGCAAACCAAGGTGGAAATACCCAGTGTGTTTCTATATTGGAGATTTCTATATTGGGAAGGAGAGGGAACTTGGATGCCTAGAAATGGAAAAGAGAAAAGGATGTACTTAGAAAAGGCCAGAGACACCCCCAAACAATACACCTCTTATAGTCGAGCCAAGAACAGAGCCCACCCTGAATTAGTGTGACAGCCTGCAACAAATGGCTGGGAGCCACTGGATTATAGGAACGTGGCTGAGGTATGGGAGGTGTGAAAAGGAAACCAGAAAAGTTAAGAGCCCTGGCTCTGGAATCAGATGGGATTTCAAATCTCACTTTTGCTACTTGACAGCTGTGCATGACCATTGGGAAAGTGTTTTATAGTCATTGAGCCTGTCTGTCTCCTCCCTCACAAAATGGAGATGGTACTAATACCTCTCACTCTCTTTGCCAATGAAACAAAAAAATACACATAAAGCATTTCTAACAATGATTGACAAACAGTTGGTGTCTGATAAATGTTATTGACAATGATACTGTTAGTTAATGCCATTAACTTTCACCAGCCTCCCAACTCTCCCTCATTCAGAGGGAATGATTAGGGAAGTTCATCTTCATGGGTTTGGAGCGCTGACAAATGTCCTGTGGAAAAAGACCATGGAGGAGCAAGGGATCAGGAGAGGAAGGCAGGAGTGTGGATTCCATTAGCATTGGGGTCTGATGACCATGGGGCTTCAGAAGCACTTCTGAGAGCAGCTAAGACTCCAGATGCTTCATTTTTTACAAAGTTGCTTAATGCAGAGCACAAATACTTTATTATTTCCACTGAAAACTCCAAACTTTCTGCTCCTACCTGGTAGGTAAATATTCTCTTCCCCATTTGCAGGGTGGTAAAAACAAGGCCTGACAGACCCTTGCCAGGGCCTGAGTGTGCACAGCGGGCCCTGAGGCTGCTTTGTCCAGGGGCAGCCCCACATCTGCTGGCTCAAGCAAGTCGATTGGCTGTCGGAGTAGCTCGTCTTTGCCTCGTTCCTGAGTCCTGAGAAAATGATCAGCCGCCCGAGAGGATGTGTTACAACTCAGTGCTTTTTAAGCTCCCCCAACACTGTTTCTGCAAAAGTTGCTCAATTTCAAAATGATCTTTTTACCAAAGCTTGATTTCTACAGGTTGAAGCCTTCCTGTGACACATGGCAAGCAGGCTGGAAGTCAAGTGGTGTTTCCCTTACAAATTACCCAGAATGCTAAGAATGATATATAATCTGTGCCTGAGCCCTCGAGCTGTCTCAGACATGGTGATGGAAACCAGGTAGCTGTCTGCTCGCAGGCAGTCACACATGGCTCTGGGTGGAGCCTAGAATCACAGGGAGATTTCTCGTAAAACCGAGAAATACGGCACTGTCCTCCAGAGAGGAAGAGCATGTGACCTGCTTTATTGCTGTGCCTTTGAGCCCATGAGTCGCCGATGAACTTCAGTGGCTCTTCCTGGCTGACCTGTTGCATGTGGTGTTCATCTCCAAACAGCTTCATAGTTAACACAGGAAATTCATGGTGTTGATCTGTTTGAGAAGCAATTTAAGGCTTAAGGTGCCTGTGCTTTCTTCTTCCCATCATCATTTCTTCTGTGGCTAATATACTATCTGCATACTCCCTTTCCTCATGGCACCTGCTGCTTTAGCCAACATTAATTCCTATAAATTACTAGAAAAGAGAAGCCTTCCGAGACAGAACCACTTAGGTCCAACCTAATGCTCCAAGAGGGCAGGGTTTTAGTCTAACTTGGTCACCACTGTCTCTTCAGTGCCTAGCATAGCACCTAAATCAGAGTAAGTGCTGAAAGCAAATTTATAATAAACTAGGGACTCTTGGGACTCACTTTCTGAAGGTAGAAGCTACCAAAAATTACCAGGACCAAATTATTGCCTTTTATAAACCAATGCCAGATCTACAGTTTTAGTAGTTAGGCTTCACTTTAGTTAACTACTAGATTTAAAATCGCAGCAAAATGATAGGTAATATTTTACTGCATGAATACTGTGCTATCTCTTAAAGGTTTGTCATTAGGACCTCTTAAACACTCTTGGAAGGGAGCTACTTTAGAACTAGTAGGTCTCTCCTGTCTTCTTCTGATTATTACAGAAAAACTCTTCTCTCTGTATCACGAGTCCCCACACCACCCCCCCCACCCCCCCGCCCCATTGCTTCACTTGACAACCAGAGAACTCTCCATTCCTGCTAACCAGAAGGCAATTCTTGAAAGGCGCCTTGGGTTATACTCATGTATAAAGAAAGTCTGAAATTAGGAAGTAAAAGAACATGTTAAGGTTGCCCAGTGTCAGGTTGGGTTCCTCCAAAACAGACCCTGAGATGAAGATATGTATAAAATGAATGTATAAGATGCTCCCGGGGATTCTGGTAAGAAAATGAGGGAAACAGAGTAGGGAAAGGGAGGAAAGCAAGCAAGCAAGCATGTGGCTCAGCCAAAGCCCCACAGAGGATCTCACCCTGATCTCTAAGGAAGTTCTGGAGCCTGAGTTACACCTCAGCATTGTCTGCTCTAAGGGACTTCCATCTCCATCTGTCATTGGTTAAAAGATGCATCAGGGAGAATAGGAATCTCCAGGTGTTTCAATTTCTCATGAATGTGGGCAAAGCAGGCTCTGGTAGCCTAAGTGTGGACCCCCAGAGGACAAGGACAGGTGTGCTGTGTGAGTGGGGAGGGTGGGTGTGATATCCATAGAAGGGGACCCCAGGGGACCTGTGTGGCGCAACTACACCCACTGCCTGGGCTTCTGGCTGGTGAGCACGACTCTCCTATCATCATGCAATGCAGCTCCCAATCAGTAACCAAGTCTTTTCCGGAAAGTCTGACGCTATGGTCTCATTTTCCAAAGGCTGAGCTATCAAAATGCTTTCAGGAGCCGACCAGGAGTCATGGAAGTGGAATATTTTGAGGGGCCCCTGCTAATTCCTAATTCCTTGCCTGAAACTCCACTGTTAGATATTTCTTTGGCCTAGGGTAACCTGTGTCAAAATATGTTGTCTGGAAGGGGCATTCCACTAATGCAATCACAGCCATGACTCCTTTCATGAGGTTCATTGTTCCAATTCTCCAGTCAGCTCCCCCTAAGGAGAATAAGCCTTGATGTGGTCAGGTGTGATGAAGTGAAAGCGTAATGGGAGAAGTGAGGGTGGGGAAGGTCCCCAGGGTTGAGGTGCTGTCTGGAAGGGAGCCACAGAAGAAGGAGCAAGACACAGGCACCTAATGGGGCAGGGGCAGTGAATGTGAAAGGAAAGGATTTGGGGCAGGAGTGAGTGGAGCACAAAATGATAGGGTGCCAGAGAGGGACAGCACTGTCACAAGAGCAGCTTATCCCACATTTCTGTTGGGGGACAATCTGTTGGGGTAAAGCTTATCTCACATTTCTGACTTCCCATCCATTGGAAGAAATGTACAGTCCTTAAACAGAAATCTGGCAAAATAGGTTCTGCCTTCCAGGGATTCTCCCTAAGGCATCCAGATGCAGTTACATTCTCCTTTTGTATAATATGTGTTCTCCTCTTCCTCCTTAGTAGGAGAGCCCTGATTCTGTTGAGTGTGCCAATGTTACCAAAAAAGTATTTTCTCCTCCCTAGGCTTCCTTGTAGCCAGGGGTAGATTTGCTTTGGTTCTGGCTATTGAGATGTAAATGGTCATCCAGATAGGGCTTGGGGTAAAGCTTGCTAAAGGAGGACAACTCAACTGACAAGTCCCTTTTCAGCTTTTGCCTTTGGTTCTTCCCCTTTTTCCTGCCTAGGACTAGATGTGATGACTGGAGGGGGAGCAGCCATCTTGTGTCCATGAAGACAGGAACACAGATTAAGGAGGATGGAGCAGAAAGGCGAAGGGAACTAGGACCCCTTATGGTCTGATGGCACTGCAGTGCTAACTCTGGACTGTCTACATCTGGAACATGTGTCAGTGAGAACAATACTACATTTTGGTTAGACTATTTTTCCTGAGTTCCTGTTACATATGTAATCTGTCTACCAAAGGCTAAAGATGGAAGAAGGGGCTAGGTATTCACGTTTCAGTTCTTTTTGGCTCTCCTCTTTTTTTCAAAGTGGCCTGTCCTCAGGATATAGAGATTCTTTGTTTCTCCTTGCACCATGCTCACTATGTGGGTTCTACCCGTTGGTGGTGACAGGGAATAGTCTGCAGCTAGGTGGGTAAGCTCAGTTCAGAGAGGAAACTGTGAGGAAGCCCAATTGTGGCCACACATCTAAGCACTCTGTAATCTTTAAAATCTCCTTATCAGAGACAAAGCTCATATGTGGCCCTCCATCTGCCTAATTTCTGGTCCATCCCTTTTTTTTTTTTTTTTTTTGAGACAAGATCTCACTCTGTCAACCAGGCTCAAGTGCAGTGGCACGATCTTGGCTCACTGCAGCCTCGACCTCCCAGGCTCAAGCGATTCTCCCACCTCAACCTCCCAGGTAAATGGGACTACATGTGTGTGACTCCACACTCGGCTAATTTTTTTGTAGAGATGAGATTTCGCCATGTTGCAGGCTGGTCTCGAATGCCTGAGCTCAATCAGTCTGCCTGCCTTGGCCTCCCAAAGTGCTGGGGTTACAGGCATAAGCCACCAGACCCAGCTGTGTCCATCTCTTAATAGGTCTAGAATTTGGAGAAGAATCTTATGCGAAGGTGCTTTGGGCCCCTCACACTCCAGAACCGTTTTGCCAACCGACAAAGCTGCCTTAATGGCTTTACAAACCCATTTCTTAGTAGTCTATAGGTTGGTGCAAAAGTAATGGTGGTTTCTGCCATTACTTTTGCACCAACCTAATAGATCCCATGTATGCCACTGAGAGAGAAGTAGAGACTGAATATGATCTTTCTTATTGCTGTATGCACACCACTGCCACCCACACAAATGCTCAGAGCACATGCAATGCTCTTACACAAATATTCTCTCCTACAACAGCTTGAGAGGTGAGAGGCTGTCTCCTGAGAGATGTATGCTTTACAAGCCTGCATGTGGAATCCAGTCCATTTACTAATAGGTACCCACTGAGCATTTCCTTATTAAGTAAGTTCCTCTACTAGATATAAGCTCCATGAGGGCAAACTTGGTCTAGCTGTTTACCATTGTGTGCCCAGAGCCTGGAAGGGAGGCTAAATAAGAAGTGCTCAATAGATAATATATATATAATTTTACATATATAATATATAATCTATGTAATATATATTTATATATATGATTATATATAATTACATATAATTAGTTTTACAAAGGCAGTTTAGTTTTGGGACTATATATTATATATGTAATATAATATAGATAATAGATAATTATATATGTAATATAATATAATATAGATATACACTTATGTGTATATATAATATATATAATATAAATATATATAATATAGATAATATACACTTACGTATATATTTCTTAAATGAATGAACAAATTAATGAAGTCATCTCCAAGTAAGCTAAATTATTTAGTTAGTTTCCATCTATCTAAGTGAAAACTGATTTTGGATGATTTCCTCTACTTTTTAGTCAACTCAGCACTGTTCTTTAATGATTCAATCTCTTGAAAGTACCTTCTAATGGGCTTGGTTATTTTATTTATTCTGTTTTGCTCAATCGCAGATAAATTTGCATTCGATTGGTCCTAAATGGTTGGCAAAGACCGATCCTTGGCTAAGACTCATCTAACCATAACAAGACAAGCTGCATTTGGGCACTTTTCCACAGAAGCAAAAAAATATTTCCCACAAATATTCAATTCTTCATTTATGGGTGAACTGTTCTGCATGAATATTATCTATATGTTTTGAATTCCTTCTTCTTCCAGCTTTCCAGCATTTGCGATTTTCTTCTAATAAATGATTGGAAGGGTACACGAAAGGAGGTGCATCTCAAACCAGTTTATGTTGCCAAGTAAAAGTAGTTCAGTTACCTGCAACTCCTGCATATTGAACTCTGAATTCTGCTTTCTCCTTCTTGCATGCATGCCCATGAGGTTCTCTCTGAAATCCAGTCCTCTCACTCATTTTTATATGCAAACTCTGTCTTTCAGGGCCCAGTCCATGGGGTGTTTTCTTCATGAAAACTCTCTGTAGACGGACTTAAATGCTTTCACCTCTCTGCACCCAAAAGCACCAGATTTGAAGGTTTCTTAGAATGGATTCTTCCTGCCTTTTGCACAGACAAAATCAATTCCCTGAGACCACAGTATTGCAGTAAGGAAAGAGTTTAATTAACACAAGGCTGGCCACACAGAAGATGGAGTTATTACTCAAATCGTCTCCCGGAAGGCTCAGAGGTTAGGGTTTTTCAAGGATAGTTTGGTAGGCAGAGGTTTAGGAAATGGGTGCTGCTGCTTGGTTGGGGATGAAATCACAGGGGTGTGGCCTATGATTTCACGGTCCTCGGGCACTGTGTCTGCCTCTGGGTGGGGCCAAAGGACCAGTTGAGTGACAAGTCACAGGTCTGGGTGGAGTCAGCTTGTGGTTAGCAATGCAGAAGTCTGAAAAGACATCTTTAAAGGCCAATCTTAGGTTCCACAATAGTAATGATAACATCACTACAGGAGTAACTGGGGAAGTCACAAATCTTGTGACCTCCAAAACAATGGCTGGTTATCATTTAACTATGCCTACATTTTAGCAGAATTTGGGCCCCTCTCACAATCCTAACTTTGTGGCCTTTTGTTAGTTTTACAAATGCAGTTTAGTTTTGGGACTATAAACTAAATTCCTCTCAAAGTTCACTTGGCCTACACCCAGGAATTACCAAAGACAGCTGGGAGGCTAGAAGCAAGATGGAGTCAACAGTGTCAGGTTCCTCTTACCATCATAATTTTGCAATGGAGGTTTCATTAGCACTTATCATATTTTGATGGAAATTCATCAGAGCGATTAAGCACATAGGCTTTGATCCAGACTCACTGAGTTCAAATCCTGGCTCTATGCCTTACTGGCTGTGTGATCTGGGGCAAATGACTTTATCTCTCTCTGCTTCAGTTTCTCATCTTTTACAAAAGAAAGGATAATGGTAGCATTGGGCCCAGCATGGTGGCTCAGGCCTGTAATCCCAGCACTTTGGGAGGCCAAGGTGAGAGGACTGCTTGAAGCCAGGAGTTCAAGACCATCCTGGACAAAATAGTGAGGCTTCATCTCTACAAAAATTAAAATAATTATCTGGGCATGGTAATGTGTGTCTGTGGTCCCTATTCAAGAGGCTGAGGTAGGAAAAGCACTTGAGCCCACGATGTCGAGGCTGCAGTGAGCCATGATTGGGCCATTGCACTCTGGCCTGGGTTGCAGGGTGAGACCCTGTCTCAAAAAAAAAAAAAAAAAAAAAAAAAAAAAAAGGTAGTACCACCTACCCCATACTTTGTTCTGATGATTCAATGAGTTAAAACGTTTTTTAAAAAATCAAAACCAAACCACTTAGAAGAATGTCCAGCAGGTAACCAGTGATCAATAAATGTTAGCTTTTAAAAACATTATTATTGCTCTTTTACATGTTTGCCTCTTCAACTAGATGGTGATCTCCCAACAGGCCTTGATCTGTGAATTTGTCATCTTTCTACTTCTAAGTCCTAGAGCAGTACCTGGATCACAATTGAAGATCTATAAATGCCAAAGCAATGAATAAAAGCTAGCCATTGTATATGGAGATATAAGTAAGGTTTGGACATTGTCTGCAAGTGAGTTGCATATCTTAGAAAACTCTTGTAAGGGGCTGTATTTCATGTAACTGCATTTATGGCCATGGTAAAATGGCCAGCTCCAGGTCAGTTTTTCTGGGAAAGGCCCTAAGTTCTGAAGCTGGACTAGTGTCTCATCCAAGGAACATGCTCATTGGTAGGTGCTGAACCTCAAAGCCACTCCAAGATAACAAGGACAATTTTGGCAGGTGGTCCACTGGGGTCGATCAGGTGCTCATTGTATTTACCAAGGCATTTATTATGTGCACATAATTTAGGCTGGTGTTCAGAGGGGTTGGGATGGAGACTTGCCTCTGGTTGCTAGTAAACTATATTTTATAGGTTATTCCCAGCATTCCTGTGGCAGAGCTCCATTCTCCCCTTCTTCATTGCCCATAGAACTGTAATTTTCCTTCTTAGGTCAGTGATATGTTTGGCCCAAGACATTGGATCATGTTTGGCTTAGGCCAAACATGGAAATTGATTTTTCCCTTGTGATATAATCACTTTTCCAGATTCCCCTGTGACTAATGGCCTTATGATACTTTTTAATGAAGTTTAAGAGAAAGTCTCCTGGGGGAGACTTCTAGAAAAACTTTTGCTTTCTTGTTAAAAGGATAGGCACAAGAGAAGAATTATCTGGCACCACCTCTTTCTCTTTCTTAAACACAAAATGTGATCTCTGGAGCTATGGCATCCATATTGCAACCATGAGGCTACAAGCATGAGGATGAAAAACGAACACAAAAAGGATGAGTAAGTGCAGTGATAGAAAGAGCCTGGATCCTTGATGGCATTGTGGAGTTGCAAAACCAAGAGGCAGGACTGAGAGTGCTTGCCTTTGGACTTCTTGTTATAGTTTAAGCTATGGGTTAGTAAGCATTTTCTTAATAGGCCAGATAGTAAATATCTTAGGTCTTTTCACCACAGGGTCCTCATAGTCATTGCTCAAGTCTGCCATTTTATGCAAACTCAACCATAGACAGTATATAAATATATGGGTGTGGCTCTTTCTATTTCAATAAATCTTAGTTTACAAAAACAGGTATTGGCCATGGACCTTAGTTTTCCAATCCCTGGCTCAAGCCAGATTTGGAAGGGTATTCTTTTATTTGCAGTTCAATGAATTCTAATCATATATTCCTTCTCCCTAAATTCTACTCACTAGCTTCATTAACATCTAAAATTACGCAGTTAGCACCCTACTTCTTGTTTAAGTGAAAGCTCACTGCCCCTGTTGTGGTATAAATGGTACTAAAGGGAATGAAACACCAATCTTTATCAGTTATTTATACCTTAGTATAAATTATTTTAATAAGCCCTTTGTTAAGCAAAGAATGTTGTAGGCTAGATCAGTTTTAAGAAGTATTTACTCCCGCTTCTCACCTCCATAGAAGATGGGCTTGGCCATGTGACTTGATTTGGCCACAGATATGGGTAGAGGGGATAGTGCATCTGTTCTGACCCTTAAGAGCACTGCCTCCTTTTTCTCATCTGTCTTGTGACTTAGTGCCTCTCTATTAGTATAAATACCCCATTGGCCCCAGAATAGGGCAGACCTGAAACCTACCCAAGACAAGCTGAGATTAGCAAAATCTAGTCAATCTGCTGATCCACAGCAGGGCCTACAGCTCAGTGAGCTCGGTGAGCTTAGGTGCTCACTTCAGTAGCGCCTAAAACCTACACCCTCTGCCTAGAGTGGAGCAATCCAAGATAGCTGTAGATAAGTGAATAAGAAATAAATGCTTACCATTGCTGCCACTAAGATTTTGTGGTGTTTTTCATGTAGCATTGTTGGATATGGGTAATTAAGGGAGAGTAGGAGACGCTGAAACGTAGGCTAACTCTACCTCCTTTATATTTTTGTGAGTGTTGCCCCAAGCTAAGCTTAGAAGGCTCTATGTCTCATGGCCTATAGGAAAAAGTTGCAGCCTGCCTCTATTTGCAATTGTAACACATAGAAAGAGAAATCTTGCAGAATTCCTCATGCATATTTCCCACAGGGGGAAGGAGGAAATTTGGGAGAATCCCTTCTCAATAATAACCAAGTACTTAAGAGACGACTTAACCAAGTACTACCTATGTAAGTTGGAAATGAAACCTTTTGGTTGGACTCAGGAAGGGAAATAGATTGCTTCAAGCATTGTGAGTAAAGCCCCAGTTCTCCAAAGGCAACGTGGTGGAGTAGAAGGTGTAAATCGGAAGGACTGGAGTCAATATGATTTGGTTGGAAACCTGCTTCCATCAGGGAAAATTATGTAACTTTATTGAAACAATTTCCGCATAAGCAAATTCAGGGTAGCAGTATCAATCTTGCACAGTTATTTAGAAGAGTAAATGAGATGATCATGTAGATTCTATGGTTCATGGTAGATGGTCAATAATAAAAAAACAGTGATTTGTGGTATTTTTCACCAAATTTCTCATTTTCCCTTTTTACATGAAAAGATACTATAATTGATCTAATGACATAGAAACATGTACATATCATAATTTAATTATTTATATTTAAAATCGAATGGTAATCATAGCAGGAGGTATCTGGTTTTCCCAGCAGTGAATAACACTGCTCCAGTCCAGACGAGTTTAACTGGAAGGTGGAGATGCTGTTCCTCCCTTTCTCACTTTGATTGTTACGGAGGAGAGGGAAGGCAGGGAGGCTAAGTTAGAGTATGGAGCAAGTCCTAGGCTTCCCAAGCATATGGAGACTTCTGCCAAGACAAGGCACAGTATTATTAAGATTAACGGTTTTCAGATGGAGTCAGGCTTTTCCACTGACTCAAGTCAGAATGACTGGTAATGATGTTCATAAGATGCCATTTCCTGCCAAACAGTAAGATGTGGAATTTGTTAAATTAAGCCATGTGATGGGTCAGAAATGTATTAACTTAATCCATAATGAATGTCACTCCATTCCTTTTAACATACTTCCCCAATTAAGCTATGTAGGCCTCAGATATCTAAAGAAATTGAGCTGTCCTGCTTGTTGCCAATTGGTTAATTCCTTGATGATGGATAAAAGCTACCAGCAGCTTTTGTTTTTAATTCATGTTTTTCTTCAGTAATAGCAATCTTTTAATCAGCTGCTACAAAAAAATCCTTAATATTCCATAAATAAATGCTCAAGAAAGTCAAACAATTAGTAAGATTAATGTAAAGAGGCTGCCTGAGCACCTCTGATGGGCCCCAATAATGGGCTGCCATTACAGTCAACGGGCCACATGAAGGACCTGGTGGCCATTTTTATTTTATTAGCCCCATGCTGGACACACAGTAGATGTTCAGTGTTTATCAGGCTGAAGTGAACTAAACCCTGGAGGACTCTTAAGGTTTCTGACAAGGGTCTTTCCATAAGACAAGCATTTCTGGATTTCTGGCACTCCTTCCCATTCCCATGGGAAATGTGCTAGAAATTCTTAATAAGAGCAATATGCCTCTGCTGCACCCATAGGAGTTGGGGGTGATTTGGTTTGGCTGTGTCCCTACCCAAATCTCATCTTGAACTGTAGCTCCCATAATCCCCATGTGTTGTGGGAGGGACCCCATGGGAGGTAATTGAACCATGGGGGCGGGTTTTTCCCACGCTGTTCTCATGATAGTGAATAAGTCTCACAAGATGTGATGGTTTTATAAAGCACAGTTCTTCTGCACATGCTGTCTTGCCTGCTGCCATGTAAGACATGCCCTTGCTCCTCCTTCACCTTCTGACACAATTGTGAGGCCTCCCCAGCCACATGGAACTGTGAGTCCATTAAACCTATTTTTCTTTAAAAATTACCCAGTCTTGGGCATTTCTTCATAGCAGTAAGAAAATGGACTAATATAGCGGGCAGTCTTTACATAGGGAGGCCACTGCTTCATGTCCACAAGGGACTTAGGCAGCTTAGGCTATACCTGCTTCAGCCACCAAGGCAGGCATGAAGCACAACAGACATCCAGAGACTTTACCTCCTTTATATTTTTGTGAGTGTTGCCCCAAGCTAAGCTTAGAAAGCTCTATGTCTCATGGCCTATAGGAAAAAGTTGCAGCCTCCCTCTATTTGCAATTGTAACACATAGAAAGAGAAATCTTGCAGAATTCCTCATGCATATTTCCCACAGAGGGAAGGAGGAAATTTGTGGCTTATTTTGTGGGCAGTGTGTTATTTGCCCACAAAAGCATGGTGCAATCTTGCACTGTGTGACCTATCAACAGATAATAAGGTGAAATATTTCAGCTTATGAACCTCACCTTCAATGGTGGAACATACCAATTTGAAGGAAACTTTTAGATAAATAGTTGTCAATGGTAAAATTACTAAAGAATCTAATATTTCTGTTGTTTTGTTATCTTTGGGGCTCACCTGATATTAGAAGACACAACCTTCTAATGCCAAAGCCTCTTCTATATGTGAAGAAGCCAGATGGGGAACTGGGGCAGTTTAGATCAGAGTCAGTATACTACAGCCTGTGGGCAAATAAAGTGTCATTGCAATATAACACAGCCATGCCCATTCATTTGTGTATGGTCTATGGCTGCTTTTGAGTTATAATGGCAGCGTTAAATAGTTGGGACAGCAGTCATATATTTCACAAGGCCTAAAATATTTACTATCTGGCCATTTACAGAAAAAGTGTGCCAATCCTTGGTTTTGATTTTTCAAATATATTCACTCTCTTTCTCCCTTGTCTCTAATAAGATTATGCTTCTCTCACCCGCATTGATGTTGGCTTGCCATGTGACATGCTTTAGCCTCATGGTGGACTAGAGGGCATGTCTGCACCCCTTGACTTAGGGTCTGCAGTGGACCAAACTCAATGTTTCTGTCCACTGGCTATTCAATTAACAAGAATATATGCGGCCTGAGAGAGACTTTGCAAATGAAATTAAAGCTGCAGATCTTAAATCAAGAAAAGTAGCCCAGATTGTCCAGGTAGGCCAAATTAATCACAAGAGCCCTTAAAAATGGGGAAATATCTCTGGCTGGAGTCAGTCAGAGAAATGTGGCAGAAAAGGAAGGTGGAAGAGACTCAGTACAAGGGAAGTCAGAGATATTTGAAGCACAAGAAGGACTTGATGTGTCCTTGCTGGTTTTGTAGATGGGGAGGAAGGCATGGGAAGGAATGTTGGAAGGCACTAGAAGCAAAGATGAGCCCTTGCTGGAATGTCAGCCAGAAAACAGGGACTTCAGTTCTGCAAACCAAAGGAACTGAATTTGGCCAACAATCTGAATGAAATTAGAAGCGGATACATTTCCAGATCCTCCAGTAAGAAGCACAGCCCTGCTAACCCCTTGAGCTAAGCCCATGAGACCCATGGTGGACTTCTCATTTGCAGAACTGTGTGAGATA
This sequence comes from Homo sapiens, assembly GCF_000001405.40. Taxonomy (NCBI): domain Eukaryota; kingdom Metazoa; phylum Chordata; class Mammalia; order Primates; family Hominidae; genus Homo; species Homo sapiens. Next base: position 24,970,991 of record NC_000018.10, read on the forward strand.
ATAAATTTGTGTTTTAAGTCACTGAGTTTGTGGTCATTTGTTACGACAGCCATAAAAAGCTAATCCTAGGTCTACCTTGCTTTTACCAATAGGATGTAAAGAAACAGGATGCATGAGAGACACCAAATGTGCCTAGGTTTCTACCATTGCCATAAGAAGTACATGATGCAGCAAACCTACTAGTCTAAAGAGATACACAGACCAAATCTGGACCCAAACTGCAGCCTGGAATGGAGCCCAACTTAGCCGAGCCTGGATCAGCCAGCCCCTAGGCAACCCACAGATGCATAAGCAACATGACTGTTTTTAAAAGCCACTGGATTTTGAGATGGTTTCTTATGGAACATTATGGTAGATAAATGATGAATACAGGAATGCATAATAGATTACTTCCATAACGAAAACCTAAAATATGTGGGAGCCGGATAGTAACTGGTGTAAAAGCTACCATAGGGAGCTAGAAAAAAAAAATGGCCAAAAACAAACCAAAACAGAAACAGCCATGCAAACACATGTTGCAGGAGACTGAAAAACTGAGAGCGTATGGTATGACATGAGCATGCACATGTTAACACCATGGCAAACACTGGTAAGCTATTGCCGGCAATAATCTGGAAGGTTGAATGTGTACTTAATGAATTTGTAGATTTGAGGGAGGAGATAGGAAGCAGAACGTTGAAAGCTTGAGCTGTTTTGCCTAGCTGCATTTGACAAACTCTGAGAAGGAGAAGAACTCAGAAAATAGCTGACTATTTTTGCAAGCAAAATTTTGAGGAAATATAGAAAATCCAGAAATCTCAATGTAGAAAATAAAACTGACTTTTTACTTAACCAAGGGTGTGGTCATGATGATAGAGACTATGAAAAAATCAAATCCAACTGCCAAAAAGATATATTCTCAACATAAAAACCAAATCAGAGGGATGGCTGTTCCACACTTTGTCTGAGCTACAAAAGAAATAAGATGGTGTCTAACATGCTTTCTCAGCGAAGCAAAAAGGCTTGTAGGAAGATTAGGCATAGTTCTACAGACATCTAATGAGGCCAAAATACTCCTAGTTGATTCTAGAGAGAGAGGCCTGTCTTGGAAATAACTAAGAGTGAGTTTTGGGCACATGGAATTGACTGGAATCAAATATACAGAAAACCCACACAACTTTTGAGAAACGTACACAGTGGTTTCCTCTTATCTGCAGAGGTTATGTTCCAAGGCCCTCAGTGGATGTCCTAAGCCATGGATAGAACCCAACTATATGTATTCTATGTTGTTTGTTTGTGACGGAGTTTCACTCTTGTTGCCCAGGCTGGAGCGCAATGGTGCGATCTCGGCTCACTGCAACCTCCGCCTCCCGGGTTCAAGCGATTCTCTCATGTCAGCCTCTTGAGTAGCTGGGATTACAGGTGTGCACCACCAAGCCCAGCTAATTTTTATTTTTAGTAGAGACAGGGTTTCACCACATTGGCCAGACTGGTCATGAACTCCTGACCTGAGGTGATCCACCCGCCTTGGCCTCCCGAAGTGCTGGGATTACAGGCATGAGCCACCGCACCTGGCCTCTATGTTTTTTTATACATATATACCTACAATAAAATCTATAAATTAGGCACAGAAGGAGATTAACAATAATAAAATTAAACAATTATAATAATAAGCTATAATAAAAGTTGTGTGCGTATGGTCCCTCTCTCTTAAAATATCTAATTGGATGTAATATTTTTGGGCCATGGTTGACCGTGGGTAACTGAAATCGTGGAAAGTGAAACTGGGTAAGAGAGAACTGCTGTATTGGCAAAAGCACTGCTGGACATAGAAAAGGACTGAAATTGTTTGAGCTATAAACATCCCTTCTCTGAAGAAGCTACTCAGCCTTTAAAAAGAGTTTCTTTTCTTGTCTTCATCAGAAGTAGCCAAAGAAGATGTTGAGAAAAAAAAGAAAAAAGACCTTCCAGAAGGTGGAGCCAAGAGTGGTGGAGAACAGCGGACACAAGGTCTACCCCTAAGGAGCAGAACTGGGGCCTGGAGGAGAAACATTACTAATCCCAGGGAAGGGCTTGGACACTTTTGCCCAGCAGACTTTTCGTCTTGCTGTGAATGAGAGCAGCAATAGGCCACTTATCCTTTCCTTTTCAAAGAGGAGAGGGCCTGTCCCTGTTCTACCATGTGTGTTAGGCAAGGAGGGAGCACATATCTTGCCTTTTCAGTTCTTTGGTCTTTAAATCAACCCAAACTTGATGTGGTTTAAGAAATCATGGGCTTTGAGCCCGATGCCGTGATTAGATGAGGCTTTTGAGGATCCTGAGATGGGGTTTCTCCTACTAATGGCACCTTTGAGTTTGGATTTGACCTTGCAATTTGCTTTGGTCATGTGGGAGACCAGAATATGCCATCCCCAAATATGAAGGATGGTTGGACTGAAGATGATTAGTAAGAAGCAGATACAGGAATGCTGTCTGCCATCCCTCTATTTGCCTTTACTTGTCTAAAAGCAAGACTTAGATTTACCAAGACATGAGGATATCCTGCCCCTCCACCCTTCCCTTCTACCAAAGAGAGGAAAGATAAACCACTGAAGACAACCTGAGATCCTTATTGGCTTTGACACAGTACTAGAGAAATTCACATTTGCTAACTTTGCTAACTAGCCTTTATCTGCCATTTACTTGCCTTCCTCCCAGTTACTTATCCTAGAGTCTCAAAGTCTTTTTATGTCTTGTCATTTCTCTAAAAATTTAACTTTCTTTGTTGAAGATGCTATATAAGCAGAAATTCAAAGCCACTACTTTGAGAACTACTCATTCCCTGGGTGTCTTCCATGTATATATGAAATATACATGTTAATAAACTTGTTTGTTTTTCTCTTGGTAATCACTTTTGTTACAGGGGTCTGTTCCCAACAAAGAACCCATGGGGGTTATTCTTCCTCTAGAGTTAATAGAATGCCATCAGAAGTGACACAAACAAGAGATGTGAAATGTCCTTAGGTGGTTAATCTTATTCTCCTGTGCTTCTTCCATTACCATGATAAGAGAATGCTCTCACTGGTCCACTGGTCCAAGGAAGATGAGAGACATATAGACCAAGCCTGGTCCCAAACTGAAGTTTGAAGCTAAGCCCAGCTGAGCCCAGCTTGAATCAGCCAACTTCCAGCTGATCCTCAGATACTTGATGGTTGTTTTAATCCACTGAGTTTTGGGTATTTGTTACAGCATTACTGTAGCAAAAGCTAATGATACCAGGATTTCTCTTTTCTTCTTTCTCCCAAGAATTTCATTATGAACACCAGTGGTAAGTCCTGTGTTTCCTGCTCTTTTTAATATGCTTCCCAATTAGTCTTGTAACGGACAGACCTCTACTTTGGGAACCAGAATACTTAAATACCAGCTCTGCTGTGTACTGGTTGTATGATCTTGAGCCCATAAATTAATACTCTGTTGGACTCAGTTACCATATCTATGAAACAATGATAATCACCCTAACTTCATACGGTTTTGTAAGAATTAAATGAAACAGCAGATTTCACAAAACAGTGTATTGCCTGACATAAAGCAGGGCCTCAATATGAATTGAGCCTAAATCATTGGAATGAGCTACTGGATGCTTTCCAAGTTTTCTTTCAGCTCAACAATACCATGATGTTAAGAGATTTTTGGTTTTCATCACAATACTTGCTCACTGATGCTTTTTTAATGATGACAAACATTTTGATTTCACTCTTTGAGATCATCCTGACACTGGTAAGATGCCTGGAAGGGTCAACGCATTGACTTAAATTTATACTCTATTGTGAAAGGCTAACACCAGGGCACATTTTAATATCCATGAGAAAGACACAAAATATTTGGGTTTACAAATGAGTTCCTAGCACATATTAGGTCAATGTGTGGAAATGAAAGAGAACATGTTCAGTTAGTTTACAAGCCGGGTAACATCTCTATAGTGGCCATAGATATAGATATCCTAGAGAGAGATATCTAACAGCATGTGTATATTTCAGAAAAGACTCTATAACCACTTCAACAAAACACTGAAGTCTAAAGCACCTATCCAAATAAACTAACAAAAATTATCCCAACAACTCATTTAAATCTTTTTAGAAATGCATTATGTGTTACTAAGTATGGTAAAAATCCTTATATACTAAAATGGAGCTTGAGATTTCTAATTTAAAATCTTTAATTTTTGCATCTTTTTATTCGGTCTTTACTATTGACAAATGTGTGTCATACATAAATTTGCTTCATTTTAGGAAATGGAAATTCATAAGCTTATTTTTATTTTTATTTGTGAATTCTGGGTGCTGCTTGGCCTCTGGGTCATCATTATAAATGGGAAATCTCATAGGTAAGGACTGAGGACATAGAAGGTACCAGAGCTGGGAATAAATCTCTAATTACATTAAATGTCCTGAAAATGAATTTTTTGATTAAGCCCCAGACAACACTACTATTTTCCCCCAAAGATGAATATAAATAGAAACAAACAATAGCAAATAAACAAACATATAATTCAGCTTCTTTAGAGATTCTGTTTAACTGGATTTCAGTTAATTTCAGTTTTGCTGTATTTCCTCACAAAGCCATTTTCCTTACCATAACTCTGTAGATTACCAGAGTGGACTATTTCATGCACAATTTATTGCAGAGACAGGCAGTATTTATCAGTTCCTTCATGGCAAAGAAGAATCATCTGCTTGAAGGCCATCACTCACACTGCTGTCAGCAGAGTGGCAAAGAGCTGAATAATAAAAGAAAAGATCCCCACAAATACTGGATCTGTGATAACTCCATTAATTTGAGAATAAGAGGACTTTTAAAAATGGGGAGAAAATATCCAACCTTTTAGCAGAACATCCTAGATAAGATAGAGCCCAAGCCTTGGCTCATCCATCATTGTTTAGAATTAGCTTTCATGCACTTGACCTTAACCATCACTCTTTTTGTCAAGCCTGGGTGTCAACACAAAAGAAATTGGTTCATGGATGAAAGTACTGAATGAGCATCTGATCACACTTCTTTCAGGCGCTTACCTTCTCACAGTAAGGGATCAATTAAAACCAAATGGAGCAGATTTCTCTGGATATCTGGGTCGTCAATGTGGAATGCTATGGTTTGGGTAAAGAAGCATTTAACTGAGAAGAGAGAGGCTCCTGGCCCGAGCACAAGCAGGCCAGGCATGTATGTCATAAGCTGCGGGATGTAAACACACTCAGCACTGGACACGAAAGGACAAGGACACAAGAGACCGTCTGTCATGTCATTACCTGAATATCTAGCTGTATTATTTATAAACCAACTTGCAGCAGATGTTGTCTTTTTTAACACAAATTCTCCTTCCAGGGCATTATGCATGAGGCCTAATTGTAAATGCCTATATTGTTTCTTTCCCCTACTGATTTATTGTTCTATAGACATCTACATGGGAACGCAGTGTGGAACTGCACTGTTTTCTCTATTAATTATTTTCACTCTTTGATTACTAATTTCAGAAGACAAACTTTTCACTGTTGACCTCCTCAGGAGTGGATTGTTTTACAACGAGACTGTATTAGGGAAATGAGTCCCCAGTGAAAGCAGAAGGGCATGAAAACCTTGTGTCTTATTTACATTAATCCAAACACAAGTTTCTCAGTCATTTCCCTCTTAAATCTTTATCTACTCGTGAAATAAAAGTCACAGACCAGGAACAATGCTTCCACTGGAGTGACGGCAGTTATTGCACAATACTGGAGCTGTTATAATAGAATCAAAGTCTGCAAAAAAAATTACTACTGTTAGACAATAAGACATGTATGCCTATCTCTGTGCCAAAGATGTAAAACCGCCAAGCACTACCCTGGGCACCCAGTAGGTAGGTGCTCAGATATTAGAAGTGTTCTTCAAATTTAGAATCTGACATGATTTCCAAAGTAAGTGTTCGTGATACAATGAGTTACAATTTGGGAGAGCCTGGAATTCTTTCCCAGAGAAGATTTTGAAGGCTTTTGTTAAGCCATGGGATTTTGTTGGTTCTTTTGACCAGACACCCCTCTGTATGTGTAATTGCCCATCCTCCTGCCTACTGGGAGAGAATTGCAGTCCCTGGGAGCATGCAGGGAGCCTGGCCCTTTCCATCCCTTCCCTCTCACCTCCTCTCAGAAAGAGGGCGCACTCCGTACAAGCCAGGACTAAAATGGAACATCCAGTGGCTCCTGGGGGCCATTGTCCTGAGCTCTGGTGGGGAGACAGAGATAGAGATGACAAGGTGAGCATCTGTTGCCTGTTTCACAGGCTGCCCATCTCTGCCTGGGTCTCACACCTTTCTCAGGAGTCCATTTTGTCCTTGGATGAAGTGTGTGCATTGAGAATCTAGAAGGTTGGGACAGACCATCTATTGAACTCAAGTCTCTAACCTGAGCATCAATCCCTTCCATCCTACGTCATTTAAATGACCACCCAGCTTCTGTAGGGATGCCTCTAGGGATGGAGACACACTCCTCCTCAGGCAACAGCTCATTCTCTTTGGTGAGAGCTCTAACAGAAAGTCTTTCATTGCACTAAGGCTTTGCCTAGAGAAGACCGTAGTTTCCACCATTCTGTTCTATCAGCTTTCTGGATCCACAGAGTCCTTAACTGTTCTTCCCTGTAACAGATATTGAATGATTTAATGAGATTGTGCAGGGCTATCAGCCATATTTAATTTCTGTGCACAGGGGAGATTGTTACTTTCTGCCCACTGTGCCTAGTTCCTCTCAACTTTGTCAAAAATGAGCAGAGGTTTTTCCAGCCTGGGGCAGATTGAGTAGCTAAGCCTGGCTAGGGCAGGCAAGGCTGTCCACCATCTGGAGGGAGGATGAGGGCATAGGTAGTATAGAACTAATATTCCAGAAAGAGTTCACATGGATGGTTCATCTTGAAACTTGATTGTTCCCAGGCTGATGTTTCTTATTCTACTCCAGTGGAATTACTTCATTTCAGGTATTAAATATCTGGCCTTGGAGGTCTGCTTCAGTTCTGAAGGACACCCACATGCTCAAAAAGGCTCAAAGAGGCTTTGTACATAGAAGATCTGGTGGCTCCCCTCTTTTCATTGTGAAAGTAGTCACCTGCTCTTTAGAGTAGGGATATAGAGATAAACCATACTGACTCTCAGGGTCCCCAACACTGAAAGACACGGTCACTATTATTATAATCATGGTTGGTTTATTGCTCCAAGCCCTGTTTTTATAGTCAAATGTAGCAACCACACTATATATTCAGGTTCTACCTTCTGTTGCAAACCACTAAGCCATTTTGCTGCAAAAAGGACAACTCTGACTCCCCTGCCATCCAGATGTTGTGAAAGGTATTTCATTTATTTTTAAATTCATCCAATCATTCATCCAATGTCCACTCTCAGCAACATGTGTGAAAACCATGCTAAATATACATCCTCAGTGCCTGCCACCTTAGTGGGTCTGCAGTAAGTTGTCTATTGAGAAAAGCTTGGGTGCTGTAGTCTTATCGTCATTAAAAAGTGGGCAGGATCTATAAATAGCACCCAAATTTTAAACTACTTTTCTGGAGCAAAATGTTTGCTTAGTCTCGCCATGCAATATTTAAAACTATTTATTTTGAAGTAATTATAGATTGGCAGGAAATGGCAATGATAATATAGAACGGTCCTATAGACCGTTCACCCAGGTTCCCCTAATGGTAACATCTTGTGTAACTATAGTAGGACCAGGACATTGTCCCAATGTCAATTGCAGGTCTCACCAGCTTTACACATACTCATTTGTGTCATCACACATTTGCTGATTGTCTGGCATCTTTGAAGAGCTTACTTAGAACTTTTAGAGGCACAACTTTCTCCTAAGAGTCCATTTATGGTAGCTTCTAATTGGGCTAGTTTCTCAAGATCTCAGAGTCAGTATACTCTCTCTCTCTCGCTTTCTCTCTCTCTCTTTCTCGCTTTCTCTGTCTTTCTCAAGAACACAAGCAAATAGGGTTCTGATATGTAGTAGTAATGAAGAGATAAGAAAGTCTGGTACTTGTGGCTATTGATTAAAATCTGTGATTGGACCCAGCATAAAGCCAGGAGAGGGTAGAATTATACTAAGCAAATAGGCTTTATTCCAGAGGCTGAGGAGAACCTCCATCCCTAAACAGTGTGGCAAAAAAAGGAGCATGAGGAAGAGAAGAACTAATCTGTAACAGGCACATGCTGAATATTTCCCAGCAAGGTTCCATGTGCTGGGTGAGGAGGCTGGGAGCCCAGACAAACCCTGCACCGTGGTTCCAGCACTTTTGAGTTTGAGCTCCCTGCTTGCCAAGCTCCTGGTGATCCAGAGGACCTCAGGAAGATCCAGACAGTGGGGAGGGGCGGGGAGAAGAGGTGAGGGGGACTTTTCCCAGCCAAAACCTACTTCAATGGATCAGCCAGCCTCTGAATAGCAGCTTTTGACATCTCAGTGGGTTGTGAGGGAGGTGTGGTCATCACAAATGAAACAGACCACAGGGGGTGCAGGAGACCTCTGCAGGGCCCCTAATCAATTACTAAAAACATGGAGAGGGTCCTTGGAAAATGAGTGAAGGAGACAGACGCATGCTGACACTCAGTGGTATCGCTGGGCACCAAAGGAGAAACTGGGGGATTTTCAGCTTCACAGAGGATGGGGTGATTGTTTCCTTTCATCAGCCGTTGCCCTCAGAAAACAAAACAAAAACCAGAAGAGAAACATTGCCTATGGAAAAAAAATACATATAGAGGCTGAAAAGGAGGAAATAAAAGGAATGAAATTTGCTTTTACGAAATAATTTAAATAGTCTTGAATGCCCAGAGGGCCCAGGCACTATATTATGTGTTACAGAGAGGTTGCTATCTCCCAAAGGGGATATGAAATGGGAGATGAATATTATTAATCATCCCTATTTGCTATATGTTAGGAAACTGAGAAAAAGTGAAAATGAGTGATTTTCCTTCAGATTCACATGCTGTGGCAGCCACAGGGCTGGGATTGACAGACAAAAGCATGACGCCCTGCAAAGCAGAAGAGACACCAGCAGGCTGTGGGGGCTCATGCAGTTGAATGCAATGATGCCCAGGATCCCCATAAGCCACCTAGCAGCGGGGTCGTCTGCTGCCTGAAGTACCCTGTAGGAGTGGCTGGGGACTCCTTTGCTGGGTCATGTCCACCAGCAGTTCACCTGCTTGGCTTGGGCTGGCTCGAGTTCACTTAAAGGGACTTTAAGGGATTGGGTTGATGTTGAACCTCATTGATCAAACTGAGATTACAGGGAACAGACTAGAACATCAGATTCACTAGACAGGAACTATCTATTTAGTTTACTTCTATATCCCCAGGACCTGGAACATTGCCTGGGGCCCAATCCGTATGTGTGGGATAAAGGAACAGATCATATTGCCACTTTCTCGGTGCTGGTCATGGTGACAGGCACTAGAAACAGAGAGATGAATAAGTCAGCCCTTCCTGAAGAATTCTGTGAGCACCTAAGAGGTGTTATGAAGGGGTAGGGAGGAGGAAGTTCTTTGACCAAATAAACATAAGAAGTTTGGTTTTATTTCAGAAGGATTTCTCATAGACTTCAATAAGTGAATATGGCTTGTGAATTCCCAAGAGGGGCATATATTTGCATCCTTTCTGAAGTATAATTGATGTTAAAAACCCACTCCCTGTTCTGCACACACCTTTACAGTGTATACTGGGACTGGTGTTTGTTCCTTGGGGAAAGCATGGCACCTGCCCTTGAGTAGCTCCTGATCTCTTGGTAGCCACTTCCATCCAAGGTCTGCCAAGCAATAACTCGGTCTTCCATGCTCACTGGTCTGAGAGATGACTGGATCACTGTAAGACCACGACTGCCAACTACTTTACCCCAGACATTTTTGCCTACTGTGGTCCCTAGATAGTCGTTACCTGGATTCCCAACCCCAGGCCCTGGAACATATGGGTAGAAGTCCTAATCTCCTAAAAACAGTCAGTTCTAAATCTATGCATGTGCTCATGATCTGATATTTAAAGCTGAGATAGACTCAGAAACCTTGAAGACAGTTCTGCTCTCAGTAATTCTGACCTGGTAACACAAAGTCTAAATCCTGCCACCATGCCCATCATCGACACAGGGATGAATAACAAAAGAAAACCGCTCTTTCAACCCCACAGCCAGAACATGCCTTCATAAGACAGAGCCCAGAGTTTGCAACGTGTGGCGTTCAAAGTCCCCACATTTCAGCCTCGATCTCCCATGTGGAGGGCCGTGCATTCTCTCGGGCAGTGGACTCTACCCTTGCTGTAGTCCGAATAAATCACCAGTGCCCTGGTACTGAAGGGAGTTAATTGCGTTTGGAAATACTCCAGGTACTGAGGTTGGTTTGGTCAAAGACGTGGGCAAGGGTAGGGTAACATATGCATCCACTTTCATGAAATACACGTTAAGAATAGTGGGCTCTGTGTTGCCTAATTTATAATGGATCCCACACACACTCCTCCCTGCCTTCTTTTCCTGGCGAAGAATGTGAGGAACCATGGCAGTATTTTTCTTTTAGGTATAACAGTCTGTCAGTATCAAATTCTCTCAGTCAGTGGGGAGCATATAGTGTTGATTTACTGAAAATCTGGGATTATGTCTGCTCTGTGGTGAGTAGATTTAAGAGAGGAGAGGTAAGGGTCTCGGAAAGGTGAGGAAAAACACAAATGAAAGCTAGCAGGGAAAAAATAGCTTGACAGTTAAGATACAGTGCAGCCACCATCAAAATCTTCTAGAAAGAGAAGCCCAGGAAGGAACACACTCACATACACATGAACACCCATGTACATCCGTTTCAAGTCCCATGTACTGGAAGGTTTGCAACCTTTTCAATTAACCCCTTTCTCTTTGGGGCACTCCGGATGTGTCAATGAAGGCTTAAATACTGTCATGTTTCACGCTGGAGAGAAATTGTGACAACAGACACAAAGTTTTGTTTCAGTTTTTAAGAACTGGCTTAAAAAAAAAAGATTTGTGGCGAGTAAAGGGAATTCTTTTCTTCAAGGGCCCTTTGACACTTGACTACATTCCTGGACCTTTTTGTCACCAACATTTCATTATCCTGATCATATCCCTAGCCTCCTGCTCTTTCTCTCCTTTGCCTCAAAATAGCTGTCACCCTGTGTTACTTTACCCCAAGACTATTCCCTAGGAGCACCTCAACCTTCCCTTTCTTCTTTTACTCTTCCTCCTCTTTGTCCTGTTTTGAAGTGGAATACAGTAACTAAATAGAATTAAAATGTGGGGAAAATAACACAAACCCTGTGGCAGTATCTGGGTGCTTTTGAGAAGAGATTTTGGTACCTTTCTCTTTTCTGGGGCAAGGCTCCCGGCAAGTGCTGGGAAGGATAGAGTCGTGGAAGTGGTGGCAAGTGGGTGACGGGAGTTCTGGGGTTGATTTCACCCCCTTCCTGCTCCCTGACCCTCACTATCTTCAAGAAAATTTCCTCCGAGGCTTCAGGGTGGTTGGCAGGGGTGCAGTGACTTTTGTCATCAAGCATCCCAGCACTGATGCTGTGACTCAGTAGCTCTAGAAGAATCAGATGAGAAAGGCAAGCGCTGAGGCTCCCATCCGATAGCTACAAGGGATTCAATGTGTCTTTCTGAAGGCCACTGGCAGCTGCAGAAGTGAAGGATGTTGGGGATGGGGAAGGACCACACTTGTAAACCCCGATTGCTGTGGCCACCAAGAGACACAGGCACTGCTGAGTGTCTCAGAGCTTGAAAAGAGAGATGAGGAAAAAGAAAAAGAGGAAAGAGGGGATAAATAATAGTAAAGAAGATGCCACTAGCATTCTGTAACTCTAGAAAAGAATACAGAGATATCCAGTTGTGAATGAAGCAACATTTTGTCTCTTTATTTTATTTAAATTATATATTCTTCATCTGCATACTTGGGGTTCCTGTGATTTTGCTAAGTGGACTGTCTTAGCCTGTGACTCTCCAAGACCTGCCTCCGAGTTTAGGGCAGGGGTCCTCTGTGAGGAAGCCTGGGTTCTGCTGTTAGAAGCTGTAAAGCCAGCCTGCCTGTTGAGTCACCATGTGCCTGGAATAACCCTGGTTTATGCCTGTTGTCTCTGAGTGATTATGACTAATACCCCCTTTCACTAAAGTGTCCTGATTTTAATGAGAAATTACATAGTCAGTCTACATATAGACAAATTAAAGACTTCTTTTAATAGGACTATCAACCACACCTCCCACGTTCATTGAGACTAAAAACTGCCTGAAAAGAGTTACTGCAAAATGAAATTCCAGGGCAAAGAATAACTCCTTCAAGATCATTTCTCCTCCTCAGAGACAAGTGCAATTAGACCTCAGAAGAGGCTCCCGTTCACACATACTTGGGCCCTATTTGGATGGTATTTCTCTCTCCCTCTCTCCCTCATTTTTTTTTTTTTTTTTTTTTTTGCACATGGATCCAGCTATTCAAAATGGCACAAGAACCTGGTTGTGACCAATGTCATTCACAAAGCAGCATGACAATGACAAGTGTAATAGCGAAATCCTACATAATAGTGGACCAGCAATGGGGCCCACAGGGCTGGCCAGCTTGGGGTTCATAGAGGGCCCTTTAAAAATTTAGCCTTAGGGGTGCCTTTCACTTTATTATCGAGACCCAGAAAGAATGCTAGGGCCTATGAAAGAAACAACTGCAACTCCTCTCAGATTCTCTTCATACTGCATGCTGCAACAAAGCCTGCCTTTTTTACATTTCAAAAGAGGCTGCTTTCTCTTTAAAAAGTAGGAGCTACTTGGTCTGATGCGGCTGCCTTTATCAACCATGAAGTTCCCAGCAAGGTGCTGTTAGTGCCTGATTAAACCTCATACCAACCCATGTCCCCCATGGTAACCCAGAAGACATCCGCTGAGACCCGGAGCACTGATTCAGTTTAATTGCCCAGGCTCTCTGTGATGACCGGATTTCTTGTCTCTCAAGGCCTGGAATAGAAATCCATGTGATCAGATGAACTATCCGGGTGTCTTGACAGATCTGAAATATGAATATGGATATGGTGTTGTGCTCCGCAGTGACTTATGAAACCCCAACGGTAAAATATGATCTGCCATTGAAACAATTTCAGCAGTGTGTGCATGATTCACATAAAACTCATTTTCTAGTGGAACACTAATTATTAATAAATCAGACCAAAAATGGAAAAACAATGTGTGTATACATACACATGTAAGATGTACACATATGTATAAAATATACATAAGTATATATTTATACACATATATTTCTTTACCTGTATATAAAAATATATAGGGCCCCATTTAGACTGTATCGGTCTTTGTATTCTTGCTTTTCTTGGACTAATAAGATCATAACAACTTGTATTTACAAAGTATCCTACTCCAAGGAATTTGAACATTGATAATATCTGGTTTATTCACCCTCTTCTGCAGGGAATGAAGAAATAGATGGTGTCACCTCCTTTAATTTCCTAGAAAGAGAAAACAAGGCACTGATGCAGCCCGCGATGAGCAGGAATGGGAACCTGCAATCTCCTGGAATCTGCAACACATTGCTGCTCTATCAGAAGAAGAAATGCAAGGAAGAAGTCAGATAAGATGCTCTAACAATCCTTGGGTCACTGGATTCCTCCTAGAACCTCCCTTCCTTCTGGAAAGCCATCAAAAGTAAAGGCACTGGCCCTATAGGACCACAGGGTCACTTAAGGAACATTACAGAGCAATGATTCTTGACCTTCTCAGCTTCAAACTCCCTTCTAGAAATTGCACCCCCTTCCCCACCTCACACTATTTGTTCCAAAGGCTTTTATCTACCAAAGTTGATGGGGGGGCTCTAAGAACAGCTTGAGATTTACTGGTCATACCCCAGAGTCCCTGTGCTGACATCGACATCTTTCCCATCCACACAAATTATCCGTCGTTAACACATGGACGTGCTATATTTCTAACCAAATCAAAGAACTTGTACCGATCTTTTCTGCAGCCTTATTCTGAGTAAATATGTGATTTCCATTAGGCTTTTTGAAATATGTAAAATATATAGACTCCCATTACCACCTTCAGGACCTCTAGGTGTTTGGGGACCTTTACTAGGAATTCACTCCTATGCCCAAAATGAGTTTGAAGATGAAAATTATAGCTAGGCGGGGAAAGAACTGTTGGTGTAACAAGATATTTAAAAGCAAAAATTTTTCCCCACCTGGGTAGGTCAGGGCCTAGCATTGGAGAAAGGGATGTTTTCAAAATGAGAGTAACTGCTAAAGCAAAATGTGTAAAACTGAGACATTGGGCAAAGAAGGGAAAAGAAGGGAAGGGTGTTGGCTTATAAGAGAAGACAATTCTGCTGTGTTAAACTGTTTCCCCTGAAACAACATTTCCACTCAGCTGGGAAATTTTCTGGGCTCCTGAAACTTCATTAGGTTTCTGGCAATTACCCCAAGGAGACCCCCTAAAAGGTAGGCAATAGTTACACAACTGACATGCATTGTGTGACAGAAATAAAGGAAGCTGCACATGCTTTTATTCATTAACGTATTTTTTCCACAGTGCCATAAGGAAGGAAATTGTAAATTTGTAATCAGGCAGATCTCTAAGTTTTCCAAGAATGGCTGTTCTCTTCCCAACTAGGGTTAAAAGACAATTTGTTGCACTCTGGGCAAATCCCGACTTGGTTCCTGTCTTACTTAAGGTTTCAGAAATAGTCATAAATCTTTTAAAATATTTATTATTAATTCATTTTGGGGCAGCTTTTATGATTCTAAAACTTCAGGATCTGTTTGAATGTTTCCTGAGTCTCAAGTTTCATGGAGAAAGGCTGACAGGGAACCAAATTCCACCAGTGGTTTGGTGGTGTGTGAGCAGGCCATCAGCCAGAACATTCTAACATGTCTACAAAGGGCGTGATTTGGGGTCGTCTCTGCCGAGAAATTCTATGGACTAGGGGGAAACACTTTCTTCTTTCCCCCAGTACTATTTGGACTAGTTTCTAAAAATGGACAGAAACACCCTGTCAGCCTTGTGAGAAATCCAATCATCTTGTTAATAAACAGAAAAGGGTACTATCAACATGACTTATTTTCCACTAACTAGTTAATGCAAGTAAGACAAGCTAATAGGCAAAATTCAGATTTCATTTCATCTATTGCTTCACCCCACACCAAATGTAAATGTAAAAGTCTCCTGAATTGGGTGTGTTATAATCTCGGTCCACTGACAGATTATCTAGAAGCAGACTCACATTTCCCCCAAAAAAGAACCCTGTAAAAATAGCCATTGCTCTGTGTAGATATCAAATCTGTGCCTCCTGCAGGGAGTGCAGTGGATGCAGAAACCCAAATCCACCTTCAGGAGAGGCAGCCTGGAGGAGTAGCATGAAGCAAGGAAAGAAGAGTTGGTGGATGGGTTCTCAAAAAATCTTCCTTACAGCCAAGTCTGTGAGGTCAGGGGATAGTCTCCCAAGGGAAGTGGTGGGAGCCCCACAGTTAGAGGCATTTAGAAGGGGCCTTGATGGAAAAATGGAAATGTAACCCTAGGTTAAAAACTGTGCCCTGAAAAGGGATAAGGGAGACAAGCTTAAAGAGATTCTTTCAGCTCTAATTTCTAAGAATCCCATTAGACTACAGAGAAAAAAAATAAAAGAAAAAATGAAACAGGAAAAAAAGGAAACAAAAGCCAGAAGAGAAAATAATGTTAAGGCACACTGTTAAGAAACACACCGGAAGACCCTCATGATCTCCCAGCTACTGTTCCATCTGAATGCTGTGTAAGGGTTTGCAAGCTGAAAATCAAGTGAGCAGAGGGGAGATCCCTCTCAACTGACTGTGAACAAACCCTGCGAACTCCAGAGCCATTTGTCTAAACCAAGTGCTGAAAGAAAGGAAGCCCGAGATGGGGTAGCCACGAAGATTCATTTCCTTGTGGAGTTTGGCTATTCCTCCTCACTTTTAATCAATGCAATCCTGTCTAAATAGCCTACTTTCCTTAGCAAAGAAGTCTGGATTTAAGCTCTGAGCTTGCTTTTTTTTATTAAAGGCGTGTTGGCAATATCATGGTACATGACTTCCCTGATTTCTAGCAAACAGAGTCATAGATAACCTGAATACCAGAGTGCTAGCTGCTTCACCCCAGTTGAAATCAGCCTAGAATAAACATGTAAGTCATATAGTATTCCAGTATGAATAAACACGATCTGTGTATTTATAACTGTGTGTGTGTGTGTGTGTGTGCATCTGTGAGTGTGAGTATGGTGAACAGCAGACATTTCCATGCTTAGGATTTTTTCTTTTAACTGGTGAAAATAACTGTGACCTGAATTGAGAATGAACCAGGCTCCAAAAAGGCAGTTTTCCTGAACATGTACAGACAAAGGAAATAGTTTCCTTACCAGAAAGGAGTCACTTGAAAGCTTTTAGGCCAGACCGTGCTCGGGCTCAGATTTCTTTTCTTTCAGCCCTTTGATGAACAACTCATATGGAGATTCAAGCGTCTTGTGCCTGGTTTGAATTTAAGCTGTTGCTGACTTTAGTGGAAAACTTTCATAAACTCAACTCAGGCTTTCTTCCTTTCCCCACGACTGCTGACCAGGTTTTGATATATCTTTGGATATTCATCTTGAGTCATTCATTCTCAGTGTGATCATTATTATCAACTTGACGGAAAACAATTTTTCTGCAAGAGAGACTGAATTCAGTCTTCTTTCTCTTGCAGCTCTGAGTTCTGTCATTCTTCTGGAGCAGTGGGAGGGTGAGGCGGGGCTGGGAGACTACTGGATGCAGGAAGGAGGATGGAATGGGAGTGAAGCCTGCCGACAGCTGCTGGAGATCGCATATCTCTGTGGCAGAGTTATTGCTGGGACAATACCACATGGATCCCTTCCAGTACCCTAGCAAGAGGGCATAATCTCCACATGCCAAAGCCCTTCTTCAGGAATGAGCTGCATAGAGAGTGTAGTTTTCAAGAAAAGCCTTGCCCTCAAAACAGGACTCTTCCTGTGGCTCACTTGAGAATAGTTCCCTGAAGGATTTCCCCCCATTTTTGCTGGGCTTTTTGGTGACAGTTGAAAGTTTGGAATGCCCAGAACACTTTGTTCAGGAACCTGTGCTGCCTTCAGAATTGCGCAGTGAAAAACAAGAGCCTTGGAATCAACCCAGCCTGGATTTGGAGCCCAGCTTTGCCACTTACATGGGTAACTTTAATAACAAGTCTTCCTGGTCCTCAGTGTATATGTGAATTTAAGAAATCCTCAATTTCTGGATATTGGAAAGATTAAATGAGATTATGCTTCTAAAGTTCACTGTCTCTGCTTCACTCTTCCTCTCTGACCCTATGCTCTTGTTGATAACTTTGCAAATTCTCCTGGTCCTACGTAACTAAAACAATTGTGTCCCGTCCAAGCATAGAGGATCCAAGAATGATCCCTAGGGTGTGTGGGGCCCGAGGCGAATCACATGGTGTGTCTTCACTCCCTACATGTTTACAAAGACACAATCAGATTTAAGCGATTTTGAGGGCAGGTTTGAGTTGAAAATGAAAAATATCACAAAAAAGGAGAAGTCTAAGGAATATGTGTGGAAGCAGGAAAAGGGGGCATCCTGTTTGGCCTCAGGGTGGCTGTGTGGGGCACTGTAAGTTGCTCCACGCCCAGCAGCACTGATCTCCAGAGGCCCCTGAATTCAGCTCAGCACTTGCTCACTGCTGAAGCCATCCTGATTGGCCAAGACCTCTGGGAGTGGCTCTCACAGGAACCCTTCTCTCTTGCAGTTCCTGAACTTCAGGAGGCTCACTTGCCACAGTTCTTGCACAAACTTTGTTGCAAATGAGCCAAGTAGTTTGTATTTGTTTTTATAATGGTGCAAATCCGACAGGTAACTACCCACACAACCACTTCATTTAAAAATATATAAGACCAAGCCAGGCACAGTGGCTCATGCCTGTAATCCTAGCACTTTGGGAGGCCAAGGCGGGTGGATCATTTGTGGTCAGGAGTTCAAGAACAGCCTGGCCAACATGGCAAAACCTGGTCTCTACTAAAAATACAAAAATTAGCCAGGCGTGGTGGTATATGTCTGTAATCCCAGCTACTTGGGAGGCTGAGGCCCGAGAATCACTTGAACCCAGGAGAACCCAGGAGACAGAGATTGCAGTGAGCCAAAAATGCACCACTGCACTTCAGCCTGGTTGACAGAGCAAGACTCCGTATTAAATACATACATATATATCCATTTTTATATATATATACACACATATATATATCCATTTTTATATATATCCCATTTTAAAAACCACGCTGTGTGTGGTGGCACATGCCTGTGATCCCAGCACTTTGGGAGGTCGAGGCAGGAATATCGTTTGAGACCAGGAGTTCAAGACCAGCCTGGACAACATAGTGAGACTGCACCTCTATCAGAAAAATTAGCTGGGTGTGGTGGCATGCAACTGTGGTCCCAGCTGCCTGGGAGGCTGAGGCAGGAGGATCATTTGATCCCCAGATGTTGAGGCTATAGTGAGCCATGATTATGCCACTGTACTCCAGCCTAGGCAACAGAGTGATACCCTGTCTCAAAAAAATAAAGAAAAAAGAAGAGAAGAGAAAGAAGAGAAGAAGAGAAGAGAAAAGAGAGAAAGAGATGAAAGAAATAAAATGAAAGAAAGAGAGAAAGAAAGAACAAATGAACAAAAGAAAGAAAGAAAAGAAAAAGAAAGAAAGAAAGAAAGAAAGGAAGAAAGAGAAAGAAAGAAAGGAAGGAAGAAAGAAAGAAAGAGCTATAGAATGTAACCACATAGCTGAGGCTTCCCTTTGAACGTAACCCACTGGTGTACTCATTTCCTAAGGCTTCTCCTACAACTTACCATGACCTAAGTGGCTTAAAACAACACAAATGTGTTCTCTTGCAGTTCTGGAGGCCAGATAGAGGAACTCAGTCTTACCAGGTTCAAGTCAAGGTGTCAGCAGGATTGGTTCTTTCCAGAGCCCCTAGGGGGAGAACACGTTCCTTGCCTCTTCCAGCTTCTTGGCTTGTGGCTACATCTACTCCAGGCTTTGTCTCTGGGGTCACATTGCCTTCTCTTCTTCCGGAATCAAATCTCCCTCTGCTCTCTCTTATAAGGACACTTGCAATGGCATTAGGGCCCATTCCGATAATGAGGATAATCTTTCCATCTTGAACTCCTTGATTTAATCACATCTGCCAAGTCCCTCCTGCCATATGAGGTGACATTCATAGGCTTCAGGCATAAAGATGTGAACATCTTTGGGGACCTTTATTTAGCCTACCACAGACGGAAATCCCCCTTCATTAACAACAGCCAGCAGTTGCCTTGTTACGAAGTGTTTCTTGCCCAATAGAATAGAAAAACAATAACTCTTTGGCATTCTATTTTTTTTCCATTCTAAATCTATAATACAGACCAGTATATTACATGGGCGCATCATTTCCTGCTACTGCCATTGTCTCTGCCATCTCAGGAAAGGAGCTGAGAAGTGGATTCTAAAGATAGTGACAGTTCCAAGACCTCATTCTCCTTTATGCAGAATGACTGAACACAAACATCCCAGTCCTTTTCCATCATGTTAAAATTGATGATGTGCTCCAAGTCTGGCCAGAAAGCATGTGCTTTTCCAGACACACAAAAAACTAAATTTATACCGCCTTAAGGGACAAAGAGTGGCATTAACGCCGGGAATGGTTGCCCAGTTGAAAAACAGGAGGTTGTAAGGGAACAGTTATTTAAAAGTCACTCTGATATGACCTGTTCCCCAAACAATTCATTGCTGGGTCACAGTCATTGTTGCTAGGTTGCATAACATTTATTACTATGGTGTCCTGGGCCCCCTGGATTGGTAACAGACACATCTATTCCTCAGAGGATGAGCAAAGGTTGATAATGTCCTCTTACCCTAGGCGAGCTGAACTTCAACCGCCAAGATACTGGTTGGACATTAAGACTTTGCAACACCTATCATTGTCTGTCACCTCCCGAGATAAACTCTCTCGTGACTGGTTTCTCCCGTCACCAGCCACTGATATTTTATTATATCTCTTTTGTAGACTGGCTCTTGGGTCCCTGACACTGTCTGGCTAGATTTGGTCATATGCTCAAAGCTAAATTCACAGACCTCCAGACCTCACAGTGTGATGGGATAGGAAATAATCAGAGAGGCCTGGACGGAGTTAGACTGTCAGAGAAACTGCAAATCAGCAAAAGAATGAAAGCCCCTTGACCCTGAGCACATCTGCCACGTATTTAATTCTATGTTCTTGCCAAGCCCTGAAAACCCTGGCTGGGGAGACTTGGGAGCGAATGGGGTTATGAAGTCTAGGAGAACGTAGAGGTGAGAAGGCTGGCAGGTTGCCGGCTGCTGCGCTCCCCTCCTGGGTCAGGGACCGGGAGTGAGATCGGTGGTGGTGAAGTAGACACTGTGAGCCATGAAGATAGTCAGGGACACAAATGTAACCAGCTACGTGCGGGTGTCTGGATGACCCGCCACAAGATGTACTGCATCGATTTTATTTGCTCGCTTCTTTGCCAGCTGGCTCCAGAGCAGAGGAAGCAAATGAGCTTTTCCCTGTTCCTTGGGGTTTCTGATCTCAGGGCTACGTTAAGGAGATCCCAACATTTGGGAGGAAGTGAGCCCATGAGTTCCTGAATTCCTGAGTGGCTTCTCATTTCCACATCTTACGGTCAAATTAGAAATGGGTGCAGAAAAGTTTTGTTTGGGAAATGGCAGAGGGACCTTCCTGTTAGGGCTGCACCTACTTCTCCAGCCTCCTTCTCACCTCCTGCAACCTCCTGCATTTTAGTTCTGGGAAGACTGAGGATCTGCTATTGGTTTCTTTTCACTGCTCTTCACATTCCCCAGCTTTCTCATCTGGTTCAAATGTCACTGTCTCTTGGAAGCTTTCCTGGATTTCCTAAGCAGACTTAGATTACCCTTCCCAGCTGTCTTTTAGCATACCTCATATTCTTCACTATGTGAGGAGCTAGAATAATTCATTGATCTATGTTTCCTACTAACCAAAAAGTGTTTGAAGATAGAAATCCCATTATATTCCCAGTCTGGCACATGACAATGATTCAATAATTGTTTGGTGAGGAGAGGACATTCCTACATTAGACACTAGTTTTCGATATAGACCTGGGCTGTGGACCTTTGGTCATGGTAACAGACTGTGTGTGATGGATACACCACAGGGGAAAATCTATGAAGCCTCAGGGATTTTTAAAAAAGAAAAATGGCCCCAATTGATTTTTTTTATGTTAGTTGCTTGGGTACATTGTTTTGGGGAGGCAAAGCTAGAGATGCTGGATGAGCACAAAGCAATCGTATATGTACCCAGCACAGGAAACTTGGCCACCTTGGAGATGCCAAGAGGAATCCTGCCCAATTCAGGTGCTCCACACTGAATGCACCTATGCAAACTCAATTAAATCTCTCCTTCAGAAAAATAAAGAAAAGGCAAATAAAGATCAGAGATAATAAAGTTCCAAAATACTTTGTGGGCATACCTACTTTTCTTATACTCTCATTAGACTGAGGCATATGATGTTTTCTGGCCAATGGACTGCAACTGGAACATGCAACACTTCTGGGCCAAAGCACATAAAAGTAGGCAGAATTCTCCAAGCACTTGCTTCCCTGCTGTGGTGATCATGGAGGACTCATGTTGAGATGGCGGAGCAAGAGGATCAAAGCAGCCTGGATCACTGAGTCACCGCATGGAGAGTAGCAGTGTCTTGGAGAGTTGCCCAAACCCACAGCAGAGTTTGAGTGAAAAATAAATGTTTACTGTTATGAGCCACTGAGTTTTGGGGTGGGAGATAGCCTATCCTGACTAGAGCAGGCAAGTTGTTCTAAAACACTTTCTTGCATGCTTATGAAATAGACCACTACTCAGTGTCAGAAGGATTCAGCTGATTGTTTCTTCAACTTCACGGTGAGTAATTAGCACTCATCTTTACTTGAGAGCCCAAGGAACCTGGAAGGCTGATAGGCTCAGGGTGAATTCAGTGAGCGTGTTGTGGAAAATTCAGAGGAGAAGCACTGACATATGGGGCTATAAACATCTGTGCACCTTCCTTACACAAATTCTTGAATTATAGTCTCACAAATCAGTCATCAGATGACAGGGACAGAGATGATGGAGGATAGCAGTGGGCTCATATATTTAATGCTTTGGGATACCTTGCCATAGGCCTTCAAAAGCCCCCACCCCTTACACCATTATTTGACCTCTTTCGTGTGTTTATTACTTAATACTTATTAAATGCTTAATAACCACATATTCTTATTTGGTTCAGGGATGTTTTCTTGGCCAGGCTTCTGAATGCATTCATCCCATATGGATATTGCTTAGCCTCCATGACCCACTATTTATTAATGTAAATATCAGACCTCTGAATAGAGCATGTATTCAATACATATCCTTTGAATGAACAAATCTATTGCACTCTTATCTTACCCCACCTTAGAGCTTGCAAACACAGGATTCACTCAACTGAGCTAAAGCAAGTAATTACCTTTTAAGTAAACAACTACCTGATTGTCTATTTCAAACTCCCTGAGAAATATTCTAGAATTTCTTTTCCTCAAAAATATGTAATTATTACGTAGAATTAGAAGGGAAATTGCTTGATTTGCAAACAACCTTAAAATACACAATCTTCTCTCTCTCTTTTCCTCTGTAGGCTCCATGAGGTATTTCCTATTAAAAATTTCAGCTCTGCTTCTTATCACCTTTGCCCTCTTCTCCGCTCTGACTTTAAATTCAGGAGACGGTTTCCCTGGGGAATACAGATCCTAGTGCCATGTGATCTGGCCTAAAGGGTAGTGTGACAGAGCGAAACAAAAGAGGATGCTAACCTTGCCTTTCTCCCATTCACGTGTGCACTTCCCCACTGAATGCCAGAGACCGGAAGCGAGTAATGCTCCACCATCTCAGTAAAACCTATTAGTTTATGTGATTCAATCATTGGCAAGACTGACTCTGCAACAGAAGGGTGACAAGGAGTTAGCAAAATTTCTGGTGTTTGAAACAGACTAGTAAGAAATGTAGTGTTTTAATGGCAATTACTGCTTTCATCTTTTCTTACTACAGAATTATTGCTCATCGTGGAAAAAGCAAAAAACATACAGTAAATCAAAAAGACAGAAAAATCATTTTCAATCTAATCCTACAGATACTGCTATTAACATGTTGGTTTGAAACATTCTCTGTCTCTCTTTCTCCCTCGCTCTCTCTCCCCTTTCTTTCTCTCTTCGAATGCCTGTGTACTCAAGTGTAACTATTTATCTATAATTTAATATTATCTCAATAATGTTAATTACCTTAAGAAATCAGAATTTCTCTGAATACAATAAATACAATAACATTAGGAAACTGTCTTAATATACTGCTCAAAGTTAGATAGTATGACACTAAAATCACGATTCACAAGAGACAACTAGGCCAAAGAGATGGTTAAACTGCTGATACTCAGAGGTGGAGTTGTAAAAATGGAAGAGGGACATTTGGAGCCACTTTAGGGATATCTAACATTCATTTGGACTTTTCTTCTATGTGCAGCTGAAATGTAATTCTTCTCACTATTTTTTCAAATCTCCAATGCCTTCAGTGATCTTTCTGGAAGACATCAAGGAAAGATGCTTTGTCTCACTCCACACTTCTGGGGTGATGTCCTGTGATGTCAACCCAGGATGGCAAAAAGGACAAGATTATCTACTCCCTGACCTACTTCAGCGACTGCATAAGCTTAGGGTCAGAAGCACTGAAGAAAGCAGTAAGTGGCCACCCCTCCATCCTGAGGCCTGGACCTCAGGAAGAGAGTCCCTGGAGAGAACTGGAGAGAGAGGGAGAATGTGAAATGGGGTTGGAGTGAATTTAATTTGAATTTCAAAGGGTAAGGTCCTTTGAGTTTCATCTATGTTGCACGTACATAGTTTTAAAAAGTGGTATCATGCTGTTTCTGTTATTTCACACTCTATGGATTTTCACGTAACAAATATTTGAAGGCCATTCATGACAAATATATATATATCTCCATAAACATCATGATGTTGGGGGTGGCTGTGACAGAGACTGACCACTCGGCACAAGTAACAGATGCTGCTTCTGGGCGGAAGGAGTGAAAAGACCAGGCATATTTCTCCAGTTTCCTCCTCCCTGTTATAGCAATCATGGAAGAGGCTTTGTATTGAGATGATGGTGCCAAAAGATGCCAGTGGTCTGTGCTGCTGAGTCATCATGTGGACACCTGCCTGTAGTGCCATACAGACTTGTGTGGGAAAGAAATACATGTTGTTGGTTAAGCCTCTGAGATGTTGGAGTTGTTACTGCAGCATTAGTAAGCCTACTCTGACTAACATATTGGTCACCAAACCCGTTTTCTCCTTTTCCTGGTTACTTAGCTAGATGACATTCCCAATTCCTTATAAAAAACTAGATCAGACTTGGTGACCGAATTTTAGCCAATGAATTGTGAGCAAAAGCTAACCATGTTACTTTGGGGTTGAGATGAGTAAGAAGTATGTGTACCTTCTCTTCCTCTTTTTCTCCTGATGATGATGAAGCCTAGGAGATGAAGGAGCCACAAGCTAAAAAAAATTGTGGATCCTTGAAATACTGCTTATAAGAGAGCTGCCCACCATTTGGGAACACTTGTGTTGGACGTTATGTGAGTGACAGTAAATTTCTATGGTTTTTGAGCCATTACACATTTTTTGTTTTGTTTACAACAGCAGACCACATTAACTTTTAAAGAAATTTGTATTGTGAAGTAGAGTGCTTCCATAAGCAAAACCTGAAATCAATGTCATTTGGCCTAGTGATGGAATGGCAGGAAGTAAAGAAACAAGCGGTATCCTTTCTTTGAAATGAAGGCTGAGTGCCTCATTATATGTTGGCAAAACATTTAGCAAAGTTGTTGCCTGCAATAACTTGGAAGGCTGACCATATACATACCAAGACTGTTAACTCAAGAAAACTGTTGGCAAGAGTCCGTATAAGTATGTGATGGCTACTACTATCTGGTTTTAGCAAGGCTTTATAAGAAAAAGTGATGCTGAGGCCAGAACTGGCTAGTTTTCAAGTACAGATGAAAGACACTGGAGATAATTCAGTTCTGGACTTAATGAAATAATAAAACTTTTATCATGTGGACATTTTTGGTTTTGTGTTTTTTATAAAATCTATCACTTTAATTAATATTGCTGCAGAGTATTTTATTGTACGACTATCTCAAATTTGTTTAAACAAATCTCTACTGATGACCATTTGGGATGTTTCCAATTGTTTTGCCATTGCTAAAAGCTCTACTTTGGATATCTTGATACTACAGTTTGTCCACTTTTCCAATTATTTTCTTACAATTAATTATTGTAATTGGAGGTGCAGGGTTAAAGAATATGGACATTTTAAATTTAATGCATTCTGCCCAGTATCCCTGAAGAAAATTTACATCATTTTGAAATCCCACCAACATATCCTCAACATCAGAGGCATTATCACTATATGTATCTTTAAAATAGATGAGCAAAAAACATGATGTTCCATTGTTGTTTTGTTTTCCTTTTGTAATTAGTGAGGTCTAACATAACTTCATATGTTCATAGCCATTGCATTTGGTCATTTGTGAACTGCATGCACTTCTCTCTTGAGATATCTGTCTTACTTATTTAGAAGGACTCAGTTTAGTTTATCTGGGGAAGTCCTACATTACACCTGGTCTCCTGGCATAAGTACAAGTAGTACCTCCTTTCACTCTCCAAAGTACTTTGGTCTGAAAAATAAATTATATGGGTACCCTGGATATAACCCCTTATTTTGCCAATCTGTTGCTGTTTTTACCCAGCTTGTCATTCATCTTTAAGTTTGATTAAATGTTTATGTTGTAAATTTTGTCCAGTTTTTCTTTATGATTTCCAGCTTCAGTATCAGACTTTGAAAAAAATCCTCATTTCAAGATTTCAGAAATAGGCACCTAGCTTTTCCTGTATTCATTTTATGCTTTTGTTATTGACATGGGAGCACAACGATGCTCTCTCACACTCTTGAGGTCTTCACTCAAATGTCACCTTTCCAGTTAAATTGCATCCCACACCTACCTACTGGGGAAACACTAACTCTATTCATGGCTTTATTTTCCTTCATAGTGTTTGTCACCATTCAACCTACTATATATTTTGCTTATTTATTTCACTGTTTCTCTACTACCACTGAAAGGTAAGCTCCTTGAGGGTAGGAATTTTCGAGGTTGTTTTTGGTTGTTGTTGTTAATTATTGTATCTCTAGGAGCTGGAACATGGCATATAGTAAGTGTTCAACAAAACACATGTTTAATAACTGAAATTAAAGCTTCAACCCACCTGACGCTTATTTTGTTGTAAGTTATAAAGTAAGTACTCAGTTTACTTTAGTCCTTTCCCTTATTGAATTAAAATCTCCTTTAGCCTATACTCCCTTTATCTTCTGGTACTACACATTTTCTTACATTAGTCAGTTTCTCTATTATATACCATTAACCTATTTCACAGTGTATTGCAAGAAAAATTATTCAATAATCTACTTTTAGTTTTTTATATCTCTGTCTTCAAATATTTACTAAAAGATAAAACTTACAGACACCTGTCATGTTTCCATTGATACACTATTGGGGATGATTGGGATCATATTTAAATTATATATTGATTTAAAGAAAATTTACATTTCTATGTTTAGCTCTCTTGCCCAGAACAAAGTACAAAGATCCATTTTCAAGGTCTGTGTGTGTGTGTGAGTGTATGTGTGTGTGTGTGTGTGTGTGTGTGTTTTAGTTATGGTAACACTAATTGCCAAAACAGGTAACTTCTAAAAATGTAGTGGCTTAACACGAAAAGTCCAAGTGAATATTCACAAGGCTGCATGCTAGTCAATGATGCAAGGATCAAAGGTTCTTTCATGTTGTCATCCTGTCCCTCCTCTCCCTTGCTTCAGCATCCTCTGCCAGGAGATGGAGAAAAAACAGCAAAGAGGATATACCTGTTTCTTAACCACTTTGGTCCAGAATAGGCATATATTATTCCTACTTTAGATCCTACCCAATGTTTTAAATAAATTAAAGAAAAAATCGTAGGAGTAAGAACTGGAAAGGAAAAGATAGGCAGTTATCATTTGTAAGTCACAGGACCCTTACATAGAAAAAGAAGAATCCATGGACTTTACATCTAATGGGTTGCCTGATCTGAGATCAATTTAAAAGAATCAGTAGCATTTTTCTACATCAGTAATACCCAAATACAAAATATAACAAAAAGTTATTTTTCTTAATAGCAAACCAAACAAAGATAAACCCCCACAAAATGATAATGAATACACAAATTGCAGCAAATACCTAAGTCCTCTACAGAGAAAAATTCAAAATTCATAGAAGAACATAATTTTAAAGACCTGAATAAACAGTCATTACATGCTCTTGGATGGAATGACTTAACAGTAGAAAAGTGTCAATTCTTTCCCAAATTTTATATGTATATAAATTTTATGTAGCTATTATATAAATTCAATGCAATCTGAAATAAATTCCAGCTACATTTGTTTAGGAACCTGATAAGAGTATTCTAAAAAGCATATAGAGGCCAGGCATGGTGTAATGTGAGCACTTTGGGAGGCTGAGGTGGGCAGATCACCTGAGGTCAGGAGTTCGAGACCAGCCTGGCCAACATGGCAAAACCTTGTCTCTACTAAAAATACAAAAATTAGCTGGGTGTGGTGGTGCACACCTGTAGTCCCAGCTACTCAGGAGGCTGAGGCATGAGAATCGCTTGAACCTGGGAGGTTGCAGTGAGCTGAGATCATGCCACTGCAATCCAGCCTGGGCAACAAAGTGAGACTGTCTCAAAAAAAAAAAAAGAAAGAAAGAAAAGAAAAAAACACACACCATACAGAGTAATAAAGTTAAACAAATTTGAAAAAGAACAGAAAAGCAAAGATAAATTGCTTCATTCTCTATAGTAATAGAGTCAATAGAACACAATGAAGAGCTCAGAGACAGACACACAATTTAATGTCTTATAATGGTGTCATCACAAAGATATAGGGAAAATATAGACAATTAGTAGATGCCATTCAGAAAAATGGATGACTATATGAAAAAACTAAAAGTTAACATCTACCTAACACCATAAACAAATATACAGAGGATTAATAACCTAAGTATAAACAAAACACTGAAAAAAAAAGAAACCAGAAGAACATGTAGGGCAATACCTTTGTAACCTAGGAGTGAGGAAGAATTTCTTAAACAAAATCCTGAAAGTACTAACAACAAAGTGAAAAGTGACATAACTTGACACCAGTGAAATGAAGGCTATTGCTCAACAAAGAAAACTATGGATAAAACTGACAGATACATGAGACATTTGCAATTTCAAAAACAACCAAGGGCCTTGAATCAAGAAAAGAGATCTTGAAAAACCAACAGGAAAAAGACAGGAACACAATAGAGAAAGGGTTAGATTGACTAAGAAATTTCTAGAAAATGAACCTTAAAAGGCGACTAGTAAATGAAGATATGCTCAAATGTAGTATATTTTGATAACTGCAAATTTAAATGGCAGTGATAGACGTTACACACTCACATTGGGACAAATTGGAAGACTGGACAATGCCAGGTGCTGGCAGGTGTATGGTGATAGGGCAAGCTTCCACCACAATAGGGGGTAGTAGAGACTAATGCAGACATTTTGGAGAACATTCTGTTAACATTTGGTCAAAATATGTGTATGTAAACCCCATGAACCAGCAATCTCACTGCTGGGATACATCTCAAAGAACTTCACACAGTTCTACTTTTCTTTTTCTTGCCTTATTGCTCTGGCTAGGATCTCAGTACAATGTAAAATAGATGGGGTAAGAACAGATTTTTTGCTGTGTTCTTAACATTAGGAGGAAAATATTTGATCTTCTCCATTAAATATATTATCTGTAGTTGTTCACTGATGCTCTTGATTAGCCATCATTTTTTCAAATATATTTTCTGTCCTTTTCTCATTTCTTTTCTTCTGGGATCCCAATTACATGTATGTTATGCTACTTGATACTGTCCTACAGGTCACGGAGTCTTTATTCAAGTTTTTCAGTCTTTTCGTCTCTACATTTCATTTTGCATAATTTCCATTGCTGTGTTTTCAAATCCGTTGATATGTTATTATGTAGCATATAATTTGAGGTAAGTTTCATTCCAGTAACACTTTCTTTTCATATGTTGTATTTCTTAATTTCTAGAATTTTTATTTTGTTTTTTCCATATGTTCTATTTATTTCTTCATGTTTTCCTTTAAATCCTTGAACATATTTACACTTGTGGTTTTAAACATCATTTTCTGATAATTTCACCAGCTCTGTTATTTCTATACCCGTTTCTATGATTGAATTTTTTCTCTTCATTATGGGTCACAGTTTCCTGCTTCATCTCTATCTTATAATTTTTGATTAGATGATTAGATGCCACACCTTATGAGTATTATGTTTCTGAGTAATTTGGACTTACTGGTTTTATTTTAAGGAGTATTTGAATTGTGAGAGGGAAACAGCTACATTACTCAGCTTACTCCGTTTGAGATTTGTTTTTAAATTTTATTAGAGCAATTCTAGAATAGCTTTTATGATTTTTCTTCTTTAGCCTTTACTGCATAGTTTGCTTCTTTTTCTCATCACACATGGTTTTATTGTGAAAAAAATTTAATATATAGAAAAGTTGACAGAATGATATGCAACGAACAGCCATATACTCACTGCCTAGATACACTGATTATTAAAATGTTACCGTGTTTAATTAATCTATCTGTAATATTCTGTATTTATTTTTTCTCACCATTAGAATGTATTCTTTTTCTCCAATTTTTCTAAATGTTACTTTTATATCTTTATATACTTGCTTAAACCTACCAAACATTGCCATATCTTTTAATCTATTCCCTGAACAAATGAGAAAAAATATGCATTTTTTTCCTGCCACTCACCCCCTTGCTTCCTGGTATGTGTGTGCACGTGTGTATTTAGGTGTATTGCTTTCCTTGAAGGTTTTGTCCATATCTATTGTATTTAAAATATTATTTTTATTATATATGTATTCCATCAAAAATTTAAGATTTAATTTTTGTTTTATAATCACAATGAACATAGTTATTTAAACTTAGATTTGTGTTTAAAATGGGATTTGTGATCTATGGATTCCAAAGTAGGCCATGGATTGATTTCCATAGATTTCTGAATAACACCAAGTAGAATGTACATTTTCAGGTATCTGGAGTGCACTTTCTTCTGAGAAGGTCCATGTCTTCCTCAGAATCTCCTAGGGGTTAAGAACAAATTAATTAAGTAATCCACATGCACAGTCCTTTTATACCATAACTTCCTATTCTTTTTTATTCATCTTTCTCATTGCTAGAAAACTTGTGCAAATGACCTTTTCCAGGAATTGTTCATTGGTAATATACTTCCCAAATTCTTGCTTTTGTGAGTATGCCTTTCTTTTGCCTTTACAAGAATAACAACCTGACGGTTTATGGGATATTTGGCCACAGCTTTCCTTTTAAAATTCTCCTATACTGCTAATGTGAATCCTGGACTAGCCTGATGATTCCCATTGTTGGTTACATATTTTCTCTGGCTGGATGTTTGTGACAATAGATGGCATTTACCAAGTACTTATTATGTGCCAAATAACAGGCTAAGTACGTTTGCAAACATTTTTGTATTTCATCTTCATTATAATCTTGTAAGTTACATACTACCTGCTTAATATCACAGCAATGCAGCTTGTACCCAGGTAATCTGACTGTAGTCTTAAGCAGTGCTATTCTGACTTAAAGGATTATTTTTCTTTTCGTCCTTAAAGTTCTGTACATTTGCTCAGAGACACTTTGGGTTTGACAAATTCTTTCCATTTGGCTACAGTGAGCCTTCGCCACCTGTATATTCCTCTTTTTGTGTTTGTTTATCATTTCTAACTTCTGTAGGCACACAAACTATGTGCTGAATCTTCATTGTTTGATTTCCATAGCTATTATCTTCACACTGATCTTTTTGTTTCCTTTGTCTCTCTTTCTTCATTCTGACTGATTATTTTCCCAGGATAGTTCTCTATGGATTCTAGTTTTTAATGTCAGTTCTGGCTTTGATTCTTCTACTGTAGTTTTAAGTTCCATAATAACATTATTTTTCTCCTTTGCTTTTTTTTTTTTAACTCACCTTAGTAGTTTCCTTTTCATTTTGTTATCTTCTCCCGTTTTTTATTTAATAAGTCCATTTATCCTTTCCTCTTCATAGGAGTGTGATAAAGTTATATATATTTTCATTATGTCTTTTTGTATAAAATTTATGTCAAATTATGCCTTTTGTTTCTTACCTTTCTCTTATATGTTGAGGTCACTTCCTCCCTTTTCATTGTGTAATTTTTCTAGGTCTCAAGCTTCTGTTTTTATTTGCATTTTCACCTTTGAAAGAGGAACTTGTAGCTCTGAATTTGCCATCAATATAGAGAGAACCAAATCTTCTAAACCCTCATTCCATAGGATTTAATATGGACAGCTAGATGTTGTAGATTAAAATATCACTTTATTCATTCATTTTCCCAAGGAAGTTAGAGAAGGAGCTATGATCACACACAGCTTGGTCCACTGAATTTGATAGACATAAATAGAAACTCTTTTATTGAGGGTCAGTTCTTGGAGGAAGGAGTAAGAAAGAGGGGCTTTGGGTTTTGCTTGTTTTCCTAATACAGTTATTTTTCCCTCCAGCTTTACTGTGGTATAATTTGTTTACAAAAAAACTGTACATGATTATTGTATATAATTTGGTGAATTTGGACATAGGTGTATACAATCATGTTACTATTACCACAATCCAGGTAATAAACATATCCATCACCTATAAAAGTTTCTTTGTGTCCCTCTGTTGTTATTGTTTTGTTTTGTTTTAATGATAAGGATGCTTAACATGAGCTCTATCCTCTTAACAAATTTTTAAGTGCATAATACTTTCTTGCTAACTACAGGTACTGTGTTGCACAGTAAATCTCTAGAATTTAGGCAACATCTATAACTTTTCCTCCATGGAGCTACAACTTACGATATCTTCCTTCCCCCATTCTCTGATAACCACCATTCTATTGCCTACTTCTATATACATTTGATTATTTTGGATGCCTCTTATAAGAGGAATCATGCAGTATTGGTCCTTCTGTGACTGTCTTATTTCACTGAGCCTAATGTCCCCCAGGTCCATCCATGTTGTTGCAAATGGTAAGATTTCCTTTCTAAGTCTGAATAATATTCTGTTATGTGTATCGACTACATTTTATTTATCCATTCACCTTTTATTGGACATTTGGGTTGTTTCCATATCTTGGCTATTGTGAATAATGCTGCAGTGAACACAGGAATGCAGATATCTTTCGAGATCCTGATTTCAAATCTTTTGGATATGTACCCAGAAGTAGGATTGCTGGGAACTTTGGCTATTCTGATACCCAAGAGCACTTAGGCATTGCATTTGGTCAGTTAGATATTTTCTCAACACAATCATTATTGTCTGATGCTGCCAATCCAGGGTTGAATGTTGTTTTCTAGGAGATTGCCTCGCACTTTTCATCCTTGTTAACCTTGTCTCCAGACCATGCTCTCAAGCTTGAGGAATACAACAAGGAGCCTGAGAACTCCAAGGAATTCCACCAGCTCGCTGCCCACTGTTGAGCCAGAGGGAGGGAATGAGCTTCTGGGAATGTGGTTCCATTTCTTCAGAGGCCCACTCCAATCCCCATTTCCATCTCCCCAAATTGGAAAACGTTATCAGGAATTGACAGAATTGTCTCTGCTCACTTCCCTTAATTCTCCACCATTCTCACAAGTATAGAAATTGTACATTCGCTCCTGGAATCTTCTTTTAATTTGATATAGAATCTTCTTTTAAATTGTAGTATATCTGGTGGGTGTCCCTCAAATCTTAGCAAATATTTATTTTCTAGAGGTAAATGGGTATGATTGATAGGTATTAGTCAGAAAGACTGGAAATGAATTACAACAGTGTGATAAGAGAAGATAGGTAAAACAAGTATTTTAAGACAGAGAGTATACTTATTAAATAATGCAGAGACAACAGGTAGAATAGGAACTGAGAGGAGTCCATAAAATTTATACAACAGAGAGGCCACTGATGAAGCTTGGATGGAGAAGTTTTCTGTGGAATGTCCACAGTAGTGAAGAAACTGCAGAATGTTATTAAATACATTTTAAAACACTGTGAAATAGATGTGAAGAGTATATGGCAAGGGAAATGGCCAATGATCTCTCTGGTCCCCAGTTCCCTTCCCCATAAAATATGAAGCTGGACTTGATAATCTCCAAGGTGCCTTTTGCAATAGGAGCTGCTGAGTGGAAGTAAGGCTCATTCTCCTTGATGCAAATTACCCAGGAACTTCCCCATCAAATCTGGAGAAAGAAGACCACCTCTGAAGCTTTTGCTGAAACAGACTGAAACTGACTCTAATAGAGCCTTTAGTCTGATTTCCAGTGTGCAGGAAATATAGGGGAGGGAGGAACAAGTTTAGGGTACCAACAAGGACTAATATCACGTGGGTCTCTCTGCTCCTCTGTCTGGGGCGTTTTTGTGGAACCAAGTGAGCTCACTCAGCCCATGAGCAAGGCAGCCCAGAAGTGAAGAGTGAGGGGTGAGAGTCTGTAGACAGAGATTTTGCATTCCCCAGCTTTGGTGGGACAGCTCTGAGGTGCATGGTATCCAGGTCCTCAGAGCATCACCAGCAGAATTAAGCCCCAGTTGCCTACAGTGATACACTGCTCATTAATGCATCTTTTCTTGGTCTTTCACCCTCTCCTGCCTCACTTTTCCTACTACCGCATTTTTTTCTTCCTAGCACTACTGTACAAATAAAATGCCTGCCCTCAAGTCCTTATCATAGGGTCTGCTTTGGGGGAACCCCAAATAAAGACAAGGGGACTATTAGAAAATTAAAAATATGTAGGAGACAAAACACTCAAAAACATCATGTGGACATTGATTAGATCTGGGCTTGAACAAACCAACTGTAAAATAATGTATTTGAGATAATCCAGGAAATTTGAATATAGACTTAGCATTAGATGATATTAAGAAACTACTGCTAATTTGGTTAGTTGTGATAATTATATGATGTTTGTAAGATAAGGTCTTTATCTGGAGATGCATAAGGGTAAAATCATAGATCAGTGGAATTTTTCAGTACTTAAAGAAAGAAAGAAAAGGAAAGGAAAAATAGAATAAATATAACAAGTGTGGCAAAATGTTAACTGTTGAATCTGGGTGATAAGTATTTGGGAGTTCATTATACTATAATATTATACTTCTTATGTTGTGTATTTTCAAAATCTTTCATAATAAAAAGTTTTCTTCTTTTGAAGAGAAAAATTCAAATTCCAAGAAAATACTAACTTTGACAGTAGACTAAATTCCTCAAGAGCATTTACTTTCAGGGACTTAAGTACAGAAAAGACTTTCTACACCACTTTCAGATAAGACAAAAAAAAATACCCTCCTACTTGCTGCAAAATGACATCCACTGATTACTCCTCTTCTGTATTCCCTGCTTGCAGCCTTGCCACATGCCACATTTCTCTCTCTGAAGTATCAAAAAGCAAACAAACTCTCCTGAAATCAGCATATTCCATTGCAAGAGGCCAGCCACTAAGCCGTCACATGAGTAGCACTCTGAGTACCAGAATGGGTTTTGAAATATTCTGGCCAAGAATAGTTCCAAGGGCAGAGCCCAGACACGCCATGCAGCTCATGTAAAAAAAAAAAAAAAATTCCATACATTTTCCATGCACTGATTCAAGATACCCATAGAAATAGACCAAGGCATTGCTTAATCAATTCTCAAGACAGGAAGGAACCTCCTAAAAAAAAAATAGCTCTTGGTCTCCTGCAAGGTAAAATGTGTGCCTCAGATCTGCAAATGAAAGAGTATCACAAACATATGGTTAATGACTCATCCCAAATGGAAAAACAGAGTTTGTTATATTTTATGGAGATTTTACATGTTGAAGGTACATCTGTTGCTATTTATGCTGACATGTATGTAGAGATTGGCAAAGCAAGTTCTCTGTAGGGATGAGCGAAATCCAAACCAAACCACAGAACTTTCTAACTTTGAGGCTGGCTCCTGGGATGGAAAACGGCTTCCTGATCCCTTGAAACACTGCCCAGTTGAGCAGGGTGACTTCGAGAGGCCCACATCACAGGACTGCACAGTTGGATAAAGCAACAAAAAGTCCTGCTTTGCACAGGGCCTCTAGAGAGAACAGAACAAAGACAGGAAGCCAGAGAGGTGTTGGAGAGCTCGGGGAACAGTGTTCTGATTACTGAACACCTTCTTTGGGTGACTGTTCCAGGAAAAATAGACCACATCTATTCTGACATAAACATGCCACCCAGAATCAGACAAAAGCCCACTCCCTTTAGCTCTGTTAATAACACTCTCTAAGAAAGTGTTCATCTGCCCTGGCCAACTTTTTTTTTTTTTTTCCAGTTGGATAGCGCTGATAAGTTTGAAGACTTTTCCTTGGTTATGTACATTTCCATATCTCCCATTTTATAGTTCATTGGTCTTTATTTTTGTTCAGTTGCATGATTGTTTAACCTGTGAATCATGTGTTTTACTGATGTGGTCTAGCCTCTGCCTTCCTTCTCTTCCTTCCCTTCATTGCTTGCCATCTAATAGAGGAGAAACAACAGGCAAATAAACAACTATACAATAAAGTTGAAGGAGAGAAGAAGTGCCAAAGAAGAAGCAGAGAAGATAAGAACATAAATTGTGTCCCCCACAAAATTAGTAAGTTGAAATCCTAACCCCTCGTACCTCAAAATGTGGCTATATTTGGAGACAGGGCCTTTAAAGGGATAATTAAGTCCAAATGGGGTTATTAGGGTGGGCCCTAATCCTACAGGACTGGTGTCCTTATAATCAAAAGAATTTGGAAACAGGCACAGAGAGAAGACCCTAGGAAGACACAGGGAGAAGGCAGCCATCTATAAGCCAAGGAGAGAGGCCTCAGAAGAAACCAACCCTATCAAAAACTTATCTCAGACTTCCAGCCTCCAGAACTGTGAGAAAATTAATTTCTGTTATTTAAGCCACTCAGTGTATGGTACTTTGTTATGGCAGCCCAGCCAGAGGACTTCGGACAGCCACCAGATAGAGTGCTATGAGAATCCAGAAGTGGAAGAGAAGACTAGTTTTCTAGGATCAAAAACCATCATCTGGAAGAGGTAGAATATGAATGATGGCTTCAGAGACAGGTAGAATTTGCTCATGCAGTAACCTCAAGGCTGAAAAACTGCAGCCTCGACCTTCCAGGCTCTAGTGATTTTCCCACCTCAGACTTCCAAGTAGCCGGGACCACAGGTGCACACCACCACCCCAGCTAACTATTTGTGTATTTCTTGTAGAGACAGGGTCACTCTATGTTGCCCAGGCTGGTCTCGAACTCCTGGGATCAAGCAATCCTCTGCCTTGGCCTCCCAAAGTGCTGGGATTCTAAGTGTGAGCCACTGAGCTCAACCCAGAAACTCAGTTTCTTATGTGGACCTTCCCAAGGTTGCATACCCAGGCCCAGTGAGTTCTCCATCATCCATGGAGACATTTTGTACACTCTTGTGGCCAGGGTGCCTCCACGGTGGTACTCACTGTGCTCGCTTGTCTGATCCTTTAAATAGTCAACTCTACTTTTGGTTCAGATGAACCTACTCAGAAATTAGAGAGCTTGTTAACCCTCTGTTCACCTGAATATTACCACCATTTAACATTGGCCAAGGACCAACTGCAGGCCAAGCACAAACACTCACCTACCTCATTTTAGGCATCTCAAAAGAAACTAAGTATGAAAAGCAGAAACTTAATAGACTATAATATAGTATATGTGAGACCACTTCAGTTAACACACACACTATATTTAATCATCCTTGGTACCATGGCTGCTGTTGAGTGTTACATTACCCATGTACTAAATTAAACTCAAGTTACTTTTAATGTTGTCTAAAGTATTCTCATCTAAATCCACTCGTTCAAGGCCTGCATTATGAGACTCCAAGAATGTATTACTGACACTCATGGAAAATGTATTTAACATTCTTATAAATATTATAACTCTTTTTTTTTTGGCAGAGGGCAAAATTGTTCCTTTTGCCTTTATTCAAGTGAGATTTGGCTTCTCAGCGAATCTCTGTTCTCAGCGAACTGAGAAGGTTCGACAGTGTCAGAAGGTAGGTTTTTTGTCTCCAGCCTCTCCTCCCCTCAACTTCAGAAAAATTACAGATGTTATTCAGTCAAGATCCTATAAAAATAACCCAGGTGTGGCAGATGCTGTTTCTGAACTTACAGGAGATACAAGAAGAGACTCTCTGGGGTATTAATGAAAAGATTGGGTCCAAGCGGCACCAGATAAGAAGCAATAGGAATGTACATGTTTTTACTATAATGATTACCAAGGGGTAAGCCATCCCCTTTTAAGGCCCTCAAAGCTGTTTTAGATTTTGATAGAGTCCACCCAGATAATTTAAAATAATCTCCTATTCCAATGTTCTTTGCTTAATCATATCTGCAAAGTTCATTTTGCCATGGAGGGTAACATAGTCCCAGGTTCTAGAGTTTAGGATGTATTCATGTTTGTGTGTGGGCTGATTATGTGTTAGGTCCAGCTCCTTCTCAAGAACGTTCAGTTTTCAGAACTCCTATGTGCCCAGGTTGTTGATGAAGAGGGGCATAGGACAATTATTCCAACAACTCAGACAATAACATTTTTGTCTGAAAGAATCTAATAGTAGAAAGAGGAAAGATTCCATTTTGCAGAAGTCAAAAGATTTTATTTCTAAATGTGTGTATGTGTGTGTGTGTGTGCACGCACGTGCGTGTGTGTGTGTGTGTGTGTGTTAGAAAAAGGGTCAAGGAGTATCATCCAGGAATAAAAAGATTTAGAGTCAGACCTGCATTTGTTTGGGTTTGTCCCTGTATAGTAGGCAGAATAATCCCCCCCCGCCTCCACTGCCAAACACATGCATACACACGTACACACACACAGGAGCACATCCTAATTTCTAGAGCCTGCAAATATGCTAACCTAAATAGCAAAAGGAACTTTGCAGAAGTGATTAGGTTAAGAATACTGAGCAAGGACATGAATAGACAATTCTCACAAGAAGATATACAAATGGCCAACATATGAATAAATGCTCAGCATCAGTAACGATCAGGGAAATGCAGATCAAAACCACAATGCACTACCACCTTACTCCTGCAGGAATGGCCATAGTCAAAAAATTAAAAAATAATAGATGTTAGTGTGGATGCAGTGAAAAGGGAACACTTTTACACGGCTGGTGGGAATGCAAACTAGTACAACCACTATGGAAAACAGTGTGGAGATTCCTTAAAGCACTAAAAGTACGACTACCATTTGATCCAGCAGTCCCACTACTGGGTATCTATCCAGAGGAAAAGAAGTTATTATACAACAAAGATACTTGCACACACATGTTTATAGCAACACAATTTGCAATTGCAAAAATATGGAAATGGCCCCAAAAACCATCAATCAATGAGTGGATAAAGAAATTGTTGCCTGGGCATGGTGGCTCACACCTGTAATCCTAGCACTTTGGGAGGCCAAGGCGTGTGGATGACTTAAGGTCAGGAGTTCAAAATCAGCCTGGCCAACATGGTGAAACACTGTCTCTACTAAAAATACAAAAAAAATTAGCCAGGCATGGTGGCAGGCACCTGTAATCCCAACTACTCGGGAGGCTGAGGCAGGATAATTGCTTGAACCTGGGAGGTGGAGTTTGCAGTGAGCTGAGATCACACCACTGTACTCCAGCCTGGGTGACAAGAGGGAAATGCCATCTCAAAAAAAAAATTGTGATAGATAGATAGATAGATAGATAGACAGATAGATATGATGGAATACTACTCAGCCATAAAAAAGAATGAAATAATGGCATTTGCAGCAACCTGGATGGAGTTGGAGACTATTATTCTAAGTGAAGTAACTCAGGAATGGAAAACCAAACATCATATGTTCTCACTCATAAGTGGGAGCTAAGCTACAAGGAAGCAAAGGCATAAGAATGACACAATAGACTTTGGGGACTCAGAGGGAAAGGGTGGGAGGGAGGTGAGGGATAAAAGACTACAAATTGGGTTCAGTGAATACTGCTCGGGTGATGGGTGCACCAAAATCTCACAAATCAACACTAATGAACTTACTCTTGTAACCAAACACCACCTGTTCCCAAAAAAACTATGGAAATAAGAAAAAAAATTAAAAATTGTAATAAGAAAAAAAGAATACTGAGCTAGGAGATTGTCTTGAATTATTTGGGTGTGTCCTGTCAAATCACCTGGGTCCTTATGAGGGAAAGAGGAGGTGCAGGAGAGTCAGAGTAAAAGATGGAGATGGAGCAACGGAAGCAGAGGTCGGAGAGAGATGAGAGAGCTGAAGATGCTATGCTGCCAGCTTTGAAGATAGAGGAAGGGGCCATGAGCCAAGGAATGCAGGCAGCCTCTAAAAGCTGGAAGAGGAAAGGGAATAAATTCTCCCCTAGAGCCTTCAGAAGGAATCAGCCCTGCCAACCCATTTTAGACTTCTGACCTTCCTGGACTTTGAGAAAATGCATTTGTGCTATTTTTAAACCACAAGGTTTATAGTGCTCTGTTACAGTGCCAATACGAAATGAATATACCCTACTTTAGCACTTAGGAAGTGCTAGCTTACTCTTGAGCAAGTTGCTTAACCAGGTTGAGCCTCACTTTGTGCATCTATAAAGGGAAGTAGCAGTCACACTTATTTTACAGGGCTGTCCTGTAAGGACTGGGTGAGGCCATGCCTGTTAGGATTAATTGCCATCTTGGCCTCCACTGCTGTGACTATAGGTCACATCCTTAACATCTCTGTATCTCCTCTTCCTCCTCTATGGAATGTGACTAAACCACCTCCCCAGGATGGTTGTGAGGATCAGATGAAGGAATAATGTAAATCGAGTATTTAAGGTGTGATTCGGTTAAGTAAGAGTAATTCTTTCAGCTTTTGCTTGGCTAATGCCCAGGGAGGCTTCACTTCCCTCTGGTTTGCAAGACAAGCCTTGTGCCTCTTCCCATCCCCACTAGGCCAGCATTTACCACCCTCTACTGCAGGGCTGAGTTTAGGTCTTCCTCTCTCACTGTCCATGAGTCCCTGGAGCATAGCCCTGTCTGATTCATGTTTGCATCTCCAGATCCTTGCTGTGGGTATTTGCTAGAGTTACAGAAGCCATGCAAACCTTCTCTTTCTTTGCCACACTCAATCCCCGGCCCCCTTTTTTGCTACTGCTCTATGACTGAAACTATTTTGCTGTAAACCAGTAGTTTTCAACCCTGGTACACATTAAGATCACCTGGGGAGCTTTTAAAAAAATTACTGGTGTCCAAGCTCCACCCTGGACCAATTAAATGAGCTCTCTAGGGGTGGGGCCTGGACATCAGTAATTTTTTAAAAGCTCCCCAGGCGATTTCAATGTACCGGCAGGGCTGAGAAGCAATTCGACGCTCAGCCAGTCACATCTGAACTGCTAATTCTGAACTCAGAGTTCAAATCGGAAGGGAGAGGTCATTTATCTATTCTTCTCACCAAGTCTCAAACTGTCCTCGTTCTTAAAGACACAGATTCCAACTCTCTTTGAGACAGAATGTCAGAAAGGTGAATGTCAGAAACTATACAAACGATACAAGTGAATGCTCTGCAATCAGGCCAAAGGAAGAATGGCACTTGTTTTTTCTAGTTGCTTAAAATGGTGGTCTACAACCGTTAAGTCCAGTTTGCAGACCAGAGAACTAGAAGCATACACTTGAGGAAATGATTCCAGACAGAGGGGAGAATGCTACTAAATCTATACTTTTGTCTTATCTAAAGAAATATTTCTGCTTCAGCATATGAAAACGGGGAATTGTGCTGGCCACCATGTAAGTAAATTGACAGTCTTCTGTGAGCCAACCCTAACTGCAGTGCCACTGCAAGTCCCAGGACTACATTGTGGGGCACTGAGAAGTCCCAGAAGCCTCCCTGGACATTAGCCAAGCAAATTAACACAGAGCAGGTTGACACAGAGCATTCAGGAGGTGTCCTGGGCCTAGCACAAGGTTCTCCCTTTCCACTCCCAGGCTGAACTGAAACACATCAAATCACCCCAGGCTTTTCTTTTTAATATACAATTTCATTTCAAAGCCCCTTTTGATAGTGCTGGTGACTGTGACACATTGACACAACTATCAGAATGAAAGGTGGTTGACAATATCAGGAATGAAACTCTTCTATCCCTTCCAAGAAATGTGTGCACAACTACATTTATAGAAAAAAAAAAAGTTGCTACATGGGAGCTGAATGGGCCAATAACAATTTCCACTTTTATTTCCAGGTCTACTAAAATTGGACTAGTGTTCTAGGACAGAGTATATGACTTAAAGCTCAAAAGCTAACTATGGCTTATGAAATAAACTTCATTTCATAGATCAGCATTCACTACATTTAAAGTGGACTTTTTTGGTGGGAGTTTTAAAAATCCATTAAAGCAATGTGTTTTATATGCCACTGTACATTACTATAAAAGAAGTTTAAAATCCAACTCTAATAACCTCAAGAAAATGCTCAGCCTTTACTACCAAGTCATTGAGTAATAGCCCCAAGATTGTCATCTCTCCTGATAGATGGCTCTTCTCTAGCTGGCAGAGGAATATTTATGATCCCCATTAAATATATATGAGTAAATGATACAATGGCTTGAATGGCAATTAATACACATGAAAATAACCAATAATAAATATTCTTTTTATAAATGATTATAATTTGACAGTACTGAAATAATTTCATCCAGTTCTTCAAATTATGCTAATACTGCTTCCCCTCTTTCCTTCTTTTATTTCTCCACGTTGCTTGGTACACAGCACACACACTCACAAACTCACACACAATGGCAATTACTATCATCTAAAATTATATGCAGTCAGCTATAAATATACATATGTAAAAAAAAGACTTACATGTGTTCTCTCTAATTATGACAGTCCCTAGTTTTCTTTATGTATTAAGTTAAATATTTAAGAAGCAGCTTATTTTTCCTATTGTATTCCATTTCTGTAATAAAACTTTTTCCCTAAAGGTACAAAGTTTAGGAAGAAAAACATTCTGTGCTTGGAGATTATAAATCACGACCTATTTAAGTGTAGTTCAAATGCCAAGAAACATTTGAAATGTTTT
The DNA here is from genome assembly GCF_000001405.40 of Homo sapiens. Classification (NCBI taxonomy): domain Eukaryota; kingdom Metazoa; phylum Chordata; class Mammalia; order Primates; family Hominidae; genus Homo; species Homo sapiens. Next base: position 25,013,283 of record NC_000018.10, read on the forward strand.
TGATAGGTTTCATTTTTTAAAAATATGCTTGAGCTTTTATTCTCTGATCAATCTGTACCTTTGTACCTTTCTCTTTACATTTTAAGGTATACTTTATACATAAAATGCATGTACAGTGTGTCATTTGGTGAGTTTTGATGAATGTACACAGCTGCGTAACAAACACCCCCATTAAAATACAAAACATTCCCATCATCTTACTAAGCTTCTTCATATCCCTTTGTAGTCTGTCTCCCCACTACTTACTTCCAGATGTGACCCCTATTATGATTTCCTTCACTATAACTTATTCTCGCCTATTCTACAACTTCACACAGTGGAATCAGATAGTACCTGCTCTTTTAAGCTGGCTTCTTCTGCTGTATGTATTACTGCTGTATGTGTTACTATGTTGTAATGGCTTGAGATTCATCTATGTTGTATGTAATTAGTAGTTCCTTTTTATTGCTGAGTGTTAGCATCCCATTAATCTGTTAATGAACATTTGGGTTGTTTCAGTTTGGGGTCATTTTAAATAAAGCTGCTATGAAAATTCTTGTACAAATCTCTCAGACACATGTAAATATCTAAGTTACATATCTAATGTTACACACTTTATATGGAGAAATCAAGTAAAGATGTTTATGTCTCTTTTCTGCAACCCCCAGTGCATATCAGGATCTAAAGGGTCTAAAGCAGATAAACACATAGGTATGTGGTGGGGTGCTGGCCAATACAGTGTCCTAGCTCTTTTAGGACTATGTGAGCCCCTTATTTAGCACCTTTTATATACACAGAATTGGTTTTGTTTTCCTCCTGCCTAGTATAGCATCTGGCACATAGGTGAAAAACAACTCATGAATTCTTACTGAATTTTAAAATACATGCATAATTGACTGAATAGGTAGATATAAGAATGAATAAGTGAATGCTTTTTGAAGTTACATATAAGTGAGTACAACTTTGAAGAGGATCGTGGCTATCATGATAAAATCTAGAATGAAGCTTTTTTTTCTGTCACCCAGGTGTGGTCCTACTTTCTAAAATTCAGAAAAGAATAAATAGCTTTGAACATATCAAAGCAATATAAATCCAAGAATTATACTGGGGTGAGTTGGTTAAATGTCTTCTCCTGATGCTGTTTTAAAATACAAAAACTGACTTAGCAAAATCCCTGGGTACCAAGTTTCTTGGCCTAACTCCTAAGGGTGGTAGATGACTAGACAACATTACCTTCTCTAAGGGTGGTATAAAAAATAAGAAGTCTTCTTGAAAATACTCACTTACCTTCTAGGAACACACCATGTTAGGAGGGAATGCTTCTTTCCCATTCCAGAGGTTTCCTTCCATTTGGAGAGAACACAACACTCCTGGCCTCGTTCCATATTGTCCTTCACTCTTCCCCTGGGAGGAGGAGGAATCAGTTATCCGGGAATGAGCTGGAGAGAAGAAACTGAGCATATTTCCCAGCCGTTTTCTCTCTTCCTGCTCTTGAGAATTAACAGTCCATAGGAAGCAAACATTTTGCCCTGCTTCTCCACACCCCAAGTTCTCTGGGGCAGGCTCCCCTGGGTGGGGGCCGGTGGTGATCCAGCTAATGTGACCCACCCATAAAGTCTGTCTCATTCTGAGGCTCTATATTATGAAACCGACTTGCCTGCAGATATAAGCCACATTCTCCAGTATCAGGATAAGAAGGTGATACTGTGGTCTCTTGTCTGTCATATTTTTTATTTTATTTCTCGCACTGTTTAGTAACTCCAGCGGGGAAGAAAGTGTTATTTGTTTGCCTCTTCATATTCCCTTGAATCTTGAACTCATGGCTTGCCTCCATCCCTAAATGGCCTCAAAAAGCTATCTGATACATTTTCTTGCTCTTGAAAGAGTCATATTGAATTACTTCAAAAGTATCAAGTAGCCTAAATATATAAAGTGGTAGTTGCATTACATGGCAGAAGAGCTGAAAATTAAATGATTTTGAAGATTTATGGTCCAGATTAAATATTGCCCCTATTGTCATCCCACATATGGAACAGAGGACCTGAGTATAATCTCTTTTACAGATAAAAAGTCAAAGACACGGAGAAGATCATCCAATGATTCTCAGGCAGAGAGGAGTTGGACCATCCTACTTTTTTTTCCCTGTTACTTCATCTTTACTATTTCACATTTTCGGCCAACAAATCAAGGTACAAACAGAATTTATTTCACATTAATATATTAACTGGATTTTTTGTCAAATAAATAGGGAATTCTCTTTAAATAACCATCTCCTTACTTCATGGCCAGTGCAGGAATGAACTAGAGCAAATGTCAGTGTGTCCGGGGGCATGAGGCTTATAGGAAAGAGGCAGGCTGAGGGGCTCCAGCCAGCATGCAGGGTCAGGGGCCCTCATTCCTGGCCCACCCAGGTGGCACAAAGGCACAGATATGCATTCTCTAGTTCCAGTAGAGAAGCCCCTTCTAGAGGGAAGAGAGAGGAGACGGAAAGCAAATTCCAGAAACACTAGCAGAAAGCAGGGAGGCTTCCTCCCCAGCCTCAGTGGGCTTGTCCTGATGCCACTCAAGTCCTAGAAGCTCATTTTACAGCCTCAAAAGTCACATGGAGTTGGCAACACCATGACCCAGGACAGGGAAGGGGAGGGTGACAGTGGCTGGGGCCAGAACCTGGCTGAGTGGAATCTGGGCTGACCGTCCGCACATGGTGGCCTTTCCAGGCCAGGCACAGACCAGAGGAGGGAATGTGAACCAGGCCTGGCGGGGGTCTCTGGGAAGACACCTGGCTGGTCTGAGGCGGCTCATGAGGCTGAGTGTAGAGTGGCTGCCAGACCAAGAGAGCTGGACTGCAGTGGATGAGGTGGCCAGAGTCCCTGTGTAGGGAGAAGCTACGAGAGTGAAATGGGACCGGGAGGGTGGGGGGCGGGGGTAACGCCCTGTGCTCCCGAGAGCCCCGAGATGTGAGGGAAGCATGCGGCTGGGAAGCGGAGCAGGGCCTCTCCCGAGGCCAGGGACCCAACTGTCCCCCAGCGCTCGTTCCTGGTAACTGTTTATGATCAGACCTAGAGGAAGAACGAGGCCCTTTCTCACCTCCCCCAGCCCCAGCCGCAGCCCTGAGGGAAGGGGTAGGAAACAAGGACTGGGAGGTAGGCAGGAGGCTGGAGGTAGGAGGCGTCTACTGGGTCTTCTTATCTTCCCTCGGGTAAGATGGCGGAGGCTGCTTCGTGGGCATGGAGACGTGGTGTGGTTTGCCTGGGTTATAATAGGTGCTGGCAGCTGCTTTTGTGGCCCTGGCTTCGGCTGCAGGAGTGCAGGGAACATCTGGGCTGACCGGAGGTTCCATGGGCCCAGGACAGGGCAGTGGCGGGGGTTGCACATACCCCATGGCCCTGTCCATCTTGGGAGGTCCTGGATAGAACTCAGGGGAAGGTGGTGGAGAAGGGCAGCCAGGAGGGCAGGGATACATTCCACTAGTGACTGGCGGGGGAAAGACACATGTCCTGCCAGGCACGTGAGAGTGGCCGTAGGCTCCACTGAGGGCTTCACCCCTGGACGCTTGAGATGTCACCTGGAGCACCTGCTGTCCAGATTCAGTGGCGCCCCCTGCCGTGAAGGCGGACTTGCCGGAAGCAGAGCCTTCCCAGCCACCGCCTGCTTCGGTGTTCACTGTTCCCTTGATGCAGTTTGTGTCAAACACAGGCTGCTTGATCTCATAGGCCTTCAAGAGATAAAATGACATTACGAAGGACTGCGTGGCATCCTTCGCCCTGGACAGAAAGATGAAAGGGGTAAGGTAGATGGTGCCTTTCTTGGTCCCTTTGGAGGCCTCTGGCACATTATTCATGTCACTGAACGTAAGTTTCACATGATCGTAGGGCATTGGGATGCTCTCAGTGTTGTTGGCGATCACTCTGCTGCCCTCTGAGTGACTCTCGTTGAGCACCATATCTTTCCGAAAGCAGCCCCGAGATGCCCCATCCTGCAGTTGACCAGCCCACGGTGGTAGCTACATCTTCACAAATGTGACTTTTAGGTAGAGAAGCAACTCAGGGGAATCCACACCCTCCCAAAGAAATCTTGAAGTTAGCCTAGGTCTTCCATATTTAGAAGGTCAGTGGAGGCAGGCCAAGGACTAAGCTTACAAACAAATTTTTGTGTTCCTTTAATGGGCCAGTGAAATGGCTCAGTCATTTAGGTGACCCTCATAGAGAGATTTCAGCTAGTAATTATGTTGCTTAAGGGAGGGGGTGGGGAGGACTGTTCTCCTCTCTTTCCACGCGGTCATTTGCACGTGGAAGTTTCTGCTTTTCATATCTGTGGCAGTGCCACGTGCAGCGCTCTCCTCGGAGTGTCAGCTCTGGAAAGATGCTATTGCTCCGAGGACTGGTCTTTGAATTTCTGAGGGTGAAGGATTGGCTTTGGTCAGCAGTCATCTTCTTGTCACAGTTGGGCACATCCTCAGGCTATAAAATCTCTCTAATGCTAGGTCCCCACTAGTCTCTTTAATGAGATCCTGGACAGACCTGTAGAGAGGCCCCACGATCCTTCTCCAGAGACCAAGGGGAGCTTGGAGGAGAGGGACAGTCCCAAATGCTGCCACCCTACCATTTCTGGTCTCAGTCTTTTTATACCAAATCTCTTATACTGCCAGTACTCTTAATTGTCTTTGCCAGAAGGAGGACACAGTGGCTCATGCCTGTACTCACAACAATTTGGGAGGCTAAGGCAGGAGGATCACTTAAGCCCAGGAGTTTGACACCAGCCTAGACAAAATAGTGAGACCCTATGTCTACATTTTTGTAATTAGCCAAATGTGGTGGTACACATGTGTGGTCTCAGCTATTCAGAAGGCTGAGGTGGGAGGATCACTTGAGCCTGGGAGGTAGAGGCTGCAGTAAGCTATAATTATGCCACTGCAGTGCAGCATGAGTGACACGGTGAAACTCTGTATCCCAAAAAAGAAGAGACAATTTTTAAAATATTCTTTTAGAGATGGGGGTCTGTGTTGCCAAGGCTGGTCTTGAACTCCTGGCTTCAAGCAATCCTCTCGTCTCAGCCTCTCTAGTAGCTAGGATTACAGACAGGCACCACTGCACCCAGTTTATGAGGAAATTTAAAAATTCCTTTTTTAAAAATGAACTTGATCTCAATATTCCCAGCCAAACATTCCCATCATTTTCTTGGATAGTCTAAATCAGTGGTTCCCCAGTCTTTTTGGCAGAAGGAACTGGTTTTGTGGAAGACAGTTTTTCCACAGACCAAGGTTGAGGGTGGTGTCAGGATGAAACTGTTCAACTTCAGATGATCAGGCAGTACATTCTCATGAGGAGCGGGCAACCTGGATCCCTTGTATGTGCAGTTCACAACAGGGTTCGTGCTCCTGTGATTATCTAATGCTGCTGCCGATCTGACAGGAGGCGGAGCTCAGGCAATAATGCCCGCTTGCCCACTGCTCTCCTCATGCTGTGCAGCCCGGTTCCTAATAGGCCATGGACTGGTACTGGTCCATGGCCCGGGGTTTGGGGACCACTGCTCTACATAATGCAAATTTCAAGCAGAGAGTGAAAAAAAAAAAAAAAACTTTAACATCAAAAACTTGATAACAACTAGCCATGTTGTGTTTGAGCTGTGACTGAGGTAAAGCAGTGATTTTTTTTTAACCTCCCTCTTTTTCCTTCATACTCCATCACAGAGCTCCTGGCCCAGCTCAGACTAACATACTTGGCCATCTCTGATCCTTTCTCGTTTCCAACTAACAAGCTCTGCTGTGTGACTGCAATTCTCTGCCTGTGCATGAATGTATGCCTTTGGATTCGCTCTGGAAGAGTAACCCTTGTGGGTTACGACCACAAAAAGGAACGCATAATGATTGTGCTGCTGTCTTCTCCATACCTCTAGCTGCAGGCTAGGCATCGAAAACCAATGAAATCAGGCAGCTCTCCTCAGCCCAGAAATTAAGATGTCGGAATGTTAACAGAGACCCACAGACGGAACAACAACAACACTTGTTCATTGTTGGAAAGAGAACACTGCCTTTATGCTCCTTGGATAAACAAACACTGTGCGTCTGTCAGGTGGTGGTGGCCTGGATGTTGTAAGTACACAATCAAGCATCATCTACCAGCAAATTCTTTAACTCAGGGCTTGCAAGGAAATTTCCAGAGTTCCTTCCCCTGTATACATGTTACCAGACTCTTCAGCAGCATCTGCCCTTTTGCCTTTCTGGTACCGTTTACAAGCTGAAAACACTTCTAGAAGCCAAACCCCCAACTTTCAAGGAAGGTGAGAAATGCTGTTTCTTGCTTGAGGCTCTCTTTCAACTGCCTTTCTCTTCAAGGAATAATAATGACTCCCTTCAAGAAGGCTCTGGCAGGAAGGGTGATGAAGAGAGGTAGATCCTTCTCCCTCACAGAGGAAGTTGAAATTAGCCTAATTAGATTTTCAGAGCACTTAGATACCACAGTGATAGACGCCATCTAAATACATAGACAGATAGGAAGAGAGCACAGATGTTGTGTGAGACCAGTGATTTAGTTCCAAGTCAATACTCTTAATTAACTGCAAACTGTTTAAATATATAACATTCCCAACATGCAGCCAGTAACACCTATATAGTACTCTTCATCTGTGTAGCTCAAAGTAGAAAGCAAAATAACCCCCATATCCAAAAGTGTAAACTGGTAATAATAATTACTTATATTTAATGCTGATACACTGCCTCTAATTCCAGGCCCCCTGATGATATTACACACTTTGTAGATAATTGTCTCTTGTCCAAAACAGGAATGCAGCCATCAGTGAGAAGCAAAAACAGCTGCAATCTAAAAGATACCAACTCTTCTGTATAGAGGGAAGTGTTTTGTTCTGCTTTAATAGCAACTGGCCTAAGAAAAATGCATCTGCTTCCTACACTGGTTGGTGCCTGGTTGTTGTTAATAGTTGTAGGCTAAGCCCCTTGTCCAAAGTGAAGGTTGGGAGGAGGCTCACTTCTCACTTGGGGAAGTCATAGTCTGTGACCTTCAGAATGAAATAAGCCTTAAGACACAAGCAAAATGCCTTGTGGTCATCAAGCCACATCCACTCATATTTGGGAACCCCTTGCCTGTGGAATCTCCAAGACCATTGACAGTACTCACAGATGACATTCTTTTTTTCTAGAAGTTGAAGAAAGACACATAATTGGCTTGTAGTATATTCTCTTATTGGTCATACAAGAAACTCCACTGAGTAAATATGGTCCCCTCGCTTGTTGTTTCAGAAGGTGACCAAAAAGCCTGTAAAAAAAAAATGAGGACTAGCTCCTCAAGGGACAGACCTTGTGATTGAGACTATGAGAATCTTTCTTTTTTAAAGCAATAAATATTTGTGAATGTACACTGAGGAATCAATTGTGTAATTGCAGTAGCAGTCAGAATTTTTATTTAATCATACAACAAATATTTATGAAGCATTTATTTTGTGTGAAATCGTGGATGTACAGTAATAAAGTATGTACCTACCCTCGTGCTCATGTGCTGTACATAAAGAAGACAAAGACTAAAGACATAACCATAAACACATCTAGTAATGGTGTTGGAGTCGCTATATAAACCCTCCTACAGATGACGATTATAAAATCTGTAAAACAAAAAAAAAAAAGAACAACTATTTATAGGAATAAGAACACATCCAAAAGTGGAAGACAGAAGGCAGATTACTTTTAAACACCTCGAAGGGGGAAGAATTGGGAGTTTGCAGTTATCCTGCCTGAAGATGTTCCCCAATACCCCTGGCCAGGGCAAAGAAAAATATCAGTCACATTCCAGGCTCAAGGTAACAGAGAACAGAGGACAGGAGAAATTTTGGGGGAAAATCTATAAGATAATGGGAAAAGGATTGAAACCCCCAAATCTTGAGTAAAAATTTTTGCCCACATCATTGGTTGGCTAGTAAAGTATGCATATGTGGGGCAGAATCTGACAAAGGCATTAGAAAAGCAGGCAAAGGCCAGACAGGATTTTAGTCTGTAAAGATAGAACTGCACCAGATGAGTTCTCTGAATTTACCAAGAGGATATTTAGCAGCTGGAAGTCATAAAAACTGAGACAAGATCAACGGCTACACACCACAGAGGAGACTAAGTTTTCTGTTTAAGTTCAAGCAAATTAATTGCTTAATGAAACAATAACACGAGTATTTAAGAACATAACTGATTGTAGTCACATTGTATTTTCTACAATGTCCACTTTTCAAACAAAAATTACTAAACATGCAAAGATACAGAAACATGTGACCCATACTCAAGAAAAACAAAAAACGTCAATAGAAACTGACTTTAATGGAGCCCAGATGTTGGATTTAGCAGGAAAGAAACTTCAAATCAGGTATTCTAATACTTTCAAAGTATTCAAGGAAAATGGTCTTAATGAAAGAGCTGTTAGAAAATCTCAACAGAGGAATGACACTATAAGAAAGGGAAACTCTAGAGCTAAGAAGCACCATCACTTAAGTGAAGAATTTACTCATTTCAGTTAAATAAAAAATTAACTAAAATTTAGTTTTAAAGACAGATTGAAGTATCAGAAGAAAGAGTTAATAAACTTTAAATGAGATTAACCGAAATTACTCAATCTGAATAACACAAAGAAAAAAACTTGAAGAAAAATAAACAGAGCATCAGAGACCTATTTATATCAAGAGATAAAAAGTGGTGTAATTGGAATGGTAGGCGGAGAGAATAGGAGAGAAGAGAAAGGGGCAGGAAAGTGTTAAAAGAAAGAATGGCCTATAACTTCAAAAATTTTATGGAAAAAACTTTAAATTACAAATCTAGGAAACTCAGCAAACCCTAGCCAGAATAAACCTTCATAGTGAAAATGCTGAAAGTCAAAGATAATGAGAAAATCTTTAAAGCAGCCAGAGAAAGATGGCATGTTACATACAGGAGAACAATGATATGATCAATGGTGACTTTACATCAAAGTAATGAAAGTCATATGAAATTAGAATGGCATATTTCAACTGTTGGAGAGAGAAAAAAACTGGCAACCAAGAATTTTGTATCCAAAGAATTTATCCTTCATATATGAAAGAGAAATTAAGGCATTGCCAGATAAACAAAACTAAGATAATTAATTGCTAGCAGAACTGTGCTACTACAAAAGCTAAAGTAGGTTTCAAATTTAATTTTTTTTATTTTCACTTCTCTCAGCTCATACCTATAAAGTTAGTTTTTGAGGCTGAAAGGAAATGACACCAGCAAATGTGTCATAAGCAAAATTTGTAAAACTGTATTATTGAGTTGATAACATATTGATTTCATATTCAAATGACAACAATAACACTAAAATAGGAAGACAGGGAAATTAAAATATACTGTTGCAAGGTTACTATATTTTATCTGAAATTATTCAGTATGAACTCTAAGTAGATTGGGACAAGTGAAAGATGAAAGATATATGTTGTTACCTCTAGAACAATGCTATTAAAATTTAATAATTAGCTCGATATAGCTAGAAAGCCAGTAAAGAAATTAAACAAAATACTAAAAAATGTTTGATTAACACAAAAGAAGGTAGTAAAGGAGGAACAAACAAGCATCAAGAGAGATAAGACAAGACAAACAAAATAAACAGCAAAATGGTGACCTAAAATCATCTATTTCAACAACTGCACCAAATTTAAATTAGTCAGATATCCAATCAAAAGACATGATTGTCAGACTGAATAAGAAATGAAGAATTAATTATATGCTGTCTACAGGAGGTGCCCTTGAAATATATAGAAACAAATAGGTTAAGAGTAAAAAGATTGAAAAAGTCATGTCATGCTAATAGTAGGCACAAGAAAATAAGATTGGCTATATTAATAGCAGAAAAAATAGACTTCAACATGAGATGTATTGTTAGAGACAAAGAGGGAAACTTTATAATGGCAAATGGGTAAATATTAGCTTGGTGTAAAAGTAATTGTGTTTTTTGCCAAAACCGCAATTACTTTTGCACCAACCTAATATATCAGAAAAACATAATAATTATATATATTTATGTATCTAATAAGACAGCTTCAATATAACCAAGGAAAAATTGACAGAGAAATAGACAAATCCACAATCACAGTTACAGACTTTCACAAATGTCTCAGTAATTGATATGCTAGCTAGACCAAAAAAAAAGTCATTGAGGATCTAGAAGAATTAAGTGACCCTATCAACCACTTTTACCTAATTGTGATTTATAGCAGACTATATCCAACAAATGCAGAATATATATTCTTTTAAATTCATATGGTAGATCCACAAAAGTAGAGCATATGCTGACTAAAACAAGTCTCAATATATTTCAAAAGATTACCATATTACAGAGTGCTTTTTCTGACTACAATGAAATTTAATTGAAACTCAACAACAATAAAATTTTAAGAAAACCTCAAATATTTAGAAATCAAACAACTCACTTTTAATAATCCATGACACAATGTAGAAATTATGAAGAAAATTTTAACATATTTTAAACTAAATAGTAATGAAACACAACATATCAAAGTTTGCAGAAGGCAGCAAATGTCCTACTTAGAGGGAAGTTTATGGCTTTAAATGCTGATAGTAGAAAAAAATAGTATAAAATCAATAATTGAACTATCCATTTTAGGAAGCTAGAAAAGGAAGACCAAACTATATGCAAAGTAAGTAGAAGAAAGAAGTAGTAAAGAGTAAAAAGAAAAAAATCAGAGAAATAGAAATAAACAACAAAAAATATTAACAAAGCCAAAAAAGTTTAGCTTGAAAGAATCAGTAAAATTAATAGTGTTCTAGAAAGATCAAAAAGAATGAGAGAAGGCACAAGTTACCAATATGAGCAGAACTTCACTACAGGTCCAACAAACATTAAAATGAGAATATAGAAATATCATGAACAATTTTACACCAGGAGTTTCAACACCGTAAATGAAATTGAAAAATTTCTTGAAAGGCACAAATTTTCAGAATGGAGACAAGAAAAAATAGAAAATTGAATAGCCTTGTCTTAAAAGAAATTGGATTAATAAAAACTTTTCCAGAAGGAAAGTGGTGAGTTCTATCAAACATTTGAGGAAGAAAAAATACAAATTTCACATAACGTCTTTTGGGAGTTACTTTCCCACTTTGGGAGGCCGAGGCAGGTGGATCATGAGGTCAGGAAATCGAGATGATCCTGGCTAACACGGTGAAACCCCATCTCTACTAAAAATACAAAAAAATAGCCGGGTGTGGTGGCCGGCGCCTGTGGTCCCAGCTACTCGGGAGGCTGAGGCAGGAGAATGGCATAAACCTGGGAGGCGGAGCTTGCAGTGAGCCGAGATCGTGCCACTGCACTCCAGCCTGGGTGACAGAGCAAGACTCTGTCTCAAAAAAAAAAAAAAAAAAAAAAAAAAGAGTTACTTTCCAACTCTGTCTCTGTTTTGTTTTTTTAGCCAGCATTAGTTTGGTATAAAACCAGGCTGAAAACCTTGTTTCAAAAAAGAAACTACAAATCAATATCCCTCAAGAATACAGACACAAAAAATTCTTAGCCAAATGTACCAAGTCAAATACAGCAAAATGTAAAAGGAGGACTACATCTTGAACAAATGAGATGTAAAGCCTGATTTAACATTCAATAATAAATCAATGTAATTTGTGTATTTTTAATAAGGCAAAAAAATTATTTCGCTAGATGCTCAGAAAACCTTTAACAAATTTCAACACCTATTCATAATGAGAGCTAGTAAACTAGTAATAGGAGATAACGTCTTCCCATTGATATGGAAAATCTATGTTCTTTTGTTGTCGTTTTTTTGAGGCAGAGTCTTGCTCTGTCACCCAGGCTAGAGTGCAGTGGCCCAACGTCGGCTCACTGCAACCTCCGCCTCCCAGGTTCAAGCAATTCTCGTGCCTCAGCCTCCTGAGTAGTGGGGATTACAGGTGTGAGCCACCATGCCCGGCTAATTTTTGTATTTTTAGTAGAGACAGTGTTTTCCCATGTTGGCCAGGCTGATCTCAAACTCCTGGCCTCAAGCGATGTTGCCGCTTCAGCCTCCCAAAGTGCTGGGATTACAGGCATGAGCCACTGCACCCAGCCAGGAAAATCTATGTTTAAAAAGCCTATACACGAGGTACAGTGGCTTATGCCTGTAATCCCAATGACTCTGGAGGCTGAGGTGGTGGGATCACTTGAGGCCAGGAGTTCAAGACCAGCCTGAGCAACAAAATGAGACCCTGTCTCTACAAATAGTAACAATAATGATAAACTAGCCAGGCACGGTGGTGCACTCCTGTAGTCCCAGCTATTTAGGAGGATTGCTTGAGCCCAGAAATTCAAGGTTGCAGTGAGCTATGATGGCACCACTGCACTCTAGCCTGAGCAACAGAGTGAGATCCTGTCTCAAAAACAAACAAACAAACCCAAAAAGCAAAACTTCTACAATAACATACTAAATGATAAAAAATGGAATGCCTTCCACTGAGATCAGGAACAAGCAGGGATATTCACTTTCACCACTTCAATTTAGCATTGTACTTCAGCTCCTAGACATTGTAATAAAGAATGAAAAGATGTAAATAAAAGTGATTGTAACATTTCCTTTCCCCACCAACAGCATGTGAGAATTTCAGTTGTTCCACATCCTCACCAAAACTATTTTCCGTCTTTTTTACATTAGCTATTCTGAAGGTTGTGAAGTGGTATCTCACTGTGATGACTAGTAATTTTGAACATTTTTTAATGTGCTTATAGCCATTCATATGTACATTGGAAAGAAAGAAACAAAAGCCTATATTTGATAATTCTATGATCATGCACTTACAAAATCTTAAGGACTTTACAAAAAAGAAAGGCAGTAGGTCTAATAAATGAATTTAGCAAGATCAAAGGATTTGAGGTCAATATACAAACCAATTGCATCCTATATGCTAGCTATGAGTAACTGAAAATTGAAAGAAAGGCTGGACACTGTGGCTTACGTCTGTAATCCCAGCACTTTCAGAGGCCAAGGTGGGTGGATCACTTGAGCCCAGGAGTTCAAGACCAGCATGGGCAATGTGGTAAAATCCCATCTCTACAAAAAATACAAAATATTAGCTGGTGTGGTGCCTGTAGTCCCAGCAACTCGGGAGGCTGAGGCAGGAGGATCACTTGAGCCCAGAGATCAAGGCTGCAGTGAGCTATGATCATGCCACTATATTCCAGCCTAGGCAACAGAGCGATAGATACCCTGTCTCAAAAATAAAGTGAAAAACATTACCATTACATTTTACTATAGCATCTGAAACATGAAATACTTAGGGATAAACTTAAGATATATGCAGAGCTTTCCTATTTTTTTATTTCTTGAGCTCCCAGGAGCACTTTTCACATATTAATTGTAGTAGCTCTTATGGTGAATTGATTATTTGTAGTAATTCTTGGGCAAAGGCTATGTCCTGCTCATTGCCTTATCACCAGTGCCTAGCATAGAGCCCAGCAACATAAATTAATAAATCTCTCTGTATGTTTATCCTAAAAACACAACATGTGTACATGAAAGGAAGTTTTGAAAATGGAAAAATGTGGAGGATATATTCTCCATAGTCCCTTCTCTGTCAATGTTTTGGATTATTTCCTTCCAGCCTTTATTTTTCCCTATAGGTAGAGTTTTGGAATTTTTCTTAACATAGTATTCATACAGTAGCATGTTTGTATAATAATGGTTGAACTTCTATCTTATTCATTTTGAAATTTCCTTTAGTTACAATTGGTTATTTTGATTTACTGGAACACAATAAAATATAATTGGCTGCCAGAAAGAGGCTGTCCTCATAAAAAAACAGTGAGTCGGTGTCTTCATGCAATCACTGGTGTGGTTCTCCTACCTCAACCCCGTCCTCACACTCACCTGTGTTGTGTTAACTCTGAGGGGATTTCTCCCAGGTGTTCTTTTGTAAAACTCTTGCATAACTGCTTTTTAGGCTTCCTCATCCAAGGGCACATTAAAAACAGAAAGCCGGAGATGAAGTGTGTGCCCCTTATAGACAAATTGGGGTCATGATCTGAAGATGTCTAATATACTGGATCGAAACTACCCTAAAAAACAATGCTGGCCAAAAAAAGTACCTAAATGCTAAGTAAAATGAGTTCCTGCCCCAATTCCTCGTGCATCAAGGAACAACTTAGGTCACAGTCGAAACTCAGAGTTCAAAAACAATGAACTCCATACACAGAGAAAAATAAGATTCAAACAGGGAAGGACTTTTCCAGATAGACCAATACAAGTGTTTGTCAGCCATGATAAAAATGCTCAGATCACAGTATCAAGCATCCAAGAAATGTCCAACAGCAGTAACAACAGAAATAAAACTCTGGTCATTAGATACAACAGACCAATGGGATCGTTGTCTTGGAGCTAAAGACAGAACAAAACCTAGATTGATTGAAATTTGCTATATCAACTCAGAGATACATGGACTTTCTGAAGTAGTACTGCAGACAGATACTTATTAGCCACTGTAAGAAGCAATTCTCCATGAGCTCTTTCCTTGAAAATTAGATACTGTAGTTCCAAACTGTGTGTGTTCACTTCTAACAGAGTAGAGATATGCCTAGGGAAAACAAAAGGAAGAAGGGAAAGAGATAATCACACAATTGCCTAACAACCCTTTGCAAAACCCACTCTTCCAGACACCTGGGAGAAGTGGGCTGGCTAGACAGAAATAACCTCTAGGTGACACTTTATATGCCTTCACTGGATGCCAAAAGAAATCAGACAGGAAAGGTAAGGAAAAACTAATTTGATGAAAAAGACCAGCTGAAATGAGAGAGGAGTGACTCTTCTGGTAACCAAGGTATCTGGCCAGCCATGCACCAGAGTTCTTCCTCAACACAATTCTCCTAAGAGCTACCATTTTCAAGACCCTGCAGAGCTCAGCACCTCAGGGCAGCCTGCTCTGGTTGCCTGGAATGTGCTCCTTCATGCACTTCATCACATTGTACTGGAATTGAAGTTGTTATTCTTTTTCTCCCCACCAGGTCAGTATAGTTTGTTGCAGTGAAGTGTTTATCTGTAATGATTCTAGGGTAAACACTATGTCACAGTCATTGCCTTCTGCCAATGCCTAGTATAGAGCCCCGCTAAATGAATTAACGAATACTTACGGTAGTCCCACCTTATCTGTGGTTTCATTTTCTGCAGTTTCAGTTACCTGCGATCAACTGCGGTCCAGAATATTAAATGGAAAATTTCAAAAATAAACAATTCATAGGTTTTAAACTGTACGTCATTTCTGAGTAGTATGATAAAATCTCTCACTATACTGCTGCATCCTACCTGGCACCTGAATCATCCCTTTGTCCAGCATATCCATGTTTGGAACATATCCCCCTTGGATAAGGGGGCAATGCTGCACATGTATACTAATTTTAAAGCCAATATATGTGCATAAAAGGGGCCAGGCGTGGTGCCTCACACCTGTAATCCCAGCACTTTGGGAGGCAGAGGTGAGTGGATCACCTGAGGTCAGCAGTTCGAGACCAGCCTGGCTAACATGGTGAAACCCCATCTCTACTAAAAATACAAAAATTAGCCAGGCGTGGTGGTGGGCACCTGTAATCCCAGCTACTCAAGAGGCTGAGGCAGGACAATCGCTTGAACCCAGGAGGCGGAGTTTGCAGTGAGCCGAAATCGCACCACTGCACTCCAGCCTGGGGGACAGGGCGAGACTCTGTCTCAAAACAAACAAACAAAACTAAACAAACAAAAAAACCCCATACAATATATGTGCATAAAAGGAAATGTTTACACTCCCTGAAAACTGTGTCTTATTTCTTGTTCCCCAGAGCTTAGTAAGATGCCTGACACATTGTAATCACTTCATACCTTCTAAATGAATTCAAACTTTGAATCAAGTTCAGGCTCTGACTTTAAACTCAGCAAATGACCCTACCTTCAGTTTATAAAACTGGCCAATAACTGAAACTAAAAATCAGATTGCACATTGTTCTTTGAGCAAAGCCATCTGTCAGGATTTTTAAAAATTAGAATATCTCAGAATGACCGCAACTGGACTCAATTTGGGTGGTGTACCCCTGACCCAATCTCCCCATTATCTTTCAGCAAATTCCAAAGAGCCTGCTTGTGCCCCAATGCCCAGCTGCTGGGTAAAAATAATGATGTTGAATCAATCTGGAAGCAGCCACCAATATGAGTAGACTTCAAGAAAGAAGCTCTTCTTGATGTTGTGTTTTCTCCAACCGCAAATGGAGTAGTTTTTCACTATAGCCACTCCAAAGAAAAAAGAAGGACCTGTTAGAAGAACAGGAAAGAAAAGCTAGTGATATACTTTCAGAACAAGAACAGAAAGTAGGTGATTCACATTATTTAAACCTTTAAAAAAGAAAAGTACCCCAGTCAGAATAGCCATTCTTAAAAAGTCAGAAAACAACAGATGTTGGCAAGGTTGCAGAGAAAAGGGAACACATATACACTGTTGGTGGGAATGTAAATTAGTACAACCTCTATGGACAATAGTATGGAGATTTCTCACAGAACTAGAAAGAGAATGACCATTTGATCCAGCAATTTCACTACTGGGTATCTACCTGCAAGAAAAGAAATCATCATATCAAAAGACACCTCCATTCGTATGTTTATTGCAGCACTATTCACAATAGCAAAGTCATGGAATCAACCTGTGTCCATCAGTGAAGGACTGGATAAAGGAAATGTGGTAAATATATGCCATGGAATACTACTCAGCCATGAAAAAGAAAGAACTCATGTCTTCTGCAGCAACATGGATGGAGCTTGAGGCCATTATCCTAAGTAAAATGAGCCAAAAACAGAAGGTCAAAACCCATGTTCTCACCTGTAAGTGAGAGCTAAACAATGAAT
Organism: Homo sapiens; assembly: GCF_000001405.40. Classification (NCBI taxonomy): domain Eukaryota; kingdom Metazoa; phylum Chordata; class Mammalia; order Primates; family Hominidae; genus Homo; species Homo sapiens. The sequence continues at coordinate 25,030,119 of NC_000018.10, forward strand.
ACACATGGACATACAGAGTGGACTAATAGACACTGGAGACTAAAGAAAGGGGGAGGGTAGAGGGGTGAAATGCTACCAGTCAGGTACAGGGTACACTATTCAGATGACGGTTACACTAAAAGCCCAGACTTTACCACTACACAATATATCCATGTGTATTAGTCAGGGCTCTCTAGAGGGACAGAACTAATAGGAGACATCTACCTATCTATCTATCTATCTATCTATATGGGAATTTACTAAGTATTAACTTACATGATCACAAATTCCCACAATAGGTTGTCTGCAAGCTTGAGGAGCAAGGAGAGCCAGTCTGCTTCCCAGACCTTCATCCTCTGTCATTAGTATCATACATGTCCTTTGATTTCCCTCTTCTTCAGGAAAGCACTTGAGGATGCTTCTTTCCAGAGCACCTCTTTTCCCTGCACATTGCTCCTCCTTTCTTAGTCTGAAGGAACTGAAACTGACATTTAGTCTGACCTAAATTTGTCTCCATTATTTGTCCAAAGGTAAGAACGGCATATAGCTGGCACGTGCACTACCACAGCCTCTGCCTCGAGTGGCCATGGCAGACACTGCCATTCAATCCTGGTCTGAACACAACCCCCTTCCCAACACAGCTGTCTACATCCTACCCGTCAGAGCAGGCACACCATGTGAAACTTCTCTGCCATTCCTTGCCTAGTGGCTCTGTACACAGTGTTCCTAAGGTAGGTTTGCAGCTTTGGTTCCAACTCTCAAGCAAAAAGAAGCTTTATCTCCTTGGTTATTTGCAAGGGAGATTCGAAGAGAATCTGGGGAATAATAGTGTTAGCTTTATTAATAGCTGATGAGCCTATAGGTCTGAGATGCTTACACATGGGCCTCTTCGGGAAGAGGGAAGACTACATTATTACTAAAGTCCCTTCCTTAGGAAGACACATTGCAAAGAAAGCCAGAAACTCAAGAAGTTTGTTCACATTAGTTCTGCCTTGTTCTTTTATCATTACCCAGCTGAAATGTCTCAGGCAGTCATATTAGGGTAATGATAAGATTGGCTTTATACATCATGGAAGTGCATGCAAAACTATGGGATTTAGAGAATTGTAAAGCTAGAAAGAGCCTTAGAGGTTCTTGAATCCAACCTTCTTAGAAGAAACTGAAACCCAGATAAGTGAAGTGACCTGTCGTAGGTTCCTAAACCCAATAGCAGCCGAGCAAGGCCTTAGATGAGACCACAGGATCTTGTAGTCAGGTGTATCCTGCTGGGCTCAGTTTCTTCCTCCATGGACTCATGGAGGATCCCCATGTTACATCCTTATTCTGCTTTGTGGTGTGAGACATTCTTCAGTGGGGGGCGCATTTGTATGAAAGAGGGTTTGCAATGACAATAATAACTACCTACACATTTTTGTTGATGAATGGTTCTGGATATGAGTAATTGAAATACAAGGTGACATTGAGTTTGTTATTCTTGGATGGAAAAGGGATAAAACTCTAGATGGCAGCCTTTTCAGATAAAATATATGAAACAAGGGAAAGGTATGATACACGAAGATAAGAAACTAGAATGATTAAATCCATGAAGACACCTATTAGTACCATTTCTTCTAAGTCAGGAAGTGAGATGAAAGGCCTGGGCTCTTCTCCCAACATTCTGTGCCCTTGGGAAAAGAGTGGGCACCCTACGTGGCAATGTGCAGGCAGAGGACAATAAATTCATCCCAAACCAACCCTAGTTCACTTTTTTCATCGGCTTGAAAGGAGCTTTCTATTTGATTGCTTTGGGGAGATAATTAAAGTGGGACACGTGGCTATATGTAACCAAAATTTGTCAACATTGGTTATATTTAAATAAGACTTTCAACAGTGGTCTCACTTCTTGGTTGAAATCACACACAAAACACAGACATTTCATGGTTTCTTGCAAGCTCTTCCCTTCTCAGGGTGGAAGGGAAGTCTGAAAGAAAACATTTGCATAGATTCAGGCCAAAAGTAGCCTATCTTTGACTTTGTATGAGGGATTAGTGGCGAAGTGTTTATTTTGTTCCTTTTGAAATAGCTAGACAATGTACTGACTTTTCTACTGAAGATTTTAAGCCCAAAAAGCCCATCTAACAATCCCTCCCCTGGACCACTACGTTTTTCCTAAATGCCCAGAGCAGAGCATTTCAAGAGGTAGGGATGCTGTTAGTCCATTTGTATCTTCCTCTCCACAATTCTGACCTCATGCTCTGTACCATTTAGTCTTAGGAACTCACATATATGCACACACACACATACACACACACGTATGCATGTACACAGACATATGCGCACACGCAGGTATGCATGTGTACACACACGTACACACACACTCCTGCACCTGCCACAAGCTGCAAGGTTGTCCAGTGTCTCCATCAGATGATCCCCAAGTCCCTCACAGGCTTTCAAACTCTGGCAAGCCACTTTTCACCACAAATTCCAGTTTCTCAGGGCTTTCAGACACCCTGTAGATGTAATGATACACTCTCGGTTACTGCAATAATAATAATAATTTATACGCACGGTAGCCTTTCATCCATGAATGTTTTAACAATGACAAGTGCTACAGGAGCCCAGAGCAAAGCCTCTGGCCTCTCCCTGCAGCACCCAGCCCTCGCATGGGAGACATCATAGATCTCTCATTCTTCATGCCAACACCTCATAACCATTTCAGGCAGGAAGTAAGGAAATCTGTCCAGTCAAAACTGCAGAAAGGAGTTAGGTAATATAACACCTTTTATTTCTCTTCCCCAGAAACTCTGAGAAATGCACCAATTTGCAGAATAAACTACCCCCAGACAGTCCCCTTGAATTGTTGGTTTTGCCTGGGGATTACATATTTCCTGCGGTAGATTTTCTTCTTTCTTTGTCTTATTTCCACCCAGTACCAAATTTATTTAAAGAATAAGATAAAAATATCTATATGGCTAGGCTATCAGCCCCTCACATGAAGAGTGTGACTGTTCTATATTTACCTATCATTTAAAGATATCCCTATGAGACATATACTCTTTTCATAAAAGGCAGTATGTCCAATAGACCAAAAATTAAAATGAAGAAGGAGGCAGAAGAGGAGACTGATAAGAAGAGGAGAAGGGAGGGGAAGCAGCAGGTACATTCTCAAGAAAACAGCATCGGCCAGGCACGGTGGCTCATGCCTGTAATCCCAGCACTTTGGGCAGGAGTTCAAGAGCAGCCCAGCCAACATGAAGAAATTCTGTCTCTACTAAAAATACAAAAATTAGCTGTGGCGGCACACACCTGTAATCTGAGCTCCTCGGGGGACTGAGGCATGAGAATTGCTTGAACCCGGGAGGCAGAGGTTGCAGTGAGCTGAGATGGCGCCACTGCACTCCAGCCTGGGTAACAGAGCAAAGAGAGACAGGGAGAGAGAGAGAGGGAGAGAGGGAGAGAGAGAGAGGGAGAGAGAGAGAGAGGGAGAGAGGGAGAGAGAGAGAGAGAGAGGGAGAGAGAGAGAGAGAGAGGGAGAGAGAGAGAGAGGGAGAGAGAGAGAGGGAGAGAGAGAGAGGGAGAGAGAGAGAGAGGGAGAGAGAGAGAGAGAGGGAGAGGGAGAGAGAGAGAGGGGGGAGAGAGAGAGAGAGGGAGAGGGAGAGAGAGAGAGGGAGAGAGAGAGAGGGAGAGAGAGAGAGGGAGAGAGAGAGGGGGGGAGAGGGAGAGAGGGGGGGGAGAGAGAGAGAGAGAGAGAGAGAGAGGGAGAGGGAGAGAGAGAGAGAGGGAGAGAGGGGGGGGGGGGAGAGAGAGAGAACCACAACATGGAGGGGAGAAACACAGCCTGGAGACAGCTGGTTTTAAATCTTACCTCTGTAAACATTGATGAGGCCACGCTGACCATCAGTCTCCTTGTTGGTAAATGGAGATTAGAATCCATCCTTCTACAGTTGTTGTGAGGATTAAATAATAATTGGGACGTTTCTGGCACAGAGTAGGTACTCTTATTCCTGTGAATTCTGAAAACTGAGATGATTTGTGCTCATGGATAAGCTACCAGATGGTATCACTTTGCACTTACTGTTTCTTTTAGATGCTTTCAACCTGCTATTAAACCTGTGCTGTTGCATCAAATTATCCATTCACTGGCTTCAGGATAGTGAAGAGTTGGGCAAATAGGCTTCTGAGTTACCAGGAATGAAGCACAGGGCACCACGGGCAAGCCTGGACAGGATCCCTAACCCAGTCCTGGACGTTAGAGACAAAGTGAGGTCTAACAATTCCTTGACTCCCTTTCTATACCCTTAAAGATGTACCCAAGGTAATTTCTTTACATTCCATAGTGATTGTTGGTTTTTCTTTTTTTAGTGATTTAAAAAAGGCAGAGGGTCTAAAAGAGCACAGCAGTGGTTCAGATTTTAGCTCAGAAATTGCTTGAGAAGATAACCAATTGACCAATCCCTGTAACCAATCTATCTTCCTACAATAAATGGATCTTGATGAACCTTCCAAGAAGCCCTAAAAATGCCTGAGTCCTAATGAAACCTAACCATTATTCACCTGTGAGAGTCATTCACTTAGGGTAGGCCAGCTGGGAGCTATTTATCATTTAAGACAAGGAGAAACACCTGTGTCATCGGTGTGCCCATGAGGCACCAAAGGTAATTAGGATGGCAGCTGCCCTTCCTGACCAGATGCAGCTCCTTTTATCCTTTCTTTTCTTGATCTCCTTATTCCTTATTTCTCTTCCTAGTTACGTGTCCTGTCTTTTTCTCTCCTTCCAGTCATCTGTGCCTAGAACCTGCAAACCATACCAAGAAGCATGAACCATGCTGTTAAATAGCTTTGACTTCTGTCTTGCAATATCATCACAGCCTTCCTCAATAAATACACAAGGAAAGCATTGGTGGGATGCCAAATAATAGAACAACAAGCACAGTGCAAACCTGGGAGTGTCCCTCTAGTGAGAGAAAATGCAGATGGCCTGAGATTTGGTCCTACTGACCTGAAGAGCAAGCACACTAACATTCAACATTCACTCAACAAGCATTTCATTAAGCATTCGTGCATCAAGTCTTTTCCATCAGACATGGATAATCATAGCCCACAATCTACTGGGGAGACATATAAAAAATAAGTCGTTAAAATGCAGTGTATTGATAACTGTCTAGTCTAACTAAATCCCTGCAGGGAAAAGGGGAGTGGATAGAGAGATAACCTGAAGCCTCTTCTTCAAAGTCACTCCCACTGATTTATTCTGTGGCCTTGGATAAGTCACTTAAAACTGTGCTCCTATAAAATGTGATCAATGACAACTAATTATAGCTGGGTTATGGGAATGACCATGATAATCAACATGAAAATAATTTGAAGTATTTAGGAGGAAAGTGCTATATAAAAACAAGGTATTTTTTGCTGCTGTGTGGTCAATTTTCAAAGACTAACTTCTCCATAAAATATGGGTGTATTCTTTATCTCTTGTTAGCAGATAGGTTCTCTCCCTCTTTTGCATGCTTACCTGCATCCGCTGCCCTTCACGTTGGCTGAGTTTTCCCGTCAGCACATAAGTGAGGGCCTCTTGTGGGCCCCACACTGGGAAGGCCCTGATAATAGGGCAGTGAGTGAAATACATGCAGTTTTAATCAAAGAAATGTCTCTTTCCAGCTATAAACAGAATGTCCTATTTCTGTATGTTGTGTTTTCTTTAGGGTTTTGTGATTTTCTTTGAAAATGTATGTTTGGGCCATAGTGCTGAAGAGCCCAGAGTGTGAAGGCCAGGCAGGCCTGGGATTCACTTTCCTCTGGGTAAGAAACTGAAGGCAAATTGAGCTGAGCTGAGGGCTCGGGAACTGCACACATGGCTGCGGGTTGTGTTTTTGGGGAAGGGGTGCAGGCACAGCACAAATCACACCCCTGCAGGTGGGGCTAGAATTTCCCCTGAAAGAAATGGATGTTCCACTGGGAATCTTTCTGGGGAAAGCTGTGTCTTAGGACTGGAAATGGAGACTCAGGAGGTGGGGCTCGGAGTGGGATAAGGAGAAAAACATCCTCCTTGTTCTGCAGCTTGAGGGGCATGGGAGCGAGAGGCCGGAGAAGCAAGGCACACTCCTGGTGGGGCATAGGCCTGCGGGTGCAACCAGGGACAGCTGTTGATGGACCCGGGGCATGGGCCACGGCCAGCCTGTATAGGTCATTATATGTGATTCACTCGTTCAGCTGCCCCCAAATCCACAAATCTTATTACTTGTTGAGAGCCCATGGGAAATGAAGGGAAATGGTGTGTCCACCATTGGAGATAGATGAGCCAAGGGGAGGGCAGTGGTCTCCTGTAGAGGATGATTGTGCCCTGCTGAGTGGCAATTCCTTGAGGCCTCTTGGTAACAGGCCCAAGGGGAGGAGGTCATGGATGCAGAAAGACATGCAGAACCCATTCCACGCATGCCTGAGCCGGACCCAGAAAGCGATGGGGCGCTTTAATACAGGGCAAGCTAGCAACAGTTCATGCCATTGTAACTGAAATTGTACAGATAATAAGATATGTCCAACAGGTTATGGTAAAAATTACCAGCAAGCCAATCTAATGTATCAAAAAATAAAAATTCGATGGTGTCTTTTTGTGCCCCAACAAAAGAGGTTTCTAGGAGGAACTGGACCTAATGATAAGATTTGAGAGGAGGAACGCCATGGACAGGTGTGAAGGGTTTCCAGAGAGGAAAGCAGGTGAGGCAGGGGCCCACCTGGAGCTTTCCATGGGCTGTGGTGTGGGGAGGTGGCAGGAGACCCAGGCGGCCCCAGCTGAGGAGAGATGGGGTTGAATATGCGACTCGGCACTAGCTTTTTAAAATAAAGTGACTGATTTCCCTGCACTCGCTTCCTTGGGCTGTCTACCTGGGGATGGTGCAGTCCAAGTGGCTCAGTGTCTGGGGAATTTGATCTAAACAGAAAGCCCATCAGGAAAATTCGGCCTCTGCAGATAGTCCACTTATTTCTCATTAACAGGGGTTTGGGTTTGAATTATGTTGATAATTGCCTCAACTCTCCACTTCATTTTGCCTGTAGACACTTACCCTCAGAGGGGTATTTTGAGGATAAATGAGATACAGGCAAAGTGCTTTGAACTCCTGAGATGAAAGGTAGCATATCAATACAGGCCTTCTATTATTAAGATGCTTCAAATTGCCAATACGTGTATATTTATAATACCCATTACAATCATGGGATATCTTTTCTCTCCTTTTTTATTTTTTATAAGAAGAAGGCAGGAAAATCTAATTTTTTTAACCACACTGCTTTTGTGCACTTAACATTAACCTTTCCTTCCAAATGTCATTAGCTGCTAATTAAGATGTTGATTTGCAGATTGTATATCTTGCAATAGAAGTGATTTGTGAACGCTTACTAGGTGTTTATCAACCTACACCACTCATATTGGTTTAGCAAGAGCCTGGTGCATTTTAATTTACTGAGCAGTTTCCCAATTCTCCACTTACTTCTCCATGTGCATAATGAGAAAAAAAAATGATAAGAGAGGAAAAATGGGAAATACTATAAATAGTTGCTAAAGAAAAATACCATAGGAAAGAGTTATGGCTCTAAGTAGGTACTAAAAGACTGAACAGATTGAATTTATTTTCTCTCTTTAATGGGATACTTTAAGGCATAAAATGTGCATGTCGGTTATGTGAGCAGGTGTGTACCTGTATGGATGTGTGCACGTACAAACTGATTATAGTCAGCAAAAGGAAAATGATGGACAGACTTTCTGAATTTTCTGCAATGCACATGCTTTTGTTTTCCAGGGTTGGCCTGTGCCTTTGCCATGCACCTATCTGTAAGATTTCACAAAGAACCTTCTTGCTTCTCAAATCACCCTTAAATCAAAGAAATACAAGAATCATTTAGTTCCTGCAAAGGATTCTGCAACATGGGGACATTTCCACAGGACTTTTTAATATAATTTATGAATATTTGCTAGCAACATAATTGTCTTTTCTGCTGACATTTTCAAAGCAACACTGTGATTTGTTGGGTCTCTGGAGAGTCCAACTACAAAACTGATAATTATATTAAATATACATAGACAATAAAGAGTGTGTTTACATAACTATGCCCATAAATATCTGATTGAACAGTCATTGTTCTCAAACCCCTTTTAAGCAGCTCTCTAAGGATTCCAGTTCTAATGACATGATGGTTTAAAAGATGTTGCTCAGTCTTGTTCCATATTTAATTAACTTTCCTTTTTTAAACTTGTGATGGCAGAGACAATAACAAATAGCTCTGAAAAGAGAAAGCGCTTTGAAACATGAGTGAGGCCTTGTCAGGCTTTGTGCGGCACAGACAGGAGGAGATGGGCGTGTGAGCATCGCTGGCCTGGGACCTCCGGCCCTCCCCTGGGATTCTATTATGAGGCCATTCAGAGCTCTCTAATCCCGTACACCTTCTCTCGCACACATGCATCTGTGTATCCAGGCTTCGTGCACATGCTCTTGCATGTAAGCAGCTGCATCTCTAATGATTTCTTCCTCTGGAAACAAAAAGATGAAAGCAAATTGGAAAACCAGCAAGATCTGAGAAGCAGGAGGCAGAGGCAGGGTAGTGTAGTGGAAAGAACAGGGGGCTGGCCCTTGGCTCTAACCACTGCATTTTAATCTTGGATAAGTGTATTCATTTCTTACTGCTGCCATAACAAATTACAAACTTGGTGGCATAGAACAACACTAAAGTATTACCTTATACTTCTGGCGGTCAGAAGTCAGAAGTGAGCTTCATAGAGCTAAAATCAAGGTGTCAGCTGGGCTGCTTCCTTCTGGAGGCCCTAGTGAAGAATCTGTTTTCTAGAGGTTTCCATATTTCTTGGCTCACAAGGTGTTTCCACCTTCAAAGCCTTCAGTGGCTGGTTAAGTCTTTCCTATATCACATCTCTCTTACCCTGACTTTCCTGCGCCTGTTTTCCTTTTTTGTTTTCTTTTTTCTTTCTTTTTTTTTTTTTTTTTTTTTTTGAGACAGAGTCTCACTCTGTCACCTAGGCTGGAGTGCAGTGGTGCGATCTTGGCTCACTGCAACCTCTGCCTCCCGGGTTCAGGTGATTCTCCGGCCTCAGCCTCCCAAGTAGCTAGGACTACAGGCATGTGCCACCATGCCCAGCTAAGTTGTTTTTTTTTTTTTTTTTTTTTTTTTTTTAGGCTTTTTAGTAGAGACAGGGTTTCACCATGCTACCTGGATGGTCTCGATCTCCTGACCTCGTGATCTGCCCGCCTCGGCCTCCCAAAGTGCTGGGATTACAGGTGTGAGCCACCACGCCTGGCCTGTCTTCCATTTTTAAGTACCCCTGTTACTACACTGGATCCATTCAGCTAATCTACAACGATCCCCTTATCTCAAGATCCTTAATCACATCTGCGAAGTCCTTCTGCCTTTAAGTTAACATATTCACAGGTTCCAGGGATTAGGACGTGGACACCTTTGGGGGCCATTATTCTGCCTACCACAGTAAGTCAACTAATATTATCTGTTAATGAGGGAGGCAGTATGAAGTAGATTTGTTCATCCAACAAATTAAGGTCTGGATGACACAATAGTAAATAAGATAAACTCAATCCCTGTCCTCAACAGAGCTTTCAGTATTAAGGGAGAGATAAGCATTATCCAGAAAAAGTAAACACGGCTAATTTCCGCTGTGTGAAAGGCTACAGAAAGAAGTGTAAGCATGAGGAGAGTGTTTTACAAAGCAATCTGGCCTACCTGTAGGTGAAAGGGGCAGGAGCAGTCAAGGAAGGCTTCCCTGAGGAGGTGACATTAAAACAGAGACGTAAGAAATGACTTGGAGTTATTCAGGTCAAGTATGTGCAGAGGGTGGGCCTGGTGGAGGAGCTGATGAGGAACTTCCAGTAAGAGGGCATAGCCAATGCCCGCATTTAGGCTCGGAGTGTGGAGTGGAGGAACTGAGAAGTGCCTGGGGCTAGCATGTAGAGACAAGAAGAAGAAAGCTTTGCTATCTCATCTATTGAGCTAAGGGAGGCAGTGGGAAGTTAATGCTTACAGGCATTAGCCAAAGGTCAGGCACTGCTCCATGAGGTTTATATGGAGCTGATTCCTGTAAGATAGATACTATCACAATCTTCATTTGTAGATCATAAAACTGAAAGTCAGAGAAGCTACATGACCTCCCCAAGGTAACCCATCTGGCAGAACCAGGACTCACACTAGAGTGTGCCCTCAATCACCGTGCAATCACTGTCCTGCTTCTCAGGCAGGATTGCGGGACCTGGACATTTAACCATTATTCTAAGGGCAATTGGGAGCCATAGAGGAATTTCAAACACTTTAGATGGAGTACTCTGGGTAATTGATTGGAGACATCAGACCAGGGAGGAAGCAGTAACTCTCAGGTGAAACAATATCGGCCCAGTCTGCATGGCAACAGTATGGATGGGGAGAAATGGAGAGATTCAGTAAATATTGAGAGTCAAATCGACAAGTCTTGCTTATTGATGTGGGGTGAAGGACAGAAGGAGGTGTTAAAGATGATGCCCTTGCTTCCAGCCAGATCGTAATAGAAGGAGCCGTCAGTTTTATCCTTCTCAAGCAAAGGGCTCATGTGAAGCTGCGGACGACAAATGTAAACATATGCTAAAACCCTAAAACCAAGGAGGAGCTTCTTACATGAATAAGAAAATAAGCTAGGACTTACAGGTGTGAGTGGATTTCAACTTCTCAATGAAAATTCAGCAGAATTGCTCTGTGGCAGTCCTTCTGCAAGAGGCGAATCCTGCTCACCATCACTGCTATGATTCTGTGTTTGTGCTGAGCTCTTTCTAATTATCATCAATTATGATTCATTTACTTTTAGGTGTCTTGCTTGTCATAATATTATCATTTGTAAGTCTTTCCCTTTGCAGGCTGTGAGAATCTGTTGTGACATCTCAATAAAGCAGTATTCAATCAAGGTGTGAATGAATTGTTAATCTTGTTATAAATAGAAGGTACCATATGTCAGGATGCAAGGGATGTCTCCTTCTTTGTTGCAAACAATGTTCCTGAAACTAAACAAAAGAAGTTTCGGAAATAGCTGGTTCAGCTCACCAAGCTTCCAATTATATAATGGCCGACAAGTCTCCGAAGTGGATTCAGATTTCTGGTAGTCGTCTCCCCACTTATTTAGAATCATCATTTGAAAGAAAAAATTAGTGTCAGGTTTGGGTATCGGAACCCCAGGGATCTCCATTCCTCCTGATTTTGACTGTGGAGTTAGCCTTACAATTCTCTGTGTCTTCTAGAGGCACATCCGACGAGCCATTTGATCAAAATATCTTTTTCCTTCTTTACCTTTTCCCCATGGTGTGCGGATTTAGAAAAATAAGGCTAAACTGACTGAGCTCCAGCCCAAACCAGTTCATGAAAAATATACCGTGAATCTTTTTTTACACGTGCACTCTCAGCGGTGAGGGCTCTGGCCCGCTCTGTCCCTGATAACACATCCTAAATGTGCTCCTCAGCACCTGCAGCAGTGTGTTTTCTGAGGAAAGCCTGCGTGTGCTCAGAGGTCCAGCAAACGCCAGAACCAATAAAGCTTAAATTAGCATCCCATAATCTAGAGCTATTTCCCCGCTGCTCTTCCAGAGCCCTCCCCAACGCCTCCTCCTCCCCCAACTCCTAACCCAATCAAAATGTGTTTGTACCTTGTTCCATTTCTTCAGGGCCTCTCTAAGTGACTAGCTTGTTAGTTCAAGATAAAGTTAATGGCTAATAATATTTCTCCCCCAGTGCCCAGTGGCATTTCCACTGAGGATCAATGCAGAATGGTGGAAAGAGCTTGGATTTTGGCATCAGCCTTGTTTGGGTCCAAGTGCTGGCTTTTCTATTCACTAGCTGAGTGTTCTGGCTGTATTTTTGGGTATTTGTTTGTTTTGAGACAGTTTCTCTCTGTTACCCGGGCTGGAGAGCAATGGCACAATCTCGGCTCACTGCAACCTCTATCTCCTGGGCTCAAGTGATTCTCCTGCCTCAGCTTCCCCAATAGATGGGATTATAGATGCCCGCCACCATGCCTGGATAATTTTTGTGTTTTTAGTAGAGATGAGGTTTCACCATGTTGGCCAGGATGGTCTCGAACTCCTGACCTCAGATGATCTACCTGCCTTGGTCTCCCAAAGTGCTGGGATTGGAGGCGTGAGCCACCATGCCCAGCCTGGCTGTTTTTTCTAAAAAGTTTTTAGAGATTATAGCCCCACCTGTAAAATCGTGATTCATACATCTTGGAGTTGCTATGAGGATAAAAGAAAATAATGTGTGTTAAGCAGCTAGTACAGAAACTGGCCTATTTATTGACAATTGGGCAGAGGCCAGATGCAGCCCCCTGGATACCCACCTCAGCCATCAGTCACACTGACCATCTGGAGACTGGGATTGTCATTCCCTTCTTCTCTCCAGCATTTTCTCCTTCCCCTCTTTTATTCCTGCCTTCCTTCCTTTTATTTTTCCTTTCTTCTTTCTTTTCCGGTGGTTCATTGAGCTCCTGCTGGCTTCAGAAGATGCTGTCTCCTTATTTTTCACTGTTACTAATACAGGGTGCAAAGTGCATCATGGCACAAAATATGAGAAGGTGCAAAGTGCCGTGCCTGGTAAAGAGCCATTTAGAACAATAGCCCTTCTGCCCTATCTCTCCAACATTCACTGTCAACTTGTTTCACAATAGTCATTAAAGACACGAAGGAAGTGTTGATAAGCTCCGTGATTCATTCAAGGGCCAAGGTTAATTTTTATTTATTCCCAGGTCATCACAAACAGAGGCAGATGGTGGTGGCATTTCCTTCTTGCTGGGAGCTCAGATACTATCTGGACAGATTTCAGCAGGCTTTGTATCTGCTACCTCTCAGCGCCACAGTTTTCCTGGATAAAGCCCCAGCCACCCAAACTGCAGACTGATTTTATTTAACCAAGATGACTTGCAGTAAGTAATTGAGGTCACTTGGACCTTGCTGGAGGAAAGCCAGCATTGCCAAGGAGAATGGCTGACATCGTTTATCCTTCAGTGGCTCTTCCTTTAGAGGATTTATTTTTGGTGACCCATTTGGGAGGTAGCTTACTAAGCTGTGACTATCAGTTTATTGAAAAGTGACTTTCTTGGAATTTTACTAGTATCAGGTGACTTTGGGATGGTTTGAAACAACTGGCTGTGGAATCTACTTATGTAGCGCTATAGAAACGATCATAAAGTCATATCCAGAGTTAATTGGTTTCCTGCTACACACGTGTAAGTAGACTATGTGGCTCCTACTTTCAGAGCTTACATTCCAGGTGAAGACAGCAGTCATAGCATATTCACAAATAAAGCCTGAGACTGTAATGTAGTATATGGTTGGTGCATTTGTGGGCAGCGTACAAATGCCAGTCAAGTGCCCATCCTGCTCCTTCAGGCTCACAGAAAACTGAGAACAGCACAGGGAGATAGATGAAGAGCAAAGAGTATCAGCTTTACTCCTGGCTGGATGGAACCCAGTAACTCCTCAAAGCAGAGCTTCCAGTTGGTCTGGAACCAAAGAACAGCTTCCATGTGGCTTCCCCCAAGTAGACTTGGAGGTCTCTCCGGGGAGTTGGGTCTTCACATCAGACTGACCAGCACACTGCAGGGATCATGAGGCCAACTTGGGCCGAGCAACAGACAGATCAGAAAGCACCAAAGTGAGACCAAATTGAGGCCCCAGAATTGGCTCTTGCCTCTGTTAATGTGGCCCAGTGGTTGCCAGCTTCTCCCGATCTTACCAAAAATGTCACTTCTTTTCTGCAGAGAGGAATAAGTAAGAAGGTGAAGGGAAAGGTCAACTGTTCCCGTGCGACTATTACTCCCTCCTGTGAGTGGGGCTGAGTTTTTTTTGTTATGGAAATGAGAGGACCAGAATGAGTATTTGTCTCCAAGTTGTAATTTAAGAACACAAAGCTGGAGATCAGAAGGCATCAAGAATGACGAGACTTAGAAGGATTAAGACTAGGAAGCTGGACATATTCCCCCGGTGGGGCATGCTCTGGCTCTTCTGAATTAAATGTGGTGCTGGCTAGGGGAGGATTGTGGGGTGCCTGGAGCATTCGGTGGCAGTTCACACAACCAGACAGCCTCAGAACCATTCAGGCAGCTGGGACAATCAAAGGGACGAACTATTGGCAAGCAGGAAATAATCAGAGAACCAGGTCAATCAGGAGGCAGGCAAAATAGCACTGAGGAGGTCTGACATCAAGTAACAGGATGGAGCTTAGGTCAGGCTGGGCAGGAGACAGGCAGAAACACAATTGTGGAGAAACTGAAACCCTGTAAGGATACTCAAAGTGAAGCTCAGGAAGAACAGGGCAAGAGAAGGCTCTCTACAGCCTGCGCAACATAGTGAGACCTCATCTCTACAACAAATACAAAAATTGGCCAGGCGTGGTGGTGTACATCTGTGGTCCCAGCTACGCGGGAGGCTCAGGTGGGAGGATCGCTTGAGCCTGGGAGGTTGAGGCTGCAGTGAGCTACAGTTGTGCCACAGCACTCCAGCCTGGGCAACACAGCATGACCTTGTCTAAAAAAAAAAAAAGAGAGCGTGAAGGTGCTCTAAAAAAAACCTAGAGCATCAGTCAGAAAACAAGCCAGAAGACAGTTTTTAGCCCTGAGGCACCAGGTTTGAGGGTATTGCAACGGGACTGATCTGATACTATTAATAACTACAAGCACTAAGGAATTAAAGCTCTAAAATGTCTTAACACAGTTCCTGTAACCCTTGAAGGATTTAATAAACATTATTATTTTATTTTTTGATTTGATTACAATTTTGTTATTTGATTAAAAATAAATTTTATTATTATATTTATTATTTGATTAAAAAGCTGAAATTAGCTTGAGTACTAATTTTATTATTTGATTCTATTGATTTTATTTTTTCTTTGATTAAAAAGGTGAAATTAGCTTGAGTACTAAGTGACGGTTTTCTATTCAAAACCTATTTTGAATGGTGGACTCTTCACCCTTGACACCAAAGGGGTGATCAAATCTGGGTGAACCCAGATAACTTTTGGGCGCTGCTACATTCTGTATCCTTGTGAAATCTACCAAGAAATCTTTTTCTAGCTCTTACTGGCATTTGTTTGGCCATCCTCTCCATGCTCAGGAACCAAATCTTGCCGAAATTTATCTTAAATAGAGGTACCTTAAAGGCAGAAAATAAATAATCCTGAATTTTCATGCCCTGAAGCTGGATATGAGGAAGAGGCAAACCTTAATAAAATGTTTCCAGGGAGGATGGTGATAGTTCCTATCAGGTAAGCATCACCAATATTAATATCCCGTCTCACTGGGTTGTTTTAGAAATCAAACGTGATCATGTGTGTAAAATGCCTAGTGCAATGCTGGCACCCAGCGTGTGTTTATAAATGATTGATGACCTTTCATTTGTTTTAAACCTAAAATTTCTAGGACATACCCTATCACCTCCCTATCTCATTATTGCTACCACACACACACACAAAATATGCTCTGCCACCAGCACATTTAATGATTAGCTGATGTTACAAAGAATAAAAACTGGAATCTACATGATAGAATTGTTACGAAGATGAAATGATTTGTATATGTAAAGGGCTTAGAAGAAAGGACGGCTGACAAGCGGTAAGTGCTCTATGTAAGCGTTAGGTGCTGCTAGTAATAGTAGTAATAGTAGCATCAAACTTCCTCGTTTCTGTGGCTTTAGATCCTACCATACATGATTAAATCAAATCCCAGGTACATTCTGAACACGGTGAAAATTTAGGTTTAAATTTTAAACCTAAAATAGACTTACTACTACTAACTACAACGAAGTAGTAAGTTTATTTTAGGTTTAAAATTTAAATCTAAATTTTCCAGTGATGAATACTACTAATACAAGTCGTAGCAGTCATTGTCATAGTATTTTCTATCAGATGCCCTCTCTATTGCTCATTGCCCTGCGGAGCAGAAGGGTAGATTTCAGAGACGATTCAGGAAGTGAGAAGTTCACTCGTATTGGCAGGAATGGATCCTGCTATGCTCAATGCAGGAACCCACCCCTACATCACCCTCATGTAGTCTAAGACATCTCTCTGGCAACATATCTCATGCATAGTCCACTGCATTTGAACCATGTTCACAGCCATTCCTTTTCCTACATCTATGTACCATTTCAGACTTTAGATGTCATCTTTATGAGAAGTCAGGAGATGAAGAAGGAATCTGGGAGAATTGTATTTCGAGATATTAATTAAAGTGATTCTGGCTGGGCGCGGTGGCTCACGCCTGTAATCCCAGCACTTTGGGAGGCCGAGGCGGGTGGATCACAAGGTCAAGAGATCGAGACCAGCCTGGCCAACAAGGTGAAACCCCGTCTCTACTAAAAATACAAAAATTAGCCGGGCATGGTGTCAGGCACCTGTAGTCCCAGGTACTCGGGAGGCTGAGACAGGAGAATTGCTTGAACCCAGGAGGCAGAGGTTGCAGTGAGCCGAGATTGCGCCACTGCACTCCAGCCTGGCAACAGAGCGAGACTCCATCTAAAAAAAAAAAAAAAAAAAAAAAGGGATTCAGTGATTCTTTAGATGATTGCATGGGACGAGCTTTGCTAGACTGGTGTAAATCTAATTGTTATTTTTCCCCTCTACCTGGCAGATGGTTGCTCGTGAAAGTGATCAAGTCAATTAATAGGAAAATGACAAAGCTATCAGTTCCCTGCACCCTTTGATGTATGATGCTGAGACACCATGGATATGAATGTCTAGGCTTTCACCATTTAACCTTATTCGTGTAGAAGAATCTTGGCTCATGGCCCCAGAGTGGTGACATTTTACTAGCTCCATTAATTAGCATCATAGTTTGGTAATGGTTTAGGGTTCCCAGGGATGAAGCATGTACACAAAAGAACAAAGAAATTTAAATTAAGATCTGGAGATTCTTGTGGTTAACGTGCAGCTGTATGTTCCAATATCAATCGATGAAAACATTGTCAGATATTGTCATACTTTTGGAGCTAATGAGTCCTGGCTTTTTTTCCTTGCCTCTACTCTCAGTACCATCCCCAGAGGCAGGTTCCAGATGTGTCATCGTTGTAGGCAGGTCAGTCTGAGCTCGGGTAAAGATCAGTATTTAATTCCTTTTCCTATTTTTTGTTGACCTGGGATGACAAAAAATGAATGGGTTCATTTTTTGACTCACTGAACCCATCAGTCTCCCTTGCTGTAATCTGACTGATTCCTTCCTTCTCCCAGAATCCAGTCCCCTGTGTCCCATCATGTCCCCATTCTGATACTCCTATGGTCTTTGATCCCCAGGAGTTTGGTTGAGAAGTTCTCAAAGCTGCTGGCCTGTTGGTCTACCTGTCTGCATTGGCTGTGGCCAGTGTGTGGGCTCCTGTGGGGAACCCCTGTGTCCTCCTCAAGGACCAAAGTGTGCTCTTGGGCTGCACTTTGAAATTCAGGAATTTCCAGGTCCCTGGACATGATATCCAGGCAGACCAAACTTTGTCAGCAGGATCCACGCTGCCCAGAGTGTGGGTTGCATATTCGTTCATTAACAACACTTGTCCAGCACCCAGCGTGTACTAGCACTATGTGGGGTGCTAGCAATACAGCAGTGACAAGACAGCCACAGTCTCTTTCCTCTGTAGGGCTTTTGGTCCAGCTTGAAGATTAGGAGCCAGGTTCTGAACCCCCACCTACTCCTTATCCACACACCCTGTTCAGAATGTACCTGGGATTTGATTTAATCATGTACGGTACGACCCAAGGACACAGAAATGAAGAAGTTTCTACTCACAGATCCTGAGAAACAGGAGACAAGGTGCACCACACAGGCCACATGGGGAAGCACCAGGGTTGGTCAGGAGCAGATGGAGCGAGGAGAAAACATGGACAATAATTTATTATGTTTTTTCGGGGAGAATAGGTGAGGCCAAGTAAGCAGGTTAAGCAGGTTTAGCACTGGCTAGTTTGAATAATTGTAGTGGGTTCAGGGGTGCTGGGGCTGTTCCTAGTTGCCGGGTACTAGGCCCCGGGGTGATTAGGGCAGGTGGAATGTGGTCTCGAATATAGAGTCCCGTGGGAGCCCAATAGAGGAGCTGGAGGAGGATGGGCTCCAATCGGTTGGTTTGCATATGAAAGGCGCGCTCCAGGTGAGTCATTTACTATCTCCAGGAATTTTAGCTAGCTCCGGGAGAGGCAGGCTCTCCAGGGTCAGCAAGGCCCCGGATGTCAAAGCATCAGAATTAAAAGACAAGCTTAATACACACTGCTTTGATGACTCTGAAAATGTGACATGAACTGTGTCCTCTGAACCAAAAGACTTATTCTGATAATTTCAAAAAAAATGACAGAAATTCATCTTTATTAGCACACAGGCTGTTTCTTCTGTTTGGGCTTGACAACCTAAAAAACTCCTACTGATTGTTCCTCTGCTAGCTCCTCTGTGAAGCCCTGGCTGAAGTCATGTGTACAGGTGAACACCTGGCTCCTGGACTCCCACAGCACCTTTTAAATACTCTGAAGAAGGGGCTGGATGCAGTGGCTCTTGTCTGTAATCCCAGTATTTTGGGAGGCTGAGGTGGGAGGATTGCTTGAGCCCAGCATTTCAAGACCAGCCTGGGCAACATAGAGAGACCCCATCTCTACTAAAAAAATACAAAAAATTACCCCAGCATGGCAGTGCATGCCTGTAATATCAGCTAATCAGGAGGCTGAGATAGGAGGATTGCTTGAGCCTGGGAGGCTGAGGCTGCAGTGAGCCATGATTGTGTCACTGTACTCCAGCCTGGGTGACAGAGTGAGAACCTGTCTGAAAAAACAAACAATAAACCAAAAATAGTCCCAAGAAGCGTTTCTCATGTGGGTTATTGCTACGTGTTGGTTTCTCTATCTCCTGATTATTTGTTGAACTCATTGGATGAAAAGATGGTATCTTGATTCAATTCTGTGACACTAGTGGCATGCATGACACCTGATAGAAACATTGATGGTAAATAAAATTAACAATTGTTCTTTAAACTCTTTATTGCTCCTAGGCTGCAAGAGCTTTCAGGAACATTCTGCTAATGAATAGGAACTAAAATTTATTGAGCGTGGATGGTGCAGCAGACATTGTGCTGAATGATTCACATCCATGTGCAACTTGGCCTTCACAGCAGCCTTATGTGATGGAGGCCTTTCCCCAATGTTAGAGATTAAGAAATTAAAGTCCAGGGAGTTTGTTCCACGATTAAAGTCACACAGTGCTGAAGAACCCAGGACCCCACCCCATTGCCTCCCAGTCACCACTACCTCTTGAGCCAACCCCAACTCAGCCCCCCTCAGAGCACACATGGCCCTGAACCTCCTTTCTCTGTGAAAAAAGTCCCCCAAAGACTTTGTACATTGGCTCTGCCCACAGGGGAACATCCACTTAGGTGCACTTAGGGAAAAAGCCACCAAGTGAATTATGCAGTGGGGACCATTACCTCTATACTCCCACTGATAACTAAAGCATATGGTTGCTTAAACCGAGGTATTCCCTTTGGCTTATTACATTCATTACTTCCTGTCAGTTAGAGTTCACCTGCTTCAATTTTACTAGAATGTGTGAATTGCATATTTCATACATTACTTAGCAGGAACCCACCCCAAGTCAATTTTTTGCACAGAATGACAGTTATAGGGAAGTTCAGAGATCTTATTTGGTCTTAGAAACGATTATCTTTCTCAATGAAATGCCGAATAAGGTGCTAATTAATAAATGTTTAACGTTATTCTGTATGTAGAGACATAATTCTACATCAGTCTTTGATACATAAATATGTATCACACAGATATACATATTCTCATCCTTTTTCTCATATAATCTCTGATTTTGAATCATGCCCACACTCAGCCTTGAGACCCTGGGCAAATACCTTTCTGAACCCCACTTTCCTCATTTGTAAAACGCAGATGTCAAGTGTTCCGAGGTTGTTGTGTGGATTTAGGGAGACACCTATGTAGTTCAGGTTCGAAATTTATTATTTTAACAACTAGCCCCAGAACTTCTCATTTGAAATTCAGGGAGAGAACTTTGTACAAAAGTATGTTGTTAAGCCTCTTAGGGTGGCGACTCCGAGGGTAAACATGTCTGCAAAAGCCAAAGCAACGAAAGGAAGCCTTGAAAATACTGTCCACGAGCAAAGTGGAAGGACTCACTTTTGCTCAAATGTGGGAAGAGGAGGGTGGTTGGGAAGGGTGCGGGAGAGAGGCCATGGGGATGGTGTGAGGTCGGGCACCCAGTGGGGAGCAGCTGTGACCTCCCCAGCCACTGACTGAGGGACTCATTAGGCGCTAGTGCTAAACATTGCACTAACTAAACGTTGTTCTGTCTCCCAGCTCACACGCTCCATGCATCTATTCTTCTCAGGAACGCTTCTGCAGGGGTGCCGTTTGCTGTGGGTAATCCAGATGCCAGCCGTTCCCTTATTCTGTGGCTCCTGCTTATGTGACTATGTTTTCACTGAGTGTCAGGCCAGTCAGGCCAGAGACAGGACTCGTCCCCTGTTTTACGCTCCCCATAAAGAGTGAGCTCACTCAGAAGCATTAGCAAGCACTGCGTCTTGACTGAAGATTTTGTGGAGAAGATAGCAGAAGAGGTTTAACGTGGCCCAATCCTCAACAATAACCAAATCAAACCAAACCAAAGCAACAACAACAACACAAACTTAGGAATATGCTCTAGACCCGTCTCATCTCCAATGTCCCAACTTAGCAGCTACACCACCTGTCGCCTACTGTGGTCCTTTCTCCTCCAGAGCTCAGGGTTGCTGGCTTCTTCTCCGGAAAAATGCAAACTCCTTTCCTTAGTTTATGTTCAGCAATTTAGGCAGCATCTTTTGTTATAGGAGCAGACCCTTGGACCCTCACTCTCCAACCCAAGCAATTTATCAGAATATTTCTTGCTCTATGGCTCATGTCTGTAATCCCAGCACTTTGGGAGGCCAAGACATGGGGGGATCACTTGAGTTCAGGAGTTCGAGACCAGCCTGGCCAACATGGAGAAACCTCGCCTCTACTAAAAATACAAAAACTAGTTGGATGTGGTGGCGCATGCCTGTAATCCCAGCTACTTGGGAGGCTGAGGCAGGAGAATTGCTTGAACCTGGGAGGTGGAGGTTGCAGTGAGCCGAGATCGCGTCACTGCACTCCAGCCTTGGCGACAGAGTGAGACTATCTATCTATCTATCTATCTATCCATCTATCTATCTATCTCTGTATATATAAATATTAATAGATATAGATATATAGATATTTCTTGCTCCAAAATGCATCATTCTCTGGTACATTGATGTTTTCCCCAACAGATTCTCTATGGAAATTTAAAAATGGAGCTGATGTTTGTGTCTTTGGTACTGTGCAGAGCAGAGGCAGCCTGTGTTGGAGTGCGATGCAGGTGTCAGGCGGGGCCATGCTGGAGTGAGAATGGAAGACCCACCTTCTTCCCACCCTAGATTCCCTGACCATGGGAGCAGGGAAGAGGGTCAGATTTGAACTTCCATTGAGCATGGAGTAGTAAAAGTGATCTTCTTACCATCTCAAGAGCTGAGAATCTAATTTGGTATGACAGCAGTACACAACACCTGGACCACAGTAAGTGCTCAATAAAAGTTAGTGGATCACGAGGTCAGCAGTTCAAGATCAGCCTGATCAACATGGTGAAACCTCATCTCTACTAAAAAGACAAAAGAAAAAAAAATCAGGCAGGCGAGGTGGCGTGCGCCTGTAATCTCAGCTACTCAGGAGGCTGAGGCAGGAGAATCACTTGAACCCAGGAGGCAGAGGTTGCAGTGAGCCAAGATCACGCCATTGCACTCTAACCTGGGTGACAGAGCGAGACTCTGTCTCAAAAAAAAAAAAAAAAAAAAAAAAGAAAAACACCTCCTCTTCCACCTGCCCCAACCATGATTAACATTGCCTTTGCTCCCCACAACCCTGACCAAAATTAGCCAAGACACTAAGAAACCAGGACTGTGATCAAAGAAACTTCCTTGGGCTGCGATTGACATATACAGAAAGCCTTGGGTACATTTTGGGTACTTGGGTACTCACCCTCTTGTTTCCTTGAGCTAAATGGCATGATGATTCTCAACAGAACCCTCACAATTCTCTCTGGGAAGTTCGAATGTCTCCTGTAATTTAGCTAAACAGCTTCTAGGTATCACAGAGAAATTCGTTGCTCATGAAAGGAAAATGGATCCCCACGCTTTGTTCTGGAGACATTTTAATATCCATCTGGGTCTCCTTGGGGCCACGTGGCTCGTTCTGTTCCCCAAACTGCAGTGAAGGGACAGTCAACACGTGAGTTCTCATGCCATGCTGCTCCTCTGTTTACTGCTCCTTTATTTACATAAGTAGAAATTCAACATCCTAACATGTTTTGCAAGCTGTCATGACATGAGAAGTTAGTAATCTGCTATATTTTGCTTGCTAACATATTTTTGACATATTTTAGCTTTTGATTATAAGATTGCGTCTTTGCCTGCTACCATCTGTCTCGATTCAATGGAACTCTGGCATTTACGAAAACAGTAGGGTGTAGTATTTCTTATAGACTTGAACTCTACCAGAAACATGCTATTTCCAGTCTTAACCAATATGTCCTGCTTTCACACGCAAAGTCTGAAATGTTTGATATCTTGCAAGATCTGCCAGGAATAAGGAACATATCTTCACATCCAATTTGGCTGGGATGAGAAATACATTAATAAGGGGAAGGGAGCAGTCTCCAGCTTCTAAACAGAGGTGGCCTTTGATGTGGTTTATATCCTCTTGACTATGCTTATCCTTTTATCAGCATGATTAAGATCTTCCATGGAAATACATCTTCTTTTAGACTTTTAATCTCCCAGCAGCCAACATTCTTGAGACGTATTTTCCAGTGTGAAATGGTTATCTGCCAACATTTGACAATCAGGCATTTTCCTCCATGATGTCCTTTTTTTGTTCCTATCTTTACTCATTAGGGCAAATTACCTCTGGTTTGGCCCAAAGATTAGCTTGGTCCCTGTCTCTGCTGACAGCAGCAGAAGGACTGTGCAACACGGAGAAATGTGACATTGTATTAAAACAATGTGTTGGGGGAAAGCCCCCCAAAAATGCACAGGCCTAACATGCATTTATTCAACACCAAGCTTAAATGAGTTTATTATGCTCCTGGATTACACCCCATAGGCCAAGAAGCTGTCAACTATTGACATTTTCTTTTCTCTCCGTGTTCTGTGTTGAGTGTAAATATATTTGTCATGGGAATATATCGTATGTTTGGTTCAGTATATGCTCATTTCATCAGAAGGAAAGCTCTTATTATCTGTAATCACAGTCAACATCTTTGTTGCTTTAAGGAAAGAATGGGCTACAGCTTGAATTTACATATAGATCTGGTACCTTTCCAGATGCAGTTTTGCACGCTGTTTTAACCTGCATTTTGAATATGTGTAGCGTGATCTGTTTCTAGTGCAAAACTTCGTTCGTGGTAGAGAAATACTTTTAGTCAGTTGGGTGTGGACCACATCTAGTTGATTTTCTGCCTTGCAGCATGCTGCTGACTGTTCAGGAGCAGCCTGGTGCTAAATACATCAACTGAAATCACCATCAATGAAGAGGCCAAAGAGGAAGGCATTATGACTTCCAATTTCAACATCTTATGGCTACAAATCAAGTCCAAGCTGACTCGGCTCCCACATGCTCTTCCTTATCTGGTTTATGAGGATGGTGGCAACTGTTGAACAAGGAGAAAAGACTGAGTCTCTGGATAATTGTAATTGCGAATTTCTGAAGAGCAGGGATCTTGTCATACCTCTTTATCCTTTGTACCTGGCTCAGGGTAGGCAAATAACCCATGTGTGTTGAACTAAGATAAACTGAGGACCATATTTAAGCTAGTAGTTGAACAATGTGTGCTTTATTGAACTTCTATTAGGTGAAATCACCAAGGATAGTTTAAAAAATAAAACCAAATAGCAGATTCCTCATCCTTGAAAAAGTTGTAATCCAGTTTGAGGATAAATTAGTTTTGTTTCATTGAAGACAAACTAGTTTTGAAGGAAATCGTGAATTGTTAAGCTAGGTTGTAAGTGCAACAGGCATTCAGAGAAAGGAGATAATGTGGCAAATCAGATTTTATGAAGGAAGAGGGGCTTTTTGTGGGACCAGAAGACTGAGCAGGACTGGGTAACTGGAGAGGAGGAAGGAAACGTTTTGCACAGAGTGGGAATTGATAGAAGTGAACAATAAAAAAAGGAATGAATTAGATGTGCAAGGGAGGATGATGGAGCATGATGATGGGGCTTGATTGGCTTAAATAGGCTGAAGCAGGATAAGGTATAAGAATGGTGTACAGAGTTGGACAAAGTTAAGACACTCTGGAAAGTCAAAGGAATATTCAACTTTTGGTGGAAGATGAAGACCATTATTCCAGGCTCTCATAGGTAGGAGACATGATAAAAAGTGTAGTTTTTAGAAAGATTACAAGGGAGTGGTACAGAGGAATCAGAGGGGTAAGAGGTTACAACAGAGAAAAGGCAGTGATTCTAAAATGGACAGAAAAAGAGCTTGGATTAAATAAAGACAATAATAGTTAAAAACTTTTCTATATAGGTCATCTAATATGTTTCCGGTATTTCTAGCCACTGATGATAATATCAGCAAAATCCTACCATAATTTATAAGTATACTTATCCTTAAATTAAAGAAGGGAAAAGGGGCCTTAGAAAAAGCAAAGTAAGTTGGTCTAGGCTACATAGTTAGTAAGTGGCAGGAAAAGATCCAAACTTCATTTAAACTGCATCCTTTTTCACTACATTACTCTGGGAGTCATAGGTATTTATTAAATGAGTAAATGATGTGAAATAAGTGTTTTATAAAGATACATGGTGGCCATACACAAGGGGGATAAGGGGAGAAAGACCAGAAGCAGGTAAATGATAAGGGTGCCCCTAAGGTCCTATCACTGGAAATGGAAAGGAAAGAATAAACATAGAAATATTGCCGAATAAGAACATGGGAGTTGGTGTCTGATGGACTAAATGATTGAAAAAGGAGAAGAAGAACTGGGAAAGGAAAAAAACAAAACCAAACAAAACAAAACAAAAAAAAAAACAAAGACTGGGTGGCTACTGGTGACCTTGGCCAATTCATTTTCAGGAAGAGGATATTGCTGATTGATGGAAGCCAGCCTGCAGGTGAGTCAGAAGCGAGTCAGTGGTCAGGAAATGGAGGATGTGGGGAAGACCACAAATTTGAGAAATTTGGAAGAAAATGAAGGAAATAAATAAAACAGTCCTGTAAAGATGCTTCACGGTTAAGCAAAAATATTTTTTTTTTAAAGAAGTGAAGAAACCTGTGCGCATTTGAAGACAGAAGGAAAGTATGCAGAGGGAAGGAATATATTGAAGGAACTAGAGAAAGAGGGACCTCTGTACATTGAGGGGGTGAAAGCAGCAGGGAGGGGACAGGTTAGAATGGTAGGACTGCCAACAGAACTCTGCACGATGAGGAGAATGTTCTGTATCTGTGCCATTCCATATGGAAGCCATAAACCTCATGTGGCAACCAAAGACATGAAATGTTCCTAGTGAGACTGAGGAACTCGATTTTTTATTTTGCTTAATTTAAATTAATTTAAATAGCCACATTTTTAAATAGCCAGTGGCTACCATACTGGATGATGTAAGAGCCTCAGGGAACCAAAGGCTTTGGGACTAGACTCTTCCACTGACTCAGAAAAAGAAAGCAGAGAAGGAGAGAAGCCAGTGCTGTTCATACTCGGGAGAGGAAAAATGTGTTTGCCCCTCCCAGGTGACCTTGACTTTTTGGTTATACCTTGGTGATAGCCACATTATTAGATCATTAGATGAGGAGAGATCTTTGAAAATTCACATCCCCATGTGGACGTTGTGGTCTGAATCGTACTGTCTGAACCAACCATATGAGTTGAAGAATGGCCAAGTCTCACATGTCACAGCGCATCACCCTCAGTCTGTCTGCAGCCCTTGAGCAAGAGCCCCTTGTTCATGGAACAGAGATGGACAGGACTCTGGTAGGTTCCTTGGGATGAAGGTCATTTTGGAATGGGGCTTTCCAGTTTCTGAGAAGATATTGCTCACAATAAAGCCATCCTCTGATTTTCTATCCTGCATTCTGCTCCCACATCTCACCGTTACTTTGGATCTAGGCATTTTAAAGCCAAAAAGAGGTGATTCCCCTCAGAGGGATTTTTCTTAGACTTAGTTGACGTTTTCTTGAAGAATTTCCCACACTGAGAAATGAGTGTATGTTCTTCTCCGTATTCTGCAGGTACACAAAGAGAGAGCCCGAAATCAACATCCGCGGTTGCCCTGAGATAGCATCACCCATCGTTCCGCCGGTGCGCCCTCCCTGAGATGGTGGCGTGTGTTGTTTGGGCTGTTTTTCATAGCCGCCGCAGCTGGGAATTCAAGATGCTATACTTAGGCAGAAGTCCATGAAGGAATTAATTGATATGAGCCAGAAGTTGATTGCCATTTAAGTACTCAGCCTCCACCATTGCCAAGTTTCCCTCTTTGCAGAAAGAACTGAGCTTGCCTGCAAACTGGCTCATTCAGGATGTGAGCACAAGATGGAATTCAACCTTTAATATGCTGCAACACCTGCTTGGAAATAAAGGGGCTCTGTGCTTTTCCCCCCAAGGAGTTGACAGCTGACTTCATTACAGAGGAATCTGGCAGAGATGGTTGAGGCTACTCCGCAGTCTCAGGGGGCACTCACCCAGGAATGCAGTGCCAACCAGACCTGAGCTTTGGGACTCTGCCAGGAACCCATGCTGGCCTATTTTAGCCTAAATCATCCCTCTTTCTTGAACTCCAGTTTTCAGTGTCTTTGGTAGGCGCTTCCTCCACACAAGGGAGATGGTAAGTGTCTCTGGCCTGCTGAAGTTAAATGGAGAAGCATTTGCAGGTGCTCTATAATGGGATCTGGATTTCCAGGCTTCCTTTCTCAAGAGTTCTGCAGTGTTGCACCCCAACAGGCACAAACAGACACAAAGTCAGGCTGCCATGCTCTATAGAGCAGAACTTGAGGGTTCACTGGAGTCCTTGTCCATGTTCTGGAACTGACCCAGAGCTGCTCTGGGAAGCCTAGCCCAGCCTGTGGGGGTCCCTAGAGGGTCTCTGGCGCTGTGACCTTCCATTGTGGCTGGAACACTGGTTATGCTTGTCAGTTTTCCAAGTAGAATGTCAACCTTGTCACCCATTTACATGATTTCTAAATCGTATTAATCTGGCCCCCATTCACAACACAGAATTTAGCATTATCTGACTTGCATCAGAGAATATTAACTTTCTATCATTTATTATCCTTTATCACTCCCCAAAATCTGTCTGAAATCTAAAGATCCAGAAATAGGGGCAGCCTCATATAGAACACATCCATTCACTGGATTACTCAGTTCAGCATTAAGCAATGTGAATATGAAGGTCACAGAGCAGCTTCAAAACTGCACATAATGCTAATTGAAAACAAAGCATGATTTGAACTTTTATATACAAAAGTCATATCGTGCTTTCAAAACAAACATTTAAAATGGGCTGGAATGAGAATCAGAAAAACAAAACAAAACAAAACAAAACAGTTGATGCCAGAGGTCAAAACTGGCAATCCAAGATTCAAGCCTGGCCTGAAAGTGTGTCTCATATGGCCGACACAGTGGGGGCCAGCAGAGTTCGAATTAAAAAAAAATGGAATAGGTTGCCAACATTTGGAAATTGGAACATAGCATGTAGCCACCCGGATTGCTGGCTCCTCGGAAGGCACGGGGCAATCTGGCACTGGGAGTCTGTTTCCCTGCAGGCAACAGTGGGGCAGAGGAGGGGGCATTTGCTCTCCAGTTTGCTAGAGGCCCCTGCGCCAGTTTTCTCACTTGCTGAGTCTATAATCCCTGGACCAGGTGTAAGGGTGATGGGATTCTGGGTCATTTCTTCCTTTCTCCCTCTTCACAGACTTGCTATTGGTTATTATGTTACTTCAGGGTTAAAATAATCATGAAATGCCCCGTTGCAAAAATCAATGTTGAGGGAAGAGACTAAGGCCCACACCACTTCTCTACTCCTTGAACGTTCTTGTCTAATTTCTAGTCTTGAGTCAGGTACACTCACCTGAGAATGTCAGCTACAGAACCCAGTGGTTCTCAAACTTGGCCCCCTTAGAATCAGCTGAGGAGTTTCTGATGTCGAAGTTGTGCTCTAGACCAGTGGTCTTCAACTTTTTGGCACAAGGGACTGGTTTCGTGGAAGACAATTTTTCCATGGACCAGGGTCACCGGTGGATGGTTTTGGGATGATTCAAGTGCTTTACATTTATTGTGTACTTTATTATTATTACATTGTAATATATAATGAAATAATTATACAACTCACCATAATAAAAAAATCAGTAGGAGGCCTGAGCTTGTTTTCCTGAAACTAGATGGTCCCATCTGGGGGTGATGGGAGACAATGGCAAATCATCAGGCATTTGATTCTTATAAGGAGCCCTCAACCTAGATCCCTTGCATGCACAGTATAGGGTTTGTGCTCCTATGAGAATCTAAGGCTGCCACTGATCTGACAGGAGGCGGAGCTCAGGCGGTCATGTGAGTGACGGGGAGTGGCTGTAAATACAGATGAAGCTTGGCTCTGCTCCCTTGCCTGCCACTCACTTCCTGCTGTGTAGCCTGGTTCCTAACAGGCCACACAGACCCATAATGGTCTGTGGTCCTGGGATTGGCGACCCCTGCTTGGGACCAATTAAGTCAGGATCTCTGGGGTGGGACTCAGGCAATGGATGTTTTTAAAGTTCCCCAGGTCGTTCCAATGTAAAGAAGTTTGGGCCATTGCAAATCATGTACAACTTTGCATTACAGCAATTTCTCAACCTCTGTACTATTGACATTTCGGGCCAGATAATTCATTGTTGTGCGGACCTGTCCTGTGTACTGAGTTTGGCAGCATATTTGGTTGTACCCATAGATGCAGTAGCATTTCTCCAGATAAGAAAACACTGTATTAAGTAATAAAATTATGGTCAGGAATAGTGGCTATTATATTGGTCCCCTACCCATCTAGAAGGCCTTGGAGAAATTTCTTTTGGGATTAAGTGCTAGGGAAGCATTTTCTCTCTCGAGGAACTGATATATTCCTTCCTTTCTGGATGTTTTCCCCCCCTCTACTACCAGGAAGCTCCAAGTCAATGCTAAAACGCACTCAAAATCGAAACTGAAGCATAAAACAAGGCAACTACTGTAGTGTATTTTCTCCCCTCTGACTTCACATGATGCTGATTTTCCTATTAATGTTTTGTTCATCTTTAAGTTGCTTTTTTATATCCTTAGGGAAGGAGTTAGGATGTAAATATCAACAAGGTAACAAGCCAATGAGGGGAATGACTGCTCCAAGCACTGTTCAGCATTTATGACCCAAAGAACGGTTGGTTTTAAGGAGGAAGTACCTGCTAAGTAGGAACTACCTCCTAATTACTGGAGGATCAACCAGTTTTATGGAGCAAATAATGGTCAACTCCTGCAGCCTCTTGGCTTTGTATGGAAAGAGGCTGAACTGTGTCTGTGCTGAAGGAGCCCGATGCCCAGTCGTGTGGAGGCTTCTAGGGAGAATGGCGAACACAGCCTCTGATGCGTCCTAAGAATTCCAACTCCTGGTGTTTATACTAGAGTCTGGGAAGTCTCTGAGAGGCAATGTTGTTAAAGGCATCTTGGGATACATCCCTGGGTTGACACATTACCTGCTTTCTGTAAATACAGAGCAGCTTACCTTTAGTAAAATATAACTCACTCATTAATAATCAGACATTTTAAAGCTTTTAAAAAAATCATTACTAAGCATGACTATTTCATTCTAAATGCAAAATCCTGAATGGACCAGAGATCTTAATTTTTAAAAAATATAGCTGAGTATTTTAATTATAGATGTACTTGCATATTCTCAGCATACTTCATTATTTATGTAGCTGGTGAAAAAGCTTTTTAATTAAATAGCGTGCTGGCAATCCATTGTGAAATGTATAGATGCAGGTTTTCCTAGCATTATGAAGCTGAATACAGATGTTTGCCAACTTACGATGGATTTAGCCGGATGTAACCCCATTGTAACTTGAGGAGCTACTGAATGTGTATTACTTTTGCACCGTGATAAAGTAAGCTGGGCCAGGCGCAGTGGCTCACGCCTGTAATCCCAGCACTTTGGGAGGCTGAGGCGGGTGGATCACGTGGTCACGAGTTTGAAACCAGCTTCGCCAACATAGTGAAACCCCGTCTCTACTAAAAATACAAAAAATTAGCTGGGCATGGTGGGCGCCTGTAATCCCAGCTACTTGGGAGGCTGAGGCAGGAGAATCGCTTGAAGCCGGGAGGCGGTGGTTGCAGTGAGCTGAGATCGTGCCACTGCACTCCAACCTGGGTGACAATGCGAGACTCCATCTCAAAAAAAAAAAAAAAACCAAAACAAAACTGTAAGCTGAACCATTGTAAGTTGGGAACCATCTGCACACACGCACACACACACACACAACATTCTGGTGAGCACACATACTTTAATCACTATAAAATACTTGTTTCTGAATGATCTTAAAATTTGACCAAACTGTTTTTATATTGCTAACATAATAGGGTAATTTGCCACCACTCCACTTGATTGCTTATGTTTAATGTATTCAACTAATTTGGAAACATGGTAGGGTAGTGGTTCTCAACGTGTGGTCCCCATACCAGCAATACCAGCATCACCTGGGAACTCCTTAGGCAGTTTTGAGCCCCACCCCAGGCCGACTGAATCAGCAGCTCTGGGAGTTGGGCCCAGCACCCCAGGATGTACCAAGCTCTCTAGGTGATCCTGGAACAGGTTAAGGCTCGAGAGCCATGGGATGGGGATTAACTGTGGTGCTGGTAATCTTGGTTTCATCAATGGTTCTCCTGGTGACACGTGGTCACAACAAAGGCAACTGGTCCCTGCTTTTAGTTCCCCACCAAAAAAGTGCTGTGAGGATTCTTGTTTGTTTAAGGTTCAAAGATCTCAGAGCTTAGAAGAGGTCAAAAGACTCACAGTGGCTTAAATATTTTCAGCATAGTTTGCATGAAGGTTGCCCATGAATACCAGGTCTTTACTTACCAATTTTGACTAAACGTGAATATCAGGGTTCACGTTACACATAGCAATTCTTTTCTTCTTTCAAAAAACAAAAAGAAGCTCTGAAATTAGAGCTCTTACTTATTGACCGTTGGATGGCAGGCTGTAGTGGAGGCAACCTTCCAGAGATGCCCCATGCCTGGGTGAAGGCTGATGACCAGGTTCTGTTACCTTCCCGGGCTGGAGGAACCAAGGCTGGGAGGTAAAGGAACTCCCATCGGGAGGCAGTGCCAGAACTACAACTAACAACCATCTGACTCCTTGCTCTGTGCTTTGTCTTCTGAATGAACAATGCTGCTTCTTAAGTACACATAAGCCAAACTGCCTCTCAAATTGCAGCCATCTACTTTGAGTTCAGATTTGCACAGCATGACATGAATTGGGCTGCAAATTATGCAGAAAACAGCCATCACATCCATCTGTGATGTCAGAATCCTCAAGTACAATGTGACCTGTTAGTATGTAACAGAGTAGAAGGATACTGTGTCTGATTCCTTCCCTATGAAGAGTGATGAATATCCTTCCAGATGCATTTGGCCCAGTGTGAAAAGGTTAAATATGATTGAGGTAATGCCTGTGATATGCTCAAGAGCAGATTTCATATCCAAGGGTGCAGGCAATTAGATTTTTTTTAATGGTGTAGTAACTAGAGAAAGAAAACACACAAATACACTCATACCTAATGGTAAACTGAATTTATTTCCTCTTGGAA
This sequence comes from Homo sapiens, assembly GCF_000001405.40. Lineage (NCBI taxonomy): Eukaryota > Metazoa > Chordata > Mammalia > Primates > Hominidae > Homo > Homo sapiens. Next base: position 25,061,958 of record NC_000018.10, read on the forward strand.
AACAATTCCAGTAATCTCCAGGTTCAGACTGCAGAGTAAACATTAATAACAGTAACATACAGGTTAGTTCAACTGATTCAAGAATTTGGCTGCGTGAAATCATTAAGGAAAACCTTGAACACTCAAAGCTTCAAATGTATCCAGGGAAAAAAAAATTCTTTGACAGTCTACATAACAACTATTGCATATATAGTGATGCTACCTGTCACATTGCAAGGCTTACAAATATATATATACGGGCCTTATCCAGCTGTGGGGTTCTGTTCTGTGAGAACATCTCTTCATGGTTTGCAAGAATCTTCAGCAATAAAAAATAGTCTTGGATTTAAGCGCTGATATACCTAAAGAGAAATTCTAGGCTTAAGTGTAAAGAAAAGGAAGTCCAACCATAGTCTCATGTATAACAGTTGTTTTTAATCTTTCTTCCTTAAAAATACTTTATCTTAAGCCATTTTGGTCATAGTCTTTTTTTTTTTTTAATCTTGCCTGAATAGGGCCCAAGTCCACTTGTCTTTATAAGACCATTTTAGTATCAGACGACATAATACATGTGCAACACTTTATATACAAGGGGTCTATCCGGTGCGCAAAAGTTCAAACACATGAACATCCAACAGTTTGATAATACAAGTTTTATGGTACAATACAATGTTTCTGAATAATATACATTAACAATGAAAGTTTCGTGCAAAGAGTAAAACATGTTCCCTTTTTGTGCCACAAAATCAATTCTCCTTGAGAGACTGTACTTGCACTAACTGCTGTGTTGGGTCATTGTATGATTCTGTAAATAACAAAAAAAAAAAAAAAAAAAAAAAAAAAAAAAAAGAGAAGAGAGGGAAAACAAACTTCAGTGATTTCATTTTCATCAGACCAAGCATATATACATGTAATTAATTCATAATGACTTGAACAGAACAATGAGTTTCTGCCCTCTGATGAATAGTGCTCATGGGTGCCCTCTAATGTTAAAAAAAATCTAATGTTTCTTCCCCAGGGGGAAACAGACCCAGAGATCTTCTGAACCTGCTGTCACCCATGAGGGCCTGGAAGGAGAGGCCAGGGCAGAAGCCTCCTTAATGTGAGATGGCTGGCTGGCACCTTGCCTTTTCTCCACCTCTGCCATGCCTTTCTATAATACCCTCCCGCCATCCATCATCTCTTCTTATTAAGATACGACCCAGTGTTCAAGGAGCAGGTAGCACTGTTTTAACAGTTTTATGGATCTGTGCGTGATTTCCATTGGTTACATATGCCTCTGTTCCAATCCCTCTGAGACTGTAACATCTTGACAACAGGGGCTCTATCTGCCCCTGAATATGGGTATGAAATGCAAGAGTTAGCTGGCTGATGATGGACAGTGGGAGCAGCCCCCCTCCTGAGGGTGGGCTTTGGGCTGTGGTCATACCGTGGCTCAGGGGCAGATTACAGTAGCCCGCCAGGTCTCCCCTTGTCCCCGGATGCTCTTTCTCAGCTGACACAGCCTGTGCTGTATATTGGTGGTCCCTGCTCATCTATGCTAGCATGTCCCCTTTCTGAGTGAACACTCTCTTTCCAAATTGTGAGAGGGTAACTGGGATTGCTGGGCAACTCAGGACCACCAGCCAGGCCCTGAGGGTGGACGCCGGGTGGGAAAGTTGAGCTGAACCTCTGGTCATTCAGCCTGTATTCAGGGAGCAGGCAGTTTGCTAGTTGCTGTAAAGGATGAAGAGATAACCTGGTTCGCCAGGAACCAGGCCTGGATGATGGTCACAGATCTGCAGGATATTTGCCTGGAGCATAAGCCTGGAGATGGCCTGATCTCCACTCTCCTCCTCTGTGCTTTCCTGGAGCCATGTTCTCTCACTACTCACTTGTATCCCCTGACCCCAATCCCTTTGTATTACAACCTTGGGGCCCAGCTCAAAATATCACCACTTCCATCCTCACCCCATCTAACACTGATCTCTCCCTTCTCTGATTTCCTGCTGCACTTTATACTGCTTACATAGGATGCATCTTAGGTCTTGTCTCATGATTATTTGTAGGCCTGGCTCTCACTCATGCCAATAATTCCGATGTTCATTCATTTATTCATTCATCTACAAGCATCTATTGAAAACGCACATCAGCACCTGGCACATGCCAGAGCGCTGCAGTGCTCAGGAAAGAGGGTTTGGCTATCTCAGTGACTGGCTGGCAAGGCAAGGGCTACTGGAGAGGAAGGGCATGGTCCTTGCCTTCATGCCTTCAAAGTGCTCACAGTCTAAAGAAGGTCATGTGGGTACATAAAAGTAAAGCAAGATGGCAAGCAGTCTATTAGAAAAGAACACAGAAATGTCACGGATACACCTAAACCTGCCTAGCCATTGGGGAATGGTTCCAAGTGGATCCAGCATACTGACAGCCGGAGACATGAGCAGAGAGTACAGGGAGGGCACTCTAGGCCAAGGGACCCACATGGGTCAGGGCAATGAAACAGGAATATGCAAGGTACGTTTGCAGACCTGCAACTTGTTTAGATTGGATGAATTCTTCTGGAGTGTTCTGAATCAACAGTACTCACGAGACATGAAGATGGAGCTGGTTTGGGGCAAGAATATGAGCTGTCTTATCTACCTTGCTAAAGAGCTGAGACTGTCTTGTAGGTTAAGGGAGCCATTGGAGTATTTTAAGCAGAGGGATTCATCTTAGAGATGTTTGTTATCTCTTCATCCTTTACAGCAACTAGCAAACTGCCTGCTCCCTGAATACAGGCTGAATGACCAGAGGTTCAGCTGAGAACCAATTGGGGCTGCGTGCAGAAGTTGGCGGGGGGCTGGGAGCCTTGTGAAGAGGACTTAGGTCTTCCTTGTTCCATTTCAAATTTAGCTCATTTTTGAAAAAGATGGATGACAAATCATGATGCAGACCAGTATTTCACTCTCCCTTATTTAAAACATATCTTAATAGTCCCAGCCTCAGAGTGAATACAGGAAATAGCAAATTGTTTTTATGCCAGCTCTTTTATCTGTATATTGATTTTTAATACTTCTGAAAAGTACTTGTCACCGATATGTAGACAGAAAGGGTAATAAAAGTACTAATGAGACCGAAAAACTTTGCTATTTTCTGAAAAATCAACATGATTCTGTTCGGAAAGGTTATAAACAATAAAAGTTTGATTACTCAAAATACACCACATCTAAGCCTTCTTATACCTTTTGCTATCTCAGAGTCAAGTTTATAGAAAGGTTTTTTATTTTTAAAAAGTCCAAAAACAATGACCAAATAAGTACAAGAAGATACGATAATACAGATCGAGCACCTCCAAATGGGAAAATCCAAAATCCAAATACTCCAAAATCTGAAATTTTTGAGCACTGACATGATGGAATATAGGTGACTAAGCTAGTGACACCTTTGCTTTCTGCTGATTCAATGTACTGAAACTTTGTTTCATGCACAAAATTATTGAAAATATTGTGTAAAATGACCTTTGGGCTATGTGTATAAGGTATATAAGAAATATAAATGAATTTTGTGTTTAGACTTGGGTTGCATCCCCAAGACATCTCATTATGTATATGCAAATATGCCAAACTCTGAAATCGAAGACACTTCTGGTCCCAAGCATTTTAAAAAAGGAATACTCAACCTGTATTTACCTAAATGATAGGACTCTGACAGAAAGATGGGTGTTTTTTTCTTCTTACCAAATAAAAAAAAAAAACAGTTTAATTACATTATTTTCAAATGTTTAAGTGCTTATGATGGACACTCCACATGTGATTGGATTCTAGGGGTTAGTAAAAGAGTACACAGTGCAATTTTCCTGGTGTTTTTATATGTGCTCATATCAAGATGCTACAAGAACCCAAAACAAACTGCCCATAACAGTTGGCAATGGTTGTGTGTTGTATGCTTTCATCCTCAATCAAAGCCATACAAGTCTCTTCAGAGGTGCAAGGACATGAACAAATACACATACATCACTTACTACAACAGACTGAAGTTGTTTCATAAAGGAGTTATGTTTTGCATATAAGAGAGAGGAATATAAATCACTTGTGAGAAGGGCAAGGGTATGGCTTGTGAAATTCAAAAATAAAGCAACCCAATGTAAGTAATATCAACCTAAGAAATCTGGCATGAGAAATGTAAGGGCAGGAAGTCCTCTTGGTGTGGAGATGCCTGCAGACCACGGAGGTCTCTTATTCTCATTTTGTTTGGTTTCCCTTTTTTGCTCCAGCCCAACAGAGTGCTATGGCAGGGTGTCCCCAGGCCTGGCTGTCCACCATTGGCAGTGATGCTCATGGTGGAAGGCAGCACGTTCCTAGAGCTTCTTGGGCAATGGATATACTTGTGTTGGAAACAACCCCGCCATGGGATTCTGCTCCATCCTCAAGGGCTTGCCTTTGCCACCTTTGAGGATCCGGGGGATGTGTCTGTTCTCCTCCCCCACGCAGTATTTCAAGTCCACTGGAAATACAAATGGCCTCATTTCATTCTCTGGGGGAAGGAATGGAATATCTGAGCCATGGTTTATTCGATTGGCTTTTAGGTGTTGGTGAGAACAGATGCGAAGTCCTAGTCTCTGGTCTCGACTAAAGATTCTCTGAATAGAGCTTCATGGGAGCACTCAGTGTTTTTTGTGTTTTCTGATGCTCATAGACATTATTTCTTTAGAAAGGGAGACAAGAGGCAAGTGGGAAGGATAAAAAAGTAGACAGCAGAAGCGCCAAGCAAAGAGAGGGTAGGCTCTGAGGCCCAGTCTGCTCTCCCCCTGGCTACTTGCCACACCACAGAACCAGTCCTGAGACAGCAAGGACACAAATGCATATGAGCAGAAAGCGGAAAAATGCTGCCAGGCCATCCACAAGCAGCCTTCTCTCTGTGCAAGAGTTTTCAGCTCTTTAGGTCCAGAGGAAACCACTACACTAGAACAAAGCAGTGGGTAATCTCACCAATTTTACACAGCAATTCACAGTCCCTAAAGTACTTTAATGCAATGACAGGTTATGAGAAAAAATATCTGTTCCAATGAAGGGAAAGTGTTTTACATAATTGAGAAGAACATCAGTGCAACATTGGTGGAGGTGGGGGGTGAAGACAGAAAAGGAAGTAGGAAGAGAAGAAAACTTCTGTAATCCCACAGAGAGCCATATTCTACTCTGCAAAAAGCCATCTCCTGGAGACCCCATGTCTAAGTAACTGAAAATTGCAAACCATTAATCCCAGTTATGAACAGTTGTTTTACACGAGGGGGGTTTGTGTTAAAAAAAAATCAAATCCACAACATACCTTAAAGCTGAAAAGAAGATCCATCTAGGTATGATACCTTAATAGCGAGGTTTCAAAAACACTTTCTTTACTGTAAAGGGCCCCATCTGGAAGGAGTGTGCTGTATGTATTTTTTTTCTCTATAAATGTGAAATTAAACTTAGAAAGCTAAAAAACAGACGAGGGCCTTAAAAATTCCCTTCTAGCACTATGTATTTCTTTTTAAATATGAGATGCCTTTCATTTTACAAGACTGGAATTCTCATTTTGGGCTTGGCACTCTAACAAATGATTAATTCAGCCTCCTTTTTTTCTGAGAGCTGACCACATTTGCTGGTCAAACAGTTTAATCCTATTTAAAATGCAATCCAAGAAAAATATTTTTAAGTAAAAATAAAAATCCATGATCCTTTGAAACTGTTCACCTTGGCTAAAGACATTCCATTTTCCTGCAATCTTGATGTAAATTTGAATTTTTGCACCTACATCAATGATGAAATTCAGCTTTGGAGGAAAGCCAGGGGGAACCTATCTTCCTAGAGTTGAAAAATTAAATTCCCAACCCCAAAACTTATGCCCAGAGATTGCCTTCACTTTTCTAATTCTTTGGCAGAGACCGTGTCTCGTCTGTGCTTTGTAACACTCTGTTGGCATCGGCAAAATGTTACGTATCAGTGGTCATAAAAACAAAAATGGCATTTGAATGGAAGTTTTGTGAAATCTGTTGATTCAAAGATGTTAATCATTTTTACCATGACTTGTTTATTTATAGCCTTTTGTTTCAAACAAATTCTGACAAGCTTTTAAAACTAAGTAAAAGAGCCAGCACGCTATTTTAAAAAGGAATGAAAAAAAATAACAAGCTTTCCACCACTAATTCACTATGCCATTAGAAACCCGAATTTAAACTGCAGTTGTATTTAATTTAAATGAGATGTTTTCTAACTAGATGAAATAGTAGGCAATTGTGGCTCAGAAACAATGCAAGGTGGGAAGAAATAAAGAAATATAAAGATTAAATGTGGCTGTTTCTTTCAACAGATGGTGACAGCACCATGGCAGCATGTTGTTTTTTCTTTAGTTGAAGAACACAAACATCCGTAATCAATCATCACTGATTAACTAATTATATTACCCTTCCTTTTATCACTTGGGTTGGACCTTTATCCATAAACACTGAGGATAATCGGTATGCTCTTATTTTTCTGGAAGTATATTCTAGTTCACATACAGTCGTGCAGTTACAGGCTGCAAACAGAATTCTACATTACCGTCCACCTTTAAGCACTATTGCTTTTTTTCATTTTTAATTTTTTTTTTTAAACAAAAGCAATTGGTTTCCCACAGGCTGGATAATAAGTCTTTTGACCTGCATTCTTCTTTGACCCATTAAGGTCACCCCTGTGCTCGGGCATATAGCTGACTTAGGAAATGCCTGCAAGTCCTACATTTCATCTCCTGCCCACTCAAAATAAAGCTTTCTTTAAATGTGTCTGTACGGGTCCCTGAAGGCCAAAGAGGCATCCCTGTAGTGGGCAATGGAGGGACAGAAGCTTCTGCCTTTATTAATGAATGCAGACCATTATGAGTCTGGCTGGCTCCTTCCCCGTTCCCAGAAGCATATACTGTACGTGACTTAAAATGCTAGAATATTGACACAAAGCGAGCTGGGCACCCCTAAGGAAAATTACTCCTTGGATATAATGTAGGCTCCTAACAGCTATTAGAGTACAAAATAAAACCCTCCGGGATCAGACTGACATATACCGCATTCTACCTAGTCCTCAAACATTAGAAGAATTTCTTTGTGAAGGCATTCTCAAGGACAGCATTAAACTGACTTTTGTAGCAATCTGCAACAGCTTTTTGGCTTAGAGCTTTTAGTACTAAATCTCTGGTTCGAATCAATATAAGTACTATATCTTCTACATTAATCAATATATTTGGTTCAATACATATTCTATTAAATTATACTTTCTAATCAAGATTTTTACATTTCCATCCTCTCTCCTTTTCATTCCCAACTTCTTATGCTAGTAAAATAGTTTTAAAAGTGTATACAGCTAATGATGACAGGATCCTGGGTTATTTCCCCTGAACGTTAAGAGAAAAAATAGTCACAATGGCAAAGGGTGACCTTTAAGCATCTTAATAAGGTTAACAGGATGTGAATGTTAATAAATTAACATTTTCAAAGTCCACACAATTACAAAAGTACTCATAATTTTCAACTGATTAAAAGTAAATTGCTACGGCTCTGGGAGTACCATTAGGAATTTTCTAAAAATTACACTGAAGACCAAAATCACCCTCAAGTACCCTACTTTGCCCACCCCAAAGTTTCTACTGCCCACAACTATATAATTCCTGGCTGAGGAAATCTGGGGTAATTGTGTTTTTATGGACCTTACCAGGTAAACATCAGGACCATATCTGTGGATATTGCATTTTTGTGAGCTATGCTATAGTTCAATGCATATTTTTTAAAGGACAAATATACAGTATTTTCCCTAAGTGCTATGAGAATCGAAAAGACATATGCATAGTGGATTTTTTTCATAGCCAGGGAAGTTGACTCATAATCTTTACATTTGTAGAATCTGCTAGAATGAAGTTCTACTCTTTTATTATGACACAGCAATGGCATTTCCAAATTGTCATGTATGCTTTTGCCCCTCTCTTTAATGCCATGAATGTTGCATTTATGATCATGTTTGCACTGACAGAATTTCCCTTTTTATTTTTTCATATGGTAATGTCATCACCATGAACTTACAGAAACACTGATGCATTTTCTTTTGACATTTAACAGTTCACATGGGCTTGGTCTGACATCTCAAAGCATTTTCTGGATGACACTAAGCTATATTAAAGCAAAAGGTGAAATGGCATCATCAGAAGCGATCAGAAGAATACAAGATATTAAAGAAGGAAAAGGACTATTAGGACATTTGGTTTGTCCCCTTGTAGGAACATAATTGTTTGATAAAGTTTACACACTTAGGCCAGTTTTGAATGATTCTGGCAATGAAGTTGCTATCATACCTCCCATAGGAAACAATTTCGCATTCTAATAAACCTCACTGAAGGACATTTTTGTTGTTGTTCTCTGGACATTTGTGCTAACTACGTCCAGAAAAAGGGTGATCTGAGATAATCCTGAAGGATGAGGACACTGGCATGTTGATGAGTTTATGTTCCAAACACTAGACCATGTACCTATAGTATAAAAGTTCATCCATCTCATCCAAAGCAACCTAGAAGACCATCCAGTACACCATTTCTCAGTCATTACATAAAACACATCCCATTCACTTGCTTGGTTCCAGAGAGGAGCCTGAAAATAGATTTTAGAAGGCCAGTGGGGCTTGCCTTACACAAGCAGGGTTTCCCAACCTCAGCACTACTGACATTTGGCGCTGGACAATTCTTTGTTGCAGGGGGTTGTCCTGGGTATTGTAGGATGTTTAGCAGCATCCTCAGCCACTACTGCCAACATGCTAGTGGCATCTTCCCAGTTGTGACAAGCAGAAATGTCCCCTGACACTGCCACATATCTCTTGGTGGGAAGCATCTCTCCCACCAGGGAGATATTGAGGAACACTGCCTTATACTGTTTGAAAAACACTTGTGCATGAATAAATGAAAGCTGGGAAATAAGGAGGGTTCTGAATTTAAGGGTTTTGAAGAATTTGCAGGGAGGAACTGATCTAAAGGGGAAGAAGAAATGGTGGTCTATGAGGTGTGTTAAATAGCTGTAATGAGGAGGTCTTGTTAATGACCTGTCTTGTTATTGACAGGTTTAAATTAGAGGTCAGACACAGGAACAGGTGGTCATAAGGAAGGTATATAATTGTTTTGAATTTACTTTGTATTGAAAACACATTGAGCTTGCTATACCATGCTTGAGTATGCTACTTTGTCTTCATTATAAGATGGTATTTTCCCCATTTTAAAAAGAGAACTGCAAAGGGACACATATACCACATGAGACTGTACTGCAGTAAATATATACCGTACTGCAGTAAAACGTAGTCAATGGGTGAACGTGGGCAAGTATACAGAAACTGTAGAAAGAATTCTTCTGAGATATATAATGGCATTGTTTATGTAAAGAACCAAGTATTTCCAGAAGTGTTCATTCTTTTAGTGACTTATCAAGACCATCCATATACCATTGATGAACAAAGATGGTACGTTTTAGTGGCAATCAACCTATGCTGCTTTAGGGATATTTGCAATCTAATAATGTTTAAAGGTACCCAAATATTAAACTCTGGAAATCAGTATTTGGGGAATGGAAAAAACTATCTACTTTGAAAGAACTACAGAGCCATCATCCTCAATTTGTTGGTCTAGACTCAATGGCAGGTGAATCAACTACACCTGTAAGTAATACTGCAGAGAAAGAAAAAATTGGTTTCAGAGCTGGGGGTTGGGGGTGGTACATAGCAGCATCTGGTCCAGTATCTTATTTTATAGATGAGAAAATTAAGTCCCAGAGGGTTGAAGCCAACACTCAAGGTCTTAGAGTTAGTCCCACGGCTGGGCCAGCTGTACAGATAAAGGACACTCATTGCCATAGCCCAGACCTTCTATCTGGAGAGACAGGGTGCTCTAGGACACAGAGGAAGGGCCCTTCACCTTATGTCAGAGGCTTTGTTCTTGGAGGAGTCACACATGCCTGGTGCGGGAGAGATGAGGAGGCAGAGGTAAAAAGGGAGAGAATGGCCCCCGAAGTAGAGGGAAGAGCAGCAGCAAAGCTGAGAACCAGAGGGCAGAAGGCAGGGGGCAGAGGGCAGAGGGCAGGAACTGTGTAGGAGCTGAGGCATCTGGTGGAGCTGCAGATATGTCCGGCTGTGCCGGGAGGTAGGGAGTCAGTTCAAAAACGGCCTATTTTCACCACATTTTGCTATTTTCTGCAATATCAAACGAGCTGGAAAAGCCCATGGCGGTTACCATGTACCAAGAATACCCAGTTTGACCTTAGTCTAATGTGAGTCTTCAGAAGACTAAGCAAAGACTAATTATTTAAATAATGCTAAGTCCTAGTTGCTAACATAGAACAATTCCTAGTATTTTGACAATTAAACATTTTGGAGATATAAAACAAGCCCTTTAGTCCACCAGCTTCCAAAGGACAAATTCTGCTGTGACGTCATACGTGGGAAATGTTAACATCGTGACAATCCCATTTTCCATTAAGAACTTAAAAACAGTAGTAAAATTGTAGTTGCAAGCTGACCCCTATCTGTTGTGCATACCTGACAAGCTTGAAAATTTCCCTCTTTGCAACTGACAATAGCGTGCACTATGTACTACCTTGAGAGTGGGGGAAAAAGGTGCCGAAAGGGAAGAACAGGCGAAAAAGAGCAAAATGGCCACTGGGAAATATAGTAAAGAGTACGATGTTTATTTTTAAAAGAAAACAATGAATTGAGCTGTCTGTTTCCATGCAAGAAGCCAGCAGAAAATTTAAATCAAACTATATAAAGCCAGCACCAGTGAGAGGGAGAGTGTAAAGATTTCACTCAAGATTCTGGAATTGCAGGATTCCAGCGTACTGTGGGACAGAAGGCTTTGATAGGCAATACTGTCTAATAAGATATTCAGGGATTAAGTCAGTGCTTCACAGACAGATGTGTCCATGTGCCAGTTGTTGCTAAGCTTTAATTTTTTCCCCTGTAATGTTTAATTTATCACACTGGCGCTTTCTAAACTAGAACATCTGTAAACAAGGTTAAGAATGACCTCCTTCCAATTTTACATCCATGAACAGTGCCCCTTCTTCGTGCTCTAATTTTAGATACCTTAAAGATAAATAAATCTTTGGAAGGAAGAAAAAAGAAGGCTTGTCTGACATTGTAATGTGTTCATCTTGGGCGAATACAAATTTCCTCTCCGCCAGCTCTCGGTGCACACAACCAACTCTTGCTGCTGAAGCTATATTCAAGCATCCCCTTCCCAGTCAAACGCAATTAAACAAACTTCTGCTAAATATTTAACAGCCTTGTGTACCAATTAGCAGCAAATAATGGAAGCTTAAATTGATAATTGCTCAGAAATGTCCTCTTACAAACATTACAAAATTCCAACTCCTCCCTTTTCTCTTAGATTTTGAATCCCGGAAGGTTTTTGAAGAGAATTTAGTCAGCAAAATTAACTATAATCATATCACTTGGTCAAGATCTCAGAGTTAAGTTTGGCTGTTTTGCAGTCAGCTGCAAGATTCCACTGGCATCATTTACTTCACTTCCGTGTTTGAAATCCATTGAAATTTAGTTACACACTGAAAGATGGTGGAGCAGGGCATTGATTTAAAAACTGACTGGCAGGCTTAGGATTTAAACTCTGGTCCACCAGATTCAAAAGGTCATCTGATTAGAATGAGAGAAGCACAGGGCGTTGTAATTTATATTCAAAGGGTAACCTTTGTAGGAAGAAGGAGGGAGCCAAGACTCTTTCTGCTTTTCCACTTGATAGGGACACGGATTCCCTTCAACCAAATTCCAATAATTATGAAAAATAGTTTATTGAACTTGGGCAAAAAGCAAAAGAAATGCCACTTCCTTGTAGTGTATTATTTCTTTTATTAAAAACACTGCCACACTCCCTAGGAGGTAAACTCACATTAAGAGTAAGTCAAACATGTTATAAATCATTAAGAATAACAGAAAAACATCTTTCCCCACCGTAAGCCAAAAAAAAAAAAAGCTTGTCTACTATGGCATATGCTTTGGTAAAGATATATAAAAATAAAACTGTGAAAGGACAATGTATTAATTTAGATAAACTGTGTTAAGTATGAGCCACCTCCTGAGAGGTGTGTGTGCGTGCATGTGTGTGTCTGTGCACATGTGTGCGCACGCGTGTGTGCGTGCGTGTGTGCACGCGCACGGGAATATGCCTGTGCGCATGTCCATTTCCACGCCTAAGCGAGTGTTGCGCAGGGCAAAAAAAAAGAGTTACATACATGCATTGCTTCTACAGGTAAAATTCCTGGTGTTTGCCTTTGATCTTTCTGTCTCTCTGGGGACTTATTCCTGCATGGAGAATGCAATTAGAAGGAGCCCCAAGTAATTCTTGTTTTAAGATCTAAGCAAGCCCTTTAAAAATGCAAGTATTTCACAGGCCCAATTCTGTTTGGTTATCCCCTACTTTAAATAAAAAACCCAAGTTTGGAGAAGAGAAAACATTTCACACTCAAGTTTGGTGCTTTTTTCTTTTTGCCTGTGTGCTTGCTTTTCTTTCTCTTTTCCCTGTATGTTATTGTGTATTGTTGAAAATTTCAGGTCTCTTTCTTTAACGATCCCTCCCCACCCCCTAAAATCATCCCGGTTTATTAGCAAGTTCATACAGGCACAAAGAAGTCAGGAATGGTTGGGTGCATTTCCTATTCTCTATTAAACCTGTTCTTAAGATATATTTTTATTCTTTCTTGTCCACGATTTCCCATTGTCTTATACTCTTTAAGGTCTTAAAATGGCAGAGCTGCCCCCACTCTCTACCCTGCCAAGAAGAGCTTCTATTTGCTTCAGAAACCCACACGTGAAGTTCCCATTCTCCTCTCACTTCCTGGGCACCTTTTCTGGCTTTACTTCTAGGTCTCTGTGGGACAGTTTCCTCACCCCTTATGGTGCACAGAGCTACTGGAAAGAGAACCCTTTAATTCCTCCACGCAGAGATGTGCTGTAGCTATGGTGAGAGTAATCTATAACCCTCACATCCTTAAATAATTTGCTACTCCAAGTTAATTTTAATTCATTACAATAAAGCAATATAATTAAAAAAATCTCTTTAAAGTGAAGTATTTAACATGATCCTGAAAGAAAGACAGTCCTGACTAACAGAGGGCCAGGCGGCAGGCATGGTGCAAACTCATGCAAATTCAAAGGTGAGCCGTAAACAAGAACACACAGCAACACTGCCATGCATAAAGGGCCAGGCAACGGGAGGCCTCATTCTAATCAGTCCTCAAAGGAACCTGCCATACAGAAGTGGCACTTATTCTAATTTAAAGCCCTCATGCTTGCTTCAGTGTTGCAAAATTTATAAAAGAATAACTTCATTAAACCGCCTGGCATTTCAAACACAAATGCAAACCAGCCACAACACAGAAGGAGCTGGACAAGAGGAAGAGAAATATTCCCAGAGAGTTGTTAGCTCAGATATTAAAATAGAGTCTGCATTGTGGTGCTTCTCTTTCCGTGCAACTTTCCTTCACCAATGACTCCTGCCACCGGGCTCTTTACTTCTGTCACAAGTCCTGTTGCTCCTGTGAGTTTGCTTAATAACACTGAAAATCATTCAAAGCGGTTTGGCGAGCCCAGTCACATGCAGAAATACATCTGGCAGTACATAAATGAACGCTATTCAATGTTCCTTGCCTGGCCTGCAGAGGAGATTGATTCTGAACACACCACTATTACAGTTCCCATTTACTTGGGTATATATTTCAGACTCACCTAAGTTGTTGAAAAACTAATGGAAGAAAAAATTTCTTCTCCTTAACCCTGGCACTCAAGAAAGAAAACAATAATAAGGGTTAAGTGGAAACAGTCTACTGAATCCACGCACGGCGCAGGAGAAAAGTTATTGTCACATCCTAAAACATATGCTTTAAAGGGAACTTCTTTTTCTCCCCTGAATCAGAGTCCTAGAAACGCTACAGAAAAATTACTTCAGGCTAGATTCCTAAGCTGCAATGCAGTGTGTGTCAGAACACACATCATTTCATGCTGAACTGTCAGCATATTTCTCAAAATCATTTTTTTTTGGAATGCAATGAAACGACAAATCTGGAAGCCTGTATAAAACCTCCAAGCCTCTGAGAAAGTATGTGTCACCCACAAGTTAAACTAAGCATCATGATCTTGAGAGATCCCAGTAATGAACCACTCCTTTCCTGCTCAGTGTTTCTCATCACCTTAGTGGGCACAAATCTGTGCTAAGATTTTGCTTCAGAGAACACAGTGAGCGTTCAAAAACCTCGAAAATGGTAATCCGTGGATGAATAAGAGGAAATGGCCTTAGGGTAAGTAAAAGGTGAATCTCTCCAAGGGTTATAAAAGAAAAAGACTGTTTATCCCAGTTGTTTTTCAGAATTCTGGAGTGGGATTCTTGCTGTTGGTTGGAAGAAAGACCTGTTACAGGGTGCTCAGACCAGGCTGACCGGAGACCAGTTCCACGCAATGGATGTGAAACTTAAAGTTGTCACCAAAAATTGCAGGATGATAGGAGTCATATTCTTCTTAGGGTAAACAAATATTGAAATGAATTATCTCTTATCCCTATGCAATTGTTTTATAGTGCTGGAAGCTTTTTATATCCAAATAATGCAATATTTTGGTGAAGGTAAGTTTGTATTCTTTTTTCTCTCCATGAATACAATCGAGCTAATCAGATGGAATGAATGAGCCAATTCACTTACAGGCAGCCTTTATTATATAATAAAATATGGATTATTGATCTTGTGGAGTTGGCAATTGCATGATGCAAATTCAGTGAAGGAAACCTCCAATATTGGAATTTGAGGCTATTTGTATTGACGCTTGAATCTACCTGAACTATTTTCACTTTTGAAAAACCATCAAAATAAAACAACACTAAAACTAATTAAACCCAGTGTTCCAAAAAGGACAAAGAAAAGTTAACACAGAGGCCTGGGATGGAAGGCTGGGATGGCCCCCTTATAGGGTATAATCCCTTGTTCTGTTCCAACGGAGGGAGAAGAAACAGGCAGGCTCTTTGGGCCTGTCTGTGGAGTAGTGAGTACAAACTTATTTGCTAGACCCAAATGTACTGCCTAGGCAGCTTGCTACAAATCCTACCCAGCCCTGTAATAAGAGTCAGTGTATTGTTGTGGCCCTCACACTTGTGAGGCAGACTTGTTTAAAATACAACACTGGGCTGTCCTAGCAAAATCCTTTCATCTCTTATCTCTTAAAAAATGCGGTCATCAGCCCGGGTTAGGAGACAGCTCTGAATACAAGGGTCACATGGCAAGGAAAGCCTACACAGCAAACACTGAAGGGAAGAAAGAACGTGAGCTATGTTATTCAACGTGTATTTACTCACCTCTGTTCTGCCTTCCCGTTCCCCTTATAAATCTGCCCCAAGATACGATGGCATGCTGATTGCTATTTGTGCTCTGCTACAAAGTCCAGGCCAGACTGTCTCCTGTATTCCTTATAAACTTCTCCCAGCTCTTCCCTACAGAGCAAGCACGCCCTTCCTTTTGACAGAGTTCACGTCCTCTCTACCTTTTTATGGGCCACATCCGCGTGCCCCCCACATAGCAGCACAACACAAACATGTGCCTTTCTCCTCTTATGTTTTTTTTAAGAGTAAAAACAGGCTCTGTGTTTTGGTAGGCATCCCTCCAAAGCATAGGTGAACGTCCATGCGTTATGTTTCCGAAAACGACGCCAATGAAAGGGAGGGATGAGAGATGCTAAACAATGCCGCACCAAAGTTGCAGACTGTTCGGCTACAGTCCAGAAAATGAATCCAATTTTTCATTCTGTCATTATAAATATTTCATTGCAAATGGTACTGATTTTCTGCAACTGTGGTTAAGCAGAGGGCCTCTGTGTGAATATTTAAGAAAAAAAAGAGGAAGACAACGAAGAAGAGGGAGGCGGGGAGAATTAAAGGTTAGCAACCAATTAATTTCTCACTTGAAATGTAAAAGATTCTGGGAGAAATTCAACAGTGATGTAGTGTGTGACTCAAAGAAGAAGAAAAAAAAAACATTTACTCTGCTCTTCTTCTGACAGTTTCTCATAAAATATCTGCAGTCCATCTATCTTTTAGTACTCCGGGCTCCTCTGGAGAGCAGAAAATGGTGGTTTAAAGCTCACTTCAGTGCCAGTCTGCGGGAGATGGCTTTCCACAGGGCCCCCGCTGATGGAGGCCTAGGGGAAGAGGCCCAGGAGTTATTCAATCAGCCCGAGACTCTGGGGCGGCTGGGGGTCCTTTGAGGGCTGATTATAAAGCTGCCCTCCTGTTGCCTGCCTCGGAACAGAACGAAATGAGCAGCCTCTTGCTGCGCAGATTCTGAAAGAAGGAATTTCACCTGTCATGGAGTTTGTCAGAATTTCAGGATTTATCTTGGTGCAAAATTAATAAAATACCAACCAGGATTTCAGGCTGACTACTCAGCTGTGTCATCTCAAAGTGATCTTTCACCCAAGAAAACCTGGACAGTGAACACGGCCATTCTTGCCCTACTTTTCCTTTGCAGGATGAACGAGACGATGTGACTAATGCCACCCAAACATCAGAATGAGACCGTGAGCCAATTACACGCGAGGCAGAATTATGCGTGGGTGCTGCTGTCTTAATGCATGACCTCTCACCCCGCCGCTGCAGTTCTAAAGCCCCTTTGGAATAAGTGGAGTCTAAGGCATAAAAAGGCCATTTCTGCAGCTTATAACACAGTAGGTCCCCTATGGCATCACATCTGTTAAATGCATACACTGGTATTTCAGACCCGGATTTGATTTATCTTTTAAAAGGAGTACTAACAATGGAGTATGGCAAGAATATATACTATGAAACGTTGCACATTAATCTTGGGTTGGCTATGAACGAGGTGCAGTTTCATCCTTTGTTTCAGCACACGCCCTCTGCATGTCCCATCACCTTCTGGGCTCCCAGCAGAAAGTGGGAGTGCAGAGGGCGGGGGAGGTGGGAGAGAACACAAAGGGATAGGACAGAGTGGGAACAAACCACCTATTTCTGTGACCCTCTGCCGGCTCTGGGCTGCAACAAGTTTGACCATCTTGGCTTCTTTCACTTTAGACTGTGGCTTGCATCGCACAAATCACCACTGCTCTTTTAAGTGAAGTTCTGTACAACCCAGGGGTTTGATCATTTTGAACTGAGACTTGGGTAGCTCCAAGGCAATTAGTTCTGGTCCTCAGAGTGGGTGGCATCGCATGGCAGATGGCGCCAGTGCGTGGGGTCTGGATTGGCGCTCATGCCACTGGTTGGCCCAGGCCAATGGACAGAGTGGGCAAGCAGTTCTCAGGACCTTGGTCTCACTCAAGTTCGACTTCCAGAACACTGAACTCAGGTTCAGCACAGGGTTGGTTAGTTTGGGTTGTGATGCACACCTTGTTTTGTGTCCCTGGCCTCCATCCACGCTCAGGCCATGGGTCCCTCTTACTCATCGATGATTAGCAGCACAGCCTCGGCTCTCGGAGTCAGCGACGGGTTTAAGGCATTGCTGCTTCTCTAATTTCTAATCGACATTTTCTAAATGAGACATTAAACAATGCTGTAATACATTCTCCCCAGCTCTTCCCCTAGTTAAATGACAATTCTGCTTTGGAGAACCAGTTTTACAATTCAGTAGCAGTCTGACTATACTAACACCAAGAGATCTCAGGAAAAAGTAAGAGAGAGAGAGAGAGAGAGAGAGAGAGTGAAAGAGAGAAGACAGCTAGGAAGTGAGCGCACAGATGGTGGGGGGGACGCAGGGTGCTCTCAGCAGGCTTCAGTGGAGATGCATTAACTCCACAGAGGGATAAGGGCTTCCCACCAGTACTGTCATGAATTATAACTGAGTATGGGAGTGAAGTCTTGGTGCCTGTCTCACAGCAAATATACTGTTCCATTTTCCTGCACAATCACCTTTCACCCTTATAAACTCAAAGCACAGCAAAGCACACTGCTGATATTTAATGGTATCACAGTAGCCTTTTATATGTCTAGAAGGCACACAAGCTTAGCAGATGTGCCCAGTGGTGTAAGACAGACAATTATAAAATTAAGTTTTGGCAATGTGAAAAAGGAAGTCTTTTATGGGCGCTTTGGGTTTCCAGTGAAGGATGGTCTCCTGCCAGCCAGGAGCTGCTATCAAGGCAGGGGCAGGGATCACGCAGGAAAGAAGCTGTCCTCCCAGACATGGAGGGGCCCAAGGAAAAAGCCCCGCTTTTGCAAACTTGGCCCTCCTATGGGAAAGCAGTTCCTGGCCAGTTAGTTTCCACTCACTCATTCAATGAAGTTATCAATGAAGGAGACCTGTTATTTTAGGCAGTTTAAAATTTCACCACTATTAAAGGACTCGTTTACCCTGCCTTTCACTCCCGTTTAAAGCCTCGGAGTTGCTGTTCTAAATGACAGCACCGCAAGCACAGCTTTTAAGCACTATTCATCTCGCCGCCACATCTCAGGCTTTTACAGAACACTACTCTCTCTCTCCAATAAGGGGAACTTACTCCTTCATAGCTGCAGGGCAGAGCCTGTTCCAAGCTGTAGATTCGTTGCAAATATAACAATAAAGGATACAAATGTGAATTCCTCTTAAAATACACGTTTGGCTCTGAAGCTGCCCGGCCTTAGCAAACTCGATCAAGAGCAGCCTATCAATCTTTCTCCAAATGCACAGCAGCAGCTCATTTCACCCGGCTGTCCGAGGGATCGCCACATTGATGGATCAGGAAGACGCTGGAATGGATTCTTTGCTCGTTTCAGGGGATTTATAGTGGAAGCCCATGATTACTATCTTTCTTACCCTAATTGTCACAACAGCTGGATATGGAAGTGGTGTTTTCCAATAGTTAGAGGAAAGTTTGTAAACATAAAGGGTCTATTCTTGCCACTTTGTCTCTGCTAATGTGAGGAAACTGATCCATGTGTGGTGCAAACATCTAAAATAGAAACAGGTGGCAATTCCATGTGCCTCTCTAGATTGCAGAATGTTTTGGAAATTTGGATTTCTGGATTTCTCCAAAGGATCCGACTACAAAGGCGCTGAGACAGAGCTCTGTCTTTACAAGACAGTCACACATGCAGTCTTTCCTTCCTAATGGAGGCAGATCTTCCGGTGCTATGGCAGCAGGCTGTCTTGGCGACATGGAAGATGGCAGGGCCAGCAGAGCCCAGCCAAAGCAGAATGTGGCAGAGGTGATGAACATTTCCAGGGGGTGGGAGGGAGGGGGCTGCAGAACTGGCCACAGTGCTCTTCAGTACACCCTGGCTGGATGCTCCATAAAGCCGCACTGATGGCAGTTCGGAGATGGCCATCTGTCGTCAACTCTGGGCCAGACAAAAAAATAATGTAATGGCAGCTCGCTAACAACAGGGCTGTTGGAGGAGGGAGCGAGTCCTAGAATGAAGAGGTGGTGCTCCCTCTTTTAATAGCGAAAACCAGCCATCAATATGAACATCAAGAAATTAATGGATGGAGAATTTTTAAAAACTGAGCTGGGGTGCTGTAGAAACAATTCAAATGCAAATAAAGTGGTTTCAGCTTATTGCAATTACCTCTGTTGCCCTTACTTCAGTCATATTAACCACTTGATTCTTGAAAATTTGACTACCAGGACACATGGTGAAGCAGGAAGGGCCAAATTTAGAAAAAGGTGAGCCCAGGTTGTGCCTCCAAGCATGCACACACAGATGAGGCATTTATTGTACAAAACAGGTAATTGAAAATGCATTTACTCATTTAGTCCAAATGAGTTCATTGTGATAATCATGCTTATCTTTCTGTATGCTTGCTTAATTTCTAGATGCAATTTTATTAAAAAGCCAAATAAAACTATCTTACCTTTAGACGCATTATGAATGCTATACAACTGCAACCTCCCTCCTTTGCTTAAGAAAAACTCTAGTCTTTTTGCTACTGCATAGATGATGGGGGGTTGGAACGGAGAGAGAATAACAAACTGAGGTTAGCTTAGCCATGTCCTGTTTGTGTCCTATGTGATTAACTTTCTGCCTTCAATGGTAAGGCCAATCAATCCTGATTGAATTATCCAATATTAACAGCTGAAAGTGATCAAAACTAATGGTGAAAACATAGCACCAATCAATAAATCAATGCAAATGATTCGGTTCCTGGAGATCCGATCAAATAAAAGAGATAGATCAATTTAACCACTGAGCAAATTAAGTGGAAGTTGCTGTAGCACCAATTTACTTCCAAAGCCCTGCAGGCCCACAAAGCAAAGAAATGAGGTGATGTATGAAATGGACCAGTTCCAGAACCACGTGCTCATTTGACACAATTTATACTCCTGTGACTTTTGAAGTCTTTGTGATGTGCTTAAGGGCTGCGATTTCAGCCCCAAGAACAAGAGATACACAGGGGCACAGTGGATCTAAGGATGTAAAGAGCAAAGGAATGAGGCCCAGACCATCCAGGAAGGGGTGGGAATTACAATCCCCCACACTGGCTTTCCTCCAAACTGATCAGTATAGGACCCGGATATGCCAGATCTAGATGTGGTGATGGGCAAATATTTCCAACCCAGGGGTCCCAGCAGAAGAACACATGATAAGAGGCAAGACATAACAGGGTTTTGAGTTTTATATTTTGTGTGGGGATAATAAAAGAAATTTTGGCCTGGTGTGATGGCTCACGCCTGTAATCCTAGCACTTTGGGAGGCCAAGGCGGGTGGATTGCCTGAGCTCAGGGGTTTGAGACCAGCCTGGGCAACATGGTGAAACCCCATCTCTACTAAAATACACACACAAAAAATTAGCTGGGTGTGGCAGTGTGAACCTGTAATCCCAGTTACTTGGGAGGCTAAGGCAGGAGAATTGCTTGAACCTAGGAGGCGGAGGTTGCAGTGAGCCAAGATGGTGCCATTGCACTCCAGCCTGGGCGACCGAGCAAGACTCCGTCTCAAAAAAAAAAAAAAAAAAAAAAAAAAAATTAAGCTCTGTAGGAAATAAAAAGTAAGCCCTTGAAAAATATGAAAAAGTGAGAAAACGGGGATGAGGGTTACTTCCTTTGGATGTGCTGTGAATACACACCCTTTCATTCCTCTTGTTTGCAAAAGAGGATTTCAGCCTCGCTTGGAGGAAAATATGAAAAAATAAACTAAAACTTTTTTCCAAACTACACTCAGATTCTACCTTGTCTTTCGTGAAGGGGTAAAATAAAACCGTTTGTCTTAGCCACACCTCCGTAATTGGATGAAAGACAGGGGAGTGTATTAGTTTGGAATACATTTCTGAAAGCAAGTATACATGTTTAGTTTTGTAGTTAGAGGTTAAAAACCAAAACAAAGCCCAAGACTCCTAATCACTTGAAAAAGATAAATGTTTAAAAATAAGAATTTTTACCTGGAAACTGATTAACATGAAACCATGTCCAGATATGACTCATTGCAAAATTATTCTCGTAAGCTAGAACAGAGAACTCAGGAAAGTTCTGATATGTCTGAGGTAGAGATTTTGTTTTCAAATAATGATGAATCTGGATTTTGTTCACTTAGGTCAGCACTAGGAAAGCAGCAAGAAGGTCACAGAGCCAACGTTCTGTGAGTGTCTATTATGTTCTCCGAATTCCATAACCATCCATCCAAACCAGCAGGGGTGCCTCCCACCCAATTCTCCCAGCTGGAGAAGAAACACCTTTTCTGGGAAGATTTATAACAATTGATTACATATCACCTCATATAGTAGCTATTTCTTTGCCTATCTTCTCTTTCCTAGTAGATTGTAAATATATGTCTAATTATTTTAAGTATGTCTTGAAGTGTCTGGCATCATGGTGAATTTAAAAAGATGGAATTATATATTTACATATATATATTTTGTTTGTTTGTTTGTTTGTTTTCTTGAGACAAGGTCTCTCTCTCTCTCTGTCGCCCAGGCTGGAGTGCAGTGGTGCAATCATGGCTCACTGCAGCCTCAACCTCCCCAGGTTCAGGTGATCCTCCCACCTCAGCCTCCTGAGTACCTGGGACCACAGGCACCTCAACCTGGGTAATTTTTTTTTTTTTTTTTTTTTTTTTTTTTTTGGTAGAGATGAGGCTTTCACCATGTTGTCCAGGCTGGTCTCAATCTCTTGGGCTCAAGTGATCCGCCTGCCTCAGCCTCTCAAAGTGTTGGGATTACAGGCATGAGCCACTGTGCCTGGCCTGTAAATATTTTTAATAAGTATATTTTCTTAATAATGGCATGGGGACTATAGCAGTATGTAATATAGCAGTTGTAATTCTGACTATTAACAAGGACTCCTAAAGGCCTCATCACATATTATTTAATAATGTGAGACAGATTTTGTGTTATACTCACTGAGAAGCTGGTTTAGGACCAGTAGCTAAGTTAGCAAGTGACCCAGCAAGCCACTCAATGGTGACAATTTAATGCTGTATTGTTGTCTTATACGTCCCATCCCATAGGCAGTAATTCATTTTTCCTTCAGCAATATGACCATAACACTCAAGCACCAGTTAAACTGTGGTGTGAAAAATATGCATCAAAATCAGGTGATTTGGTGGAAGTGATTTGAGAAGGAAATCAAATAGCTATAGTGACAATTACACATTTAAACCTTAGTGATTTCTGAAAGTCTCGGTATATCCCTCAAATGTCAAATTACTACTGCACTTTGAATGTAGGAAACACTGCACTCATGACTTAATGAAGGGAAGGGCTGGGTATTAAGATAATCTTTGATTCAAAAGGAATTGAAATACTAGAATTTCAGAGCCTAAAGTTCAACTAGACCAATTTCTTCTACCCGTACTGCAGGAATTCCCTCAATCTTCATTAAATTTATAACAAGAGGCCTGACAGAACTTTCTATGTGGACACATTGGGAGAGAGGATGATTTGATCATTGCCATCCAATAGTAGCTTTTCTGGAGGCACCAATTAAACAGCAATTAGTGTACTGAAAGAATGTGGTCTATTCAACAGGATTTTTACAAACACCACTTGCTCACACCTGCATAAACCACTTTGGATACAAATATGCATTGTAGGATATTATTCTTGGACCATACCATCCTCTCTCAAAGCAGCTTCCTTAGGTTCTGCTGAAAAATTTTGAGGTCTATTAGGAAAACATGTGAAACATTGAACACATTCATTCACTTAAAAAATAATAAAATGTTCATTGAGTTGAAATAATGGACTCTTATTCCAAAGCACATCTCCTCTCCTGGCAGCACGCTAGGTGGCCTTTGAAGTGTATTAGAATTTCTTGCAAAAATGGAGGGAAACTCTGCCAAAAGAGAAAGGTTATATCTTGCTACAAATTATATTATATTTTTATGTGTATATATATATATAAGTATAATATGATATAATTTTATATTATACACATTATATAAAATTCCAGTCCAGATATATATCTGTATATGTAGAACATTTGGTCAGCAAGGTTTATGGGTTGTGTGATGAACGTAACTTCTACACTGGCAAAAAGTGTGACTTAGATTAAACGTTTCATAGAAATAAGGGCTTCATCTGGCCTAAATCTTAAAGGACTTGTGGTTTGTGATATTCAAAGGATGGTGCCTGAGTGCTTGATCTCCTAAAGATGAACAATGTATAGTGAAGAATTATCTACATTCTGACTGGCTTTGTAGGCAATGCAAATGAAGGTAACACACCACTATATATATGTGTACATACATAGTGTATGTACACACATAGTATATATACATGCATGTATACATACTTATACATCCCCATATATATATGTGTGTGTGTGTGTGTGTGTGTGTGTGTGTATACATATATGGTGGCAAGTAATTTTCGTTAACATTCCCTCATATATATATATGCGCATATATACGCATATATATAAATTCTATACCTAACAAAGCACTTCTATCCACAAAAAAATGCTTCATATTTTCAACTGGGCATAAACCAAAAGAAATGTAAATTATGTATTATGGTCATAAAATCATTCATGTACATTTAAAAGATATCCATAGTGATGTTGATGGTCAATTCCAGAATGCTTATCCTAAACTTAACCTATTATTCTCACCTTGATAGAAAAGCCAAATAAATTGTATACTTTAAAATCTCTAATAGGATTGCAGTTCTTAGACATTTAGTTTTATAGTCTCTTGTGAAAAGTCCTTATTTCTGAACTTTGGTGGCATAAAAAAGTAGATGAGTTCAAGTGGTTTAAAATTTACATTTATTTTGCACACCAAGGCATGAACTACAGTGGCTGATAAAATGGCTTCATTTTTCTACTCTGTGGTTATTTTGGTTATAGATCCTATTTTCTATTGTCACCTGAATTTTAGAAAATTTTTTTTCACTTGTCCTAGGAAAATAACAAAACTGTTTCATGGTTTTTGTACACTTACCATCCCATTTTCTATACAGCAAATAAAATAAATCAATATTTTAAAATTACATTAATTCCATCCTCTAAGCACTGGTATAAATGCAATTTGGGTAATGAAAGCAAATGCAAAGGACCATGAATGCCAAAAGTTAAAATATAAAAATAAAAACACTTTCAAAACTAGAAAAAGTCAAGTTAACTCTGATCCATTTTTCTTAATGTGTTGAAACTAAAGCCACTGACATTATTGAGGATTTCAGAAACTAGACCCACATAGAGATTCCAATAACTATGAATTATAGTTTTGCGAAATATTGACTGTGTAGTCAATATCTCATCTCAGATTCATAATAATTATCACATACTCACCATAAATACTGTTCTTATCTAAGGAATGATTCACATATTAAACCTGAGTATTCGCATCAAGAGCAAATATATATAATTTAGAGTTGTGGGATTGGAAATATAAGGCTCATAGTTTTGGATTACAGAGTAAGTCTCTGTTTGGCCCAGATCACAATTTGTATGAGCGAGTCAGAAATGTTTTGGTAGATGTTTGACTAAAAAGGTCACAAAAACTCAAAAAGAGTTGTGTGTTCTGCACTAAAATTTCTATGCCTGTGGTTCTCAAAGGGTGGCCCAGGGACTTCTGTGGTCTCCTAAACACTTATGAGAGGTCTGTAAGGTCAAACTATTTTCACAATAATATTAGACATTATTTGCCCTTTATACTCTCATTATCTCAAGAGGGTACAGTGAAGTTTTCTAGACGCTACCTGATATGTGATGACATCATCTCTCTGACAGCTAATAGAATATGTGCTTGTATTCTTGTATTTAATAGATTTCTCAGTTTTGATTTTTAAGATGGAAAATGATAGTAACTCACATAAACCAAAGCCTTTTGTGGTCCTCAATAATTTCTAAGAATGTAAAGGCATCCTGAGATCAAGGAGTCTGTGATTGGTCTATACTAATCGTAGAAAAGAGTGAATACTATATGTTCCACATAGAATAAAACCTGAAAATACATCATCATAAAGGAAACCTGGAATCTTGAAGGATGTGATTAATTGCTTAATTTTGTCTGCTCTACAATGGGTCAGAGGCCACCGCTGCCACAGTGCTGAGTTCTTTTAATGAAAGACATTGATGGTACCACCAGGTAAGAATCTACTAATACAGTACAAAAGTGGAAGTTTGTTGCAAACATTTTTGTTTTCAAGAACACTAGGTAGGAATCAGTCTCTAAAGAAACTCTACAGCTTTGATTTTAAACGATTACTTAATTCTGCCTCACAGTTTACATACTAATTAACAGTATCACTAGGTGTTTTGGCCATATCCTTTATAGATTCACAAAATCAAAATGACTTATGCTTTGATACCTATGCAATAAAAATGTAGTATTTTTTTCAAACAGAAATTTAGATTATTTTAATAAGATGTATTTTTAAACAATAGTCTAACTTGGCCCATCTTCTATATTCAATTCATGAACACATGTGACAGAATAGCATTTTTAGAAGCGATACAAGGTAAGATAGTAACTTTAATTTGGATCCACTGACACGTTATGACAACTAAATGGGCTCAAGCATTCTTTCTTATATTTTGTATTTCATCTCCTTAACTTACTATTTGTTCACTTTTAGAATGATAACTGAGAAGATAAACTGCAAATTCCTTATTTTGACACATAACTCACATAAATCTCGTTTCATCAGGGCCCAAGGAAGCACGAAGTTGCCCCAGGACCCAATGTGGGATGGAAGACTGAGGAGTGGGTGGGCTCCCAGTCCCTCAGTCTTGCCTCTCCCAAGTCAACCAGATCAGCTCTTTCATTTGGTTCAGGGATTCACTGTGAAAATTAACTGCAACCCTCATTTTAGGCTAAATACCTGTGTTGTTAATAATAATACTCATAATAACAGAATAATTTTCTTTTCTTTTCTTTTTTTTTTTTTTGAGACAGAGTCTCGCTCTGTTGCCCAGGCTGGAGTGCAGTGGTGTGATCTCGGCTCACCGCAAGCTCCGCCTCCCGGGTTCATGCCATTCTCCTGCCTCAGCCTCTCAAGTAGCTGGGACTACAGCCGCCCGCCACTGTGCCTGGCTAATTTTTTTTTTGTATTTTTAGTAGAGATGGGGTTTCACCGTGTTAGCCAGGATGGTATCGATCTCCTGACCTCGTGATCCTCCCACCTCGGCCTCCCAAAGTGCTGGGATTACAGGTGTGAGCCACCGTGCCCGGCCAACAGAATAATTTTCAGTTCGACTCTATTCTCCTCCACGGGAACCAATAAGATTGAACAAAAAGCATGTTACTCTCAGATCATTTCATCAGAAAAATAAGGATAAGACATTATACCCATTTTCAAGGTGAAGTAACATTAAAAAATAAATTATTTTCCTTTATAATACATGATACTTCTGGAATAGAATCTAGGTCTCTGACTCATTTTTTTTAAACTACCAGTCTATAGCTAAGAAAAATAAGAATAACCAAATCTTCCTATGTTTATATCTTATATCCATACCCATCATTTCATTTTCACTGTATAACAGCCCTATAAGTGTGATGTTTGTTTATTTCTTCATATCTGAGGTTCAGAGGACTTACAGTCCAAGGTTACTCACACATTAATCAAGTGGACCACTCAAGGCTAGATTCAATGTCTTTGGGTGCAAAATTTTCAACTATAAGGCTTTGGTTAAGTAACAGTTATTCTATTCCATTAAATGGAAGATATACATACTGGACAAGAGTACGATTTCTTTCTTTTCTTCCCCTCTCCCTTCCAATTTTAAGCCCCTCAGGACAACAATAACCTGGACATCCACCCAGCTTGGAGCCCAGTGGGAACAGAACATGAATAAAACAGGATTTGGGAGAATGAGTCATGACAAGCAAGGTGAATGATCCCACAGTCCAATAAACCTGACCTCTAAGTCTATCACACTGGGTCAGAAGGTCCAATTATAGGTCTGTTCTAGTTCTTTTTATGATTGACAGCAGCCAGAGGCAAAATTACTTTGGTGTCTATTAATCCAGGCTCTAATTTTCCCTTTGCCCCCAATACACACAAAGCATCATGGTGGCCCAGGGTGAGTGATACTGTGAATCCAGATTTAAAATGCCCCTGTTTACTATAAGAATAGCAACTGAGTTCAATCCCAGTCCTCCCCATGAGGACATTACCTGCAGCTCTGTTTGGAAGAAAAACTTCTGTGGACATTGTGTACAGTCATAGATCTTGTCTTCTTGTCCATGGGCAGAGAAAATATGCTGCTGCAACTTGTTTGCTTGAACAAATACTGAAATGATAAAAGAATGATGAACTTGGGTTATTTTGTTTCCGAAATGCCCTCAGTCGATGACTCTGCATGAACAGACAGCAGGCCGGACAGCACGCCTCCCAGGTGTGACTTACTGCCTGAGACCTGGGGAGAGCTGAGTCACATTTGCTCATGGTTGGGTCTCTGGCTTTTGTTAAGATGCACTCTACGGAGCACCTAATTCAACCCAAACAGCTCCAAAGTAAAGGTTTATGGAGGCCCTGCTCCCTATAAATCTTTAAAAAATAAAGCCGAAAACTGTCAAATGCATAGCTCTGTCTCAACAGAAATGACTCCTATTTCTCAGCAACCCACAGGTTAAGAAATCATAGATGCCAAAACCCTGTTTATTGTGTTTGCCTAAAGTTATAGCTAGCAAACAGTTCTCTATTTAAATGTGTTAATGCTAAAAATCATATCCCACAGCTACTCTGGGGCACTGTCTATAAATGTGAAACAGAACGGCAGGTAAATTCTCTTTGGATACTTTAAGATCAACTCAGCCTACACACTGAATGCAAGGGTTTCAATAATATAAACATGTTCAATTTTAATGACTACAAAACAAGGCCCTAAGACTGTGTAACAGTTTACCTAGGAGACACGCTATTAATAATTAAATTGTATATGCCAGAGGCAGTGTTTGGGTTGGCAGAACTGACTTCTGATGGATGCCTGGTGCACTGTGACCTAAAAAAGTTTGCATCTACAATATTAATCTGTATAGGCAGGGAAAGGATTTATTAAAGATGTTGGCATTTGACTTTGACTCCACTCTAATCATTAAAATTATTCTAATTGCCAGCCAACCTAAAATATTAGAATATTGTTCTTGTGAGTCATACATTTTAATCACATTTCTCATTACCTTAAAAAACTGCTCAGATTTCCTTTCCCACCTAACACACTTTATATTGGAAGCATTTTTTAAAAATTGTTATTTCTAAATTACTTCAAGATACGCTAAAACAATTCACGTCTGTCTGCACAGAAAATGCAGACTGTGCACGATTAATGCATTTTTGTCTCTTTATCCGTATCAACAAGAAGAAATGAGGTTTTTACATAGATTTGCAGCTAATCTGCATATAACTCAGTACATTTTATGAGGCTTCTGGCTACAACATGAAAGACCTATTTTATTAGGGGTCTTAATCGTGAGGTGACCTATGACCCAGTCCTCCTTTATGAAGACTTATGAGCTTTTATAAAGAACCTAGACTCTTGACTCGTTGTATGTTAGGATATATACTACTGATGGTAAACCATAGCAGTATATATTTTTAAGTATAAACCTGGAAGAATAAAAAGAGTTCCAAAAGAAGGATGGAGAGTGGCTGATGGAATTATTGAATGAAGGAGCCAAACAGGCAACTGTTGAAGGCAGAGCCATCAACGTACTCAGTTAGTAATTGTGCTAGCTGTGCAATGAACATGGCCCCTCTTTATCACAGAATAGAAATCTATAGGCTCAGTTCAGTGAAGGTAAATAATCAATGCTTGGAATTTTGCTCTGCAAACAAAGAAGTCATCCTTGAGAGAAGGATATATTCTCCCTCCTCCAACAAATAAAAAGGCATTGCTTGAGGGGCTTAACCACTGAGTCCAAAACACATGCAAAATAATCACAAAGGATTTTCCAAAATAACTTTGTCATTGTTAGGGGAATACCACAAATATGTGTGATCATATTTCAACCTCCATGGGCTTCAAATGAGAGTTTCAGATTTACTTTTTTTTTTCTGCTAAAATCTGTAATGCTATCGTATCTGTTAAAAAATTTCTTCTTAAAAGTATAAGTGTAGATCAACTTCTACTCTAAAAATCCAATTTCATAGGCAGTAAATGCCTCATCTAATCTGTTTTCCATGTCAGAGAATTTGGGGTGAGTTTTAATACTATCTTTGTATTTCTGGTGGAGAATGTTATGAAATTCTCCATGTTTAAGTAGCAGACATGCGCTGACAACACGGCTGCACTTTTAGTTGAACATCTTGTGATTAAAAAGCAGCTCTGTGCAGGCAGCCTTACCCTTGGTAACCTTTAACATCGAGAGAAAAAAAAAAGTGAACACAACATGTATGTAGTTTTCCAAATGGAAAAGTGCAAACTTCTGAGAGAACTTGAAATGCCTTTGTTCATCCTGACAGTTAACCTTCCTGCTCATGTGAGCCTTTAAGTAGGCTGCAATCAATAATGCTAATAAAGCAGAAATCAAACATCTTCCCCCCAAATTGAACTGAAGTCATGTCTGTAAAAGGCCATAGCAGTGGGAAGTAATGCTTTGGTAGGAAAGACATGATGTGGCCATCAGCCTCTCCTGTGTCTTCCTGAAATAATCTTCCCACCTGTAAAGCAGACTGGACACTTGAAGGTGCCTCCCATCCCTTCGAAGCTGTGCTCTATCAGGTGGCACTGGAGTTTGGCAGGAGAGTCAAAGGTCTGGCTGCAGAGTTTGCATTCATGGTTCAGTCCTTCATCTGTCAAGGAAAACACATGAAGAGAAATGATGAAAACCTGTCATATCTTTAATACACTAGAGAGTTATCTTTAATTGCATATATTAAACTATTTCCATCACCTAATATACATATGTAGTATTATATATGGTTTCTGGTTATTTCACATTATTCATGAGTTTATATCAATTTAAAACAGTTCTGGAATTTAAAATCCAAAGATAATCAGAAGTCAGATTTTATCTTAAGGCTAATGCATTTTATTACACTTTTAAAATATAATTGGTGTATCAATAATGAGGCATTTCCTTTTCTCTCATTACCATGATTTTCTGGGGTCTGTATTTCCAAAGCCCTAAAATAAAAAAGTGTGGACAGCTTCTTCCTCAGTGATTCTACTCTGGCTTATCCAGAGGGTCCTGGAAGTGTCTATTTCTAACCATAGGTCTTCAGTGGTATTCAGTTGATACAGACTATCTTTTTCTATTTCCAAGAATTTCTGGCAATTTTGAAGTATCATTAATAGGACAGTCTCTTACAAATGCCCTTTTCTCTGCTTCGCACCTCCAGTCTCCCATATTCTTCCTAGTTCATCTCTCCCTTAACTCTGGAAGACAGTTTCAATTTTACCCCCAGAACCAGACTCTGCTTCTGTTTCTCCAAAGCACTTTTGTGACCTCCAGGCTCACTTGACTAGCCCTGAATTTTTCTTGGATATCTTAAGAATGAGGGGGCAGAAAAATATTTTGATGTCATAACATTGCTATATAAAGTGGAGAGTTTGTGTTATACATAGACACTGTTATTTTAAACATTTATGGATTTTAAACATTTAAAATTAAAATTTAAAATTGAAGTTTAAAATGTAAGGATTATCCTAACTTATTTCATTGTGCAATTGTAAGGTATAAAAAACCAGGGGCACTAGAGCTAGCAGCCTAGCTGACACTGATTTAGTGTTTGCTGTGTTTCAGAACTGCTCAGAGACACAAATTCATTTAATTGCACTAAAACCCTATGAGAAAAACTACTATTAGTCTCATTTTACAGATGAGAAAAATGAGGCGCAGAGAGTTTAAGTAACTTTGCTCTGAGTCACAAGCACTCATAATTGGAAGAGCCAGAACTTGAACGCAGGCAGTCTAGATTCAAACCTGGGCACTCTGGCCTCAGGGGACATATCTTAATAGATATGGTGGAGCACACACCCACTACTTCCAAGACTACTTACTAAAGGGTAGAGGCTGCACTTTAACCTGGCTTGTTATCACATTACACTTTTATATTCTCCTATTAGCAATGATTAAAAAATGCTACTAAGACATTCTAGGTCTAGGGAATGAAAGACACCGTCACACTACAAGGGTAACAAGTCTACACTGCAGTTATTTTCTTTCATTCAAAGACAACATGCATGTGTAAGTCCTCTGCCAGCTGATATTACTGGTAATACCACGTCCCAATTACAAAGTGAGTAATTATTAGCTAACTGTGAGTAAAATCACTCTATTTGTATTCCTAATCTTTCTTCCCATACAAGTATGAGTCTTTAGAAGCAGAGGATTGGAATTTGTAAAAAGAGAAGCAAAGCACTAATTAAGCCACCCAGTACTGTCTACATTTCACAAGAGATAAAAACCTACTCTGTATCTGGGTGGCACAGTAAATTCCTTGATTATAATTATGTAAGAGGGAGTTTAATTGTGCATACTGACATGACAAGGGGTTATACAAAAAGCTTTAGGGATTATATAAGATCAAGGGTTTTTTCATCTGTTTCCTTTTTTTAAAATCCTGAAGTCACCAAAAAATTTCCAGATTTTAGACATTAAGAAATATAAAAAACACTATTTATTGTAAGAAATTGGATTGGCAAGTGCATCTTCAGAAAAATACTTGCTAACTTTAAAAGTTCTCTATTTCCTTAATGCTACATACCTTTATTTTGAATAGTAAGAAGGTTACTACGGGTTTTCATCTCCTTTTAAAATTATGTGTGCTTTGCACAAGAACCAAGAGATGGCCTATGGATATGAACTGATATACACTTGTTCCAGAATTTTAAAACTTGCAATAGGTGTGATGTAATAGATCTGGCAGGTTTTCCTGGGGATAACAATTGACTGTCACATGAGCATAAAGTGAATTATGCACATTAGGATGTTCTGTAATGTAATATTATCTTTCTTGACTATGAGTATTTTGTTTGGAAAAATAAGAGAAGGAAAAATAAATAAGACATATGTGTATGAGTGCAGGGAAAATGTACTCATTCATTTTTATGTATTTCTTACCCAAAGAAAAGAGAAGTTGCATCCCAAAATGTTAAATAATCCAAATTCAGTCAAGTGAATTCATAAAAAGGTGACACACAGGCATAAAGGTATTTATGCATTATTAGGGAAGACTTATTTTCTACATATTCTATCTTTTATTTGTGAAAGCGCTAAGTGACAGCAATGATAACAATCACATCTACCATTTTCAGAACTCTTTTTACAGCTTAAAAGCACGTTATAATGTTAAAAAAAAAGTTGGAAGTTCTACCTGCCTTTTATTTTTAAGTTACACTGTGAGGTCTTTCCTAGTTACTGATCTCCTAGTTATTTCCATAGGAGAGAAAATATATATGAATTGTTACACAGCACATTATAAGATGAGCAAAAGCCAATAAGCTCTTAGGTGGACATTTAGAGTCCCTCCTTTTCTCTCACCTTTGTTCATTTCCCTACTCCCTTCCCCCATCTTCACACTTGCTTATTACCTCAAGGTCAAATGTATAATGAGAAAGAGAGATAGTAACACAAAACATTCTAACAACTGGTTAATATAATTCATTTTGTATTTTTTTTTAATTGAGGGCAGCACAGGTAGTAAAAGAAAATGAAACTTATTTATAGTAAGAATTTCAAAAGTTTATCCTTATTCAGAGTCTTTAACTCTTCTCTTCTAATTCCATATTTACCTTTGTATGGCTGAGAGCCATGTCTGACTTTTCAAAGAATTCTTGAAAACCCTTAGAATTGGGTGGGGGGGATCTGGCTGAGTTAAACCCCATCTCTTTTCAAAACTCTCCTTTCTTTCCCCTATCTGGTATAAGGTAGTAAAGAACAGTAAATGTAACTGCTGTTTTATTTTTAAAGCCAATGTTCTTGATGGGATACTATCAGCACCTCTATTCAGGATTTTGCCCACAAAGCATAACCTGAATTGTGTCTTTCCTCCTCCTCTTCCTAAAGGTGCCAAAAAGCTTAAAAAATTCAATCAAAATAACCAATTCTGCTCTCTGGAAAGGTAGCAGCTGACAGTAATTGGATAATACAGCCTGACTCATTTATTAAAAAGAGATTCAGAGTCAATTGATTTAATAACCATTACAATATTCCATTAAGGATATAATAGGCTAGTACAGCCCTATTTTTTAATTAAGAATTATAGATGGGATCTTCGAACGAAACTTCTAGATTTTTCTTCTCCTTTTTGCTTATCTATATTCTCCAGATTTTCTACAATGAGCACAATTTGCCTTGTAGGGTACTTTGAAATTGAAAGAGAGAGGGAAAAACCTACCTTTTCTAAACCCTATTAATGAAGACTGATTACAACACTGAAATTTTGCTAGCTAAAAAATTAGATAGGAAATGAGCAATATTATGAAGTCTAGAAAAACTCTAGTTTTGCCCAATTAAACTTAAAAGTATTCTAGCCACGTATGTACAAAAACAAAAATTAGCACAAGGAAAGGGAGAAAGAACTATCAGAATGCAATTTAGCTATATGAGCAAACATGGAGCTTTCTGTATGAGCCTGTATCTTTCCAGAACACACAGAATACCCCTCTCTGTTGGATACTGAGGGAGGTATATGTGCCTAGCAATGGGGGTCCAGTGTCAGAGTGGGGCCTTTACCATTGAGACCATGCTGGAAGCCAGCAACTTCCTGTCTTGGTCACCCACTGGAAAGGCATGACCAAAGCTGCTTTGAGTATAATTAAGAAATCATTTCACATGTATAGAAATTTCATCTAAAATAATTATTTCCATTTGTTAATCTTCATTTAACTGTGAACATAAATGTAAACAGGAATCAAGTCTACATAAAAGAGACTGATGCTAATGTAAATATTTACTCCAATATTAAATGTTTCAAAGGAAAGCGTCTGCATACATAATTGGACTACAACCTCACTGACTTAGTAGGAAACGTGCTAATCACTTACAAAATTTTGTGCTCTAAGAAAACCATCTGCTTGTCTAAAGCCAGTTCAAAGATGAATGACAACTTCTATACCTCCAATTTATAAAACCTGGACCTACATAACTATTTATTAGCCTGTTTTATAACAGGAGAAATATTAGTTACCATTTGGATGCTCAAGCACAGGTTTAAATTATGAGCTCCAAGGTGGCAATTGGTAGTTTAACACAAGACACTGACATTTCAATATAAGCTTTAAACAAGAGAAACCCTTTAAGCAGCCTCCAGACTGTGTGTCCCATGTTTATACTCCTTTTCCTTCAATAAAAACAAAAATCTAGAGTGGCTACAAGCAAATGTTCAGTGGCTGACTTACATGCTGCTGTTATCCCAGGAATCACTGGGGGCCCCCTTATATCGTCTGATCAACGCTACAGCCATTACTGAGGGCCAATTTGTAACAGTTTATAAGTAGAACTCCTTCTCCCTTTTACCCTCAAGACTGGCCAGAAGGGTCCTCCAGCCTCTTCCACTGCATAAATCTATAGGCTAAAGTCCACAGATAGAAACCCCTCCTGCTATATCACCATGTGGCCGGGGCCATACTTAAAAGCTCTGATCTGAGTGGGAGTAAACTCTGCCCTCAGAATCCAAACAGAGGAATCAAATGCCCTACAGTTGTAACTTATCCAGTTCGAATGTGTGTTACCACTGTATCCTCATATATATTTTTAAATCTAAGAAAACTATGCCCTAACCCAATTCCCAACCTCCCACCCTTTACTTTGCTTCTCCTCTTCCTTGAGTTAATTTCCAAGCACACATTTATAAGCTAGGGGTCCGAGGAGTAACAAAGAAAAGCCATACATGACAAAACTCACCCCTCGGCTACATTGGCTCGCCCTAGAAACCAGGAGTAGAAAAATAGGCAGACTGCAGTATAATTTGCCATGCACACAGCCATCACATTCTTTCCAGGGCCATAGCACTCAGCCACGATAATTTGTTGTATTATATACAGCACATGTTT
The DNA here is from genome assembly GCF_000001405.40 of Homo sapiens. NCBI lineage: Eukaryota > Metazoa > Chordata > Mammalia > Primates > Hominidae > Homo > Homo sapiens. The sequence goes on from NC_000018.10 coordinate 25,097,288, forward strand.
CATGACTGTAACATAAACACACTGTGGTGCTAATTTGGCAATGGAGAATATGACTTAGGCTTCAAAGTCTGCCGGTAGATTAGTCATTAAGCCCCCAAAGTAAGGCAGAATTTGAGAGAATTGCATATTGTGGGAACGTTTTTTCTCATACCAGTTAAAAAGTTCTGCCCTTATTTTTTTTGAACGAGTTGCCATGAAAATGAATGCAGCCTGAAGACCGACGCTAGCACCTTCTAGGAGTTTTGTCACTGGCAATATGGGAGTGTCTGGCACTGTCAGTATTTCTACGCCACATGAGAGAGGAACAGAAGACACAGGCATGAGACTCTTACAATAAGAGGAAAAGGACACTGGGACATGAGGAAATGAGCTCCAGGTTCCTGGACCCTGACTGTGTGCACAAAGTGCCTAACCCTTAGGTATCTCAAGAGCCGCAGGATACACATCCTGTGTGCCTCAGTCAGAATCTCACTTCCAGGAGATCTACAGGTGCAAGCTTACCTTAACTTAGTTACTGGCTGTTTTTAGCCAATGGTCTAAAGGCTACAATGCTTTTGGACTTTATAAGCAAAGCCACTGATATTGCCACTGTTATTTCCTGCCTTGAACTTCTCATTATCAGCAGGGCTGGAGCAGGAAATGATTCAACTGGGGTAGGCTGCATGGTACCCAGCAGATTTTAAAGAGCCCGGGGGCTGCCTAGAGCCCCATAAACATCAGCAGCTTGGAAACTAGCAGGAGGTCCAGGTGGGTAGGGAGAGGAGAGGCAGGCAGTGGGATTTTAGATGCTCTGAGATGCAATATCGTCCAATTCCTTGGCTATTATTATAGGTTGTGTGAAGTACTTATTAGAATATTCTCATGTAGGAGAAAACATTGGAATGTTGTTCAAACAATAAACAGTAAAACAAACAGCCCACCAAAAAGGTGGCTTTCCTTCAACTGAGGGGACTCAGCAGTGGTATTTTGGCACAAGTAGGGAATGGGGATAAGCACACAGACTACAATGTTTTTCAAACCTGGCCAGTACATTAGCTCCTCTAGTTCCTTCTTTTCTTCTTCACATTCTGAATCTAAACATGGACCCCATGGTTGAAGTCTCAGAGAAAACATGGTGCCTACAAATAGCTTTAAAGGTAAAACTTTGCCCTCATTTTTTTTTTATTAAAAAAAAACTGCAAACACCAGTTTTGGAAGGGCACTGATAAAATCACTTTGATTCTTCCTCTCCCCATCCCAAGAAAAAAATTGTTAGCCAAGAAAAGAAGAAAGTAGTGGATATTTCTTAGCAAATATTCTGGAAAAGGCAAGGGCAGGGATAAGGACGGGAGTGAGGACTGAGACCAACTAAGTCTGATGTATGTCCTCCAGGTTTGATTAGATATTGGAGTTGCTTTTAAACAACTTGGATGTTGTTAACACAGTGCCACTGTGTTGCACTGAAAAGGATCCAGTTTACTTGAACAGTCAATTCTCCCCCTCATTTATACCCACTTGAATACAGGAGAGTACATTTTTTCTTTCAAAAAATTTTTGTCACCTAATCTTTAGTGCTGTTCTGTTCTCTGACTTGAAAGAAAGTTTGTGAGCACGCAAATACAAGTATAAAACATTTGTTTCCATTTCACATAACAGACTAGATGAATGGAATGATTGAAGACAGCAGTGTTTCCAATTCAGCAACGCATTTCAGTTTTTGCCTTGCCTACAAAGAGTGGTGTGTGGCAGCTCTGACCATCTCAATGCCATAAGAGTGTTGAGAACTCAGTTTGGGGTTATTCACCTATTCTTGCTACAGTGCAAGTTCCAGGAGGGCAAGGGTATTTGTCTGTTTTGCTCATTGATGTACACGAAGTACCTAGAACAGTACATGGCTCATAGCTGGAACTCAATAAATATTTATTGAATTCATGGGAAATAACTACTTAGCAAACCCTATATTTAATTTCATCAGAATAAAATGCCAAGACTGATGGTAAAACAATATCTATTGTTTGTCAGTTGGGTTTCAAAATTTTGCTCCGTTCCCTTGTGCATTAAACCCTGTGCATATAACATAGCGGACTGGCAAAATCCACCTTACAGTGCTTGGCTTCTTTATTTCCCAAAATAAGATGAAAATACTCTGGCAAATAAAGCATTAACAAAGTAGCTGTCTAATTTGCCAACTTATCCCTGGCAAGAAACTGATAAGCCAAAACTTATCCCTTATTTCCAGAAGAAAAATATTATTATGTATCTTATATCTGAAATACCAAAAAGTGCCATATCAAAGAAGGGATAATTACCTTTTATTTGTCCCAAGTCATAGAGAAGTCTCTATACCGTACATCCATGACCAATAAACAATTTTTATTAATTGTCTGTATTCTCATGTTACAAAGCTCCATTCTTTTAATTAATTGGCTAAACCAGATGTATATGCATTTATTATACTCTTTGTTTAAAATTTCTCTTGTTTGATATCAAATACCTTCTATTAATGCCCTTACATCTGGGACTTCCGGCAGTAGTGGAAGTACAGGTATATTTACCTTTGAGTACTGTACAAAACCCCCACAAATTGGTAAGATCGAAAGAGGATAGTTCATGCAGCATAAACTAAATGTAACCTGCTTTAAAGTTAAATCTATTGGGAAAACATCTTTGAGAACTGAGACAGTGCAAGAGTCAATATTAATTCCACACAGTGGGGGGCCCGCAACACAAGCCATGTGCTGGACACGGCACTCATCAGGCATGTTTTCCTGTTGCTGTGCTGAGTTTATGGCAAGGGTCAGGGCCTTTTCTTTTTTTCTTTCTTTCTTTTTTTTTTTTTTTAATCTTCTTCTTCTTGGCATAAAGCCACTAGTTATCTGAAGGAGAAAGTCTCCAAACACTGAAAAGCTGTTTATCCTTGCTAGAAAGCACGGCTTGCTACTGCTGATGATTTTTTAAACAACAAAAGCAAATCAAACAAACACAAGAAATTGAGTGAGGTTCAACAGCTTCTGCAAATGTTATGGTCCTTGACAACCATGGGTTTTAAGTGCTCACAGGTTTAGATGAGAAACTAAGTCAAGCATTTTCAAAGCTAATTTTCTTTCTAAGAAACTATATTATTGATTACTTATTGCAAAGATGACATCTTCTCTCCTTCTGATTCTGTTTATTAATAGAATCACAGTTCACCACAAAAGCACACGTCATATCTGCAATGGCACATGGGGGTGTTAAGGGGGCCAAAATCTCTCTAATTTCCAAGGGGCTCAATCCTGCTCCTTTCACTTTGTGGCAATGGTAAGAAAACCATTAAGCAGCAATGCAAAAATCACAATACTGCATGCTATTTGCAAATGAGTCACATTTTTATTGTTCTATTGGTGTGACCTTAGAAACTTGGCCTTGAAGAATTAAAAAAAAAAAAGGTAATGGCACAATAAACGCAATAAGATTTCTAAAAACAGTTTATTGGAAATGTGCTGTGAAACTTGAATTCTTCTAATCAAACGATGCCACCCCTTAGAGAAATTTGCCTGTGCATTATTAAAGTGATATACTGCAGTACTAGTTAGAGCTCCATAACCTTTAAATTGCCTGATTGTAATTAAGGCCACTAGTTTTATTTAGGAAGGTTCAAGGAGGCTCAATTTAAGTTGGCTTAACTAGTGTGAATTTAATGTCATGCTGCCAGAAGGCAGAGGAGCATTCTGGCCTGGCTGTTCTGTGGCACATGCAGCTGTGGGGTCATGTATTCTAAATTAAACCCAGATTTTAAAGAAACTACAGATATCAGTAAATAGCTGGATGTGTGTAAATAAACGCCCCCATGTTTGCATGTGTACATCATTCATTCTTTCATTCAGTCATTCAGTATGCTGGCAGTTTTCCAATTTAGGAATCTAAATACAGTTGGCCCTAGAACAACATGGTTAGAACTGTGTGGGTCCACTTACCTGCAGATTTTTTTCAACCAAATGTGGACTGAAAATATAGTACTCACGGGATGTGAAACCTGCATATAGGGGTTCCACATATACTGAGGGACTTGTGCATGCATGGAAGTGGGTATCCTAGAATCAATCCCCTGCATATCCCAACGGACAGCTGTACAGCTGATCATTTACAGAATGAGGAGAAGGGGTTTGTAGATGTTTTTAAGGGCATGATGACCCCTTTCACAGAAAGGCATGGCTTAAGGCAATCTCCAGTCAGCATTAATGATTTAAAATGAAATGTGCATGTAACAAAGTTGTAAAGGCAGGAATCTTACTATAAATAAATTCTAGGAAGGAAAATTTATAGTCAGGAATATGAGGAGAAAAGAAAAGGTATTCTTTGGACAGGCCACTGAATGGAGTGCTGAGAACAATATGTAAACTTCACTGAAAGGGCAGCAAATCAAGGACTGAAACAAAAGATGAAAGAAAATGTAGGTACTCAAAGCACAGACTAGCAGAAGCAAAGGGAAGCAGCAGGGAGAAAACACTTACAGATTTGACCCATGTTCAAAATTTTACTGGATGTGAACTCAACAACATTCATCTCTGGATAGAATGCTGGTAATTTTCTGTAGCTCCAACAGCAATAATGATAAATGAATTTCTTTACAGCCAAGTGGCTCAAGCAGCCAACTACGTTACCACTATATAATTAATAACAATAAGCAATTAAAGAGAACAGCAGGTTACAACTATAAGGTGTCAAAATATATCAGCAAAGGAAAATACAGCAATGATACACTTAAAAGAAAAATAAATGTACAGCACATGAATCCATGTAGTGTCTTCTTCCAGACTATATTTTGGATAAAGCTTTTATGTTTGAAGAAAAATAGACGATGGCCTAAAACTACTATAAAGCAATTAATATCCCTCCAAAAACAAATAACACTCCTAATGCTCAGAGAAATCTGAAATGTGATATGGGACACACGACTGGGAAGGCACACAAGAATTGGCTGGCTACTATTTGGCATTTTTTTTAAATTAAAAGATAATTTTTTAAATTAAAAGACATTCTAATAAATACCTCACAAAACTGTATTTTTTGGCTTAAGTATTTTCAAAGATTTTCATGTAAAATTGAGGAGAAGCAAGCAACGAGGAGAGTGGAGGAAAAAAGAAAGGGAAAGAGTCAACATGGTACATTTGGCTGAACACTGGAGCACTGGATAAAATTTAGAAGGAGCTTGGAGATGCTCTAACTAAGGACTTTTTTAAAAGATGAGAAAATTGAGACTATATATATATATAGTTTTTATTTTTATTTTTTAGAGTAAAGGGGTCTTTGCTCTGTTGCCCAGGCTAGAGTACAGTATATGTGCTCATAGCTCCCTGCAGCCTCAAGCTCCTCGGCTCAGGCAATCCTTCTTGAATAGCCAGGACTACAGGTGTGTGCTGCCATGCATGGCCTGAGACTATAGATATTAACCAACACACCCATGACAGAAAAGCCTTATGGTCATGGCCAGCACCAGAATTCAGGCTTCCCGAATCCAAGATTATACTGTCCCACCAACCTTCACTTAAAAAAGAAGTTATTTCCTCCCTTAGTACAATGTAAGTTGTCAAGGAAACAAAACAGCAGTTACTGTTTTCTAGATCTCTTATTGATGTGCAAGGAGCTATTTCTATTTCCATGCCAACCTGGTGACGCCTTTGCTCCCTGACAAATCAAGGCCTGAATTTATTCAAATCCACCTCATCCCCCTATGTCTTAAGCAGCTACTGTTAAAGTCTCTCTCACCCCTTGAAAGCTTTTCTTCTCCTTTTAGGGAAGGGAAGCCTAAGTTGATGTGATGCACCTGTTGGAAGGCTGGAAAATTTGGTTATAGGAAGTTAAATTTCCCATAACTAGAGATAGAGATATCTCTAGATATGGGGAATTTTATCTCCCTAGATGGTGCTCCTAGAGGGGCTAGGTAAAGCACTTGGGTCTGAGCTGTCAGTCTGAAGGAAATCTTCCCGATTATACAACCTGTGATGGAGTGGCTGAACGCTGATGCTCTGTATGACAATAACCCAATGATTTGCTTAAACTGTTACCCAAAACCCTGTGGAGGCTGGGCTTGAGTGCTCCTTTATGGAGTTATAATTACTCAAAAACAAACACTGATTTCTTAATTCTATTCTGCCTATAGCTAACTGTACTTCTTCAAGTACCTGGATCATTCCCCGATATAGTGTTAAATTGAGTGTTTGAGAAGAAACCGAGACTGCATGCATAACCCAAAGTGTGTGGCTTACTAGAAACATAACCCCATACTTACGTATGGAAAATAGGTCAGCTCAATATATTCCTAACCTACTTTTCTCTCTTGGGCACCATTCTGGATACACTAGCACATCTAGACACTGTATGCTGAAGCCAAGATGTTACTGGCATATCAATGAATCATACTCATTTCTAGTTCCTTCTGCTGTTTTCTGTCAATCAAGAGCTATCTAAGTGAGACAGTTGTTATCCTCTGTGATGGGAAGAGAGAAGGAGTAAGGGAGGGAAGAAAGAAGGGTGAGAGGAAGGAAGGGAGGGAGGGAGGGAGGGAAGGAGGAAATAAGGAAGGGAGGGAGGAAGGGAGGAAGGAAAGACAAAAGACTCGTGGTAAGAAAGATTTCTTTCTCATTTCTACTTAGTTATGAAGTGTGATGAAGAAGTAGATGTCTCTGGGTATTTTTGCTATGTCAAAAACCAAAGCTAAAGACTATGAAAAAGGGCCCAACAAAAACCATGGATTAGTTAATAAGTCTATCTGTTAAATAAAGAATGAGACATAATAGTTATGGAGTGCTCTTTCTCCGATGATAATTCCTTATATTACCTTCTTTAAAGCTATTAAATATTTCTAAGTCTATAATGTCAAATTATAAATATGTCTGGGGCACAATAAATTTTTAATCCCCTATCTTTATGACAATTTTTCTATAACCTGAACCAGCTCATTCAAGATCCACTTAAAAAATTTAAAAATTGTATACTATGTCAATATAAAGGCTGATAATGACTCTCCTAACACAAAAGGAAATCTACTGACATAATCTCACTAAAATATCTGTCAATGGCCTTAAAACATTTTATATATTTAAAGGCTCTGTTTTGCCTTGCATGATATGTGATACAATAAGCACAGAATTCCAATGCTGTCTTAAACAATCTAAGTAGAAGTCTGATGCCAAGGACTGTAAAGTTTATTTCCTTTCTGAAAGCAAGTCATATTTAGCTCACTTATTGGTTTCATTCTTGGTAAAGAAATCATAAAAGTCCAGGACAGAAAGTGACCTATAGGGATGACCTGGCCTCTTGCCCTTTTCTTTGCTTCTGGAAAGCAGTAGCAATGTTTGGTTCCTTAAAGACAAAGATTAGCATGAGGATTTTTAAATTTGACAATCTGGAGAAAAGCGAATACCTTTATATAATTTTGTGGAACTGTAATTGTTGCGTAAAACAGGAGACGTAGGGTCTGATCTGAACCAGTAACAAAAGTTCTCATCTCAGAATACAGGAGAAAAGACAGTTCAGAAATTGAAACAAGAGTGGGTAAATAGAGATTAGCATGGTATGAATGTGCAGAAAATAAAAAAGTGAATACATAATTTCAGCATATTTTCAGCCAATTGCAATAATTCAGCATGCATAGATACTTATATTTAGAGAAAAATGCCCAGGCAAAATAATTTTTTTTCTCTGGGACGGGAAGAGATGTTTTCTTAATTAAATTTTGCCCTGGGCTATTTTAAAGAATTAAAAATAAAATAATTCTCAAAGAATTAGACATAACTATTGCTCTCTCAATAGGACAGCATGGGATTGATGAAGAGACAGACTGGCATTCTGGCTCATGTAGTTCAGTCTGAATCTTCTTCTTCCTCTACCAGATACTCACAATTCAGCTAGACACGTCTCCAAAGGGAACATCGAGAGGAAGGGGAAGAATGCAACCAGTGACACACAGGACCTAGAATCTAGGCATCTCTCTTTTGAAATGAATATTAGAAATTCTATCTTAAACTGATAACAGCAGGGAAATTCCAAATCAAAGTAATCACTATGGCCTTAATTCACCCGAGTAGGTCTAAATATGATCTCATCTTCTGCAAAATATCAGACTTTGTGCTTAGGCCAACTTGACTTTTAAGCACAAGATGTTGAAGGAAGTGTCTACACAAGTCAAACTCATGGGCATGTCGAAGGCCCCATAAAAATGAGACTCTTATTGTTGCTAAGATTATAACAATGGTACATTCTCCTCCCCTTATCTCTGAGGATGATTATAAATATAATAACTACTGTATTTATATAGCCCTTTACAATTTTCAAAATGTGTGGGTGTGGGTTTATATACATCCATTCTCAATTAATCTGCTCAATAACACAAATTTCTCCAGGTAACTCAAGTCCTAGGAAGAGCTTTACTGATTTGCTTGAAGTGATATGGGTAGTTACTGAGAGCCTGGCTCAAATATGGATTTAGATTCCAGATTAGAGAAAAGAAAACAACTAAATTTCAGTATCGGAGCAAATTTTTAGTTAAATCGTGTATGATGCTTAGTTTACTGGGTCCCTATGCCCAGGAAGATAGGAGATCATCCATCTACTTGTGTTGATAACGTATGTTTAGTTAAGGCAGTGAACAGCAATAAAGAGAAAATTAGAAAAATATACTTTCAGCTTGGGCCTTTCTGGTTATTTTGATGGTTTATTTTAGGGCCCTTTTAAGGTTTCATTAAGGCCAAAAATGTGGTATTCGTTTTGTTGTTGTTGTTGTTGTTTCTGAATTTATCAAGATTTAATTTAAAACTTGGCATTAAAAAATCTGACTAATTCATGAAGAAATAACCTATTTCAATTTTGCTCTTATGGGTGAGAAAACTGATATGATTCATTTTATTAACAAACTGTTTGAAAATCCAAAATGTCATTATTTTCAAACTGTATGAAACAAGACAGAATCATTTGTTTCCCAACAAATGGTACCCGTTACAAGGTTGTTTTCTCTTCCTCATGTGGAGAGTTTCACATATACTGCTAAATATCACTTACTGAGTTGATTTGGAAAATACCAGGAAAACCATATACTGTACAGCTCAAATGATTGGGGTTAACAAAAACAAACAAACCCTCCCGGCCCCCAGAAATGTAAATAAAAAGTTAGATTTCCCTGTACTACATTTGATTGCATTAATTGATGTTTAAAAAAAAATCCGTTGAAAATAAAGCCCAGCAGTAGCATTTTTCTTTCCTAAATCACAATAGCAGCACATTACAAACATTACCAAAAGGTCCCCTGGTGCGATTGTAAAGTTCTACTCTGGCAGTAAAATGCTTCTACTGTGTGTTCTCCATTTTCATCTCCACCCTCCCCAATATATAAGAAAGCAGGTCACGAATGCAATTAAGCCTGCTTGTGTGTTGCTTAAATATTAATTTCTGATGAATGCTCAGATACTGAATAGTCACCCACTACATCTTTTAAAATATATATATTTTAAAATCCTCTTATTTTAACATAGGGTTTGAGCTTGGTTAGTAAGCAGATCATTACTAGTGAGTCCAGTTTTATAATCTGTCATCTTTTCTACTGTCACAAAAGTTGCTTCCACAGTGGGAGGGAAATTCTTGGTATACAAGGCATGTACTAGGCCTGGTATGTTAGCAAACACAGACCTCTACTACAGATGTAAAGTAACTTACACTATAGTGTACAGAAGAGACAGTATTTATAGAAATCAGCACAGGCATCATCCCCAAAGCCTTTCTTCCCATGCGACATGGTGGAGAGGTTCAAAAAACAAAGGCTTTGGGATCACTTAGCGGGTGGGATGCCCAACCCTGCCACTAACAAGCTGAGCCATTTCACATAGGTTATTAATCCTTGCCTTCGTCAAATCATCTATTAAATGGGAATATCAAGTACCTATGTTGTGGGACTGTAGAAGTGAGACTCAATCAAAATAACATATATAAAGTATCTAGCATAATACTTGGCCTATGGTAACTACTCAGTAAATGTGAGTTATTCTTGTTATTAAGAATGAAACAAATGTTTGTTCCTTTGTTGAAATATCTTTTAACACTCAGCATTTTTACTTTCTTATTATCTAGGATACAGATCTTACTCTGTTTTCCCAACACTTCAGCCAGTTATTTTAAAAGATTAAACAGTTTTGATGCATAATTTTTAGATCTATACTGGAAGACTTTCTCTGAATATCTAGTCATTTATATAATCAGAAATGGAAGTTATCATATTCATCCTTGTAAATATTTTCTTTGAGTTTTTAAATAATATTTAGAACACTCCAAGAGTCTTCAAGCTGGGTATACATGGAAGGCAGCTATGTGTACCACTAAACTGTGAATGCACAACCTGAGTGTACATAGAGGCTTTCAAAGAAGTATGCAGACTGCGGTAATAATTCAGAGGGAACTGATTTTCAGTGTTAAAACTCCACATGGACTCTTTCCTAAAACTGATCTGCCTGCAAGCAGCCTGTGGTCTGCTGGTTCCCCTATCTCGCCTCTCCTTATACTTAACCTTGTCCTATTGTACAAAATGTGGGAGTACTTCCTGCCCTTTCTCAATCTTACTCATGTTTTGTCCTGGGCTGCAAAAATCTTCTGGGGGATTCAAAAACTGGATACCTGCTGTGGAATAGATCCGCAAGGGTGAAAGCAAAATTTGTCATGGTACAACATGCTGAAGAGGGCAGTGCCTTTTTCATCCAGGTGGGAGACTCACAAGGCTTGTGCCTTCTCCATCTCTCTTAGAGCTAGAATTTAGAAGTGAGATTATTGTCACAGGAATGCATATTAACACTTTCATTTTCAAGTCAAAGTCAGACTTTTTCTGACATTAAGTGTAAGTTTGTTTTGGCTTATGACTTTGACAGTGAAGACTGGCTTTGTCCTTTAAATTACATGGCAAGTATCTCATCCAATTGAATGAGATAAATGTTAATGATAAAAATATACTTAAAGTATATGCAATATACAGTGCACTGAAAATTGCATTTTTTCAATGACTTAATTTATGATTAAAAAATTTTTATAGGTGCCAAATTAAAAGCATGAGGAGATATATAATTTTAAAAGTTGTTTTTGGGGTTACACAAACAACTTTGAAGATGTAACATATATGGTATAAGTTTTTCTTTTTTTTCATGTTTTTGTCTTATCTTTTTACTGCTTTTACAATTACCATTTTAGTGTTTTATCATTTTGGCAATTTTAGTAATAATAGATATTGGAATTCATAGTTCTTATTCCATTTTAAAACCTGTTTCCCATAGCTGCAAACTATGAAAAAAATAAGCAGGGGGAATTTCCAGTTACCAAATACAATAGAGCTATGGTTAGAAATTTGATATTTCTTTTTCTGAGACAGAGTCTCACTCTGTTGCCCAGGTTGGAGTGCAGTGGCTCGATCTTGGCTCACTGCCATCTCCGCCTCCCTGGTTCAAGTGATTCTCCTGCCTCAGCCTCCTGAGTAGCTGGGACTACAGGCGTGTGTCACCATGCCCAGCTAATTTTTATATTTTTAGTAGAGATGGGGTTTCGCCATAGTAGCCAGGATGGTCTCAAACTCCTGACCTCAAGTGATCCACCCACCTCAGCCTCCCAAAGTGCTGGGATTACAGGTGTGAGCCACTGCACCTGGCTAGATTTTAAAAATTAATTTATTTGATTTTAATTTAATTTTTAAATTTTAGATTCAGAGGGTACATGTGCAGGTTTGTTACATGAATATATTGCATAATGGTGAGATCTGGATGTCCGTTCAGTGTACCCATCACCCAAATAGTGAACACTGTACTCAATAGGTATTTTTTTAACCCTCACGCCCCCAACCCTCCCCCACTTTGGAGTTCCCAGTTTCTATTATTTCCATCTTTATGTCCATGTGTATCCATTGTTTAGTTCCCACTTATAAGTGAGAATATGTGGTAATTTGATTTTCTGAGTTAGTTCACTTAGGATAATGGTCTCCAGCTCTATCCATGTTGCTGCAAAGGACACGACTTCATTCTTTTTTATGGCTGCATAGTATTCCATGGTATAAATGTACTTCATTTTCTTTATCCAATCATCCATTGATGGGCATTTAGGTTGATTCCATTGCTTTGCCACTGTGACTAGTGCTGCAATAACACAGGTACGCAGGTGTCTTTTTATATGATTTCTTCTCCTTTGGGTAGAAGCCCAGTAGTGGGATTGCTGGGTGGAATGGTAGTTTTATTTTTAATTATTTGAGAAATCTCCCAACTGTTTTTCATAGAGGTCGTACTAATTTACATTCTCACCAACAGTATATAAGTGTTCCCTTTTCTCTGCATCCTTGACAACATATGTTGCTTTTTGACTTTCTAATAATACCGTTCTGACTGGTGTAAGATGATACCTCATTGTGGTTTTAGTTTGCATTTCTCTGATGATTAGTGATGTTGAGCATTTTTGCATGTTTCCTGGCCACTTGTATGTCTTCTTTTGAGGAATGTCTGCTCATGTCCTTTGCCCACTTTTTAATGGAATTGTTTGTTTTTTTCTTGTTGTGCTGTTTGAGATCATTGTGGAATCTGGATATCAGTCCTCTGTTGGCGGCACAATTTGCAAACATTTTCTCCCATTCTGAAGATTGTCTGTTTATCCTGTTGATTATTTCTTCTGCTGTGCCAAAGCTGTTTTGTATTTAGTTTGAACTATACCAAGTGTTTTTAATCTTTATAATTCTTATATTGATTTTCTTCTTCTATATTCTTCCTCTTCTCCTCCATATAGGAAAAACAGAGAAGGAAGAAAAGGGAGAAGAAGCCATAGGCTGTGGGGCAGAAAGGGACCCTGCTTCCAGGAGTGTGTTTAGACAGGAGAAAGACAGGAGACAGCAGAGTTTTATCAAAGTGGGTTTCCCATCTACAGTCAGTTCTGTCAGCTGCCCCAAAGCAGTGGTGGGTCTTGCAGGATCTGGGAGGTAAAACTGAGGCAATGGCTGTAAGGGCTGAAACACCGAGTCCGCTCAGCAGAATGCTATCAGCGGGACTGAGGAGGTGAGGAGAGGTGGGCCTGCGCCTTGGGTCCTGCCTGCCCCCTTGCATCCTGCCTGATCCAAAATCCCAAAAGTGTGGGGTTTTGTTTTATATGGTTTTTGTTGTTGTTGACTGAATGAATGGAAGGCAGGAGACCAAAAAAGAAAGAAAAAGAGGGAGAGAATGAGAGAGGGAGGGAAGAGACAGCTTTGGTGAAGCCGCAGGGTTATAAGGGATTTCAAGTCCACCCATGAACGAGGTAGAAGCACATGGTTGATTCTTCTTTGTATCCTCAAATAATTCAATATGTCGTCAAAGAGATCTTTTCAAATTCACACCATTCCTTTACTTGTGACAGGCTTCTTGCCCAGCTATCTTACTTTTGACTAGCCCAAAAGTAAAAAAAAAAAAAATTGTGTGTTTCAAATATAGAAGCACTGTCTCCTGTATTTATTTCTATCTAAAAAATAACATTTCCCCCTCCTTTTTTTTTGAGAGAGAGTCTTGCTCTGTCACCCAGGCTGGAGTGCAGGGTACAATCTTAGCTCACTACAACCTCCTCCACCTCCCAGGTTCAAGTGATTCTCCTACCTCAGCCTACAGAGTAGCTGGGACTACAGGCACCCGCCACCACGCCTGGCTAATTTTTGTATTTTTAGTAGAGATGGGGTTTCACCATGTTGGCCAGGCTGGTCTCGAACTCCTGGCCTTAAGTGTTCCACCCTCCTCAGCCTCCCGAAGTGCTGGAATTACAGGCGTGAGCCACCACACCTGGCCTATTTTCCTTTTATTTAGCAGGGCCTCCTTACTGCCTGCTAGTGTTCTATTTTCTCGACAAGCAGAAAAACGGTGCCCAGCTTCCTCCCTAGGCAGTCTACATTTGGCTGCTACCATTTTCCAGGTGCTGACCTCTACTTGGCCTTCCCTGCAAAGTTTTCTTTATTTTACATTTTAAGAATGAGATTAAAAGAATGGTCTGAATAAGCACTTCAATGCTACTGCATTCCACTTGTCCCACACTGTCCTTACTAATCTATGGGCAATCACAATTTCTTTAGAGTGCTACCTCATTGTAACCTCTAGAAACCAGACGATATTAGAAGTCATTGTGTTTAACGAAAATTCTGAGGACTCATGTGATTTTAAAGGCTCAATTAACTTAATAGTTACTAGGGAAAAATACATTTTAAAAATTCAGTATGAAATATCTGCGTTGGGTGTTTGCATCATACTAGTCTCTCAAGAACTTTACCCTCTTTGCCAACTGCTACATAATATCTGACCAGCTGTTCTCAAGTAAAGCTGACACCCCTGGTCAGTCAGTGAACAATGTGCAGACAAGGAAGAGGTGCACAACACCCTGTGTGCCAATGTGATGCTTTCCTTCTTTTTAAGGGGCTAAACTGCCCATTCATTAGCCTTTGCAACTCTCAATTTCCAAGGCACAGGCTCGAGTCTTCTCATTAGCACTGAATTCCCTGCCTCTAAGAAGAGCACAGATGTCAGGCAAGCCTGACCCAGTATCTGGCTGATCAGATGCTGTTTACTTTCATAAGCCCGAGGTTTTACTGCATCTTGAGACGAGGCAGTGGGATTCTTCTCTGGCCCTCCTCGGCGTGGCGGAGTAATGGAATGCACAACAAGCTCACAAATGGCCTGTGCCCACAGCCGCAGATCACTATGAGGAGAGGGCTGCTGTTTTCCGTGGGAAGCTTCCCTAAAGGACAAAGGGTCCAGACTGCTTCTCTGGAAACCAAATCTGCAGGAGGCTCCAGTCCTCTGAAACAACCAGGCATGCTTTGGCACATTCAGCCTGGGGCAAATGGCCTACTCTCCTGTCCTCTTCAGAAAATGTTCTTTGTATGGAGTTAAATAAATAAATAAGTGCATGCATACATATCTGCATACATACATACAAATATGAAATGAATCTCTTTAATAATATCCAGATATCATCTCAGCTCATGTATGAGGCAGTCGCTAGGGGCCCGTGACAAAGGGGCCTTCGGGTTTTCTCTTTACCTTTGATCTGCATTATGAAATGTTAATGTTCATCCCATCAGGGCCCCTTCCAGAAACACACCCTTTCTAGAAAGGCGTACCCCTGCCCACTACAACTTCCACTCAAATTCACCATTTATATTTAAGTGCTGACTCTGAGCTCATGCCCAGAAGCACTGACATTTTTAAACAGGGCTAGCTAAACTGCTAAATAAAATTTATTGATGATAAAGAGCACAGCTGAGATTAAATTGTGGCAATTTAATAATAAACACACTCCCATCCAGCGCATCTTGCCATTCTGCATACACTTAATGTATGAACCTTGACTCCAAGCATTTTGTCTGTAGTAGGGAATGTGGGGTGCGGGGGGGCAGAGTCCATAGAATCTATAATTTTGAGTTGATTAGGTAGGAAACAACCACAAGCACATATTTTGATATCTCTATTAACAGCCTGTTCGTGTCTAACTGCAAAACTTGGTTGCACTTCTTTCACCATCTTTGCCCAAGACAGACCAGTAAACACAATTCCTCTCTCTATAATTAGCCTTTTCTCTGAGGGCCCTGAAGTAAGTCTGCATGCCGTAGATTTAATATCCAGTGCTATATCCATATGTGCTGCCCTTGCCTGGTCCCAGAGCATATAAACTCCCCTATTAGCAGCCTTGACTGCTTAATTATGCAGATTTTTTTTGTACCCGCCTGCCTGTAAAATTACTGTGTCTAACCTTTTTTTTTTTCCTCTTTGCACCATGCTGGCCATTCTAATGAAATCGGCATAGGGGAAAGGGCCTGATTTGCAGTTATGGAGGCTGGATCGCACTGGCAATCTGTCCTTAGTGGGAGTTACAAAAGAAGTCAAATGCCTTCATCTGGCTCTACCCTATCATCCCCAAGGTGATTGAGTTCACTTCCCGATGCTTCCCAAGTTTTCCTCAGGCTGTCCAATCAGCAGGTCCACCAGGGAGCCCAGCCTAGCTTGCAACAGTCTCTGTATCTAGTTACAGCCCCACCAGGGACAGTCAACCATCCACCCCCAAGCCTTCAGATGAAAACCTTTTCTAACAAGGCCGCCCAGCGCCAATGAAATAACACACATCTGCATATCCACTGGGTCCCATGTTTCTTGTGCTCATGGATTATGTATCTTGCAGCCTCTAATAAAGAAATGCAGTTCTTTGTTTAATGTTTATCTTGTGCTTGTTAAGCAAATGCTAATGTTGTATCAGAATGCTTTAGTGCTATTTAGGTTTTTGGTGATTTACTACAAGACAATCTGCTGTGAAGTAAATTTAGAGAGGGAGAAAAGGGAAAAAATCATTCTGGTTGAAAGGCAGAAAAAGAAAAAGGTTTGACAGAAAAATCAAGGAAAAGGGAATGAGATAGCGTGGAGAGAACGAGGAAGTGGGAGTGTGCTAGAGACAGCAAATGCCTGAGACAGACAGACAGGCAGGCAGACCGAAGGACGGACGGACACACACACACACACACACACACACACACACAGAGACGGGGGAGAGAGCAGGGCCTTACAGAAATCTTCTAGCCCCAGGCTGACATACTCACTCTATCACTGGACAGTTTGAGACTGGAAACTAGAGAATAAACCCAGTACAATTTCCTAAAAAGATGAGATGATAACTTTCCCTTCAGTGATAAGGTAAACAGTGTCCTGAAGGGTAAACAAAAAATAAAAAAGCCTTTTTTTTTTGTTTTCTGCCTTGTGCCCTCATGGTTAGCACTGTGCACTGTTATTCACAGACCACAGGGAAGCCCTAAATTTAATTGTTCATGCCTAGCTCTGCTAGAAATAGGCAAAAATAATCAGAATCTCCCTCCTCCCAATTTCAGGGAGGGGTGGGGGTTGGGGGAAAGAAAAGAGGGTGGCAGCTTGAAAGCTGATGAATGAATGCCCTTTATTTATCCTTTGGCAAGATGGGATATAGATATCCACAGTGCAAACCTTTCATGCCTGCTTTCCAATGCTGCAATACTGGTGGAAAAGAGGATGTCATTTTTATACCAAGAGATTACAAATTTCCCCCTACTCCATATTTTTGATAGGAGTGGTCAAAATGCAATTCTTTAGAGGTCAAATTGGGGAAAACTGAGGTCTATATTTTTAAAAATTACAGCTGTTATAATTTGTTGACAAATTGTGAGGTTAATGAGGTCTTAGATTTCTGGTTTATAATATACAAAGACTAACTGATAAGAGATGATGGAGAGAATAGCATAGTGGGCAGGATAAATAAGTATTTCACTCAGGAAGTACACTTGTCACAAATCATAGTCCTTTTCTTTTCCTCCTCTCTGCACTCCACGAAATAAATCAATAAATTTCCAAAAGGATGAAAAAACTCTAAGTGGGTAAATGAAAAGCAAACACCTACCACACAAATACTCACTCTGTCAAGTGAAAATTACATCCGCATAGGAGAATGCCATGTTAGCTTTCTTCTTGGGTAAACATCTCTATCCTTAACACACTATAGAAGCTAAGGATAAATTTAGTCTTTGTGATTAATACAATTAATTACAAGTACTCTGGTTCTTCAGAAATGCCTCAAGGATGTCACAGAAGTTTTCATTAAAAGTGTCAGCTCCTGCTTCAGAAAATGTATGTGCAACGTAGTTTATTGTTCTTTGCTAATATTCCTTTTGTAAATTCTTGTTTTATTTTTTTTCCTATGAATATTGTTTTCCTTTATAAATTTGCTGTTTTCTAATGGTGTCCTATTAACACACAAAAGCTGAATTCAGGGTCCCTTTCTATGCCAATGGAAGGGAGTAGAAAAGACAGTGAAGGCATCCATTTGTTACTTGAATAACTGGAAATCTATAGTCTGGGATTCTCAAAAGCACTGCCTCTTAAGTCACTGAGGGCTCTCTGCAGAGAGTGAAGCTTAATTACTACCGTGGACATAATTTGGGGATCTGACACTTATTCTTTGAGGGCTGACCAGAAGTCATCAACTTCTTTCCATGATTTCATTTCACTAAATAATACGATCATGGCAGACTTCATTTAGGCTCAAAGCAAATCCTACTGCTGAAAGGTCTTTTTTCCCATTGTCTTAGCCACTTAGTCCCCATTGGGGGCTATTATTAGAATTGGAATTTAATGTATCTCTTTTCCCCTTTAAATTTAACGAATAAAAAAAAACAGAAAAAGAAAATCAATGGCACTTTTCATTAGCTGGTTCTTATACCTATGGCAGGGCATGAATCATGGGCTTTTCTGTTCATAAAGTATTATATAGTAAAGACTCTCTAAATAATAAATAAAAGTAACATGCATGTTTAGATTTGTCTTCTCAGTAACTTATAATGCTTCCCATTCTCATATCATGAATTCACATTACATTCCTGTGAAGCAGTTGTGTTCTGTGTATTACAGTCTCCATTACATACTTAAGAAAACAGAGTTACTAAATTACTAACAAAAAAGTCATTCAGTGATGAATGTTCAAGCCCCAATCTCCTGTCTTCCTCAGGGGAGTGGGTTTTGAGGGAGTTGAGGTTGCTCAAGGCTGGTTGTCTATTCAGCCACAGCTTGCTTTGAGGCAGGGCCTGACTCCAGTGAGTTTACAAAGAGCTTGACCTCAATTTCTCCGCCAGGAAAACCTCAATAATGCTCTAGCTATCCTGGCCTAGACAACCTAATATTCAAAGCAGTATATTAATAGAGATAAGCACTTAGGGTTAAGGTGGTAAAAAGACCAAATATTTGAATAAAATGACATTTTTATTCTGGAACTTTCAGTGACCAGGGTGGCTCAAGAACAATGGGTGACTGAAGCGATCTGTTGTGATGGTATTCTCCTGTGGCACTGGAGCACTGTAGAACTCAGCTGCTAAGAGTTTTAGGCACTCCAGGAAGAAGAAAATGCTCTTATCAGTGGCCCTACCCAGAAGCTGTGCTAAATGATCAGGGGCAATCTGAACTGCCATTGGAATAGAATCCAGGGTGAGAAAAAGACAAGGAGTTGATTGGAGAAGGTGGGTTAGAATGAGAAAGTGGGTTCTTTGGAAGGTGGTGGTTAGATTTAGATAATGGGTTGCATTGGGGTTGAGTGAGACTCCAACTGAGGGCCATTCTGGGAATCAGTTTATTTAAAAATAAACAAACTACAAAAACTAACAAAAGGTAACCCCTTAAACATGGTTTAAAATTATATTTAGAGTACATTAAATCTCCACATTCTCTAGGATCACCCTACACACTAAACCTTGTGGAATGGGAGTGCCACTTGGATTGGCAGAATAAACTCCTACTAGAGCAAACCTCTTGCAGATAACTACTATAAATTTCAGACAAAAGACAAACAATCATCAACCTGAAGGCATTAGCATGTGAATAAAAGCAGGCAGAGTCTGGAGAGTCAACACTTGGATGAAGAAGGGAATAACACAAGATGAATTTCCTCCTTTTTAAAAAAAACATATTTTATACGCATGTGGATGTCAGTACTCCAATAGAAAGCTTCAGTTATGTCTGACTTGAAGAACTAGAAAACATAATTTGGGGCAAGCATAGCCACTGGAAAGTAAGGGGAAAATCTGTTACATATATATATACGTATATATATATATATACGTATATATATATGTGTATATATACGTATATCTATGTATATATATACGTATATATACACATATATATGTATATATGTATATATATGTATATATATATACACACACACATATATATACATACACACACACACATATATATATACATACACACACACACACATATATATACACACACACACACACACACACACACACATACACACATCCTTAATTAGATTGCTTCCAGTCAGTCCTGCTCTTGTATGGTTCAGAATTTGGTCAGGGATTTATGAAGAGTTTGTATACAGTATGTGTTTCCCCATCTCTACCAAGCTCTTTCCTTTCTAGTGTTTTCCCTCACTCTCTCTCTCTGTATAAATAGAGAGAGTGCTGACATTTGAGCTGCGGTCCAAATGATGGTTTGCAGTCTGAGTTCAATAGAGGTACCTGTCTGCTAAAACAAAAATATCAGCCTCCTCTGGAAGAATGTATCAGAATCCATCGTATCCACAACACAACACTTACAATGTCCAAGATACAATTTACAAAGAAAATAGACAATGTGACCTATTTTTAACAGAAAAGACAATTAACTTAGATGTTAGAACTAGCATCCAAGGATTTTAAAGCAGCTATTATAACTATGCTTAATGATATAAAGGAAAATATATTCTTCATGAATGAAAACATAGGAAATCACAAAAGAGGAAAAATAGCCTATAAAAGGGTATCAAATGGAAATTCTTAAACTGAAAATTATAATTTTTGAAATAAAATAATCCCTGTATGGGCTTAACACCTTAATGAATATGATAAAGGAAAAAGTCAATGAATGTGAAAATAGACTAATAGAAATAACTCAAGAGAAATGAACAGAGCCTCAATAACCAGTAGGATAATATCAACACATGGGTAACTGTAGTTTTAATGTGAGAAAGAAAACGGGAAAAAATAATAGTTTAAAAAATAATGGCAAAATGTCCCAAATTTAGTGAAAGATACAACTCTACAGACTCATGAATCTCGCAAACTCCAAGAAGGAAAAGTATAAGAAAACCACATAAGCATATCCTAGTCAAATAGTTCAAAAGCAATACAAAGGGAACATTTTAAAAGCAGGAAAAAACAAAACAAAAAACCTCTCCCCAAATAGAAAACAAAAACAAACCCCAAACTCATAAAAGCATATTACACAGAGCAAAACAATGATTTGAATGATTTCTGTCTTCTCACTAGAGTCAATAGATCTCAGAAGACAGCAGACTAATGCCTTTAAGGTATTAAAATACTACAGAAATCTGTCAACCTATAATTTTATATCCAATAAAGAATATCCTTCAAGAAGGAAGGTGAAATTAAAATATTTCCATATAAGAAAAACTAAGAGAATTTATCTTTAGCAGAACTGAACTATAAAGAGTTCTTCTTCAGACTGATGGGATATTAGACCAGATGAAAGCTTGGGTCTTCAGGGAAGAATTAAGAGCAACATAAACAGTAAATATCTAGTATACATTAAATAATTATTTTTCTTTTTAATTTCTTTAACAAATGTATGATTACTTAGAGCAAAAAATTATAGCATTATCTTATGGGGTTTATTACCTATGTAGACATAATACATATGAAATCTATATCACAGATTGACATATGGTTACAAAGTGTCTACATTTAATAAAAATAAAGTGGTAAGATATTAACTCTAAGGAGACTGTGAAAGTTAATTATATATATTAAAATCCCTACAACAACCACTAAAATAATAAGGCAAAGGGATATAGCTGAAATGCCTACAAATAAATGATAATGGAATTATAAAAACGATTCAGAAAGTCCAAAAGGGGGAAGAAAAGGAAGAAATGACTCAAAAAAATGAGGCAAATAGCAAAGACATGGGAGGCCTAAATCTAACCACATTAATAATTACATCACATTATAATGTACTGAACACTAATTAAAAGAAAGATTGTCAGAATGAATAAAAATGGAAGCTCCAACTATATGATGTCTATAAGAGATACACATTAACAATAAAGAGAAGTTGAAAGCAAATGGATGGAACAAATACATACTACGAATACAGTAAGCATGAGAATGCTAGAGGGGCTATATTAATATCAGACTTCAAGATCATATTGCCAGAGATAAAAAGAGATATTTCATAATGCAAAATAAGCCAACTGCTCTGGAAAATATAACAGACATAAATGTGTATGCACCTAAGAAGAGTTTCAAAATATATAAGGCAAAAACGGACAGAATATAATGAAAAAAAGATAATCTTAACAATTATGGATATTTGAACGTCTCTTAGCAATTAAAAAGACAATCTTATAATCACATATAAATATTTGAATGCCTGCCTTAGCAATTGATAGAACACTAGCTCCCTGCCCCCGCCAATGACTAGACACATAGATGATGATTTCAACAACACTCTCAACCACCTTGACCTAACTGATAGCTACAGAACATTATACTCAACATCTGCAGAATGCATACTGTTTTCAAGTGCACATAATACATTCATCAAGATTGACCATATGTTCACCCATAGAACAAGTATCAATAAATTTAATAGAATTAAAATCACACAGAGTATGCTCTCTATTCATATGGAATTAAATTAGAAATTAGTAACAATTAGATATCTAGGAAAATCTCAAATATTTGGAAATTAAAATTAAAAAATTAAAATTAAAAAAATAATCCATGGGTCCAAAAAGAAATCACAAGGGAAATTAGAATATACTTTGAAAGGAAAGATACTGAAAATTTAATATTTTAAAATTTACGGGATGCAGCTAACACATTTTTTAGAAAGAAATTTAAGAGATACAGATGCTTGTATTAGAAACATAAAATTGTCTAAAACTAATGACTTAAGTTTTACCTTAAGAAGCTAGAAAAAGAAGGGTAAATTAAACGTAAATCAGTATAAGAAAAGAAACAATAAAGATAAAAATAGAAATCAATGAAATACAAAATAAACCATGGAAAAGTTAATAAAATAAGAAAATTGATCATTTGAAAACATCTGCAGAATTGACAAACTTAGCTAAACTGATTGGAAGAAAAGACAGTACAAATTATCAGTATATCAAATTATCAGGAACGAATAAGTGGCACTATTAATCCTATAGATATTTAAAGGCCAATAAGAGAATATTACAATTTTATGCCAACAAATTTGACACAAAATTAAACAGAAAATCTGAACAGCCTTTTTTGTCTATTAAAGAAATTGAACTTATTAAAAAAGGAAGGAAGAAAGGTAGACACAATTCCAGATCAGATGGTTTCATTGGTGAATTCTAACAAGCATTTATGGAAAAAATAACACCTATCTTAAACTCTTCAGAAATTCCTCTTATGAGGTCAGCATAACCTTAATATCAACCCCTTAAACAGATTTTATAAAACTTGTAGGATCAGGCCAGGCATGGTGGCTCACACCTGTAATCCCAGCACTTTGGGAGGCCAAGGTGGGCAGATCACCCGAGGTCAGGAGTTCAAGACCAGCCTGGCCAACACGATGAAACCCCATCTCTACTAAAAATACGAAAAATTAGCTGGGTGTGGTGGCATGCGCCTGTAGTCCCAGCTACTTGGGAGGCTGAGGCAGGTGAATCACTTGAATCTGGAAGCAGAGGTTGCATTGAGCTGAGATCCCACCACTGCACTCCAGGCTGGGCAACAAGAGCAAAACTCCATCTAAAAAAAAAAAAAAAAAAAACCACAAACAAACAAACAAACAAACAAAAAAACCTAGTAGGACTGGCCTATAACCATAATTCAGTCAGCCACATGAGTATACTAAAAGGGACATTGATAGATATAAAAAAAAGGAATAAAAATCAAATAAAATTATTTTCCTTTTCTTATTCTTATTACTGTAATAAACAGATCAACCCCTTTAGAATTAAAAACTGATCTGTGAACAAATACCTTGGCTCCCTTCTTCTCACTTTTGAAGCAGTCTTTTCTCATTACAGTCACTTTCACCTTCACTCTGCAGTAAGACACTGGCAGTGGGGGCAACACAGCATAGACCTGCTGTTCAGGAAGGTGGTAAGAAACCTGGTTCAGGTCATGGGTCATCTATGCTCTCAAGTTTATCTTTCTCAGTAGTAAATTTCATAGTTTGGTCAAGAAGTTTTTGGAGAAAAATCCAAAACAAAAAAATAATACTGAATTTGTTTTTCCTTAACCCCTAAAAAATAGAGTGAAAGGGAAGAAGGAGTATTTTTTTTTTTTTTTTTTGAGACAGAGTCTCGCTCTGTCTCCCAGGCTGGAGTGCAGTGGTGCCATCTCGGCTCACTGCAAACTCCGCCTCCCAGGTTCACGCCATTCTCCTGCCTCAGCCTCCCGAGTAGCCACCGCGCCCAGCCTTCTTCTTCTTCTTCCTTTTTTTTTTTTTTTTTGAGACAAAGTCTCGCTCTGTTGCCCGCGATCTCAGCTCACTGCAACCTCCGCCTCCCAGGTTCAAGCAATTCTCCTGCCTCAGCCTCGAGCAGCTGTGACTACAGGCACCTGCCACCATGCCTGGCTAATTTTTGCATTTTCAGTAGAGACGGGGTTTCACCATGTTGGCCAGGCTGGTCTCAAACTCCTGACCTTGCGATCTGCCCTCCTTGGCCTCTCAAAGTGCTGGGATTACAGTCATGAGCCACAGCACCCAGCCAGAAAGTCTTAAAAAAGTGTTAGATGACATGAAATAACTGCATGTGGAAGTAGAAAGCACCCAGCAGAGTGACCACCATCCCCTTCCCCACCACTGGAGGGGGACAGTGAAGGAACAACAGGAGGGGCTCTGAGAGGAGAAAGTACTGGGTAGAGTATGCAGAAGGGTGTTGCATCAGTAGTGCGGAAAAATTAGCCCTAAATTAAAGGTTGCTCTGCAACTCCTCCCCCCAAATATAAATAAGGCCTCAAAGGATCAAACTATTACAAACTTAACTTAACTGCTTCCCAAAACAAAGCTCAAGAGTAGTTATATAAATACAAAAATATCCAGTACCCAGCAAGGTAAAATTCACAATGTCTGGCATCCAATGAAAAATCACCAAACACGTAAAGAAGCAGGAAAATGCAACACATAGGGCAAAGCAAAAAATCAATCAATATTAACTGACACAGAAATGACACATGATAAAATTAGTAGAAAAAGACATTAAAAAAGCTATAACTACATTTCTGTGTATTCAAGACATAGAAGAAACACTGAAGGTGTTCAATAGGGACATGAAAGAGATAAAAAGATCCATATTGAACTTGAAGAGATGAAAAATACAGATGGATTTAACAGCAGATTAGACATTACAGAAGAAAAGATTAGCAAATTAAAGACAGAGCAACAGAAACTATCCAAAATGAAACAGAGAGACAAGGTAGTGAAAAAAAATGAACAAAGTATCAATGAACTGTGGGACAATTTCAAGTGGCTAATATACCTATGACTAAAATCCCTGAAGGAGATGTACAGAAAAATATCTGAAAAATAGGTAACTGTCAAGTGACAGAGTGTCATGAACATTCAGATAATTTAAGTTATAATTTTTGGTATTTTCATGGTTTTAAGTATATACTATATTCTGAATATTGTACCTAAAATTATATTCTACCTGGAAATGTCTAATATTTATTTAAAAACAAGCCCCAATGTAAAATCTAGAATTACATATATCCTATCAAATAAGTGAGTGACTTTTAGAATATATTCAAGAAGTAAAGTGAATTTCTAATATAGATTTATCTCCACTTTTTATGGACCTGAATGTTGATCTATTACTGATGAAGCAGTTAAGAAATTTAATGTCTCACTTCTCCCTCTGATTGGAATGCAGGTAGCTTGTGAATGTGAAGAAAAGAAATAAATTTTGGTTGTGGGTGGCACAGAAAAAATTGGTAACTTGTAGTATAAGTATTATCAAAGAAAGAATAGAAACTGACAAGTTTTAGATCATGATGAAAAAAAGGAAGGAGAGAAAAAAACATCAGGAACTAGCTTACAGAATGGGACATGAAACTTGGTCCAGTGTGGCAGTGGGGAAGGTGTAATTCACACGCACTCAGCCAGTCACAGGTGTTTTGGTTTGGTCAAATATAGAGCCCTTAACTTAGGATGAGATTCTATCTGCTTCTTAAGCTAGATCTACTGTAAGTGGTGACCATTATACCAAATATTAAAAATATAAACTAGACATTCCTCTATTTGGGGTTTGGAAGATTATTACAGAGATGTCTAATAATTATCTGTACTTACAAATGACTCATTATATGAGTCATTTGTAAGTACAGATAATTATTAGAACAAAGAAGTAAGAGAAGCAAACACTGTTTTGTTTTGTTTTTGCCTCAAAGATTCACTTACAGACCACATCGTCAGGGAACTGTTGTAAAGCATGCTATATTTTTTCCATAGTCACAATGGCATTACTGGGGACTAAATTATTGAGTCAAGACTCAGTTTAAAAGAAAACACAGAAATGATAAAGAAAATGACATAAGGACAAAAGGGAAAGTGACAAACCTCCTCAGTCAATTGAAATAATTCCGTGAAATAAGATTAATGTTTTCCAAGTCAAAAACCTTTAGAGCTAAAGTACCTTCAAGCAATCTCCTCATTTCCTGATAGTAAAGAGATTAACCTAGGTGATGCAACTATTCACTGTAAAGGAAGAAACTGAGTTGCAAGTCTCCTCAATCACAACCCTGAGCCTTGGTTGTTGCATTCTCCAGTTTCCTTGCAGAGGGAAGGGAGGGAGAGTAGACTGTATGCAGTGATTTTACAGAGGACTCCAGTGCACTTTAAAGTGCGTATTAACATTCATAAAAATACACTTTCTAATATAACCTTGACCTACCTTGACCTAATGTGCTTTCTATAAGAAACATGAATTCCATATTTAGTTACTAATGGTTTGGGGTTCTCAGAATTTAGAAACATTTTTGCCAGATGCTGGTTTGGATGATAGAGGATTTTTTAAAAGATCTTCTCATGAAAGAAATGATCCCTTCTTTAACCTTTTTGATAAATCATCACCTTTAGCTTTGTAAACAATTCAAATTCACTCGACTGATTGTTATTTCCATAAGCCATCATTCCAGTATCTTGTAGAGATATACTTGCGGGACTGGGAGCCAAGAAATCTGTGTCCTGGCCCCAGTGCTGCTTGGAGCCTGCGTTAAGTGATGGAACATTTATGGATCTCAGCTTTCTTATGAAAACAAGAAGCCGACAGAATGCTCTTTTCTCTAAATTTCTATTATTTTCAACTGCAAGAGCGAGGAGAGCAAAAATCTCTAGTCATCTTTTATTTGTAACTGGGTAAGTTTTTCTTCTGTTCCCCTTTCTGTACCCATCAACAAGTAGAAGGATCTGTGAAGAGATACAGGATGAGGAGGAGGTGGGGAAGAACTAAAGTAACTACCCTAATTTTGTATACCTTTTAGTTTTAACAACAGCTGCAGTCCTGCTTCATTTTTTCTCCTTAGCTTACTGGCCACTGGGTCCTGCTTCAGAAACTAAGTAACACATGAATAAAGTCATGGCAATTGACTGCTTTTCATAAGCAGATCATTTGGTGAAATGATAAAAGTTGAAGAATTGAGAGTGCCTTTATGAATTTACAGTGTAAATATAAGCTAATTTCAGAGCCATCCTTTATTTTTTGCTTCTTCTATTTGTACTGAACATTTCCCCCTTTTCTTGTCCTTAACTCTTACTCAGATTTCCTTCTCCATTTTTGTCGTATTGCTGTTCTTGTGTTGTGCAAACTTTATCTTATTTTCAATTGGAGAAACAAATAAATGACTTAACTGTGCTGACAGTTAAAATGCTAGTAAAAATTCTATCTATTTAAGTTACATCAAATAAGCAGAGATATTTTGTTCCAAACAAATTAACATCTATGTCAAATACACTCCTCTAACAGTGTTGATACAGCTTCCAAAGCTCCTGATTTTAAACCATAGGTGTTAGAAAGATATATGTGCAAATGTTTTGAGCTATATAAATCCAAGCTATGCTCACAGTAACAACTAGTTCTACTTCAAGTAGTTTTATATTGCTTATGGAAGTGTTATTATGGCATTATGTTAAAACATTCAACCAAAATTTCCTGGACACCATTTATGAGCACAGTATATATAAAAGTGATTTCAATTAGTTGATATTATGTGTCTACTACAAGTACCTCAAAGAGTATGCATGGATCCGATAGTATCCTGGAGGTATAAATTCACCCTCCACATAATATTTGATCCCATAAATCTAGCAGTTTATACCTCAAAGGAAACGGTGGATTTTCTTCTGTTTTTATTTTCAGTGAAATTTGAATCTTATCTAGCCACATGGGAATATGATAGACAATAATCCATTGTTGAACATTAGTCTTATATTTATCTAATTTATTGATTGAATGAAATGAGGTCTTTGATTCAATTCAACAGTTTGGCATTTTACACTTTTCAGTTTATAGAACTGTTTGATTAACAATAAATTTCAAAACAGTCTATTCATATTAAGAAAATTAGGCCCAATACTAACAGATATCAAGACATACCTCATGTTCAATTTGTGGTTTAATCTCTCTTCCTAAAATGAAACAGTAATTGGTAAACCATCTTGAATAGGTCTTGTGTGTGTATGTGTATATGTGTGTGTGTATGTTGTGTGTATTAAACAAGTTTGATTATGGGTTAGTAGGATTGCATCAGCTATCTCTTTGACTATGTGGCATCCAATAAGTGGGCACTAATGGTGTGTGTGTGTGCGTGTGTGTATGTATGTGTAATGGTGTCATGCACTTTCTCTAGGGAATTTCTCCAGGATAGATTTAGTTTTCAAAACTGCTTTTTTTTTTTTTTAAATACTATAAGCAGAAAGGTATGATTTGGTTGTGGTTTTGCTATTATTTCCAAGAAATAAACTTGCTTGCTATCCAGTAGTGGCTGGCACTTTAAGTTTTAATGTGGATATTAGTCCACATTTTGCAAGAATTTGGCCATTACTCAAGTATGAAGTTAGGAAATTGTATATTTTATCTGACATTCTATTTCTAGTTGTAGCAAGCTTTTTGGCGTCAGAATATTTGTGCACCATATTCCCCTTCAATGGTCCTCATAAATGTTATGTTTGCCTTTATACAGTTTTTAGTTAGGAATTTGGATCCTAGGAAGAGCCTCAAGAAACTGGATAGACTCCTCTAGGACATCTCACAGGAATGAATAACCTTGAAAACTTGAAAGTGGATTCGACTACCTGGTGACACAGACCACATGGTAATACACGAGCAATTTTCTCTAACCCCTAAACAGGTCTCACAAGCAATCTTTGGTTTCTCAACACTTTTTTCCCAATTAAATTGACCAGAAAATATCCTTCTTTCCTTCTCCAGCATCTAACTTTTTAAGTTGCAAACTCATAAATGAAGTCAGGCTATTGATATTATGCTTACATTCTACACAGTAATATTATAAATTTAAATGAAGCAATATCTACTCTGTGTTCTAGTTCCTCAAATGAATAGTTTATTCCACATAAAAAGAGGGATTATTAATAACAACATTCTGTTTTTCTATTCCCTCTGTAGTTTCAATTAGTTATACAGATATTTACTTCCTTCTCTGTACCTGTGTCATATTTAAAAATCTTTATTCAACTGAAGAAGCAGCTCTGTTTTGTGAAGTAAGTAAAGTCACTCATGAATAACGTTTACCTCCTGGGGACTATTAAAGGACTGAATAGGAGCCACATACAACCATTCTAGAAATATCTATTTAAGTGGATAAAAGTCTTTTTATACTTTAAAATTTCCTACATTAGAGATAAGCACAATAAGATAAATCTTGGACATCAGGAGAAAATTCTACTTCTAATACCTACAGTGATTAATGTGTTATTTGGAATGTAACACAAAATTAAAAATTAAAAAAACCAAAGAATTAAATTATTGTAATTACTGCACTTGTATTTTTTGGCACTGCAGGAAAGGACATCTTAGTCTGATAGCCTCCAGCACCATAAACTTGGATAAGCCATCTGACCTCTCCAGGACTTGGTTTATTCATTTGGGCCAAGTGACTCATAAGGTCTGTGCCAGATCTAAAAACATCATGGGTTTGTATTATTGGTGGGGAATACTTTAATAAAGCTCAGATTGACAAATGTTGCAAAGCTATACTTTAAATACAAAGACACGCCATACTATTAATGAGTGATTGGGCTGGGGGATGCAATTGAGGGAGGAAATATGATGTGGAAGCTGTTTGGGGGAAGTGAAATAATCAGTTTGAAAAGGAGATTTTTGTGTGGGTAGATAACAAAAACCTTACAATGGATATAAAGGTCAGGTTGTTGAAGGTCCTGAACTTTAAAATAGGGGATTTAGATTTTGATCTGTAGGTGACAGTAGTAGGACAAGATACAGAGTGGGATAAAGAGGACCGACATAGAGACTTCCTAGCAGAGTAATAGCATTAATATTAACAATGGCTAAATTTTATTAAGCACTTACTATATGCCCAGCATAGATCTACATCCTCTACATGTATTAACTCATTCAAATAATGGAAATAATAACTTTAGGATGTTAGGTACTATTATTAATGCTTTCGTTAAAAAAGGAAACTGAGGAAAAAGGAGAATTTATGCAACTTGCCTAATCAAAAACACAATAATGTTTTAGAAAAAGACCTAAAAAAAGATACGATCCAGAATGATTTGGAAAGGAGCCAACAAATATGAATTTATATTCAGAAATTTGAGTTTTGGAAAATATTGATTGCATTAAGAGAATATATGTACATTTCAAGTGTGGTAATCACTTATAATAATTTTGCTTTTGAAGAGCATGCACGGACTGTTTTATAGTCATGTTTGTGAGTTTAAGAGTACATGTATTAAAGAAAAATAAATTAAAACAAAAAAATTAACCCAATCCAAAACAGACTTGGTTGATTTGGTCTCTGTGGAAAAGAAAATAAATAATGGATAATGGAAAATAGTGAAATGTATCAAACATCGAAGAAACAAATGACACCAATTCTCTAAAATTTGTTTCAGAAAACAGAATCAGAGAGAACATTTCCCAACTCATTCTATGATGCCAGCCTTTACCTAATACAGAAACCAGACAAAGACATTACAAGAAAGGAAAACAATAGACCACTATGCCTCATGAACACAGATGAAAAATATTCTCAATAAAATATTAGCAAATTGAATCCAACAATACATAAAACAATTATACCGTATGACCCAGTGGGATTCTTCTAGGTATGCAAGGCAAGTTCAACATTTGAAAATCAGTTGATGTAATCTATCATGTCAAGAGACTAAAGAAAAAAAAAATCGTATCAACAGATACAAAAAAAGAATTTGACAAAATCCAACATCCATTCATGATAAAAACTCTGACAAAACTAGCAATAGGGGGTAACTGCTTCAATTTCATGAAGAATATCTACAAAAATCTATAACTAACATCATACCAGTGGTAAGAAGCTAGAAGCTTTCCCTCTAAGATCTGAAACAAGGCAAAGATGTCTCCTCTCAACATTCCCTTTCAATATCATACTGAAAGTTGTAGCTGATATAAGAAAAAGATAAAAAATATACAGACTGGAAAAAAAGAAATTAAAACTTTGTTTACAGAATACGTGATTGCCTATGTAGAAAATCCCAGAGAATCAACCACAACGAAGAAAATCCTGGAACTAATAAGCAATTACAGCAATGTTGCAAGATACAAGGTTGATATACAAGTCAACTGCAGTCTTACATACAAGCAATGAGCAATAAGAATTTGAAATTGAGAACACATCATTCATATTAATTTCAAAAAATTTAAATACCTACGTATAGACCTAATGATATATGTACAAGGTCTATATGAGATAAACTACAAAACTCTGATGCAAGAGATTTAAAAAGATCAACATAAATGGAAACATATTTCATGTTAATGGAAAGAACAACTCAATATTGTTAAGATGTCAATTCTTCCCAACTTGACCAATAAATTTAACACAATCCCAATCTAAATTCCAGCATGTTATTTTTGTGGATATTGACAAAAAGATTCTATAGTTTATACAAAAGGCAAAAGAACCAGAATAGCCAAAATGATACTGAAGAAGAGCAAAATCAGAGAACTAATGCCACTCAACTTCAAGACCTATTATAAAACTACAGAAATCAAGATAGTATGGTATTAGTGAAAGGACAGACAAATGAATCAATGAAGCAGAATAGAGAGCCCCGAATTGATTCACACAAATATAGTCAACTGATCTTGGACAAAGAAGCAAGGGTAATCTAATGGTGAAAGTATAATTTCCTAAACAAATGATGCTAGAACTAGACTTTCACACGGAATAATAATAATAATAATAATTATTATTATTATTATTAATTAATCTGTGTCTAGATTTCTAGACACAGATCTTACACATTTCACAAAAACTAACTCAAGATGGATCATAGACTAAATGTAAAGTACAAAATCAAAACTTCTAGAAGACAACAGGAAAATCTAGGTACCGGGTGTTTGGCAATAAATTTTTAGATAGAACACTAAAAGCATGATCCATGAAAGAAAATTCAAGAAGATAAGCTTCATTGAAGTTAAAAACTTCTGCTCTGCAAAAGACAATATTAGGAGATTGAAAAGATAAGCTATATAATGAGAGAATATATTTGCAAACACATGTCTGATAAAGGACTTGTATCTAAAATATGTAATAGTCTTAAGATCCAGTAATTAGAAAACAAACAACTCAATTAGAAAGTGGCGGGGTGGGGGGTATGATCTGGACACTTCACCGAAGAAGATACACAGATGGCAAATAGGTACATAAAAAGATGCTCTGCATCATGTGTCATTAGTGAATTGTGAACAAAAATAATGATGAGATAGCACTCTGTACCTGTCAGAATGACTGATTTCCGAAACACTGACAAAACCAAATGCTGGCAATGATGCTGAGCCACAGAAACCCCCATTTATTGTGGTGGGAATACAAAATTATACTGCCTCACTGAAAGACAGTTTGGAGCTTTCTTATAAAGCTAAGCATAATATTAACATATTATTTCAGCAATTGAGCTCCTAGGTATTTCCCCAAATGATTTGAAAATGTATGTCCACACAAAAACCTGCACACGAATGTTTACAGCAGCTTTAGTTATAACTGCCCAAACTGGAAGCAACAACTAAGATGTCTTTCAATAGATAAATGAATAAATGAAGTGTGGTATGCCAATTTAATGGAATATTATGCAGCAATAGAAAGAAATGAGCTATCAAGTCATGAAACACATGGATGAATCTCAAATGCATATTGTAAGTAAAAGAAGCCAGTCTGAAAAGCTACATCCTGTATTATTCCAAGTATATGACATTCTGCAAAAGGCAAAACTATGGAGACAGTAAAAAAAATATCAGTAGTTACTAGGGCTTCAGGGGAAGGAGCAGAGGGATGAGTAGATAGAACAAAGAAAATTTTTTGGGCAGTGAAACTATTCTGTAAGATACTATAATTGTGGACACATGATATGCAAAATCTATAGAACTGTGCAAAACAGAGTGAACCCTAATATAAACCGTGAACTTTAATGTATCATTATTGGTTCATCAATTGTAGCAAATGTACCATACCACTGCAAGATGTTAATGATGGGAGAATAAAGTCATGGGGGAAAAACAATATGGAAATGGTACTTTCTGTTAAACTCTTTTGTAAAACTAAAACTGCTTTAAGAAAGTTTATTCATTAGAAATAAATCCAGCCCAGGCACTATGGCTCACACTTGTTATCCCAGCACTTTGGGAAGCTGAGGTGAGATGATTCCTTAAGGCTAGGAGTTGGAGATAGGCCTGGGCAACATAGCGAGACCCCATCTCTACAAAAAATTCAATAATTAGCCAGGTGTTGTGGTGCATGCCTGTAGTCCCAGCTACTTGGGAGGCTGAGGTGGGAGGATCACTGGAGCCCAGCAGTTTGAGGCTGAAGTGGGTTATGATCACACCACTGCACTCCAGCCTGGGTGAAAGAATGAGATCCTGTCTCTAAAAATCAATCAATCAATCAATCAATCAATCAATCAATCCTACACAATCCAAAATATATCTTTTTTTCCGATTGGAGAGTCTCCATGGTATACTTATGTGGAAAATGAATAGTGTAATCAGAAAAGTTTGGTAGCAGCCACAGAGAACCAAAGGGAAGAAAGCATGAGAAAGAGAAGATTGCTTCTTACTGCTCCTGTGGCTTCCAACAGTGCCCTCAATCCACTCTGATGCCAGAATGACCCTGTTACAAGAAAATCTGAACATATCACCCTCATGCTCAAATTTCATCAAGAAAACCATGGGCTGCAAGATAAAACTTAAAGTCCTTGGCATGGCATACAAGGTTCTTGATGGTCTGGTAAGGCTCCATTTCTCTGTCCACCCTGGATCATTTCATTCCATTCATCCCACGTACAATTTTCCCAAGAAGTTTTGTACACACAGGAAAATCCTTCCTTGGCCTTGCAAATTCCAGCTCATTCTTCGAATATTAGTTAGGGAGTTCTCTTCCTAACGAAGTGTCCCCTAAGCTTCCCAGGCAGTCCTTGTCAAATACTTTTTCCTGTGCTCCAGTTGATCATGGTACCTAGCTTTCCTAAGACAAATATCTATCATGACATAAATATTCATTTGCATGTCTGGTGCCAAATTTGACCCAAGCTCCTTTAGAAAACCACTGTGTTGCATTTGTCTTTATATCCCTCGTATCTAGCCCAGAGCCTTGTACATAGTAGGTGCTGAATAAATGCTTGTTCAGTAAACATCGGGAGGTGAATCTTCAAGCTCTGATTCACCACAACCTCTATAGTAATATCCTCTAGTTAATATTTTAATAGTTCACACTTCTCTAATTCTCACTTGTATATATAGTGAACTCTTGATTATACACCAGAGGATTATTCCACATTGTAGTTTAGTGTAGCAAATCTTACTTTTAACTTCTTGTTGACATCACCAGCTGTTTACTTATGTCCTTCATTGACATTGTCGCCAATTCCATCTACTTTTACTCCTGTATGCAGCCAAGAGCATGGCAGAAGCTAGAAAGAAAGGATTTTTTAAAAGTTACACATACTTATTTGCCTCTCCCTACCCAAGATTCTGGACTTAAAGGCACAAGAGATCCCAAAGTCAGAAAAAGGAGGTTATCAAGGTAAGCCAGATAAAAACAGTGATGAAAGGGGCAGCTACTTGAGTGATGGTGTGAAACGGGAGTACTGGGAACATTTTTCTGGGAAAAGGATCTTCATCACAAACTACAAATCTTTGAATAACTTTTAGGATATGCTCCTCAACAAAGAATCCTACATTTCCACCTACTGTATCTTCTAAGCAGACTAGTGTTTTATAACTTCTAACTTTTTCCATTTCCTTGGAGTCACTAACTTGATGACTGCAATAAATGGTAGGATGTTTAGGAATAAAACATGAGCAACTGCACACTCCTGAAATAATCATCTATTAAACACTGTCTTCCATTTCAGACTGCTAGTAAAGAGAAAAATAAATACTTTAATTTCAGGCACAATTTTGTTTTGTTTTGTTTTATGTTTCCCTGAGTATGTGATATGAAACTATTTTTTAATGTCATTTACATTAAACTCTGGCACTGCTGGCTGTGCTTTACATTCTTCTGAAGGCTCCCAGTAGTGATTCCTCTTTTAAATTTAAAAGCCTAATGAACCCAGATTTTAAAAAGTAGCTAATATTGGGTTGAGGGCCAAACAATATAATGATGCAGAGCTACTTGCATTATTCCTGGAGCTATTTGATTTTGACAAGCCCACATTTGGTAATTAACATGAGAATGCCCCCTTGGGCCGTTCTCCTGTTAGCTAAAATATCTTATAAATTACTGTAATAAAAGGGGAGAAAAAGGAACACGCTGCCTGTCAATGTTTCAACTTATCTAGCAAGAGGAGGAGACAAAGCCCCGATCTGGAAACATACAGATGCCAAACGGGAGCATAAATTCTACCGTCTGCCCCGATCTGAGAGTGGAACCTATTCAACAGCAGGACATGTGTGCGGCATCAGCTGAGTTCCCGAAGCAAAAGGTGTGTTGGTCTGTTGGATGGGCGGTCTTGGTAGGTTTCCTAATTGCCGCTTAGTCAGTGATATCACATTATCTGCTAAATGCCAGGTCAGTGGACACAGTACCTACAATTGAGGAAGCAGCTTCATATATTCCATTTCAAGGTCTCTTGGTAGAGTTCAATAAATAATACCATCTACCAGTATTGTCAAATGCAGTTGAATTTATTATCCTAATCTAGATGAATGTATTAACATGGCCTAATATAGATTCTACGTGCATTTGTGGTTAAGAGTCAAATGTCTCCCCTCACTACTTCTGTTTGCTCCCATCTGGCTATGAGCTTGTAATCAGCTAAAGGAACTGGAAGTGGACAAATGAGCAGGTTTTACAGTTCATTTTCTTGAGGCTAAGATTTGGCAATGATGTAATTTTAATTCTGGCAAGAAGTAACAATCTGTGACTATTTCCTTAGAATTGACTTTTCAAATTCTTTAAGACCTCACTTTCTTTTCTCTTTCACCCACATAACCATTTATCATCTGATTATAGACATATAAGCCACTAAAAGATAATTATGATACAAGTAATAAATTCTTCCTAGGTAATGGAGACTACTGTGTATCTAAACATATCCATATATGCAACAATGCATACAAAAATAAACTTTATTTTCTCACACTATAGTTTTACCTCCTGTTACCAAATCAACTTTATTATCATCAATTTATTTTAATCTAGGACATTAACCACATTATTTTGAGTCGACAGCAGCTGCTGATTGAACAATAGTTTTCAACATTCTATTACTTAGGGTCTCTTTTTTTTTAATGTTTTAGTTAAAGGCCTGAGGGAATCAATGGGTATAATGTGTAGACTTATTGATAAAAATTCTGAGCCTGCAATAGAATATAGCTCAAAAATAGCTGTGTTTAATCCATAGCAGACATAATTTGCTACTAGGGCTGAATTTTAACAGGAACAGATCCAAAATCATGTCAGTGTTCCCATTTTTGTGCCACAGAGTAATGACATTTAATCAGGAATATTACTACACTCTTTTGGTGACAGCTGAGACACAAAACCAGCCAGCTGATGCAATTCCTGTCTTACTGCTGGCGGCCTATAAACAGCAACTACAAACAGGAAGCTGCCTTACCTCTTGTATCCTAACAGACGGAATTTTAAAGAACAAGGCTTGCAGAGTGGCTGCAAGTACAAGTCATCAGGCTTCCTAAAGACTTCTGGAACCATCCCACAGTCTCCACACATCCCTGTGGCCAAAGGAAGCTTAAGGAGGAAACTGTTCTAGATCTTTTGATGTAATGGCGCTGCAGTCACCAGGTGTGAGGCAACATGAGATTTGCAGAATATAACCACCATAGCTACTGCTCAGTTAGATCGATGGCCTATAATTACCTGGGAATTACTTGGACACAAATCAATGGTGTATTGTGTCCCATTCCTAATGAGCAGGGTAACTTTTGCCTGGTCTGTGAACATTATGATAAAGACAATATTCCCATCTGCTTACTCTGCCTTCTACTACCTGCCCAAACTGCATCTGATGTAGCCCAGCAAGACTGGGGATGTGGGAAGCGGACTTCAGACAGCAAGGAATTGGGGGTGATGTGTTCCAACTCCAAAACAATTTTTATTGCAGCGGTTGCAGCTTTTCACTCCATCCCAATCTGGACTAAGACTGACATCTCTGAGATAAAAGGCTCCATTAGATGTCTTCAGTTTGGCCAGCCTCCTCCCCTGGCCACGCCCCAAGGGATCCAGGCACATTCTGATGACATCCATCAAGCTCATGATTCCAGCTCAACACTTTGCAGCAATTTCTCCATCTTCCAGCTACCACAAAAAGAGGGGTGGGAGGAGAAGATCCAAGCAAGTGGTGGGGAGGGGGTGCTTAGTGCTATTTGATCAAACACAGAATGTACGGCCCCATAACTAAGCTGCCACAAACACACCACTCTATCCTGTAATACTTCTTAAAAGTAAAGGAACTGAGCTGGAGTCCTGCTGGATTTCCCTTAGCAACTTGACAGGAGCCCACAAGGTCAGCTAGCAGGAAGCGTAGAAAATTATACAGTGGGGAATTATCAGCTAAATTATTTCACTATACTCAGGATTTTTACTGTTCTTGCCAAGACAGTGGCCTCTTGCTACCCAGATTAGAAACATGAATAAAAGGACAAGAATGACAAAAGGAGGGGGAAAGAAAAGAGAAACATTTTAAATGGCTTCTTTACCTTATTTTATATATGTACACATACATACATGTATATGTATACGTGTGTGTGTGTGTGTGTGTGTGTGTGTGTGTATGTCTTTGTTTTGTTTTAATGCAACTCCTTGAGGCTACTGCCCAGAAATCCAACCTGCTTGTTTTCCTTCTCTGGCCATAATGTTTCTTTTCCTTTTTGTTTGGGTTGGAAGGATGATGGGGGTTGGGCTGGAGACGGCTCCATGACCAGGTTTGCTACACAAGCCACAGCAGCAGGAGCAAGCATGATTTATCAATTAACAGGTAATGAAAAAAATTCTCTGCAATTAAAGATATGATTTTGCTCAAACAGGAAGCAGCACCATACAACTGTGTACCCCTCTGAGGAATACTCAGCTCCCGTCACTAATGTGGAGCACAGCTAATTTTAACAGAGTGTGTGTGGGCCCCTTGGGGGACTCCTTGTTGATGAAGGAATATACAGTAGGGAACCCCCAGAGGACCTAGCTGATTGGAGAGCCCCAGGAAAGGTGTAGGGAAATTACATTTCCTGTTTCTTAGGAGAGTTATTAAAGGGAAAGGCAGCTTTAATCACTGAAAGACCAGTTGCTGTATTATTTTTGATTTATATACCAAAACAATACCCTTTATTCCTTGGTTGCTTTTTAATATATATGTCAGCTTAGTCAATATTATATTTCAGTATAACATATAAACAGCTGTAAGATCTTGTTAAAAACGTGAAGGCTTTTGAAAGATTATACAAGATAAAATACATTATTGCTACTCAACAAAAAAATCAGAGAAAATTAAAGTAGACAGAAATATTCCCCTTTTTCCCTTCACATAAATCAATAAGCTATTTTGTTAAAAGAAATGCACCAAAAATTTCGTAATAATATATAAAAAAAGTTGTTGGCTTCCCAATGTTTTCTTCTTCTGGATATACAGTTTCTTTGGAAAGAAAAATTTCATTTCTATGCAATTAATGCAGAAAGTGCATAGTGATTTGTTGATATTATGTTCATGCCAATTTGTTTAAAATACTTCTATATAGTCCCTATTTTACATCAATATTTTAGTAAGCTTTGGAGATAGAGGAGTTTTCAGATCACCTAGTTCAACTCTTTCACATTTCAGGTAAGAAAACAAGAGTCAGAAAGGCTAAGTATTAAAAACACAACAATAATAACAACAATAATGTCTAACATGGGTTGGGTAATTACTGTTAGGTGCTGCTCTGAGCTCTTTGCATATGTGACCTCATTGAATTCTTTCTATAGCCCTTTGAGGTATTACTATTATTATCAATGATCAGTTTTATTGTTTTCATAGAAGGAGAGGTTCAGGTTGAGAAAGGGTGAATGACTCACCCAAGACCACGTGAGAAGGGCAGAAGCAGGGAGTGGGAAGAGGGATTCCTGACTCCAGGGACACCAGAGTTAATCACTAGGCTACGCTGTCTCTCCTGTCATGCACTGATTACAGAGGTGTGGGCACCAGACGCCAGATCCTTTGTTTTGGAGTCTAGTAATAAAACAGAAAATTATTTCATTCCATTAGATTATGTTGAAATATTCTCCGCCCCAAAAGATCACCCACAGAGCTGAATTTCAAATTGAAAGTTCCTATATGAATTTGAACTGTTAAACCAAATGGGACACCACATGTGTGTGTGAGTGAGTGTGCCGAATGTGGTTGTTGGACTGGGGGAATACAAGAGACCTTGGGAAAAACACAGGCAGGGAGGCCTGGTTCCTGCTGCTGTGCCCTCTGACCTCCCAAAAGGATCCTCCTCTGTCTCCTTGTAACCCCCAGGATGAGTCTCGCCACACCACAGTCCAGTCCAAATCCGATTACGTCTATAAAAACAAGTGTTCCATTTCTGGTGCTTTTTAAATGTAATTGAAAGACTGCGTCTTCCTAAAACAGCCAAAATCTATAACCCTTCTTGCTAATGTCCTTCCTGAAAACTCCTCTGCTTGCCAAAGCAGTGTTAAAGAACAACCACAGTGTATGGCATGAGTGCAAATAGCTTTCCTTTTAAAACACAAACCAAAATAACCTTTACAATCCAGCAGCTATAAGTGGTGGAGAAGGCTCCTTCAAACCCTGCCCCACAGTATCACCTCGGGCAAAGGTTTCTCTACTGTTAGAACTGGGATATTTGGAAGTAGGCTGCCCCTACAAGCTTTGCTCTTGTTTCTTTGGCGGATTCCTCTGACAGTTCCTAACTGTATTATCAGGATTTGTCTCGCCGGTAATGGCCAATTCATTTGTATTACCACATTTAGACCTTCCACTAAGCAGACAATCACAGGTATGAAGACTGGTCCCATGGAGTCCAGTGCAGCTGACTGATCTGACTGGCTCAGAGGAAAATGTCAGCAGGAAATCAAGTCCGTCTTCTTCATTTTTCCTGTCCAGATTCTGCACTTCCTTATGGACAAGCAGACAGACAGAGCACATGTGTGTGCACACACACTTCCTAAATCCCAGCAGTGAGCCTCAACCTCATTGGGGAAGAACTGGGACAGACATCGAGTCCAACGCCTTCATTTAACAGCTGAGGAACCAAGTCCCAGAGAAAATAAGAGACTTCCATGTGTTAGTTAGTAAGTGGCAAAGCTAGCGTTTGATCCTAAGGATGCCTAATCCTAAGGCCACCGTTCTTTATGCAGCACTGTTTTACTAAAAGCAAAAAAAGTCTTTATTAATGGGGGTGTTCAGAAACTCTCCTTCTGTAAGCCCTTGTTTAGTGACTCCATTTTACAAGCAATCAATTTCTCAGGTCTTTCTTAAGTAAGGACTTCCACACAGACATCCTCACCCACTGGGATAGGGCCTCCGCTGGTAGAACCAGACACAAAACAGTACCAAGGACTTCCTGGGAGACTGAGGAACCAGCAAGCCCAACCTTGCCCACATGCTTCATACTCTGGTCCAGTTCCAGGGCTGATACCTCCCAGGGATTCAACTGCTATGCTTTGAATACAACTGAGAATATTAAAGGCATCTACTCTCTCAGCATCTGAAAACAGAGGGTGTCAAAGACCTCAACATATTTCAAAGAACTTGTGAAGGAAAACAAATATCGGAAAGTTATTTTGAGGTTCAAAATTTTGAAAGAAAAAAGATAACCCTGAATAATATTCTAATTTTTATAGGTACAATTTGTACCTATCTTTCCATAGATGAGAGAGGTGGCACACGAGAAACGGATCATTAAACAGTAGTGTGAAACCAGGGAAATTAACCAGCTGGTGTGAAAGCCACCTCTTATTCTCTGAGAAAGAGAGTGGAGGGTGGGGGTGGGGAGGACAGAGCTCAGGAAAAGCAGGAAGAAAGGAGCTGATTTCATCGATAAAGCATTAGCTTAGAAGTCTGTGGACCATCTCAAAGCTAATGAACAGAAAATGTATGATCAAAAAATAATAGTTGCAGGTGACAGATCTTTCATACTTTTCAAATTATAATAATTTTGTCCTGGAAGAGCCTTAAAGACCATTTCATTCAATGCCCCGATTTAACATAAAAGGAAACTGAGGAACTGAGGTTGAGAGAAGAGAACTGGCTTGGCCTCATTTCCACGTATCAATTTGGTGGCAGGAGCCTGGCCTTGTGATTCCCATCCTATCTTGTGCTCTACCCACGAACACTGCCTTACTCATTCAACAGGCCACAGGGCACTGGAGGGAACTCTGTTAAGTCCAGCAAGTAAGGACATTGTACAAGATGGTTGGGTTTTAGCTGCTGGGATATTTTTCTGTGCAGAAGAAAGGCAAACTCTTTTCTATATCAAGAAGAATCTATATGCCTGTTGGGTTGTTGAGTAAGCGTTCCATGTGCCTCCACCAAGTTAGTAATGCAAAAAGACGCTGGGCACGGTGGCTCACGCCTGTAATCCCAGCACTTTGGGAGGCTGAGGTGGGTGGATGATGAAGTTGGGATTTCAAGACCAGCCTGGCCAACATGGTGAAACCCCGTCTCTACTAAAAATAAAAAAAATTAGCTGGGTGTGGTGGCAGGCACCTGTAATCCCAGCTACTCGGGAGGCTAAAGCAGGAGAATGGCTTGAACCCAGGAGGCAGAGGTTGAATCCAGGAGCTGAGATCACACCACTGCACTCTAGCCTGGGCGACAGAGCAAGACTCTGTCTCAAAAAAAAAAAAAAAAAAAAAAAAAAAAAAGACAATAAGCCTTTAAGAGCAAAGGAATCTGTAGCAAAAGACCATACAGGAAAAGTCAGTGCAGAAGAGCTGTCCCAGGGAAATATCCTGGTCTTACAGTCCACAGCCCTTGGGAAAGGTATGACACAGAAGAGAGCTGCCATCTGCTGAGTGCCTCTAGTAGAGGTGTTACAGCCCTTTTCAGGTAAGACAATCAAGGCCAGAAATGTTACCTGACCTGCCCATTATTACACACAGAGAGCCAATATTCTAGCCCAGGTCCACTCCAAAGTCCAAGTTCTTTCTTTGGAACCTAGTTTGATTCCTTCAATCTACAAGTGCTCTGTGTTAAGTAATACAGCACTAGGTCTTTGAGTGCAGTGGACTGAATGTGTATGTCTCCCTCCCAACTCATATGTTTAAATCCTATCCCTGAAGGTGGTGGTATTAGGAGGTATTAGGCCTTCAGGTTCTGAGATTGGAGCCCTCACAAATGGGATTAATGCCCTTATAAAAGAAATCCCGAATAACTTCCTTGCCCCTTCACCAAGTAAGGTACACGGAAACAAGCCACTGTCTATGAAGCAGGAAGCTGGCCCTCACCAGACACACAATCTGCAGGTGCCTTGATCTCCAACTTCTCAGCCTCCAGCACTGTGAGAAATAATTTTCTGTTGCTTATAAGCCCCTAGTTTATGGTATATAGCAGCGCAAATGGACAAAGACACCGGGTGAAAGGAGACCATGGTATCAACTCATCATTTACATGAATTTGCTTCATCAAATCACAAATCAGAAATTTCTATCTACTCCTGAATGAAATGAAAAGGCAGTCCCTTCTTAGCTTCCCTTTCTTATTCCACTCAGATACTTGGAAGAACAAAAAGGAAAGCAGCCAACATGAAGAAAAGTAACATCTCTCGGCTGAGATTTCTGTGCCAAAGAAAGAGATAAAGCAGGAACAAAGTAACAAATTATATTGTCAGAGAAAACGTGAACTTTTTGATTGGGGATGACATTTATTTTAAGTGTGCAATGACGGCAGGAAATCTGTCAGGGTAAGACATGGCAGAGGTTTCAGCGTTTGTTAAGAGTGTCGTGGGAATTTAGCTAAAACTGTTAAAACTGACACCATTGGCTTTTGTTAACACATTAAGCATGGGAAAAGTGCCAGTCAGCATATCCTCCATAGCATCAGTTCAGTTAAATCATCTGGAAGATGCATAAAACTGGGTGGGATAATAATGGCTACATTTTTCAACACATGGGGAGACAGAGGGGAGAAGGCCAGTGCCGTTTTGATAAGAATGACAAATGATTCCTTTAAGATATAGCTCCCAACAAGGGAAAATGGGAGAGGGAGGGCATTTGTATTGGTCCTGTTACATTCCTGAAGATTTTTTAGTGTAGAAAACAAAGTGCACATACAACTGTGATGATGCCAAGATTACAGAATAATCGCTGATGCAAACACATGGGTTTGGCTGAAGTAAAATCAAAGGCCTGCTTAACATTCTGCTTTCAATGGACTCAATTACTTCAGAGACAAGCTAAGCGGCAAAAAGCAGAAACACAGATATTTACCCAACAAGATGAACAAAATCAAATCCAAAGGCACTCTCGCTTCTTCAAGAAATCTTCAAACAGACCCATTACACAGAATCTTGCCTCACCTGATTCCTCTCAAGAAGCAGATCGAAAGAAAAGAAAACTGAAAGCTTAACAATGACAAGTGCCTCCAGCAACTCAATGGGTTCCAGCTGTTGGTGACCAGAACAATGCTTTAATGAAATGGCACCCTCAGCTTATTTGGACAAACGTTTTGACTGAATTAGAGGAATTTTGTTCTCAGCACCCTCTGAGTAGTAAATTAAAAATTACGTGTTTGTTTCATGAAAAAAGTTAAGAAAAAAAGCTGGCTGTTTATATGTGATGTGCACAAAAGGTGTGGTGGTCCTGCCAAATTGTGCTAGAAAATGCAATACCTTTTAGTACCACACTACCCACATGCTTTGTAAGACCTTAGGTAATGAAATAGTCTTTGGAAGTTAGGGCATCCCCTGGGGGCCGTTCTTCCTTAGAGCACAGAAAATGGAAATTTGGTTCTAGAGTTCCCTTAGTGGTTCTACATGTAAAGAAAAGTCTTCAGTTGAATAAGTCTCTATGAAGCGAATAACTTACTGCTCTTTGCCAGAGATGGAAGCCTGTGTGTACTTTTACTTCAGGATTTACACTCTTTGTAGTCTACAGAGGCTCAAAGGTGGCTGGTCATCTGACTTGGGATTTTCTGGTTAGTTTTCAGGAGAGTGTTTATTGTCCACAGGTTAGGGTGTCTTTAATTTAAAGCCTTTCTTGCCCTCCTGGTTATCTTGTAAATGATTACTCCATGCTCAGCTTTTTCGGCAATACTCTAATGAGTATAAACAAAATAAGCCCCAGTTTTCCAATTATAGAGCCATGGCGCTCTCCAAAACATCACCATACGACTGTCGGTGACCAGTGTAACTTTCCAACATTCCATGCGCTAGGAAGTTTTTGCTCATTTGCGCCTGTCTGGTTTAGCTGATAAAACACAGACACAGAATTAAGGGCAAAAACATAAAAATTTGCTGCCAAGAACTGTCTTTCTGCTATGCAAACATCATCTTGTGTAGCTTAAGACACTAAATGTTTTTCCTAAAGGGCTGTTTCCACCCTCCTCCCCCATCACACCAAAAAGGGAACATATGGAAGAATGAGCTTGGACCAA
The DNA here is from genome assembly GCF_000001405.40 of Homo sapiens. Lineage (NCBI taxonomy): Eukaryota > Metazoa > Chordata > Mammalia > Primates > Hominidae > Homo > Homo sapiens. The sequence continues at coordinate 25,142,131 of NC_000018.10, forward strand.
AGGGATCCTGTTTTTTGGCTCAGCAGTAGAGTAGTCACAGAAGCACAGCACCTCATCAAATAAACCAGACTGACACCGTTTGGACTTTACCAACCTAATTTCCTAGATCTTTCAAGTTCTCTCATCCATCTCTGGCTACTACCAAGCTCAGGCAGCTCACCAGGCATAGCACCTGGGTTATTCAGATGCATCACTACTGACTTTTAAAATTAATTTTAAAAAAGAAGATCAAGCAATTGCCATAAGCATTGTCTAGATTCAAAAATGGCTTCTCATTCCCAAACAAAACTGATTGAAATAACATCATCGGAACTGGCCTCATTCTCAGTGGCCTTCAATGGAATGACAGCTAATTAACACACGACCTAATTCTTAATCTGCTTCCTCCCTGCCTACCTTGTGAGTTCTTGGGACTTCTTTTCTGATGACAAGGAGAATAGTACTTTCATGGAAAAGATGTGGCTACCAAGTCTTAGAATATCTAAGCAATGGAACCTTGAGAACCCAAGCCCAGAAGAGAGAAAAACTAGAGCCAGCTCACTACAAAATGCCACACATTTTAACCAATATGTTGAAATTTGATTTTTTTTTTTAGATTTTCATAGATCCTGTACATTCCCTTTTGTAAGTTATTTTTTGCATCTAAGAAAGGTAGCAGAAGTATTCATTAACACTACTTTGTGATAATTTCTATTAGTTTTAGAAATAAAATTCAGGAGACTGTTATTTAAGAGATTCCTATTTCACATGTGTCCTTTGGTTCGGGTTTTAAAAGCAATTTTAATGAACTATTCTAACAGGTTATGGTAATTCAGTTCCAAAGATATTAATCTGACTATAAACAAAATCACACCTGCTAGAGATGTTCATGTTGTTATCAACAGATATGCAGATATACTTGGCATTGACCTTCCCTTGACACAGACTACCATAACTAGAGGACTTAATAAGCATCTGATGCTCCGCAAAACTTTGAAATAACACATCTAGTGTCAGCATGTACTTTTTATCATATTTTCTACATTTATACTCTTTTTTTTAGCATTTTGAACATAGTATCAAAGAGTGGATTTTCTCTAAAGCTAGTTTTATAGCAAATATCTTATCTATGCTTTGTGACATCACAGGAGTTTCCCTAATAACTGTGAATGCCTAAACAGAAATTTATTATCATGTCAAGCTGGTAAGAGACGGGGATATAACTACCAATAGTTAGAGTCCTGTTTTTCATGTAGATGTTTGCTTTCAGGAGTAAAGAGATGAAAAATTAAGGAAATATGAAGTGTGTAAGTAAATGAGATAGATTTTCTTGTGTATCTTGTAAACTGGCTCTGAGGACCATCAAAAGGTCTTGTTCTGGGCAAGGATGGTTTTGTTTAGAATAAACTGCTAGCCTTCAGTTTAAAGTTCACCATCATTTTAAAATTAAAAGTGATATGACATATATAGTATTTGTAACTATCTTCATGAAGCTTTCTTCAGATACCTTGTAGCAAAGATGCTAAGTAACAAAAATACAAATTTCTATTATTTTATACATTTCTATTATTTAAAAATTTAAAAAAGAAACAACGTGTTTTCCCCAATTAGAAGGGCCTGTAGAGACAGAAAGTTGCGATAACTATCCATAATAAATTCAGCCATCAAATTTCACAAGACTAGAAGCAACAGAAATATTTTATGAGGCAATTGTTCAATTTGTCCTCTTACTAAGTGATACAATCAGTTATACCAATAAGCTAGTAAATATTTTCACTGGTACATGAAACAACCTTTTGGTTGGTTTATAATTACAAGAATGATGCTAACTGAATCCTTTGCTTTGTTTCAGTATCCCTTGTTAGTGCCATAGACCTCTCTGTCTCTCTTGTTTTTCTCAAAAGCAATTTAGAAAATGCTTGTATTTTAGACAAAAGGAGAACATTTGGTGAAAGAAAATTCATCATTAGGTATCTAGAGGTTTGTTAATAGAAAAGGCAACTCCCACAGTGTATCCTAGTGCTCAAGCCAGACACACACGCTCAGGACCAGCAAGCTGCCTTCACAGTGGGCCAAAAGTCATTATCATAATTTTATATTACATAGACTACATTGAAAATTTAATATATCCCAGCAAAAAGAGACAAAAGACATTTTGCATAATGCTTCTGTGAGCGCACTCTCTCTTGCTACTCTTTTAGCCACCCCATGCAGATAATCACACCAGGAAAAAGAAGTTCATTACCTAAGCCAAATCAAAATTAGGCTTTTCTTTTTGATAGGGAACTTCATTAGTAAGCCCTGTCTTATACAGCTGGGAGATTTGATGAATCTATCTTAGAGTAATAATTCAGCACAATCAGCTACAATTTTACTTTAAGTTTCATATCTTTATCAAGAAAAGTAGAAATATATAAACTGGATACATATACATGGATTTTTAAAGATGCTAAATCAAGATGCTAACTGAAATCACTTTTGGACATTTAAAACATTCCAGAGTGATAGAACAAACCCAGGTAAGAAATGCAACTCATTGCCATGTAGTTATCTATGATTAAGGCTTTAAAGAAAAAAAAAATCAAAGAAACCAAGGCTGAAACACTTGAAGTTGAGGAAAGCAGATATTTATTGAAACTATTCAAATGAAAACATCTTCACATTTTTAAAGTTAGCCTTTGCTTAACTGGAAAACGCAGGAGGAAAGAGTGATTTTAGAATCTCAAGATAAAGGCTAAAGATCTATTGTCCCTACATGCTGTCCAAGAAAATATCTACTGCAGTGCTAAGCCCCCATTTATATCATACAAAACTCAGTTATCCCACAGACGTGGAACAAAGAACTCCATTCTCCCCTTTGTGTGACTCACATATGTAAGTAAGTTCACCAGCATGCAAGAGCTCTGCTGGCTGCAGATGACTGTCTGTGGAACTCCTCCAAGATCGCACCCTTTCATGCTGAAAAAAACTATCTCTGTAGCCCTGGTTGTGGACATAGTTTTCCATACTGTGCTTGAAGCTAACCTTGACTTTTGTAACCAGACTGAGGTTTCAATATCATGCAGGGCTTTTCTGGCCATTGTCCACTATGTGTTCTCTTAACTACACAAAGCCAGTTAGCCATCAAGAGAAATATCAGTCTCCCTTTGCCATTTCTCCCCCTCTTTATTGACATCCCTGAATTTCCCTAAATATTTACATCAATATTACTGAAAGGATGAGAGTACTGAATTCTTGAAGGTTAAAACTTTTTAAAACAAATAACTTAACCTCCTAGGCCTCTTTGGTGTTATCGATCTATAGTTTTTGTTTACTCTCAACAGTGGCAAAACCTATGGCACAACCACCACCACCACAACCATCAACAAAATGAAAATAAAAAACAAACTTCTTCCACTTCATCATATCGGATGTCACTTCATCCATATTTGAGTGGTAGGAGTGCTCAAAAGACATATTCCATTTGACTTAAGCTTGGGTCTGTCACTGAGCACGAATGACCCGAGTGACAAATCCTGACATCCAATATTGTGATGCCCAACAACCTCTTTTTGAGCAAGGACAAAAGACTTAAGAAGTACTTGGTTTAAGAGTTAACAAGACTAAATACTTTCTTACACTTCTACCTATTCAAAACACACTCTGAGCCTTCAGAAACAAAAACAGCATTCGAAATTCCAGCTTTTCCATAGGTTTGATTTCACTTTTACAAATTAATAATATCATCTAATTTATTCCCTTCTAGTGTTTAATCTTCTTCTGGAAAACGCTATAGTTCCTAGTGCTTAGAAAGTGGAAATGAAACTGTTTCAGGCCTTCTAGGATATGACAACATGGGAAACCTTTAGAAAGAGAGATGATGACAACAGTTACCATTTATAAAGTCTTAATTGTGTACCAGGCATGGTGCTTAATGTTTTTAATAGATTATTTTACTTCAACCTTCAAACAACCTTATTAGTTAGCTATTATTATTCCTATTTTATGGATTAGGAGACTGAGTCTTTGCAAGGTTGTGTCACTTGCCCCATGTCACACAGCTAGCAAGTGCAGAGTTTTGGCTACTTGTTAATCTAACACTCAGGCCTGTTTTTCTAACCACTGAGCTTACTAACCCTCCTAAGTGGATAATGAACAATAAGCAATTCCAGGAAATTTCAGGAAATCAAAAGAGTTGCTTAATTCTCATAATTGTCATATAAGCAATTTATAGGAATATGCAATTCCAGGAAATCAAAAGACTTGCTTAATTCTCATAGTTGTCATATAAGCAATTTATAAAACTACCCTTCCAGGTGTCCTTTGGGGCTAGGATATATAAAAAGCATTTAGCAACAAAGAAAACAAGCAGGGAGCCCTATAGAAAACTAGAAAGGATAGAGAAAAATACATAAAAATGAGCATCTTTTATGCCATGACATTGGTTTCTCTGAAAAAAGGCTACTCCACTATCTGCTTTTCAAAAAAAGCCCCCCATCTTTATTAGAAAAACTGTTTTTCACTTTTATAACCCTTGCCACTTGGCCTGGTTAATCGTAACTATTTCTTTAGGGTCTATGAAAATTATGCCATATCATTGTTTAGTTCTCCTTTCCCTAACCAAAAAACAGTGGTGTAGATCAAGGCCCAGTTCAAGTCCTCTTCCTCCTTGATGACTCGGTGGTATAAAATGCATTGCTCTCCACTGTCTTCACAATTTATCCTTCTCATATGATTTTTTACCCATGTTTTATTACATTGTGATAAACCCTTTATACCTAGATACAGGTATAAATATCCTATGCTCCTTGATAGCAGGAGTCACATCTTACGTGTTTGTAAATAAAACAAAACTGGATGCTCAAAAATGTGTGACAAAGATAGTAGGAGTATGATTACATAGGCATCAGATATAGGATACACGACCACAGGGTTTTCTGCTTTGGTTTTCTTCTTCTGAAAGTTTGCAGGATACAGAGCAGGGCAAACATTTTAAAATTTGAGGTTTATAAACACAACAATGCATCCCAGCTCACAGTTAACAAGCCAACTGCAAAGACAATGATCAAAAACAAATCAGTCAACAAATGCCAACAATAAGATGAAATATAATAATAATGTCAACATTCAACAAAACCAGTCATTAACAAGGGTCTTGAGATTTACCTTTAATACTGAAGTGTAATAATAGAGTCTAAGGGGGCATTTTTACATATTTTATAAGGAAGTTTTAGGTTATATGAACCTTTAATACTTGGCCATAAAAATGAATCAATCACCATCTTGCAAGGGACCAAACTATAAATTTTCCAAATTCCCCTCACATTTGACTGCAGGTTAGTCCAAGTTCAGAAAATCCGGTTCAGCTATTTTCTTTTTCAACAGATTTCCACGTTATTAGAAGTACACAGTTAACCAGGTTTCATGCAGTAGACAAAATGGCATTGTGGGATTACATTAGTTCGACAGCTGCTTTATGACTATAGCTTCCAGACCAATTTATTTAATATTGATCTTTAAACAAACATCAGTACAAATAAATTTGAGCACTCCAGTCCTGAGATTTTATATCTATAAAAGAGGCCTATATTCAGAGAAACAGGGCTGCTTGTATTTCTCCCTTTGATTCTGTTTTCTTTGATCCTACCAGGTATCAAATACATCAATGCCAAATTAAAACAAATCCATCTTCAGATAACACTCTGTTTATAATCTTTCGTGCAGAAAGAATTTTTCTATCAATAACTTCCAGCAAGCATTTTAACTGATCTTTTTATTGCTTTATTCTGACTACTACAAAAGGCAGCCGTACCCTGTCCTGACCGAACACCATGCCTGGCTCTACCTGGAATATCTGCTAGGAAGGGCTGAGTTCTACCCCCATCTCCATGCAGCTTGCTTTCTTTAACAATTCCAAGCCAGCAGCAGGGACACACCAAGATCCAGCTGGCCCCTACTGAGAAAATTGCTGCACAAAGCTAGGGGTTCCGGAGGCCAATCTGAAGGCTTTTATGAGACAGCAGTTGACCATTTGGAGAAGGGGACAGCTGGGTGCTAAATATAAATGGGAAAAAAGACTTAGATAGGGAAATAGATAATGAATCCTGGGATTAAACACTTGATTCAATTAGTAGGGCATGTATGAATGTGAAGCATAAATGGACGTGACATAATTATTTGCACAGGACTTATTTATGCCATTCTTAGTTATCCTGATTGAGTATAGATACGAGGCTCACCAGAGGATGGATATTCTTGTGGTCTGGAAATGGGATAAAGTTCAAAGTTTTTGGTCACTATGTATTCACATCTGTCATCTATTTTATGTTCACTGATTTCTATGCATTGAGTTTTAAAAAAATTAAAGTTTCTGTTCTGTTCTTTTCCTTCTCTCCTTCTTCTTTCCCTCCATTCCTCCCTTCCTGCTTTCTTTTAAGTATAAATATTCTGGAAACAGGCTAGGTCAATGGATAAATCCTTATGAGAAATTAAAAAGCCCTTCAGCAAAATGTTCAGTTTATTTCCAGATACCCTGAACCTGTACTAGCAAAGGGAGGTCTACCTGCTGCAAAACTGTAAGATAACTGTGTTTTGTGAGTGACAAATTTCGGTCATAGTCAGTGAAGGATTGGTTTTCAGAGCATTCGAATTAAAAAAAAAAGTCTTTTCACTTGTCATAAATTAGGGCTCAAGGAGAGATTGGGAAGACATGATATTTTAATGCTTAACATCAGAAATGCCTAAAAGATACAATTATTTAAGACTACTATTCCTTAGTCAATATAATAGCTTGGTGCTATAAATATAGCAACCAATCTATTATTTATACAAGTACCAGCTTCTGTTATGTCCCTTTTCAGTGTGCTCACATAAATGAACTCGGAGCATAAAACAAATGTACAGAAGAGGAACTGTACCCATGATGTCTTCCTAATTTGAAAGGACTTTTCTTTTTTCACCACATCCCTAAAACTATTGATAGGTGAAGATAAGTGAAGGGTGTCCACTGGCCAAATATAGTCTGCTGTCTTGCTTCTGGCACACAGGATGAAGCATTAAGGCACAGGTCTTTGTCCATGTAGCTGCTGAACCTTAAAGACAGGAGGCAGACCCTCCATGCGGTATGAAGGGGAAGACAGGTGCTACTGTGTAACTTCTAAGGTGCTACGATTGAATCAGCCATAGATGTAGGTCTTCTTTCAGTCTGCGTGTGTTATGGGTAGAGAATGATTCTTTCCTCATAGAACTTTCCTATAGTAAGTATTAAATGGTAAAACACGTGTAAATTTGCTTTGATAACCAGAAGATGTGGGGCCAATATATAAGGTTGATATTCTTATAATTATCTATGATGTCATAACTATCATAGATATCTGTGCAGGCAATGATTTTATTAAAGGAAGCCCATATTTTATGGCTAATAGAGACCTTTATATTGGCTCATGTTTAAACCAGACTCAAGGCTGAGTTACATGGAAGAGCTGGTCTCATCTCTTGTTGCACCCCGATGTTCTATCTATAGATGGTTAACTGCATTCCCACAGGCAGCACTCTCATTGAGAATGCTATAAATTTTGTATGACATTTCTGTTGCAACCTTTACTTCACTGATTCTTAAGAAGCTGGGGGCCACAGCTAAAGTGAAGCTATGCCTCACTTCTGGGTGTTCATATCTTGTAGTAGTTCATAATGGGTGCTCATAGAGTCCATAATGAAAGATGAGACAATGGTGCTCATGAGACTCTGCCACCTGGGTGAGCAATGATAGCTGATGATGTCAGTCACAGATATCAGATATGCTCTGAGCAGAAAAAATTCTGAGAACCACCCCTCTACAGACACCTCCATCAAAACTTTTTTATAACAGAGAGCAATAACTATTCTTGTTTTTGGTCTTTCTGCCTATGGATCATGAGCTCCCTGAGATATGCTCAGTATATCTTTGTACCCACAATTAATGAAAGTCCCTGGCTTATATTAGATAATAACTAAATGAGTACAGGTTAATAAAAAGAAACAAGTTAATGGCATTCACAGCAACTTGGATGGAACTGGAGACCATCCAGTTATTCTCAGTGCAGTAACTCAGGAATGGAAAACCAAACATTGTATGTTCTCACTCATAAGTGGGAACTAAGCTATAAGGATGCAAAGGCATAAGAATGATACAATGGACTTTGGGGACTCAGGGGGTAAGGCTGGGAAGTGGGTGAGGGATAAAAGACTACAAATTGAGTACAGTGTATACTGCTTCGGTGATGGGTGCACCCAAATCCCACATATCACCCCTAAAGAACTTACTCACGTAACCAAACACCACCTGTTTCCCTAAAACCTACAGAAATAAAAAATTATAGGTAAATAAATAAATAAGTACAGGCTAAAGGAGCAAAGTTGGAGAAGTGATGATGGTTTTGAAACCAGGACATATAAGCAGTGTTTGAAGAGACCAGAGGATGTTGATCTTGGAGAAAAACCAAGAGAAGAAGATGTCAGCCACAATAAAATACATGAAGGACTTTATAGTAGAATAAGGACTTTTTTCCATGTGGACTAGTGAATGGAAATTTCAGACACAGACTCAGAGTATCCTGGGATCCCTTCCTCTCTTTTATCTTTCACATCTATTGGGTCATAACTCCTAAATATTTCTAAATTCCATTTCTTCTCCATTTCCATTCCCATGGTTTTAGTTCTGATCCACCTCTAAATCTCTTGGGCTAGTTATATTTCCCCCCATGTGGTCTCTCACCCCTTCAATTCTACTCTCCAGCTGGCTCCAGCTCTTTTTTTTTCTTTTTTCTTTTTTTTTTTTTTTGAGACAGAGTCTCGCTCTGTCACCCAGACTGAAGTACAGTGGTGTGATCACGGCTCACTGTAGCCTTGACCTCCTTGGCTCAAGTGATCCTCCCGCCTCAGCCCCCGAGTAGCTGGGAAGTGATCCTTCTGCCTTGGCCTCCCAAAGTGCTGGGATCACAGGTGTGAGCCACCGCACCTGGCCCTGATCCAGGTCTTATGTTGCTCCCCTGACTAAAATCTGTTCAAAGCCTCTTCATCGCCCTAAAAATAAAACCCAACTTCCTTGGCTTGGAAACAGGGTCTCTGAGGAGTGAGTGTCTCCCTGAATCTTTTAGAAATCCATGCTTTAGATACACTCTTCCTCTGATTCATATCCTTCTTCCTTGGCCTTCCTGGGACTCTGTACTCATCATTGAAGATTCTGCTCAGAAGTTTCTTTGATAAACCTTCTTTGACCCTCTTAGGCATGTTCATTTAATCACTTCTGGTCATCTTCTAACACCTTGTGACTTAGCAGATTTTAATGATTTATGTTGTTACTATTATCACCTAGAAGAAAAATAACATTCTGTTTATCTTTTTACCCCCAATGATATGTTGAGTGAATAAATGATTGACTGACTGAATGGCCCACTCTTTAAGCAGAACTTTGAAGACTGGACCAGGCTCTTTTGGGAGGTGGTGAGTCTTTAGGTGTTCAGCTAGTAGTCTGGACGAGACTTTTATCGTTTCTTTCAACTCTTTCCCTCTGCACCCCACTCCCTTAGGGCTTCTCGCTTAGCAGTAGGGTAGGAAGGAGTCAAGGCAGGCATCATGCAGAAGTTGAATCTGAGCTTGCTGTTCAGACAAGCAGACTAGTGAGAAACTCACAGCTCTCTTTCACAGCCCAGGATCCAGGTTTAAATACTAGAAAAGCCCCCCAAAAATAAGCTAAGACTGTCAATCAGAGTTAAAGAGGATTTCACTTGAGGATTCATGTTGCACAAATAATGAATGACTTCTATGAACAAAAGATCTAAGCAAAGTCCAGTCCTTTCTTATGGAACGGGGGTTGGCAGATCTCTTGATGCTGGCTTGAAATGGTTATTTTTTTACATGAGAGAGCATAAGCACTAACATAGCATTCCACTGCCTACACAGATCTCCCAGAGTATTAATGAGGAATGATCCCAAAAGACCGTTTTTATGAACCCTCACTGTGGAATCTTTCTACACATTTTTGAAGCCCTAGCCACCCGGAAGATCAGAATACCTTTGTTTAGACATTTATTTAGTACACTACAAAGGCAATTTAGAAAACTATCCTCTAGGCTGGGCATGGTGGCTCACGCCTGTAATCTCAACACTTTGGGAGGCCGAGGCGGGTGGATCACTTGAGGTCAGGAGTTTGAGACCAGCCTGGCCAAAATGGCAAAACCCCGTCTCTACTAAAAAAACAAAAATTAACCTGGCGTGGTGGCGCACACCTGTGGTCCCAGCTACTCGGGAGGCTGATGTAGGAGAATCACTTGAATCTAGGAGGCAGAGGTTGCAGCAAGCTGAGATCGTGCCACTGCACTCCAACCTGGGCAACAGAGCGAGACTCGGTCTCAAAAAAAAAAAAGAAAAAAAAAAGAAAGAAAAGAAAGCTATCCTCTAGTGATCTCTAAAACTAAATGCCCCTCCCTAAGTGTCTAACCAATTACCAAGGGATTTTTACTGCCAGAGAAAATTTAACATTTTTTTAAAAGTTTTACATCGGGTACAAAGGAGAGGAGACCCCGGAAAATTATGATATTGTGTTATGGTAAGTGGAAAAACGCCCGTTCACAGAAAACTCTCTTGACTACATACATCTTGAAGTTTTGCAGATAGGTCTGAGATCTGCTACAGGTTTAATTTCATGAGGAATGAATTTAATCTCTTTTTTTCTGCTCTTCCGTGTTGTCTTCTATTTTTGATACTTCGCTGGCATTAATGAAAACAGTGGAATTACTAGAGATAAAATGCAAAAGTTACAGAGCTACTGCTTTTCTACAAGAGTCTTGGGGATGGCCACGATGGGATGGAAGTTACTCTTCCTGAAATCTGACCCGAAATACCCCCCAAACACCATAAAATGTATAGATATTTGTCTTAAAACATAAACCCTGTGATCTTTATAAAATAGTTACTGACAAATAGTGAAACAGCTAGGTTTAAGGTTTTAAATGTATATTTTCTAATGGTGCTGATGGCTGTGTTTACTATGTATTTTGGTACATGAAGTACTATTACTAAGTGGATCGTAATGCTGTCAGTATGGAGAATGTTGGTCAGCTAAACTTTCAAGTTGCATATAATTTATACTAATATTTTAAGTAATTCACTTGGTCATGTAAATGGAAATCATGATACTACAACTCTCTAATAAAAATCTGTGCTTTCAAATTAAAAATTTATTTCCTACACTGCCTATACACATTTCATCACAAGCAGGATTTATGAAGTCATGGGGAAGCCTGTTCTACCCTGCCCCCTCTCTTATTACCTTCTGGTACTGGGATAATGAGAAGCTTGACAACATGGCTTCAGGTTGGAATTAAAAGCCTCAAGCTCGTCCCACTCTGATTTTATGGGGCCTGGCTACTGAGACTTCACAGGGCCTTGCTGAAACGGCCTGTCTACTTCAACTCCACATGGTCCCAGTCTGGCTAGGTCTTTGGATCAAACTCTTCTCGTGTGAATACAGACAGCATCTGGGAAACTGCACTGCGGATGTCTCCACAGAGAATCACAGATGCTGTCAGGACCGAACTTCACACTCAAACATTTGATGCATTTTAAAAAGGGATTCAGCCTCAGACTCTAACAGGCAGATGGATCGTCTAACACTTCAAAGGCTTTAGCATGATTGCTTTTTTTTTCTTTTGTCCTATAACCCATTCCTCTTCTCCTCCTTCTCCTCTCCAACATGCCTTTGCACAGTTCTAAAGGAAGCGACAAAGGTTCACCAGTCGTAATATCAAGAACACAACAAAACAAGCACAGATACTTTATCTCCCTCATACAATCCTGAGTATTTCCAGTTCTAATGTCAATGGTTCTAAGAAATCAGGAATAGGGCAAAAGGAGAAGTCACAGAAACAATGACAAGATTAAAGAAGCAACGAGGAAGTGTCAAGTTCTGTGTTCTGTGTCCATTCAGATGGTTTACCATCTTCCAAATCTGAACCTACTCTTCCCTAATAGTCAATTCCATTAGTAAAATGAGGGTATCCTGGATGGAAAGAATTGTTGATTTCATTCTGGTTCAAGCTATTTGGGGAAAAAAGTCCCAAATTCAACATGAACTTTTTCTTAAAAGGCTTCCTTTCTACAACTATTAAAGCCATTATTAAATTAGAAACATGCTGTGGCCCGAAGCTGCTAATCTCTACACCAGTTCTAAAATTGCTATTGCTGTTTCTCCATTAATTAATTACCAAGGTTTATACAAGTTGGCCAACTGACATGAAATGTGGACAAAAAGATTTTTCTCAGAGACATCTCAAAATAGGTGAATACCTGAGTCATTCACCTAGCTCTGATGGGATGGTTCTAAGGAACCATCAGGTAGGGGTGAAGGAAAAGAGGCAAAATAGGCAAAAGTGAACTTCAGAAGTTTAATCACTCAATCAACAAATTCTTAATATAAGTTGAGGTACCAACCTCATCCCAAGTGCTTTGGGGGAAGAAATTTTATTAGCCTTCAATACCCTGAAATTTAATAAAATCACCTATAAGTAACTCAAATAATCTACCTGTAAATAACTCAAATCAGATGAGCTAGAAGCTAAAAGGTGATAAAATACACTTTTTGATAAACTCAGAGAAGGGTGAGCTGAACAAGACCTTAGAAATTGTCTAGTACACACCTTCTCTTTAAAAATAAGATGACTCATGCATTGATGAAGACTTAAGTTCTTTCCATATTTTGGCTATTGTGAATAATGCACAATGAACATGGGAGTGCAGATATCTTTACGAGGTGGTGATTTCATTTTCTTTGGGTATATGGCCAGAAGAGGGATTGCTGGGTCCTATATTACTTCTATTTTTTATTTCTTTAGGAGCATCCATACTGTTTTCTATAATGGTTGCACCAACCTACATTCTCACCAACAGACAAGGGTTTCCTTTTCTCCATACCCTCATCAACATTTGTGATATCTTGTCGTTTAGTAATTGCTATCCTACCAGGTGTGAGGTGATATCTCATAGTGGTTTTGATTTGCATTTCCTTGATTAGTGATGTTGAGCACTCTTTCTTGTAACTGTTGGCCATTTTTATATCATATTTGGGGAAGTTTACTTCAAGTCCTGTCATCTATTCAAGTTCTTTACCCATTTTTTAATTGGGTTGTATGTTTTCTTCCTATTGAGTTGTATGAGTTCTTTATTAATCTTGCCTATTGACCCATTCTCTGATATAAAGTTAGCAAATATTTTTTCCCAATCTAGCAATTCCCTTTTCATTTTGTTGCTTTTTTCCACAGCAGATTTTTTTCTGCTCTGCAGAAGTTTTTTAGTTTGATGTAGCCCTATTTATTTATATTTGTTTTGGTAGCCTAGGGTTTTTAGTGTGATATCCAAGAAATCATTACCAAAGCCAATGTCAAAGAGCTTCTCTCCAATGTTTTCTTCTAGGAATTTTATGGTTTTAGGTCTTACATTTAGGTCTTTTATCCATTTTGAGTTTATTTTTGTGTACAGTGTAAGATAAGGGCCCAATTTCATTCTTTTGCAAATGGAAATCTGGTTTTCCCAGTAGCATGTATGGAAAGGCCTATCCTTTCCTCACTGTGTCTTTTTGGTGTCCTTGTCCAAAATTAGTTGTCCATATATGTTTGGATGTATGAACAAATGGATAAACTGTGGTATAAATATATGCAATAGAATATTATTCAGTCTTAAAAAAAGGAGGCAATCCTGCCATTTGTACAACATGGATGAACCAGGAGGACATTGTGCTAAATGAAATAAGCCAGGCACAAAAAGAAAAATATTGAATATTCTCACTTATATGTGTAATCTTAATAAAAGGTTAAATAAAACATATAGAGAATAAAACAGTGGGAAAGATATTAAGTTTAAAGGACATAAAGCAAATATGTAGGAAGAACTAGTCAACAGAGCTAATGTACAACATAAGGACTATAGTTAGTGATAGTGTACTGTACTCAGAATTTTTGCTAAAATGAGGAGATTATAGCTGCTCTGACCACAGCAGGCGGAAATGGGTAACTATGTGAAATGATAGATTTGTTAGGTTTTCCCATTATTATAACTATTTTACTATATGTATTTATCTTGTAACATCATGTTCTATACCTTAAATACAGACAATTTTAAAAAATAAGGGGAAATGGACTTGTTTAATGCCACTCAATTAGAATGGCAGAGCCAAATTGAGAGTCCAGTTCCCATCAGCATCCATTTCTATGAACTTCCCACAGTGCCTTTCCTCTAGGTACTTGCATTCTGTGTGGGGGATTTCACTGCATAAAAACCTATACATCAGTGTTCTTTATTTCAGAAGAAACATTTTCTCACGCTCATTCGTCTCTTCAAAGCAGAGATGCAAAATTCACACATGTGCATATATATTTCAATACACTTTAAAAAGTCTAATGAGCAAAGTAGAAAGACTGGACCTGGTTTAATCCATTGAAATCTTGACTTAAATTTTATACATTACCTATATATACAATCCAGGCAAGAGTATTTTCTTCATCTGATGACTGTTGTAATTTGCAAAGGCTACTAGTACCCCATATATATGTAATTGTTTTTCATATATATGGAAAATCTATATGTTACATTTAAAAATACCTAAGAATGAAAAATATATGCATATTAAACACTACTAAAAAGGTAAATAGCAAATAAAGGGAAAATAGTATTCTGAAAGACAAAACATCTCATAGTCTTAAAACGTGAAGAGTTCTTAGAAATCAATATGAAGACAGCAAACCAATTTTTAGTGGACATGAGGCATGAAGGAGCTCTTGCCAAAATAACAACAAATAGAAATGGCAAAGGTGGCTCATGCTGTAATCCCAGAACTTTAAGAGGCCGAGGCGGGCAGATCACTTGAGGCCAGGAGTTCGAGACCAGCCTGGCCAACATGACGAAAACCTGTCTCTACTAAAAACAGAAAAACTAGCTGGGCATGGTGATGGGCACCTGCAGTCCCAGCTACCCGGGGGCTGAGGTGGGAGAATCGCTTGAACCTGGGAGGCGGAGTTTGCAGTGAGCCGAGATTGCACCACTGCCTCCAGCCTGGGTGACAGAGTGAGACTCCATCTCACAAAAATAAAAATAAAAAAAAGCAAATAATCAATCTCACTAACAATAAAAAATTGAAAATTAAAATGACAGATTGTTGCTACATATCTGATGGAGGGTTTAAAATGTAAAATGTCTGTTTAAAAAAGTCTACGATTTAGTGTGGTCAAGTTTATGAGGAATGGGTATTCACACACAAAGATAGAGATGTGATTCAGTATAACTTCAGTGATCAGAAACGGGAAAGTTCAAATGAAGAGCATTAAGAGTGTTCTTTTACTTTCTTACTCACAGAATTTATCCTAAGGAGATAATCAGAGATAATACTATTAGAAGAGCAACACGTTGGTAACAATTCAGTGTCCAGTGTAGACCGTGCAAAACGTCTAAGTGGATTGCTTAAGCAAAGATGGGCACAAGTGTGTGAGGAACTGTCTTGCAATCATTAAGGCATATAAAGAATATAAAGAAGGAGTCCCTGTGTCTCAGTGATTTAGAACCAGTCTCTGAACTTCCAAACTGCTCAGTTCAAATCCTGCCAACTATTACCTGTGTGGCCTTGGGGAAGCTACTAAACCTTCTTTTTTTTTTTTGAGACGGAGTCTTGCACTGTCATCCAGGCTGGAGTGCAATGGTGCTGTGTTGGCTCACTGCAAGCTCTGTCTCCTGGGGTTCTAGTGATTCTCCTGCCTCAGCCTCCAGAGGAGCTGGGATTACAGGTACCTGCCACCATGCCCAGCTAATTTTTTTGTATTTTTAGTAGAGACGGGGTTTCACTATGTTGGCCAGGCTGGTCTTGAACTCCTGACCTCAGGTGATTCACTCACCTCGGCCTCCCAAAGTGCTGGGATTACAGGCATCAGCCACTGCGCCTGGCCTACTTAACCTTTTAGTGCTTAGTTTTCTCTAATATAAAATGGGGATAACAGTAGTACCTATCTCATAGAATAGTTGTGGTTTCGTTAAATACTTGATATCTTTGAAGATATTTAATGACAAAGGGATAGGTGTATTATGTACTAATTTTGAGGAGGAAAAGCAGAAACCATTTAAAATATTATATTGTATATAGTAAGATCATATATATATTTAAAGTATATATGCATGTGCATGTATATTTGCATAAATTTTTTAAAAGGCTGAAGAAAGAAAAAACTTGAAGAAAACATTCCAAAATGCTACAATGTACCACCTCTTACAGTTCTGAGTAATTAATTTTTTAATTAATTTAAATTTTAATTAATTATTCTGCATTTTCCCAATTGGCCATAATCATCAAAAATACAGATTATTCAAAGGAAATACAGGAATAACTTCTCTATATTGTTATTCTCTGATTTTTAGGGAAGAAATCTTCAAAGGAAAAGGAAACACTATTATCCATGAAACCACGAAAGCATGAAAAGAGACACTCTGTAAAACAGTTGAGGATGCTAAAGAACACAGGGAAGGAAGAAGAAAAGGAAATGAAATGAGGTAAGAAGAGGAAAAAATACCAGCCGGGTGTGGTGGCTCACACCTGTAATCCCAAGCACTTTGGGAGGTCGAGGCAGGTGGATCACTTGAGGCCAGGCGTTCAAGACCAGCCTGGCCAACGTGGTGAAACCCCATCTCTACTAAAAATACAAAAAATTAGCCGGTGTGGTGGTGTGTGCCTGTAATCAGAGCTACTCTGGAGGCTGAGGCAGGAGAATCACTTGAACCCAGAAGGTGGAGGTTGCAGTGAGCTGAGATTACACCACTGCATTCCAGCCTGTGCGACACAGTGCGACTCCATCTTAAAAAAAAAAAAAGAAAGGTAAAACTACCAAACAAAAAAATGAAAGAAGGAAACATCCAGCAAACATGTAAAGTGTGAGAGGTAAATAAGAATATAAAATCACAGAAGACTGCTTTATCCAAGTCTGCCCATCAGAGTGATTTGCCCGGTTGCCCCCATTCAGAGCCTTCTTTACAGTGAAATGTAAAGTGCTGCAACTTTAGGATATGGTTACAAGAAAATGGTTAAAGGTAACCGAGAAGCTGATCATTATCAATTAAGTTGTGCTCACTTGGCATGGTGGGGTGTATTCTACAAAGTGAGGTAAACAGTTTCTTCCATGACAATTTTCTTTTTATTTTCTTCACAGTACATTTATTTGCTATGTTGCCCAAAGTTTGGATAACCCCAGCATCCAGGAATATCCTGGGGGCAGGGTAGAAAGAAATTGTGATCTAAAGAAAGACATACAGATGTTTAAGTTTTCTGCTATTACTGGCTGAGAAAAGAATCTAAACCAGGGAACATGTAAAAAACAGGAGTGTTGCTTTCTGCAGAGGAGAAACGACTAACACTAACAAAAAAAAACCATAGATATTTTGGGTTGTAAGATTGATGACTAAATAACGATCACATCTGTGGATGATGAGGGAAAGTCCTCCAGCTAGGTACTGATTGAGTGGGTCACTGCAAAATTCAGAGTAGTTTGGTAGTTACACAGTTAATACTTGGGAGAGGAAAGAAGCTGTGAACCTTGATAGGGCTGGACAGAATAAGGGGGCCACTTCACTGTGCCAAATTTAGAAATGTCACATCGGGGTCAACAAAGTTACACTCACTAAGAAAGACTCAGGATATGTGGCTTTGGACAAGCTACTCAGCATCCTTCGGCCTTGGTGTTCTCAGTGTAACACCAAGATAATAGTACACATGGTTATGCGGGTGGAGTAAATGAGACAATATGTGTCATGCTAAGCTCAGTGCAAGGTATTCTACAAATGACAGCTGAAAATAGCCTTAAAAATGCCAACATAAAATAATGTGTCATTAGTTTGTAATCATATCAGAAAATGCTTAAGGAAATACTTTGGAAGTTCTAGAGATGGGAAGATGAGGGTATGCAAAGGCACCAGACAACTCACCTGCCAGGACACTCTTCTGGTTCAAGGTGGAATTTTGTTAGGCACAATCTGGATTAGCCATCAGGGGGTTATTTTAGCCGCATGTTTGTTACTACTCTATTCGTCTTTACTGTCAAGGCAACATTAAATGAAAAAGTCATGAAAATGAAATCGGGTAAACTTTTGCCCGTCAGAGGATAGAACAGTGCAGCCACCAGTGCACTCTGGGAATTTTGCCTGTAAGATGTTGACCTAGATATGTTCCCTGGTGAACTGATGCTTCTCTGTCCCTCTTACTGTCCAGAGGGTGAATGAATGATGCACATGTGGCCAAATTCCACACTACGTGATTAATTTGAAGCAAGTGATTAAAGGGCTCTTTTTAGGAATTTGGTTGCAAGAGCTAAGACTCACTCATGGATTCTTTCATACATGGACACACTGCACTTATGCACACACACACACACATTACACATATACATACACACACATCACCACTCATTCAGATGAATTTTTGTTTACTATCTTCGTTGTCAGGTTTAGAAGTAAAAGTTCCACAGATAAGTTCGCGCATATGTGTTCTCTAGGTTTTGTGTTCTTTACAGCACTTTGTACATTCCCGTGGTGAGAAGAAAAACAAATCAAGGTGAGAACTTTTCCTCTGATATTTCCATTGCTTTTCATGTGAAACAAACAAGCCGTATGCCATAATGGGAATGAGAGATGACATTTGGGGAGGTTGACAATTTTTAGGGGGATGTGTGTGTGTATATGTGTGTGTTTTTTCTGTTAAGAGATGCTAGAGTAGATAATTCCAAATAAAATTCAGCAGGTCCTGATGTTAAATTTTGGGCACCAAACTGAATTTAAGGAGAGCAGAAGTACCAGGCCTCCCTGAGGACCCAGTCTGATACCTCCTGAGGCCCCTGGCTCAGCTGTGGCAAGCTAATAAGGTGACCCTGAAGCAGATGCAGTTGTTAATACAGATGTGGCATGAGACCTCCTGAGGCAGGTCACAGTCATGATAACTCATGGCAATATGCAATATACTCATTATGAAGGCTTGTGACGGGAGCACCTCAAACCAGAGGCCTCCTAGTACGTCACACTCCCTTTGTCTCCTTCTCCCTCAAAGCACCTGATGGAAGGCAGGCTCACTAATAATTTTTCTAAAACACACACATACCACACACACGGTGGTTGGGGGAAGTTTTGTTTGGACACATTTCCTTCAACATGAAGGATTTTAAGTTGTTCTAAGGCAATTAACGTTATTTGGGAAGTACATATAGAAAATCTCATGGAAATCAAGTGTGACAGCTGCTGTGGGGGTCCAGAAAAAGAAATGCCACTTTTTATGGACACAATGGAGGGGAATGGTTGTTGGCAGCTACTTTTAAGGTTCATGATGTGTGGTGAAATGGCCAGCATTGTGAATGAAGGCTGTTTGTAAGTAAAATGGTGTGTTTCCTCAATTCTTCCCACTAGTCACAGTCTAAAATAATTATTTGAAGACAGATATAAATGACTAGATTTAATTTCACTTAAAACTCTTTTGAAGACAATGAGCTGATTTGAAACTTACAAAATCACAGAATCTCCTGAATGAATGGAAGACTGCATGTACATCACACACTGATGCGTTAACTTTTAAAACGGCTTGCTGGTCATTTGAGTTAATGCAAGAAAGAGCTGACTAATGTACAGAGAGTAGGTTAAGCACTAAAATGATGTGATTTGTTCAATATTTTCAGACTAACAGGGCACTGCAATCTTTTTGCTACTAATATTCTGATTTCTAGCCCAAAAGACAGACAAGCAGGTAGACTTCTGAAATTCCCCAACCACTTCATTAACAATGATGGCGGGTTACAACATGACAAGCAGTGGTTCCTGGGCACATGGGAACTACCTTCTGTGGGATTTTCAAACTTCCTAGTCCTCAGGGGAGTGGAGTACAGGACAGAAAATGTAAGAAAATTTAAATCTCCTCTGTGACTCATGTTTTCCCAAGAGAAACTCCATTGCTGGGTCACTCTTTTAGCTCGCCTGAACCTATTTTCCTTCCTCTGTATGTGATCATGAAGAGAACAATGACTGTGTTCCAACCTGAAATCAAATGTTCAATGTTACAAATAGTCGTTTCAATGAAGTTAGAATTGATGGGAAAAAAAGGCCTTAACATTCATACATGAGAATAACTATCATTCTAAGATACTTGCAAATGAAGACTGCAAAAATAGATAAGGTTCAATCAAACTAAAGATACAAAATAAAGATAAGAATAATAATTGAAGGACATAAAAGCAAGATGATATTTCAAATTTATTATTATAATGTATGGATACGGAATTCTATAATAATTTTCAGTGTTTCTAAATAACTAGGGCATCACTACATCTATTTCTGCAACACACAAAATTATCATCTAAGTTTACTCATTCATTCAGTTGATTAATCAATCATCCAACAAACTTCTCTTGCATGCCAATACATTTTTAAATGTTTTCTATAAGACATTAGAGATTGTAAAGCAAGTCCAACAGGGCTTGGCCATCAGACCAGACAGTCTGTTATTTGATGTAAAAATGCAGTGAAAATGACTGCCAATGATGCTTCAGTGACAAAATTCATATCCAACTCAGGCATGGATTTGGGGTTGGATGTGGTTCCTACAAGAATAAATAGCAGTAATTGAAATAAAGTAAAGGAAGTGATCTCTGTGTCTGGAGTATTTTAATCACAGAACAAGACACTTACAATTTAAGCATGATTTTTAAGCTGTATCTTACAGGAGGCATTAGGTTAGATTTTTTTTTTGTCTGTAGTTAACAAGCCCTGTAGGGTTTAATATGCTAAGACTGGATTCACCTAAGCCTTAAAATATGTTCATTATTTAACTATTAATCTAAGATCAACATAAAATGGCACTTGCATATATTTTTCTCCATTGTTCCATCTGTATTTTGCTCTTTCATTTGCAGAGATGCAGGCAAGAAGAGACTATAATTCAGGATTGCATAGCTAGTTAGTAGCTGAATTAGATCTAGAATGCTTGCTTTCTAATCAATGAACCAAGGTTTATATACCGTAGGTCCTACAGCTTTGATTGATTTTAAATTATCAAAGTTAGCATAGTCAATAATATCAGAGGAGAAAACTCAGCATAGTATGATAAATAAAATGGATCCACATATGTTCTGTGCAATGCAAGTATGGCCTGAATCAAACAGTGCTATCTCAACCACACAGATAACTGTCTTCTTCCTATTCATAATAAGCTGATGGCAGTATTTTTTATAACAAAGATGGCTCAAAGATTTAAAAGTTGCTGGACACACTAATTAGAATTAAGATTGGCCTGGTTTATATCAAGCCCCTTTTTAGCACCGTGCTATTGGTTTGGTCCGACACCATCCCCTGCAGTGTGTGGAGACAGGCCAGGAGTGTGAGGGCTGCAGAGCAGAGCAGGAAGAAAATCAACTGTGAAATTGGTAATTTTATTGAGTTTCATGGGGGGCTTTGTTGTTAAGACACAATGCAATTGGAACAGAACGCCTGTGGTAACACCATGTACACAGTGCCCATTTCATGGCTAAAGGTAAACTGCCTCTAACCAAAAGTTACACATACACATACGTTCCTGCTCAAAACCATTTTGCCAAGTGAAAAAAAGAAATGGATCTGATGCAGGATGAATTGCTGTGTTGCAGGTATGGGGGCTTTTTGCCAAAAACACAGGTAGAACAGTGTGTGTGGGATGGTAGGTGTGTGTCTTTCCCTCGCGACATATCAGAAGGTTCCTTTTCGGAACAGGGCCTGCTGGTTTGGGTTTACAGAAAAGCTGTCCTTTCACTATAAATGATAGGAAGGTCCCAGAAGGAGTATGTGAGAAAGACAGGGGCAGAAGGAGAGGACAGATCGAAATGTAATGCCTGAGCAGCTGAAATCATTTGGTACTCTCAATCCCCCAGGTAAAATAGGAATTAAACATAGCTAACAGGATATTACTCCCAGTTGGAAAAGATCTGCTTGCTGGCAATGTGAAAGTGAAGCTAACAATTGGTATTTGTTCTAGGGTGGTATCCCCCCCACTTCCCTGCCAAATAGCTTGAAGTAGGAATAGTTAAATAAAGTATGCTGGTTAACTGTGTAAATACTCCTGCAGCTTCTGTGCCTTGCAGGGCTGTCCCCGGAGTGGGTTAACTTGCTTTCTGATGGAAGCATGTCTAAAGATGTCCAAGTAGTCGTGACAGGGCAGGAGAGCCAACCCCAATAGATGAGGTTAAGTGGTGGTCAAAGATGGAACACCTTCATTTTGCAAGAAGAAAGCCTGTACATGAAACACTTCCTCCCAGGCCAGCACCTGAGTCCAAACAGCAAGCTACCATTTCAAGAAGGTTTCATATTTATCATGCATTTTGACCACATTTTTGCACGGAAAGAAACTAGGAAGATCAAAGTAGTCCTGTGTGTTACTATCAGTTTAATTTAAACTGCATGCGGGTATAGCAATGCTATCCTTTCCTATTTGGGAGCATATCTCAGGAGATTTTTGCCCTCGCTCTGGGACTAAGTTGTCACGGTTGGCTTCTCCCCATACAAGGGAAGCATTTGGGTCAGACTATGTGTGAAAAAGGAAGGAAAAGGTGGTTAGAGTGCCAGGAGATCACACTGCTGCCCCTCCCTGGGCACCCCCAGGAGGGGGGCACTCAATTCACTATTTATGCTGAAAGTGACAGAAGATGACCAGCTGGCATTTTTTACTCTTATTTGTTTTTGTGTAATCAGAATAATAGTTATACCCACTGGCGCAGTATAAATGCAATACACCTGGATAGGTCTGCCCCTCCAGAATACAGAGGAAGGGGTATTAATTCATTTTCAATAGAGATAATAATGAACACCGATGTCGTGCTCTTTCCGAAAGATATGACTTTCGTGTTCGTGTGTGGCTAAGTATGTCAGAGCATCTGTACACACCAGTTTCACTTTCAAACATGCATTTTAAACTGAAGCACTCTTTTAACCCCATATGGTTTTTCAGTTGTACTGTATTCTATGCTTCTTTTCTTTTTCAAAATGCAATTAATATGGTTGTGTGTTAAATGATTCAGTGAAAGTAAATCTTTTATATTCAGGTAAGCAATTCAGCCTTGTAAGGTTTTATGGGAATTAGATTTTTCTGAAGTCTGGGTTGAGCATGCCCATAACTCTGACAGAGCCCTGCAGGCTCTTGTCTTCACCTTCAAATCATAAGACAGAGAAATCAAGCTCCCTCTGTGCTCTCAATTATACCAAAAAACACGGAGCAGAAGTCTTCAGTAATTCAATCCCTGTGGAAGCTTCTTCACACTGTTTGCGCTGTTGGAACTGCTGACAGCAGCAATCCCACCGTCCCCCGGTAGACTGTCAAAGTTCCTCATACAGTGTGAGCAGCTCTGTTCTGTCCCACAGCTCCTTCTCCAGAGACCTCAGAGCACATGCATGACTTTTGATGCTTGCTTGATACAGTGGCCAAGAGGCCAAAAAACATCACAATGAGAGTTCTCATACTCCTACAAGGTGCTTTGTACTCAAAGTAATAAGTTCTGTGGCTACATGTGGGCCTGAGTTGGTGTAATTTAATCACAAGTACAGCTGCATAAACACTGTACTAAGGAATGTCTGCCTGCAATTGGATTCTTTCTTTGAAAACACACTGTAGAAAATTCCTGAGTGCCATTTTCCATATGGTTAATGAGCAAATGTATCATGACCAGCTTTTAAAAGTAATTTGAATTTATGAGTTGCACTGATTCTAGCACATGTGCATAAGAAATCACACATACGCTGGGCTCTTCCTTATCAGGCAACACCATTTCATCGTTTTCTGCCAAACAACACCAAAAAGAACCACTCTGTGTGTTTAATTGGCTTAAATCATCAGTTACAGCCTACAGCCATTATTTCCAGAAACCACCAACCGCTTCTAGTCTCTCCTGTCAAAAAGTCTTAAAGGTAGGTTAGTCCACATATAACACAAAAGTGCTATCCATTTTTTAAAGTTTTCCTTTATAAATACAGATTTGAAAAAAATCTTTAAAACTCACTTTCTCAACACAATCTCTGCTGTTCCATCACATTCAAGTTTTTCTACTCTTTTTAATGAAATAAAAGACACAGGGTACAGATTTTTCTACAAATCAAACCTGTTGCTATATACTTCATTCTCTACCCTTTGACTGTAGCTCAAGTGGGAAGCATAAACAGAATGAATTGCTATCACGATATTCAAAATTCCAAAGTAGCTGAGTAAATTTGAAATTCACTAGATAAATAGAATTTGCCTCAATGTGTGGGCTGAAGTTAACTGGATTTTTTTAAACAAGATTCTTGTTATCATTTTGCCATAGGATATATTTCTGGTTCTAGATCATTATGCCTGCACATTAAAAAGATTGCAAATCATTATTTTTAAAGAAGAGATAAAGACACATATGCACACATTACCCACTGACGTAATAGAAATACACTTCACTATATTGTACACTGTCAATCTTTCTTCTTTCTGTTGTTTGTAGACTTTTAATACAAAAATATAATTCAAATCTTTTCCTATGTAGGAACATAGCTGCTTCTGCCTGCAATCCCCTAAATCATGCCACAAACATCCATGTTTCTGTTAACATGAATTATTATAGAAAACATATAACTAGACAATTGGCAGAATTAGCTTTCTTTTATAAGACAGCGCCACATATTTAAATATTGATATTAATGTTTAGTCCAACTCCACCTATAACTGTATGATTACTGGTGCAGTATTTGATTTAGTTCGTACATTAATATTTGTTGAAGATATGGATTAACCAATATTATTGAGCTAATATGCTATTAGTGTTGGAAAATAATGATTACTTTTTTTCATTAACTAATAATAAACTTAAATTTGCTTTACTTTATATATTTCTCATCACTGCTTTTCTGCTGATTCAGCCTTAGCCAAGCACACATTCCTAAGGCTTAAGAAAGTGAGGTTTAATTGTTCTCTTCCTAGCACAGGTGAACCTAGTTCATCTGAATGGGTACTTACTGTCTCACAGGGAAGTGGTCACCAAATGGTAATCAATATGGTGCCATGAAAGTTCACCTGGAAGCCCTGTCTTAAGTATACTTTAATTTTTACAGATTCACATTCACAATTTTCCACATTTCTGTGGGCTGCTTGTCTCTTTACCAGCCCAAAGTTCACAGAATCTTAAAACATACAAAAAACACTTGTTTTATGTAAGTGCTTCTACAGTAATAGGCTGAATTTTTAAAGGCAGGTATCAGTATTAATACTAATTCTAAAGGTAAAATACTCCAAAATGACAGAAGTGTTTTAGGAATAAGATAAATCCAGTAAAATTGGAAGACACAAAACCTACCTGACCAAAATTCTTGAAGAAGGACCATATTGAGTAAATCTGTATTTTTGTCTTATTTTTGGACAAAGGTGGATGCTTGTTATTTTTGAAACCTCAAAAACCTTCTTGGTCTTTTTATTTAAAAAATGCTTTTCTATGGCCAATATGAAGAAATGTCTCAAATTATACCAATTCATGCCAACACTGTTGCATGAGTATTCTAGCTACCATTAAGCAGGCATTTGGTGGAGGAGGAGGGACTAAAAATTTATGATACAAACTGGAGTTATGGATTGCTCTGTGGCTTTGTGCCCCATCTGTCAAACTGGGGTGTCTGAACGGAGAGAAAGCAAGAAATTCCCACAAATCACAGATTGCAGTGCTGTTCCGCTCCCTCATTACTTTAAAGGTATGATTCTGTGTGAATAAAAAATGTACAGTTAGCATTCTGAAGTATTGAATGGCTTTTAAAAGCATTTAGAAAATATGTACAAGGATGAAAAGGTCACTCGCATAAAAGAGGGTATGCACAAGGTGAAAGCCTAATGAAACATTATGCGGTATCTTTTTTGGTGCTCAGAATAGCTCCAAGGTTAAGAGACTCCGAGTCAGTCTTCTGCAGATCCATTTCCTCTCTCCAGGCTTCTCATGTTAACCCAGTGATTTAGTGCTCTGCATTAAGAGCAATTCACCTGCCTCTGGTGTCCCTGTGGCCCGTCCCTCTAGGGAGCGAGGTGGAGAATAAAAAGTTCCACATATGGTAAAGTCAAGCTGCTTGGAGCCTGCTGAGTGTCTGCTGTGGGGATAGCGGCTCCTGAAAGCCCCAGCTGGTACTTGGAAGAGATTCTGCATTACTACACCTCAGTGCCTGCCTGGTTCCCTTCGGAAACTGTTGGCTCCACATACGACAGCCATTTTAGATCTCTTCAACCCTTTTCTCCCGGTTCTGTATCCAACTGAACAGTTGGTCCTCTACTGCTAGATAATCAAATTCTTCCATCTGGTCCTATCCCTGTGGAACTGAAAAGGTGTAGTGTGCACCCGGTCCCAAACACATACCAGGAGAGGCACAGACTTCCCAACAAAAAGCAGTCCACAATAGACAACTGCAAAACCTTGATTTTAAATATAGGGGAAGAAGGGGAGAAGACAGTTAAATATCTATACAATTATCTCCACAAAAGAGATAGTCAGAACGTGCCAAAGTCACTAAACTGCGTGAGCTACAAATACAGTAAGAACACATTCCTTACACTTTTGACTCCTGCTGGAAGTATCAAGCCAATTACCTGAGATATCTTCCAGGCACGTACAGTACCTTCCTTGACATATACACCACTCTGTGTCTATGTCAGTGTGACCTGATCGACACTAAGTGTGAGTAAACTGGGAAGGCAGGTTAGTATTTCTCCCAGCTGCAGTAGTTTACCCATCATCTCAGTTTAGCAGGAGACTCAGTACACAAACTGTATCACTGGGTCCTACAATGACTGGTTTCTGTGTCTGGGGTGTGTGTGTGTGTGTGTGTGTATTTCATATTGTGTGAGGGACAGAAAAAGGAACTGTAACAGGTAATAGTTTCCACAATTATTCCTCCTACATTTTCCTGGCACTATATTATAATTCCATGGACAGAATATATACTTTGCTTTCCTTCTTGAGGTGGTTTGGCTTTCCCTTTTAACTGTCCAACTATTTCAGTAACAAAAAGGTCATCTTAATTTAGCCTCACTAGTTTCTATGGAACCTACAGTGGTTTGCAAAATACATATATTTTTGGACATCTATTATTTTCCTATTGCTTTACTGTTTTTAAGGAACTTTAACATGTCTTTTGAATTGATCTTCATGAGAGTTGCATGAAAGTGCCCAGTACTGGTATTTTCAATCCACACTTGCTAGATAAAACAGCTGACCCAGAATGACAAAGTGACTTCCTGAGGGTGGACAGCTCATACAAGGTACATCTTGTCACAGGACTGCAGATGTCCAGGTCTGGTACAGGCCCAGAATTTCAAGTCATTGATGAAACAATGGGTATTGTGTGCAAAGCCAGCAATTTTTGTGTTGAGATTTGTCTTACTTTCACTATTTTTTTTAATAAAGACTAGTTTAAAATAATTAAATACCATCCCTTTACTTTATAAATACGAAAAACCAGAGGTCAAATGACACATCTAAGATGGTAAAATCGGTATCTCTTATATTTTAAATAAATGACGACCTACAATTTGCATGATTCTTGAAGAGCAATTGTCCTGAAGTTGCTTCTAGGATACTGAAATGAGGGTGGGGAATAGAGTGTGGAGGATGGTGGAATATGTTTAAGGTAACTGGATTAGCAGTTTAGAAAAACAGAGTAAGAGATCCAAAGGTTAATCTCACTATACTAATAAGGTCCTTATAAATCTTCACTGTTTTTCTTCGGTATGTATGAGTCACTTATGCTGCAATTATAAAATACTTTTGCATCTTATTAGGACTTTTTCTGAAGGAAACTTAAAGTGTGTCACTACTCAGCCATTTTATTAACAATATAATACTGATCTAGGGTGTATTCTTTCCCAATAAACATTATTCTGATTTCAAATCATAAACAAGAGTTTACAGTCAATAAGACTAGCAATACCTCAGTTAAGCTGCAGATGTTAATAGAAGTAGTTTTCTTTCTTTCTTTTTTTTTTTTAAGGAAAACTCACTTATCTCATT
Organism: Homo sapiens; assembly: GCF_000001405.40. Taxonomy (NCBI): domain Eukaryota; kingdom Metazoa; phylum Chordata; class Mammalia; order Primates; family Hominidae; genus Homo; species Homo sapiens. The sequence goes on from NC_000018.10 coordinate 25,170,156, forward strand.
TAAGCACAACCACCAAAGGCGGCGTTCAATGCTCAAGTCACAAAACCAACCTTCTGGTTCCTATCTTCACAGTGATTGGAAAATCTTCACTAACCTGAAATGTCAGAAATAATGATCAGATTGAATATGACTTCATAAATAATTTAATAATAGACTTAGAGCATCTCATTCCCTATTCTGATTGGTGGAAAATCAATTGCACTGTGCTTGGCAATGACTGACTTCCCATTAGAGTTTTTCCTAATTACAGCCAAATACAACATCTTTGTCCTTCCGTAGAGCCAGACTGCAAAGTAAAAAGTTGTTTTTAATATAAATTTTAGTTCTTGTAAACCCTTAACAATAGTCATTCTTCATCCTCTCTAAATCAGTTTTGACTACACTAAGTGATGAGTCTGTTGGTACACACTATCTCTGGTTTCAAATGACAAAGCTTAACACATGAGTTGTTAACTATCTGTAATGACACTTAGTTGATTAATGCTTCAGTGACACCCAATTTGATCTCACGTCCACTATTAAATCGTAGCCGTGTAACATAATTTAGTGTTGAAAGATTTTATAAAGGAGGCAAAATTGGCTTTGAAGGCCATGCACATTTTTAAAGGTAAGACTGATCATACAATTCAGGCCTATTTCTCCCTTGGAGTTTCAAGGAATTAATTTTTCACTAACATCTACTAGATGTTGTATTTTGGCATTTGCATTTATGAGTTAAAAATTTGTTTTGTGTCCAAATAAATCAGTTGCTACCAGTGGATTTATTTATTGGGACAATCTGATTCCAGTATTAAGAAGTCAGTGTTAAGAAAATATAGTTAGATGGGACAAAAAACATAAGCTGTGGCATACTGTCTATATCATGTACCTTTAGTTATGAGAGACAGACAACTTAAAATAATTGCATTCATAATTGTGCTACAGAATTCATATGTAGACTGAAACATAAAATTTTTATTTAGGGAAATGAGAATCTGATAAATGAGCATTATAAACAAAACAACAACAAAAACTAAGTGGTGAGTTACTAGGAATAACTGCATTCTGCTCACCTCACACACAATCGAAATTAGAAACCATTACTGCATCGAAGACTTGCTCTCAATAGCAGTTAAGCTTCTTTGAATGGATTCCCTTTTGTATAAAAAGTATGCCAGTCTTTGACTGCCAAAATCAATTAGTCACATTCATTATGCCTCTATTTATTAATGTTGTACACTTTATAATGCATGTGCTAATGGAACAAAAGAAAGTTATGGAATATCAAATATGTGTTATGATTAAAATCAGAGCAAGAGAAGTAATGATCGTTAGTCTTAAAACGGTTACAAAGCCACTGTAAAGATTAGATTAGTGGTGACAGATTTATAATCTTTTCCAAAATGTAATCCTTACTAGTTCAGATTTTGCAATAGAACAAGTATGTGATGGTTACAGGTTATTGGCTCCAACCGTTATATTCATGAGACTACTGTGCTTCTGTCTACTGAAATCCAATACACAATATAATCTTAACAGATGCAATTCTAATCTGCACTGCACTGTAATAATAAAATGGGGCAACATAAGGCTCTTTACTGATATAGGGTTCAGAGTTAATTCAATGATGCTAAGAATGACTGACTGGTATTAAAAATCAGCAAAAAATTAAACCTTATGCTAAAATGAATGAAGAACAATCTTGGCATTCTCTGGCAGGGTAGATTTTAATGGAATTTACTGTCAAGCTGCCACCCCTAAACTTTTCACATGAAACAAAAACTGTAATTTGTCTCCCTGTAATAAACAGTGTTATATTGTTTATTTCTCCTCAAGTATTGCAGCATATAAGTTGATACACACCATATGATATGATTCCTGCAGTTCTCTTTTGGGGGGGAAGAGGGGGCATGAGGTGGAGAGTACATGTATTAATTGTTTTAATTGAAAAGAGTATTAATTGCTTCTTCATATTAATGTTCAAATTTAGAGAGTGACAGCATAGATATGCTAGAACATTTGAAGATTGAGAGGAAAACCATACACCCATTTAGGCCTGAAATTATATCAGACATTCAATAAATACATTTCTCACGCCTCCTAGGATTAGCTTCTAAAATGCTGCTTGTGGCTCTACCCCAGTATGCTGTACTTTCCAAAAATTCAACTAGCTCACTGAGCCTCTTTCTATTGCCGATTTTGGCAAGCTATTCTATATTCCATCTATTGTGTTTAAAGAAACTTCCCCTCAAATTGCTAATATGAGATAGTCCAGTCGAGTCCTCCATTTCAGTCATGACCTCTATGCTTTCAAATTAGTTTCTACTTCAAAAAGCTTACTGGCATCAAACTGATTTCCTTTTAGGAATATTATTCCCTTCTACTAAATCCCACTTAGCTTTTCTTTCCCCTGAGCTAAACAGACTTGATTTATCAGTCTTCAAATTGCATTCTTAAAGCACTTTTTAGTACCTAAGCACCCAGGTACTGTGGTGATAGACATTACTAAATGCGTTTTAGAGTAGATAAGACATGAAAGAGAATGTGTAGAAAGCTGACATGCTAAACACAAATTTCAAATATAAATGGAAAGGGAGTTCCTTTACTTCCATTTCCATTCTTGTAGTAACATACCCCGTTGACTCCTAAATCTTCCCTTAAAGTCTCAGCTATCTTTTCTGGGTTATATGTGATCATCCAAACCAAGCTTTGCACATGAATTATGAAGCTTACTCAAGGATGCACCACCCAATATCCACCTGTACATATAAAATTCTCTACTATTAGGCAGATATCATGTTAAAGTTGTGTGAATAAAAATCCCAAGGAACTGAAGTTGCATGGTGCTTTTTACTTCACGTAACTGAAGTACGCAAACGGTTTTACAAAACTCTTGTCGCAAAGTATTCTATACTCTTCTCCAAATTTACCAGATTCAATAATTAGCAATAATGCATTAGATGCCAGTGAGAATGATAAATCTGAGTGCGTCCTACAGTGATGCTGTGGGACACATATTCAATTTTTATTAAAATATGTACATTCCCACAGTTTGATTTCTTCCAGGCCCAGGGCTAGTGGGCCTGTGCTAATTTACATGGCTGATGGAACGCAGAGGTTAATCAGGGGATAGGTGCTGGTTTGATGAGCCCCCAAGGAGGCCAAAATGCAGTCACTTCCTGATTATCCTCACACATTATTTGAACTGTGCATAATCCCTCTGACCTGGACACCTTTTCCTCATCACACATTCCATCCCAAGCCTTTCTCCCCTCCAATCCCTGCTAAATTCCTTTGTAGCCAACCATTCCCAAGGCTGCTTTCTGGTAAGGAGTGAAAGGTTTCCTTGTCACCTGACTGTTTAAGGCAACCACCCCACGTGCACTTCTCATTTTGGGGTGGAAGAGCTGTAAATGTATCTGTAAATGTATCATACAGCAGTATGTGGATGTTTTTATGAATATCATTTGTATAAAGTGTTTTAGATTATCCATGTTTACTAGCATGAGGGGGAATAATTGAAAATTGGCTGCAGGTGGAAACAAGAGATAAAGCAGAATGGGAAAAATATAAAACGAAGTTAGCCAATAGTACTAAGGAGGAAAATGGAAAGAAAATTTAAGAAAAAAGGGGTCATGTTCCAGTGCTATTTCTTTAACACAGAACATCCACTTGAAACACTGGAAATATTTTGTCAGATTATTAAACCAATTTTCAAATCTAACTCAATAATTCCTCTATTCTTCCCTTACTTCAGCAATAATACTCTGTAAAATATCATTATTCTCAAAGTGTATCTAAGATTCATTCCTTTCATTTTATCTGGCAAAAAGTATGTTTTCCGAAAGACTGAAAATACAGAGCACTAATTAACTCAAGAGTTAACATATTTTTTAAAAAATTCATTTTTATGTTTTGGAAGTGATCACATCAACTTGAATTCTTTTTTTTAAATGAAACAACATCACTATTATTGCATCGATCAATTTGAAATAAGAATGCTTACTTATATGTATACCTTTCTAGAATTCTGGAAAACAAAAAATCAGATCAGTAATTACTTTCTAAGCAAACATCAGAGGACATTTTTGGGATGAACACTTCTCCGTGACAGTTTCCTTTCGAGGAGCACTAACTCTGAAACCACCACAGAGACAACATATTAGCTTTTTAGATCTCTCCACCCTGGTCAGGTGGTGATGGTGAAGCTGCTGTTGTCTCCAGGGAGTGGAAATTCATATCAAAAAATCGTTACACATTATATCACTCCATTCCACGTGAACATTAGTCTCTACTCATAAGGGGACCCAGGATTCAAGCTAGTATAAATAATGAACTGCTGCTTATTTTGAGAGGGCAGGTGGGGGAGACAGCGAGTGTTTGGATTGGTTCAGGGAGTCCTTGGAGGCCCTGAGAGAAGCAAGCTTGGTCTGCAGCTTAGCAGCTGCACAGGCTCGCCAAGCGTGGTCATCTCTCCACCTTCGTGGACACACAGACTCACCCAATGTAACTTGCCATTACTGTAGATACAGTAATCCTGGCAACACAACAAGAAAAAGAATCACTTTCGTTCCAACTCTAAAATTGCAGTCAAGGCTCAGGAGACTATAAACAACATCTTTCACTGCTCTGACCCCCATGCAAATTTAAATCCCCCAACCTTTCTGAGCACTGTTGGTGAGCAGCCCCATTACATCTTAATGACTGTCATTAATTTCTAAAGAGTGTTAATTTCAGATTTTTAATCACCCCTTAACTATTTAATTAAATTTCAATAAAATGTTAAGTACTTACAAGTCTTCTCATTTTTCCTAAAATACTTACCACATTAACATGACCAAGGTCCAGCGGTAAAAGCGAATGTAATTAGATGATACAGCACTATTACCATTCCTGTCAATGAACTAGAAGAATCACTAAGTGCAAACATGTTAATGGAAATTCTACACCAATTTCCAAGGTGATCTGAGGAATACAGAAGTGAAGAGGGAGGTAGGACTTTGAGTACATTACAATTATGTGTTGGGCATTCAAAAACTAAGAAGTCATCACAATAGCCTGTGTGTCACAGGACATGATGAAGGGGCCATTCCTACCTCCGACGTATAAGTGGTTAGACCTTTCCTCCTCAGGGAAACCTCACTGGAATCCATGGGGGTCAGGGAAGTAATAAGAAATCAGAAAATTTGGGGAGAATGAAGATAAAACAGTATCACAGCATGGCAAAATTAGGACTTTATAAATGTGAGTTTTTCTACTAATTATTTATACATCATTGGGGTTCTATGTAATGTAAAAGTTGAAATGGATCAACTCAAGCAAGGTTGGCTTATATGACTGATGCATGGAGCCTACCACATACTTTGTAAAGCTGTCATACCGGAGGATTTAAATGTCATGTCACTCCTTCCCCTTATTGCTGTTAATGAGCCTCAGTTATTTTGAGAATAGAAAACGTGGATGGTCAGCATAAATATTGGTTGAGTTACAAAACTGAAAAGCTTGTGATACCTGGACTTGTTCACATGTCACTTTTAATAGACTACAAATTCTTTGATTTAAGTGGTGAAATGACCTCCCTCCCTACCAATTGAGCATACTGTCACACAATCAAATGGCCATTTATCATACCTTGTACCTTCTTGGATCAACGGTTTTGCTACTGTATTATGGTCAATTCAGACATGCCATAGTATTCTTTTAAAAATAATAAATGGAAAGTTTCCTAGGACTTCGAAGAGGCAGAAAAAAATGCCACCTTTACAAAATTATGAATTGTTTATAAATCAGGCTCTATGACTTACACATTTATGATACCATTCCTGTAAATAATGAGGCCCATGCCTTACACACAATACAGCTAGAAACCACAGCACAGCTCAGTTTTAAAATGATTAACTGCTGCATACAGCTATGACTTTATTTGTAAGGAGCAGTTAGGAGAGGCAAAATGAGTATGCAGCTTTCCATTATATACAGGCATATTTTCAATAGCCGTGTGAGTCTTTTTATGGCTCCATTTATGTCAATGTCCTAGTGTCATCTGTAATAAACTGGCAGCAATTAGAGCCACAATAAACCCCATAATGCAACACAAACAACAGGAAGTCTCCCAGAACCCCAACGCTCTAAATTTACATCTCCCCCTCGAAAGTCTATTTATCACCAGAGTTTGCAAGCCCGTCTGCTAAAGAGCGCTCTAATTAAGATGTATCTGGTGAACAAGTGTCTGCTTTTCACCCTACTCTTTTAACACATCATGTATGCACTGAGCAATCTTCGTCGGGTCTCATAATGAGAAAACTGTGATATGCAAAAACTCTGTGAAATCTTTTATCCTCCCAGGAGACCTCCCTTGATGCCAGGCATTCATCATCTAGCCTCTAATATCAGTTATTTTGTGCCTCCTCTGCTTACACCAGAATTAATTTTTGCTTTAATTACTCTCTTCGCTGGAATGCTGATGAAGGAGAGGGACTCAGCATTTGGGGACTTGGGCCTCATTCCACTGCTTTAATTTAAATGAATTCCACTAGGAGAGGCAGGCAAACAACTGGCAGCGAAGCCTACAGGGGCTCCGAGGGATCGCAGCGTAGTGCAACAGATTACACCAGCTTGCCCAAGTCGGCCGCCCCGGTGTTGCTTTCCTTACAGAATAAATGACAAAGATGAAACTGCTCCCGGAAAATTCTAGACACTCACACATGCTCACCAGCACACGTGCGCGTGCACGCACACACTCATAAGCACACGCTCCCTGGCTGGCTCCAACATTCGGCGCTGGCGTGGAACCTGGTGTTTACTCCCAATACTCGCTGTGACCTGAGCACTTACCAGCCCCCTTCTCCTTCTGCCTACATCTGTTCTACATCTGAGGACCTCACTATGTAAAATTTTTACACACAGCGAACAGTTTTAACCTCTTGCCTGCTAAATTTCATGTCACTTTCAGTGATTTTTTTTTTTACTGCTAGTTTTATTAGTGCTCATATTTTATTGTACACTTTAAACTTACCCTATTTTATGACTGCTAGGTACAGAGGAAGGTTTTAAATGAAGAGATGTGAACCTCAAAGAAAATCAGGGGAGAGTATCTTTCCCTGAACTGAAGAGATCAAGCCTTTTGCTGACCATTTGGTTTTAAGTCACCAATTTAAAATTCCACTTGGCTAAGAGGAAGAGTCAAAGAAAGGAAGGTGTGGGAGGCAGGAGACCTCTGCACTAATTCATAGGCACCCATGGTATCACACAAATCAATCAAAATATGAATTCAAAGAAAACTTGAGTAGGAAAAACGTGTCATTTACCTTACACATTACAGATTTTAATATGGAGTTTAAAAATAAAGCATGTCCAAGAAAAGAATCTACACCCGTTCTGACTTACAGGAATGCAAACTTTCTGCTTTGTGAGGATTTTTTTTTTTTTCAGGAGTTGAGAAGGCTGCTATCTACATGCACACCTAGTAAGCAAATTTGCTGCTAGTTAATTGGACTGGTTTAAAAAATACATTTTAGAGAAGCTTATATATACTACATGACCAGACTTTTTAGCTAGGCAAAAATATCGTCTGTAATAAAAACTAAAATCAGTTTGCAGCTCCAATTGCAAGAACACTTATAAAACAAGGATGCATCATCATAATTGTAAGCTTTCTACCAGCACCAATGAAGAGTTGGCAATGACCTCACATCCAGACCCAGATGGCACTTTCTTTTTACTGGCCATTGTTCCTCGTGGATTTTGGGAGGAAACCTGCACAATTTTGTTCTTGTCCTGTGACTGGAATTTAGAGCATGTTTCAATTCCCTTTGCCTAACATAGCGACATATACAAAATGTAAAAAAGTATTAACATAAAAGAGTGTTCTTCTTCATTACTCCTTCTCTAATAACACATTCTGGCATCTAATAAATTATCTCTGTGGTTCAAAAGGAACTCTGCTAAAAAAACTGTGATGAACATCATAAATCGTATTGTCAAGCTGCATATAGTATGTCAATTCCTTTCTCATGTTTAAATGAATGTGCAGTAACTGCGTTACTCCCTTTCCAATCATCCTATAGTGAATTCATATACAGATACCTACAGAAAGAGGCTTCTAGAAATGTTGGAGGTTTCCAAGCCATTTCCCATTTCTAACAATAATTAGACAACATGTGCGCTATTAAGACAGGACTGAGGCACATATGTTTTCATGTATCGCAGGGTCTGTGATTCTGGGTTCCACACATCATTCCGAACAAAGCTCTTGCTATTTAAATCTATCCACTCAGCTTTCAAAATGATATGAACATAACCACTTGCTACTTTGCAGAGACGTGAACATTTTTATGCTGCTCATTCACACATTAGTATTATGGAAAGCCATGTCCCATACTCAGGACGATTTACCCTGAATTTATCCATTTTTGTCACTTTGTTGCCTATTTCCCACCATTTCCCACCATTGCCAAAGAATTCTGATGCAGAAGCATACTTAGCTGTTTCAAAGTAGTTTGTTTTAAGAAAGTAGAAGAGAATACCTAGGCTAAGTCTTTACTTATAATGGAAAGATATAATGGAAAAATCTTTTAATGGAAAGATCAAATTTTATCTGAACCAAGTATAGGTTTTATTGCCTAGAAAATGACATCAACATCAGGCTTTGATGCAATGATAGCAAAGCAATTGCTAAGAACACCTCAGCACAGGCTCCCACAGTGAGCAACTTGTGCATGTGTGAAGAGATGAATACTGCACCAGCTGAAAGTGATGTAGACAGATTCAAGAAGTGTGAGTTTCTCTCCGTACACTAATGCACACTAGCTCTGTTCTGCTCACGCCTCAGTTTCCTTGTCTGTATAACAAAAGTAATGATAACAACCTCATATCATGGCTCAGGAGAATCAATGCTTGACACCTGTTCAAGTGCAAAACCAAACAAACCCCAAACCCTTTGAAATGTATTTCTTATGACTTATACTTCTTTTTCTTTATTCCTTTTTTTTTTTTTTTTTTTTTTTTTTTTTTTTTTTTTTTTTTGGTGGTGGTGGCAGGGATGGAATTTCCCTCTATCCCCCAGGCTGGAGTGCAGTGGTGTGATCTCGGCTCACTGCAACCTCTGCCTCCCGGGTTCAAGCAATTCTCCTGCCTCAGCCTCCAGAGTAGCTAGGATTACACATGCCACCACATCTGGCTAATTTTTGTATTTTTAGTAGAGATGGGGTTTCGCTCTTATGCCTTATACTTCTATACATGATCATTTATTAAATCACTACCAATAGGGAGTTAGGTTTGAGATGGCACTCACAGCATTTTACAAACTAGTTGTTGGTGGTGGTAGTGATGTGTGTGTGTTTACGTGTGTGCATGTGTGTATATGTGTTTGTTTTAAACTTAGGAAAACCATGCTTCTTATAGAGAACTGTCCTGGAATTTTGAGTGTACAAGTTTGTTATTCTGAGCTATTTGATTAAATTTAACCACAGGAAACTCTTCCAAGTCCTAATGAAGCAGCAATTACATATAAAAGGAGCCAAGCCAAAAAACATCCTTTTCCAATATCTCTCTTTCAAATATCAGACTCCAATATAAGCTCCACAGTATTCATTTCACTTTTGTACCATCTCCCTAAGCTGTTGGAAACACGCTAAACACAAGACACGGAGTGCTGCAGCAGTGAGTGTGTGGTGGAAGAGACTGACGGTGGGTACATGTCCACACACAGATGTACGCATGTGACACACACACATTTAAATACACAAAGAAGACGACAAAAATTTATCTTTAAAAAGGACCATAAAAATAGAAAACCATAGTTACTGACAGAAAATCTGAATTAGAATTCTGAAATCAGTCATGCAAGTTAAGACCTTTGATGTATGTATTTTAAAGTTTACTATATAACATAGTATGTGCTAGTTCAAGGTACAGATTATGTAAAACAGACTTTTAGAGAAAGTTAAAAAAACTTTTTCGTTTAGAAATGAAAGCCCTTTTTTGCCCATAAACAAACCCACAACACTTGGAAGATTATAATTTTTTCTTAAAAGACACATGCACATGTAGTTTTAGCTAATGTATCCTTATAAGATAATGTATCCTTAATAAGATAAGTTAAATTGTTTTAGTAACTAAAGAAGTTACAATTGTCCTAAGCACCCTGGACATAGAATGCAATATTATACATACTATTCCCAGGTTTCCAACATCACATTTATCCCATGTGATGGTACATTTCAGCATAACAATGCAGTGGTTCTGGGATACAGGAGACACAGAAATAATGTCAAAAGCAATTCTTCACATTTGGATCTCACCACATCAGTGCAAATAGTGAACTTAAAACATGAAAATACAATTTGCTCCTTCTAAAGTATATGTTTTTATCTCTTGCAAAAAAAAAAAACCCCACATTTATTTCCAATGCCTCAAGGTAAAGAGGATGGCATCTATCATAAGTGCAGAGAACGTCTGAAGGATTTAGAAGCAATCTTTTCATAATGCTTCTTTGGGTGAGGAAGTGGAGTTATGAGTTACTCAAAATTCATAAAGATTATTAAGTTTACATCCTTACAGAAGATCTGCTGCTACTCTATTTCTCCACCATACTGCCAGCATTCCAGCCCAAAACGATTGAGAACCTGTCTCTGGTTCAGGAAATCCATCCATTTTGTGGCATTAGTGCTCTGCTGCATAAAATAAAAGGTTCTGCCTCATTCAAAACAACAACAACAACAACAACAACAGCAACAGCAGCAGCATAAATTACTTTCAGTGAAGCAGCCTACAGTATCTGCCCTGAATTCGTGGTACTCATTCTATCAGTATTCCTTCATGTAAGTGATTTTAACAGGTAAGTAAATCCCTATTTCAGCAGGTTTACTCCAGATTATCAGCTTGTGTGTCTGTGCCTGCTGGGCTATTTGAATGATTACCCTATCCCCCAAAGGCCTCAGCTAGGACTGATTCTGCACCCACGGCAGTGATCCCTCACAGTAAGGAAGCCTCCCACACAACGGTCAGCTTTCCTGCTTGATAAATTCCAACCTTTCAGCTCATCTAAACTGAGCCTATGGGCTTCATGTTTTTCCTTCTTCCTCTTCGCTTAGGTCTATGGGAAGTTATGAAACATATTTTTCTAGTCCTCCCAGGAGCAAGGCCAGGTTCACAATTTGACCTCAGAAACATAGCAGTCCTGCAATGCCAGACAGCCTGATAGAACTCAGTATTAGTGCTCTCTGCCTGGCCCACACAAACCATAACATGCAGCATGGAGCAATGTTACTTACGGGAAATGACAAGCAATGGATCAGTGGGGGAAAAATAATGGGATTTAATCACGTAAAAACATCACAGGCGCACAGCTCCCTTTCAACAAGCTGCCCCACTACAGGTGAGGACACAATGTTCATAGGAAACTAACCACCTATAATTTATAATGGAGCTGCCTAACCAGCTATTTTGATCAGATGAAGTTATAGGATTCTTTACACACCCAGAGATTCTAGTTCCCATCAAGTCAATATCCCCCTAGAGAATGATTTTAAACATACATGCAAAAATATCTACCTATGCATTAGATAGACGTCTTAGATGTATGAGGAATGATCCCAGGAACAGTTTTAGGCTCATATAAAGGACTGTCGTCACAGACTAATTATAGACACTGGTACCGAAAAAGGAAGGCTGACCCTGCAGTCTTATTTACACAATTTCCAGCCAGAGGGCTATAATGTGGAGCCCCAGTGGGGGCATTTCTCTCTGAAACCCAAGGGCACCTGCATTAAGGAAACTGGTGTAAATGAATCCCTTTGCTCCATGACAGAAGAGAAGACACCAATACTTCAATTATCTTGATATGGAATACATATGCTGACCTTCTTGAATTCTACATAATGAGATACAGTTACCTCTTATTTATTTATTTATTATTATTATATTTTGCATTTTACCATGCATTCAATTAGAAGAAGGACATTTTGAGGCAAGAATGATATGCTCTTTGGACAGAAGGTAGTGATTCAAAAATTGCAAAACTTCAGCTTTCAAAAATAGCCTAAGTGACCTCTTGCAGTACTCTGACCACTCCGCAGCAAGCAGGAGGCAACCCCTGTGAAGAGCAAATTCTGGCAAAGTTCTCTCTTCACAGATGATGCACAGCTTAAGCTATAATGAGTTTTTGGGTTACAAATGCTGAACGCATTAATATTCCTTGATGATAATTATCACAGTATAAGCACCTTCCCCAATGTGAGTAGCATAAAGCAACTGAAGCAGCATTTTTACTATATTTGAAACAAGCTGGAAAATGGGATTTTCTACTCTTGTAACCTGAGGTCAACATACATCAAGCATTGCATATTAAACACACCTATATGTGACGCCCATTTCGCTTCCCTTCCCTTTTCCTTCATGTATACTTAAAGCTATCTCCTTTATTCATTCTTTATTATAAAATTCTTGGTATGAACATATATGTGATATACGTAATCTCAAAACAAAATGTACTTCCACTGCATCATAATGAAACCTATGTTTCTTCTTATGAGAATACAAATAGCAAATAAGATCAGCAAGCCGTGTTTTACAGATGAGATGTGTCTCTGTGCAGTTTGAATGAATACTGTGGTCACTGGCTGCATATAAAATAGGATGAAAATTAGAGTCTAGCAAACAGGCTTCTAGAAGAGTCAAACACACATTTCATATAAATCTGAACAAACGACCAGTCTTTACCTTTACACCTTCAAAACTAATTATACTGATAAGCATGGAAAGGTTTAAATGTGAATTCAAACCTACCAACGTGATGACAGTAATGAAGTCAGCATCATATTTACTGGCAATATTTTTGCCTAAGGCTCCTAGATACCAATTTTCACTCCAGATTAAAAGAATAATTACTGTTATTTGGGTAATAACTATCAAATATTATAAGAAAAACTGATAAAGGTGATCCATTATGCATTATCCATGTGTACAACAATATCTGTCTAATACTCATTATTTGCTCCAGCATACCCAAATTAAAGGCTGAAAAGATTCAATATACTATATCCTAATTTGATTTGATAATATGCTATGAATGGACTATAAATCGATTTCCCCTCATCTCTCTTTCTTCCCCTTCCCCTACTCAGTTAAAAAAAATGGAAATACTTATTATAAAGCTCAATTGATGTTAGGACAGCTTAAAATAATCACAATTCAGGTCTTCTTACTAACATGCTATAATGTCAAGTTAGTACTCTATGTAATTAATGCTAACAGCACTTTGACTTAGTGACAAAATGAAAGCCAGTTTGAACCTTTAATCCAAAGAATGTAAATTGGTTGAGGTATTCAGTAGGTGTGAATCTGTTGAACTCATTTGTACCACGTTACCCTACACTTCATTTAGAAAATAAGCCATGCTACAACTGCCTCCAGTTCTCCAGCATCATTTTTACTTATGTGCTGCAAAAATGTCTTAAAATCCCATTTGAATAGATGGTAGGGTTATAAGGGAACTTTGCTAAATATTTAACAGTACTATCGGCATATTAAATAGTATAATGTGAGAGCCATGAAAGCATGATATACAGGGTTTGCCTTCTTCAACTTAATGCTGGTGCTCGTTTGAAACACTCCGCAAGCCCATTCATCAGCAGAACAGATGCATTTTAAAAAGTCCTCATTTACTAGCAGATAAATGTGGTTAGAGAACCTTTTTAGTGTAGAAATGACTGAAAACCTATTTGATTTTACTGTTCAAAATTTGCTTTACTATGGCAAGGGAAAAAAAGAGCTTCACAAAACATTTAAAAGGCCATTTTGAAATAATATGTAAAAGCTAAAGGAACATAGCTTTGAAACAGATAGGGGATGGTATATTTTTTGGTTCACCAAAAATACATCAAAACAAGGCAACAGATTTATAGACAGCTGATACAGCACACATATTCATTGAATCTGGAAATAATATCTCAAAAAACATAATTATATAAGGAAATTACCCACTGAGACTCTTGCCTGACCATGACATTGTTGGCAGGTGACTTCATTTGCACCTACTCATAATTGCTTTTTTTTAAAAAAAGTGTGAATATTATTTTGTATACATTAAAATATTTCTAACTACAATTATGCCTTTTAAATAAGTTAATAGCATATTTTAACCTGTTACAGTAGATAGAAAGTAGGAATTCTCTTTGACGATGTATTTTTCTCGAAGAGATATAATATAGACTAATTTAAAGAAAACCCCCTTTCTACTGGAGGTCTGCAGAGTTCACATTTATTCTGTAAACACTGTAACAATGATTATCTGTCCTCCCAGTTCTCAGTGGAGACTCTTGCTTTTGAAAATGTCTTGTGGTGACTTACTAAATTCAGGCTATTTCAATTAGTATTACTGCACATTAAAAATTAATTGCATTACTGAGTGGATTAAGGTTTAAATTTCAATTCTACAGTATGTGCACTAGAAATGACAGCTAAAAATCAATGCTCTTTGGCCCACAATTGGAAGTGTGTGTGGTTGAATAGCGTGGGACTGGCGTCACCGGCCAACCAGTTTTAAAAGACTTGATAGTTCTATTGAAGGTGTGTCAGTTTTAATCCTAGATTTTAGTTTGAATGCTGCGCAACAGCCCAGCCTCAGAGAGAGAAAAACAAAACAACAGCTGCACTAACAATTTGAAAATAAATGGACACAGGTACTAAAATTATGACAACAAAAGGAGTAATAGTGCCCCTAAATACACATCTAATTATCCCTTGGTTAAAAGCTTGTTCACAATTCTGTTCAATAACAGTGCAGAATCTCTGACTTCAATCCACATTATTTTGCTATTAGTTACTGGGTAAAAACAGTAGACCAGGGGCGGGAAACAGGCTATTTTGTAAAGAAAACAACTAGTGTATACAATATTCATAATGATTTTATCTATGTCTTAAGCAAACCTAAAAAGATATTGAAAATACAAATCTTTTCTTTAAGAAGTAATCCCATCTAGACCTCTATTTTAAAATGAATTATTAAACCTCTTTGGGGAAAGGGACAAATTAGGATGGGCAATAGTTGACCATTTTGACTACAGATTTATAACATCTATACAAAATGGGTGAAAAGAAATGTCTCACTTTTATTTACAGTAAATTTGTTCTTTTAAGAAGATGAAGAGGAGAGACATTGTAAATGAAGTCAACAAAGTAAAGAGGCATCGATAAAGAACTGCAAAACCACCCAGGGTCTCTGGTTTTGGAATTGAATGGTGATTGGTATGTGCATAAGAGAAAAAAATGATGTCTGCAGTGTTCCTCAAGATGCCCTCTGTGTTGTACCGGTCGCCAACAGTAAGTTCGGCAGCAAGAGAGTAAAGAAGATGGGAAGTAATAATAACAATAAAAAGAATAATCTGGTGCAAATGGACCCCAAGGTGTAGTTGTCATCCCTGTGCAACAATCACCCTTCACTGCAATTTACTGATGTTGCTTCATTACAATACAGCATATAAAGGGGCAATGCACAAAGTCACTATTTAAAGCTACATGGTTAGAAGCAGTGCATCCCACCCTAACAGGCACGGTTGTGGGAGCTAAGTCAGATTGTTCAAAAGTGAATTGACCTGTAAAAAAAATAAATAAATAAACAGAGGTGAAACCTGAACGCAGCATGGTGCTAAATTTGGGGAGAAACGGAAGAAGAGGTAGCAGGAAAAAGTTTTTCCTTAGTGAAATATTACAGGGATCCCAAATTAATCTGGATTAAAACATCCTTTGAGAGTGTAACAACTTGTGGCTTTGCTAAAAGGAAAAGATAAAGAATATGATGTTTCCTGTTTGGACAATATAAACAGGCTCTCCGTTTTCTATTTTTATCCCTCATAAAATGAACTGAAATAATGTTTTTAGGTAAACATAACACTGTAAATTCAGGTTAATATGACTGAAAAGAGAGAACGACTGATTTTTCTAATTTTTGTCTGCTGTAATTGAAAGTCTTACTTTTCAGTCAGTGCTCAAAAGATGCCGAGGCAATGTGTTATGGGGAAAAAAAGAGATTCTCTCCTCACCAAGGATCACTGAGTATGTCATTGGTTAATTCTTGCTCTATGCTTCTCATTAGCATTACTCTCAAGTTTCTGGTTATCATATCTGAAATATTAAGACATAATAACTACGAAGGTGCAGATAATTGGATATTAACCAGAACATACTTGACTGGGCAGGAGGTAGAGCCCTGCTTAAACTAATCCTGAAATATATTAATCACCAATTAATGAAAGGGTTTCAAATTCATTTGTATTATAGAACACCTCCGAGTATCTAAGCTTTTTCTAACAAAATGACTTGGAATAACAGGGTAGAAATAAGAAATACAGCCATCTGATGACGGCTTGAATTAATTCTTTACAGCATGTTGTCAGGTAATCATGAAAACTATAGTTAAAGCCTTACTTACTCTTTACAAAGTCTGATGAAATGAAGGAACTCTTTTCAAAGTTCAGTGGCCTCTGTTTAATATTCCAAATTTATCCCTTTAAATAACAGACCGATAGCTAAATATTTCATCAGAGAGCTGTCAGAATATTATCCAAGTCTTCCACCTCCAGACCTTCAGCTCAATAACAGATGTACTCTTAAAATATAAAGCCAATTAATAGAAGCCCAGAGAACTCCAGTGAAGACATGCTTTATACACAGTGAACACTCCATGGTACTAGGTTGATGAATTAAGAGATAAAAACCTTGTCTAGTAGAAATGTCACCCACCACTTACTTACATGGAAATAAAGTAATGCTAAAAAAAAAAAAAAAAAGAAAAAGAAAGAAAAAGAAGAAAACATAAAGAGGAACAAATGGAGAAGAAAAGTCATACTTCTGTACGTTCCATGTGGCTGCAAGATTGTGTCTGATATGTACGTCTCACAGGCGTTTTATTAGTTTGGTTTAAAAAGCCTCACTGTGCTCTGTGGAAAATCTTGTACAAGTGCTCTTTAAGTTAGATAAACCGCTAGAAAAATGCCATTCATCTTAAAGAAAAAAGTAAAATTTCTAAGCACATTATTTTCCTAAAGAACATTATTTTCCTAAAGAATATTATTTTCTTAAAGTGTGAAAAGAGACTGTAATCTCTTTTCATACTTAAAAGATGTAGTTCCCCAAAACTCTGAGGAAGACTTACATTTTTATGTCAGCGAAAACAAGGTGTCTGAATTAATGCAATGTAAGCGTGAACTTAAACGATACAATTTCTCTATTTCTCCTGCCTTGATTCACTTAATTTGATGAAAATAGTAAGAAAACGCTTGTTACCTCAGAGTTTTTTTTTTTTAATTCTGTTGTTTGTTGACTTTAATTTTAATAACTCTTAAATAAGCACTCACAGCAGATGGACTTAAAATATGCTGGCAAGCAGGCCCTTTTATCAACAATTTTGCCATAGAAATACACAAACATTTCAATGGCTCTTCATTAGCAAACAAATCAACAAGTGATATTTTAATGCATGACTTTATTCCATCTCTGTGGGGACTGCAGTTGAGAGTGTGATGTACAGTACAGAGAAAGGAATCATCAGCCACAATGTCCCAGGGCTCTCTCCATTGAGGACTTCGCAGCCTCTGCTTAAAGACTGCATTTAATTGACTGATAGACAGTAGCTTCTTTGTTCACAGAAGACAGCGAAGTAATGGCAGCTTGAAAATCGTACCATCTACAGGGTCTCCTGAGACTAGTAACAGGGGGATATGTGTCAGGAATAAATAAATAATCTAATTATTAAGCCACTTCCTGTCAAGTTAACTCCAATTTGTTGGCTTTTGAAGGCAACAAAACGAGGCATTTTTCCTCATTATGCTTCTCTTTTTATACCAGTGGTAATCACAGGCGGATTAAAGGGTGCCTGATTGGTTTTTTTGTCAAGGAACTGAGAAGCAGCCAACAGTACAGAAAAACAGAGTTGGGGTTAGAAGAAATTTCATGCTTGTCTCCTTTCCAGCTCCCTAACAGCCCACACGGCTGCCCCATACAGAGCTGCCAGCTGTACAGCAAATGTGTACCCCTCCAACTGAGGCCTACCGGGCCACAGGCGCCATCCTGAGAGCTGTGAGATACCTTGCAATCTTGGCAGGTAGCTACTGCTGTCATAGGCATAATTCTAAAGGTGACCTACGAAACCCCATCAGCTCACCAAATGCAACAATATGAGCAGCTGAAGTTCGACACCCACTCTCCATATTGGCTCCCTTTCCTTTGTTTACTGCTATTAATGGCCCTGAAACTAGGAAATAACCTATGGAAATAGGTCATCAGAGACCTTTTCCTTTGATGTGTGTGAACGGATTCTGTGGAAATAGGTCACGATGTGTGTGTGTGCATGGGCAAGCATGACTGTGCAGGGATCTATATCTTTTTAGGTATTACTGATGACTTTTAGTGCCCTCCATTCGGAAATGCTTTGCAAGCTTCATTCAGAAACAGATACCCACATCTGATAAGGAACATATCAAAGAGTGAGTGAAAAACCGATACATTAGTGATACATTCTACCGGAAGTCAAAGGTGAGGACAAAATGAGGTCCAGAAGCCCTGCCATTGTATGTCAGCCAGTCACATGGCCGTAACCAACTGGTAGGGCCTCTCTTCCTAGCGTCTCTGTGCTGAGCCTAGGACGACAGGGTGGCATCCAGTAATTCTCCTTGAGAACAACATTTTTCTGAGGCCCCTTTAGGGGCAGTGTGTTCTAAAGAGTAATAAGACACTGAATCTTCGATCTATGGCCTCAGCCACAATCCTCAGCCTCACAGAAAATTAACATCATAAGAAATGTCTAGCACGCTATCTTTGGGGTTTATAAATTAAAAAGTACACTAACTGCCAGTATTTTTTATTCTTGTAAATCAAAGCTGCTAGACGCAAGCTAAAACACATGATTTGTCTTTTAATAGCTTAACCCTGAAATTGAGTGACAGACCTGAAGACTTTATCCCAGGTTCCTTAAGAAATGAGAATCCAAAGAATCACGATGAGCTCTTAAAAACTCTGCCTTCCTCCAAGAAGTCATTTTTCTTTGAGTTTCTTTTAAATTGTCTTTGTTTTTAGGAAGGCTGATCATATGGAGCCTTGGTACGTTCCTGTGGCCCCCTCTTTGCACTTGGTAAGCAGTACAGCTATGTTATATTTATGCCCGCGTATGTCCTTTCTAAATACATCCTGAATTTTTGCTAAATTGTGGAGATAATTAAACCCTCTTCATATTTACAGTCTGCTTCATTGGTACCATGAATTCTGTTTTCAGTTACTGTCTGCAAATTCCCTCTCTGAACAATTTCATACTAAGCAATAACACTTCATTTTACGTAAGTTTTATCTGATGTCCCCATACAGAGCTGCCAGCTGTACAGCAAATGTGCGGTTCTCAAACTGAGGCCTACCAGGCCACAGGCTCCATCCTGAGATCTATAAGGCACCTTGCTGTCATTGGCAAGCGTTCCCTGCTATCTCTGTGACCATCACTCCACACTGCACACAACTTAAAATCATCTGATTATTAGAATTTGTGGCCCACACTCCATTTTATCCTTTATTTAATCTATCCCCAGATCACACATTTGTTTAAATGTTTTGGCTGGTTTACAAATCATGCAGCCATCTGCACAGTAGGTGTGACACAATTTTTTAGACAAAAGTTACGTTATAAACAAAGATAAAGTCATTTGAAATGCTTTGGTGTTTGTTATTCTGCCTGGTTCACTTGGACCAACTCTAAGAAATAAATAGAATTATCTGTGTAAATCGATGAACATCTATGAAAAACAACACCCAGCAGAACGCCCAGCTTGCTCCATTACCTACGTTAATATCATGACAGCTGAGGAGAGATGACCTGGCCCACTTCTCATCTCTCCTGTACAGATGGCTATTAAAGAGAAAGTATCCCTTTTGTATGGTCCATGTAGAAACCCTTTATGGGCTTTTCAAATAAGCCAGCATTGCCCACATGAGGGTAGCTTTCTGTTACCATTAAACTGCCCAGATTTCATCTTTTTTAATCCAGCTCTTGATGAAATAAGCCAGTGTTTTATCATATTTAACACCAAATGCTTGTTTCTTAATTCTCTGAATTTTGTAAGCAATCAAATAAGGATTTTTTTTAAAAAAGGGTTCAGTCATCTTCTCATTTAGAATGAATGTAAATCAAGGTTCCAAAAAATCTCAGTGATTTTGAGCTTCTTAGGATAGCATGGAGATTATAAACACATATGTATAGCCACACATATAGGCATTATTGTTGATCCATTTCTATTCATTCTTTTGAAACCAGTCGGTGAAAGCAAGAGTTTAAAGGGAGACATGGACCTTTCTCTTCCTATGCAAAGATCCATATATTTGGATATTTTCCCTTAGGACATAAAATCCTAAACTACTATGAACCTCAAAATACTGGTTTTAGTCTTTTCTAAAGCAAGTGCACTCAAGCTGAAATGCTTCAGAGGTGATACTGAAAGTCGCAAAACAATAATGAAGATTAGTCACATAGTACACCACCCACTAAAGAAATGAAAGGAAAAGAATGCCATTTGTGACCTTGGGCACCAAACAAATTGCAGGAAGTATGAATGCCACCTGCCACAAGAACAGACTAAAATTTCACCACACTGTTAAGAACGGATTTACTCATTCTTTATGCCTTGACATCAGTGATATATATCATGTGTAACACAACACATAGAGTACGTATCTTCCTACATATGCTGGAGAGAGCTTAATCTTTTTCTGATTTTTTGAAAATCGTGATTATCTATAAAATACCGAGTATTTATTAGAGATATAAATAAAAAGTCAGTATTTTTGCATCAGTATTTTCTTATTAGCTATCCTTTAAAATCCTAAATTCTAGTTCTGCTTTTCTAAGAGACAAACATATTTGCTTCTTCAAAATGCTTTAACATTACACTTGATCTATCTAGGACACGTTTATTAGTGACTATTTCTGGATTTTCCTATCTTTTACAAAACGGGGTATCCTGACACTTAGACACAATTTTGCCATTACAACACTGGTCTCTCTAGTCAGATGAAAAAAATAAAACATATTAAGTAACCATTTCTAAGTATATTTTAAAAAATAATCCTTATGTAAATGGCTTGTACCTATTCCATTCATTTTCTCCATCCATGAACTTTGAAAGGGAGGCCTGGAAATGGCCACAGCTATATCCTGACTACTTGTCCTCCAAAGTCCATAACTATAGTAATCAATTCCAAGGATAATGGTATTTCTCCCCTTTGATCATTCCTTTGTCAAGCTGACTGGCCTTCGATGGTGAGTGTACTGCTGGTTGTCTACCACCAGCCGCTTGCAATTTGCTCACTATGTTTCATGAGACAGTTGTTTGTGGCTGTTTGGAACACATTTGTTTCTTTGGGGATTTATGCGCTAGTTGCAATGCCAACCTCCATAGTGATCGAAATTTCTTTCTAACTAAAATAGATAATTAGAGGCTGGTAATTATTGGTCAAGAATTATCAGAGTGAAAAAATTAAGCTTCTCATAAATAGTTCTTGGCAATGTCATCTCTTTATATTATCTGATGCCTAACAGCCCTTTATTCAGAGCACTTACAAATTTACTCTATGCTGTTGAGCCTCATAATTTTATATGAGGCAATCCCTTTGCTGGGTTAAACACATTTAAATTCTCTTGTTTCATCTCTATTTTTGCTAATCCATACCAAAGAATAATAATAATAACAGACAGCTCAGAGAGGAAAATAACAATAAATATTTACTATGCTGATTTCAGAAAAGAGAAGGGTGAATAGGAAATTAAAGCACGTAATACACACTTGTATCTTGTTGTATTCTCAGGTCAAAAGCCAACATAAACTATGTGAAATGAGCAAAGGAAGAGAGGAAAAATTTTCTCATTGGCACAGATCTTAAAAGAGGGAAATCTTTTCCCCAGGAAAGCTGTTAAAATGTTTTGTAGCTCTTTTTGCGTGTGTGTAAAGAAGAAAAGAAACCCCTGAATAGTCACTGGTCTGATTTCATACTGAAACTCTGTCAAAATGTGGTGAAGAGGGAGGTTTTCTTTTTTTCCTTAATAGACATAAGTCAATTCCCTAGTGCATTTTTATCGAGTAATTATTCTCGCAACTCAGACCATGTGTCCACACCTTGCTGCAAAACTGCACTTAAGAAGAGCACCTCTGGTATGTACCTGGTAGAAACATTGGTGATTTCCCTTTCACAAATGTCCCTGGCCAACAGCCTGAGACCAGCACATCCAGAAAGATGTGTGGCGGTTGCTTGACACTGAGATTGCACACAAACATAGGTGCCACAGGAGCAAATGCAAATGACTTGAGTAAAGAAGGAATTTAAAGTTACACCTCATTGGGTCATCTGTAGATCTTGTTTTCCATCAGGTGACATAATCCTTCCTCTACATTGATTGAAATGTAAAACAAAATCTGCAAAAACACTATATACCCTCTTAACAAAAGGAGTAAGAGGCTTTTCAGATAGTCCCTAATCCCCCTTCCTCTATTAAATGTCTAGTTGAGATTATTTTTTGATTAGACAAAAAAAAAAAACCACACACAGATACACAACCTAAAAATACCTACCCTCAATGGAGGTATTTTAGCTAACAAAATAATGCAGCCTGCATCATTTGAAAGACTAAATAGCACATTGGAATTCTAAAAAGGGGTATCTTAGCCTTTGTGACTCCCTTGGTTTTTGCATTCTCTCTAGATACTAACAGCACAAATAGGGTGTAAGGACTTGGATGCATGGTCAACAAATAAAACAATTAAATGGATGCTACTCATTTGTTTAGGCCTCAAGTGCAAGAGAATTACATATTTTTATTATTAAAAATGGCATGAATATTAAATAACTAGACCCTCTGTGAAAAGGAATGGAATGTGCTTCTCTGATGAAAGGTGAATTGTTAAATGCTCAGGTCCCAAGAGGTAAGTGTCTTATTAATCCACTATAAGGTAGAAGGGAAAAAGCCTTGGGAAAGCACTAATGATGCAAGGAATATAAAATAAATACAAATAGGAATGATATAAAGCAATTTAAAAAGAAGACAAAACAAACTGATTAATGTTTATAGGCAAAATGATACTAAAATTGGAAAATCAAAAAGTCCTGTTATGCTGAACATTCAATTGAAATTCTAAATGTGCAAAAGAGTATTAACATTGTGGTGAAAATATATTCAACATATTCATCTATGTACTGGGACAAATAATAAATCCAGAAACAAAAGTAAGTTTACATTGAATAGAACTAATGAGAAGCATGACCACAAAATTTCACTGAATTTCCCATAAACTGCAGACTTCTAAGAACTGCCTTCATTCAAGCCTATCTAAAAGTGCAGCATGAGGTAGAATCATGAATGACTGCCACCAACACAGTCTACTCAAGAAATAAAGAGACGGGAAATATTAACATTTATCATTTGGCAGGAATTCATTTTTTCTAAGCTGCTCCTCTCCTCTAAAAAGCTGTTTTAAAAGTTTATATAAGGTATTTTTTACAATCTCAAACAGAAGGGAATTGCAAGGAAACATTTGAATCTCTCCTACATTTTGCCATTATCTTCTAATCACTCACTAAAGCTGTCAACGCTATTGTCACATTGAAGGATATACTATTTAATATATGAGAAATCACGAATAATATTAATACTTAAATCTGGAAAATACAGAGATGAATTGATCAATATTTTAGCTGTTATGTATAAGTTCCATTTTGCACAAATAAGCTCTTAGTCATTTATAAGCAACAACCCCCCAGAAGACCTATCATTTGAAAACTATAAAGCACATCCTATTGAAAAATTATCAATCAATTTTCCAACATGCTTTTGAATTTATCTTCATTAATTTATATAAGAAAAATTGAAGTTTTGTTATAGCTTTAATGATCAGAAATGACAGGGGAACAACCTTCCACTAAGCATTCTTAGAATATTTCTAATTAGTATACAATCAAACTTATTCCCCCCTGAAAACAAGTTCATAGTCTAAACTGTTGAATTTTCTTTCCTGTCTTACAGAGTTTCATAGTAGGAGAGTATGAGGTTAATTTGACTTTTTAAATATTATAATTATTTATGGTATTATGAAATACCATGAAGTGAGTATGAAATAGAAAACTCATAGTATAAAAAACATAAATGAGTAACAAAAATAGCATAAAGTAATAGCAATTGTCATTGTACTAGTAGAAAAATGATCTGCTTGATAAAGTTTAACTGGCTGGTAAAACGTTTAGTGTTATTACTAAATGCTTATCAAATTAAAAAACATAGGCAGTAATCCATGAGGAATTAAGAAATAATGGGACAATATGAATAAGTTAAAAAAATATCCTTTTGGTTTTAGGCCATGTGATAAATGCAAAATCCTAAAAACAATGGCCTGGAGTAATTTCAGAAATCTTTCCCCAAACTACTTTTATTAAAATCTATGGAAAATTTGGTGGGGAATAAAAAATGATCACTGAATTCTTTACATGATCTTTATGATCATGATTATTTCCAGGCTGTTGAAACCATACATATAAAACTATTTTATGGCTATTTAAATTATTTATGTTTCCCTATCACAAAAACTCGCTACTTTAGATTTTGATACAAAGATGCTTAAGCAACGCACAACAGTGCCATTACCATAATAACTTCTGAAATTAAAACCTGTCTAAAACTCTATGGAAAGCTAACATCCAGTTCATTAACCATTCCTGTTAGTTTTCAATAATGCAAAAATGATTAGAAGTTTAATTTGTTAATCACCTGTGTTTTGACTGGCAGTAGATATATAATCCTCTGCAGAAGTCTAAACTAGCCCTTGCAGAAAATAAAATGTGCTAACACCTTATCAGGACTAATAACAGAAATTAAAAAAAAAATCAATCATGCCGAGGAAAAACAATGATGGTTGAACAATTAATTCATCTTTAACTCTGTTTAATGGTGATATACACAAGCAGAAGAAACATCTATCTGTAATAAGGTTTAGAGTGTCACTCACCAATCATGTGATTTGCAACATGAACCTGAATATCCCATTCATTGTAGAAAACCATCTGACACTTGATGCATTGATAGGTCTTCTTCTGAGAAAACAAGTATAAACAGAGTTACTTAGACACATGGACTTTTAATTGTTTCTTTGTTTAAAAAACATTTTTCTGAGATGCTGATCTTACCTATGTTGCTAAGGAACAAACTAAACTACAGGGCCCCTTGGCCCAAGTTCTACGAATTCCTTACTTAGACCTTATGGCTTGATCCCAACACTATATTTTCATTTGCAGACATTTAGAAGAAACAGAAGCACATAATTATGGCATAATATATTTTTAAAGATCCCTAAACTCAAAAACAGAAGGTTTTTAAAACCAGAAGTATTACAGAAATACAGTTTAAAAAAACATGCGTATTAAAAAAAAATCTACAGAGTTTCAGAAACCAGTGTCTTTGAAGATCAGGCACAATTTCATTCTGACCAACATAACTGGGGTGTTGCTTCTAGATATCCATAAGTAATACGGCTAATAAGTTAAGATTCATGGATGCTAGCTAAAATATTTAGAGATATAATTTTTGGCTAAAGTCTACAATTTAAATGATGTTTTAGAAGTTGCTAAGCATTAGTATTTAAATATGTACCTCATCCTATAAAGAAATAATATCATAATGAACATTCTAACACTATTTTATCATTTTACACAACAGCCCTGTGAAGTAGAGCAAGATTTTTATTATAATTCTTATAGCATAAATGAAGAAACTGAGGTCCAGAGAAATAGAAAGATTTGCCTGATGTCATGGTGCTGTACAGCTGGGAAGAGAAATACTTTTGATTCTAAATGCTAGTAGGCTCTCTGATTTCTGAATCATAAAGCAGCCATTATAATTTTACATCTTTATTACTGAGTCCCAGTACCTATTAGATGAACTCAATAAATAGAGTATTAGCTGTGTTTTCCAGAACACATACTTACATAAATTCCTTTTTGATGAAACTTAATATTTGTAATTAAAAACCATGTTGGAAGACAAAATAAACCATTATGAAAATAATCCATTTTTAAAATTTCCCAAACATGAGAAAATTACATTTGTAAAATCACATAAATGACATTTTCTTATAAGCGTTTTTTACAGAATTATCGTTTCATTTGAAATCATATAAAATTGTTTTACTGATGGTATTAATAAGGAAATACCAGCCTGTAAGTTACAATCAATTTTAAGGAACTGAAGTTCTTTAGAACTGAACAAAACCAAAGTTAAGCACAAACATTTAGCATAATTCAAGATTTAAAATTATAAATGCCATTAATATAAATTTTTCCTAATTATTGTAATTTAACATAATATTTTCTTCTGCAACAGTGGCCAATATTCCTTGTAAACTACGGAAGTACAGGCATATTTCCATTGGAAGCTGTCTAAATCATCTGACGGTCTTTGTACATTAGGCATATTGCGAACTGAATGTGCTGAATCTAAATCTAACACGGACTTCAAACACCCTGACAATCACCAAGGAAGATTGACTACACCGAGCTGTTTACAAGATGCTTTTGATGGTGACATATAGAGCAACATGTGTTACGTAAGTAACATCTATCCCTTTTTTAACACTATTTCCCTTTAGAACTAGTTAGAAAATATTTCTTACTCCCTGATGACCTACATTATATATTGTTTATTAGCATACTTCTAGCATTATTCCTGATATGTGACCTTGCTGAAAAACAAAGAAACATAAACTTAATGGCTAGTCTTTTCTCTTGTTAGCACAGTAAAACATACAATATGTCGAAAACTGTCTCCAAAAATGATGACTGATGAATATGTTGGCAGAATATACTAGGGCTTTTTTTTCCCCAGTCTAATAATAAAGAATAAAATCACTTGAAAAGCCAAAATAATAAAATGCCAGCACTTACTACTATCTTCAAAATGAACTGACACATGTAAGTTTTCTTTTATCATTGAATGAAAATGCTTTTGCCACTACTGATAATTCAAACATTAATTCTCTCCACTCATAAAACAGTGTCTAAAATACTATGTTATATTTTTTATTAACAAAGCCATATTCTTATCTATAAGCTCCTAAAGTTACGGCTAGATAAGAATTTACTGTGATCAAAAACAATGAACCGTGATTTTAAAATACTGAAGCTTGAACTCTACTTCACCATATTTTTCACATTTCCCAAATACAAAGCAATGATATGCAAATTGGGATGTGTTAAGGGTTTTCTTTTTAAAGCCATGATGTAAAATTCATTTTTACCCTTAATTTTTAAAACGTTGATGTTAAATGACCTTTAAAGCATATCTCATTATAATTATAGATTATTCGCAAAATATTTGAGAGATCCCTGCACACCTGTACACCATCTTTAAGTAAAGGGATTATAACCTCTGAACAGTGTCAGCCTTGGGGAACTCATTCCCTTGGAGGTAAATTTATTCCACCTCTGTGTGGCTAAAATTATGAGAGAATTCTTCCTAATTCTAGACCCAAATCTGTTTTTCTGCCACTTTCACCCATTGGCCCTAACTCTAAGCTCTGGTGCTACAAAGAAGAGGTTGAATCCATTGTCTAATATGACAATTACATTAGCCCCTTTTCAGACTGAACATAGGGGCACAATGTAAGAAATACTTGGAATTACCTCCCTTCCTGGTTACCTATCTCCAGGTCAATGTTTTAAGAAATAGAACCCCAAATGAAGTGCCATACTCCAGGTATGATCTGACCCTTGCAGAGTACATGAGGATTGTCATCTCCCTTAGGACAATTACTTACATTTATATAAAAGACAACAAAAAAAGTCAAGTGAGATAATTTCTTTTAAAAGCAGATAAAAGTAGAAACAGAACTTCCATTGTTTGGGCCCCAGATTGGCCTTTATCAACGCTTAAGTTGTCAATTTACTTGAAATGCTAATTTAGTACATTTTTAAAAGAGACTTTTTTTTTCATTAGCCTTTTTAAATGTGCTACTTGGGAGTGGGATTGTCATTTCCTGATTGTTCTCTTTTGTTTTCTGATACTGATAGATGTAATTATCAAGGATACAACTTTTTCCTAGCACCTCATTATTTTTGATTGATTTTGAGAACAATTTAAATGTGCCTTTTTGACATTCTTGTTTTCAGTTACACTCTGGTTAAGGTACTCAGAGACTTTTTAAAAAGAACATCTCATAAATTAAAAAAATGATTAGAGATGCTTAATAATATATAGTTTTAAAAAATTATTCTGATTAACCCTATTCCCCTCCATTCCATCCATTAGGACTCAGACTTCACATTTAGTCTTACCAAATTTTAAAAAGTAATTTAAAATAATAATTATTAAAACTTATACTTTGTAGAAATCAAACTGCTTTGATTTCTTTTACCAAAATACTGAATAGATTAAAAAAAATCAGTGCATAGTAATCCTCAAAAACAGAAAAGAAAAAAAATTAAGTTGTTACCATGTGAGGTGACTATTACATCAATTTCTTTTTCTGAAAATTGGCAATGAAAGGGTCAGAAGCACCTTGCTTTTTTAAGGAGGAAGTGTAGGTCGTGCCTATTTGATGAGTGAAAGCTTTTCTTTATAGAAGAATGACAGCAGAAGGGATGACAAAATTAGATATTCACCATTTTGCAATGCCAAATAAAATGGTTCAGGATAATCATTAATGGATGCTGAAACTAGTAGAAGACAGGTTATTCTGAGATACTCAAATTCCATCCTTTGATCATTGCAAAGCAAAAGATATATCTTTACATTTAGCTGATGGTAATTACTCTAACCAGACTATTTAGCTTAATATCACTAAGAATGGAAATGACGTGACATTGTGTACCTCTTAATGAGTTGCAATATGAAGTATACATCACCAATATAGTATCTTATCTAAAATGTGTACTTGAATCTAATTAAGTCTTTAGGCCTAACAATCCAGTTTTCAGTAAATACAGGCATAGGGGAACAAATATTACTATGAGAAAAAAATGCAAATCTAGAATATTCTTTCAGAGAAATGGCCTGTTGTCTTTGAAAAGAGGAACAACTATTACTATGAGGGGGAAAAAAAACCCTCAAATCCAGAATATTCTTCAAAAGAAATGGCCTATTGTCATGGGAAAAAAAAAGTGAACAGATGAAAGAGACTGAAAAAGACTTGAGCAAATGTAATGTGTGGATCCTGATTTGGGGGGAGGGGGTGGAAACAGCTATAAGAAGGCTTTTGAGGCAATTGAGAATAATTTAGATATCAATCTGACTATCAGCTGATTATTAGATGCTATCGGGATGTTATTGTTACCTTTTTTAGATGTGATAATGGTATTGGGGTCATGTGGGTAAACATTCTTTTTGGTAGGAGATGCATACTGAGTATTTAGGGATGAAATATTTGCAATTTACTTTCAAAAGTTTCAAGAAAAAAACATATATAATCATATATAAGTAAATGGCTACATGTTAACCATCATAAAATCTAGGTGTATACATGAACATTTTCATAAAAACTGGAAAAAATGAACAGGATAATTCATAACATGTAGTTTTTAGAAGCTCAACCTAACCTGATTAACCCCATCTCCACTATTCACTTTAGACTCCTTCACTTGATATGCACCAAAAATAATTTGTGCTTAGTTGTTTTAAGTAGCTTTGCAAACATTTTGGTATTTGTTTGTGAAGTTTTTGTTTTTGTTTTTTACATAAATCTAATATATAAACTCTAAGAAGTCAGGAACCATAGCTCACATAATTTTATAAACTGTTTCATACTTTAGTCTATAAAGAACTTGTATGTAAAAAAAAAATCCCTTGAAACAGTCCTGTTAAGAGTAGATAAAGGAGGGATTATTATCCTCATTTATAGATTAATTAAGTGACTTGGCTAAAGTCATACAGGTATAACCAAGCCAGGATTCTACTGTCTTTCACACACTGGATTTTAACACAGTTTATATTCTGGTCATTTGCAGGTAAATTTACAATTACATTTTAGGTGCATTTCAAAAGGAGGTTTTCCATATAATTAAGTAGTGCTTTGGTCTTTGACAATGCCAGGAATGGTAGGAAAAGTAACTTACGAGAGCGAAGGAACTGTCGGTAGCCACGTTAGCCTTAGGCTCCCAGTCCCAGACTCTTGACTAAGATTCATAGGATAGAATTGGCTCTTAATTCCTTTAGTCTATTTCAAGATTTTCCCTTTGTCCTCAGTGTTCTGCAGTTTTCTTTTTTTTTTTGGCCATGTTTCAAACTGTACCTTTACGTGTATTTGTCTTGCTCAATACAAAAATAATAATTTCAATTTGAGATCTCACTTATGTACTCAATTCTTAAAATTTTCAGTGATTAAAATCACTCAGTTATTAAGTCTATCTAAGACACTCTCCATTCACTTCTATCAGAATCCTTATTAGACACAGATTGGAGCCTCTCAGTCTATCCTCCATGTATTTTAACTGCCCTTTCATTCATATTTTAAGAATCTATTTGTCTTCTTATGTTCTAATCTAGATCATCTTCTCTGTACTCTTACAAAACACTGATTCTCTCTTCACAGCTGACCAGTCTAGAGTTTATCCTATCTAGCAAAGCTTTTATTTAAAATGACTATTTTTCATTTCCAACATTTCTAGTTTTAAACGTTCAAGTGCTTTTGTTTTACTTCTGCTTGGATTTGCTTCATAATTTGTCACTCTTTTCAGTGGAAATCATATCTTCATTTATCTTTCTGAGCTTCTAAACATGCTTATTTCAAAGTCTTTGTCAGACTGTTCAAAATAATTATTTTCTTCTTTTTTTTCTGCTTTACTAGTGTTTGATTCATTCACATACTTTGGAATCTTGGTTGAAAGCCCATTTGTAGTGATTTTTTTTTTTTCTATGTGCTCATTTCTCCCTTTCTAGTAGTTTCGCCATTGGTTCTACTAGGGCATCCCAGGCTACTGTACCAGAGCTGGGTCTCAGAGGGGCATTTGCTGCCTATCTGCTGTGCTGCAGGGATAGAGAGACATTGCAAGGTAAATCACAGAGGCAACACATGGGTAATTCAGTTTTATGTCACAAAACCGTGTCTTCCTTCCTACTCCTTCAATCCTCCAGGTAAAAATCCTAGTTCCTGGTAGTGGTCAACAGAATTACTTTTTCCCAGTCTCTTGCTGTGAACAAGAAATTTCCTCCCAGGCCCTGCTTCAAATAGTGGATCTGGATTTGTTCCATAGGGATTAAACCCTAATTACCACTTTCTATTGCTGGAAAATGTTCAGCAGACCCCTGGCTTTAGCCTTAATAACCATGTGGTTTTCTTATTTGGTTTCTGGATCTCAAAGACGAAGAACTGTTTTGGACTTGACTAAGTCCATTTGTTTTTCTATCTTTATATTTTATCAATCATTGCTATATGTTTGGAACATCAAAGCCAAAGTTACAGAGCCATTTTTCCAGGATGTCCCATAGCTCTCAGCTCCCTCTATTTCAAGGCTTTTAAGGAAGGACGAGTGTCAGATTTGGTCACAACCCTGAAATCAGGATGTTGTACAATGATGCTGTAAAGTACTCATTCCAAATATATCCAGCAGTCTTAGTAGGAGAGAATCTCTAGATTTTCTTTCTGTAATACTAACTTGCTGTATAGTTAGTTGTGTGACAAATCATTAAATGACCCTGAGTTTCCTTCTCTGCAAATGAAAAAATAATAAAACCTACATCTTAGAGTCGATATGAAAAGTAAGTGAGAATTATATAAAAGTGCTTGGTACCATGCCTACCACGTAGCACACCTGCACTAAACAGTAATTTTTAATGCTTACTTATTTACTAAAGGTACTATTTACTGCCTGTATTACTCTTTATTTGACAGGTTATTATGGGGATGGAATAAAATATGATATAAACTGTCTGTTGTCAAAGGTGAGTAGTTTTCACCCTTTTAAGTGAACTTTGGAACCACATTAAAATTTCTTTCAACTCGAATCCACTAATTTAAATTTCATGACAATTAACAAGGGTTAAACAAATGTTTATTAAATATAGCTTTAAAAATTAGTTGGCCCTCCATATTTGTGGATTTCGCATCTGCAATCAACCTCTGGTTGAAAAATTTGAAAAAATAAAAAATAATACTACAATACCATAAGAATAATCAAATAAAAAACCAATACATTATGACAGCTATTTACATAGCGCTTATATTATATTCAGTATCACAAGTAATCTAGAGATCATTTAAAGTATATGAGAGCATGTACATGTTTTTATAAAGAACTTCAGCATCCGCAGGGCATCCCGGAACCAATCCCCCATGGATACCAAGAGACGACTAATAACACAAATAAAATCACAAGTTGGTGACAAGGTTGGGTGAATGGGAAGAGAGAAGCGGTTAAGAATGTGTAAAAAGGTTTAAGTTAGCTAGGAGGAAAAAGCTGTTTTCAAGGACTATAGCAATATACATTACCATCCCAAGAATGAATATATTAATCGCAAATGCAATATATATTTAAGAGCAGTAGCACCAGTATTTTGTTGGCAAGCAAATGGATACTACATGTGAGTGAAAGTAATAAGCCAGCAGCTTTCCACAAATGCTCAATAACTCAGACATTCTACTAATTTAGCCTAGTCATTTTCTAAGTAATTCTGAATTTGTATGAAAATAAGTCACTGAAGAAAGAAGAAAAAAATGGTTATTGAAATGTAATGAAAGCCACTAATGATGAAAAGCCCAAATAATTCATTGAAAAACAAATGTATCAATATTCTAATTTGTATTCTTGTGACAGTTAAAAGGATGCTATTGTCTTACAGTGGTGGTGAATGTCCTGATAAAAAATCCATGTAACACTTTACATCATGCCTGGCACATGGCAACACCTCAACAACCAAGAGATATTAACCGTGATCCCTAAACTCAAGGCATTACAATGTGATTGGGGAAATAAAACACACAAACATTAAAGTGTTTTAAGTATTTTGCCTAAATGACATGGCAAAGCAGTTCAGAACCAAGTGCCTATTTTGGTGTATTGCAAAGAGAAGACAGAACATGTCAGAGAGTGACAGATTAATATGGTCTGGAAGAGTTAGAAAAAACTCTCTGGGAGAGATAGGACGTGATCTGAGGTCTAAAATGGGAATAATTTTCTTGAGTTTGAAACTGTTACAAGGCCTGGTGTGGTGGCTCATGCCTATAACTCCAGCATTTTGGGAGGCAGAGGTGAGAGGATCACTTGAATCCAGGAGTTCAAGACTAGTCTGGGCAAGGTAGCAAGACCCCATCTCCACAAAATATTAAAAAATTAGTCAGGTGTGGTGGTTTGTGCCTGTATTTCTAGCTACTTGGGAGACTGAGTCAGGAGAATCACTTGAGCTCAGGAGTTTGAGGCTGCAGTGAGCTGTGACCATGCCATTGCACTCCAGCCTGGGGGACAGACTGAGTGAGACCCCATCTACTACATGCCAGCCCAGTTGCTTACAGATGGTGGGAAATAGAAAGACAATTCAGAAGAGAGCCAGGGCTAAATTAGAAGATTGCTTCTGGCCAACTGACTAGACAAGAAAAGGAAGAGAAAAGAAAAAACCTATAGATACTTGTTTTAAATGACTGAGTTGCAATTTTTATAGTACCAGGGAGAAAAAATATTTATTTAAGTATATGAAGTATATTTATTGATACAACCAAAGCTCATGTTGAATTGTGATTCCCAATGCTGAAAGTGGCCCCTGGTGGGAGGTATTTGGGTCATGGAGGTGGATCTCTCAAAGCTTGGTTCTGTCTCTGCGACAGTGAGTGAGTTCTCACGAGATGCGGTCACTTAAAAGTGTGTGGCACCTCCCCGCCACTCTCTATTGCTCCCGTTCTTCCCATGGGAGATGCTTGCTCCTGCTTTCCCTCCTGCAAGAGTAAAAGCTCCGTGAGACTTCCCAAGAAGTGGAGCAGGTGGTAGCACTGCAGAACTGTGAGCCAATTAAGCCACTTTTCTTTATAAATTACCCAGTCTCAAGTATTTCTTTATAGCAATGCAAGAATGATCTAATACATTTATTTTTACAAATAAAACCCTAAACTCCATGAAGATATAAATTTAAGCTACTACTACATTTATAATTGAGTAAAAAAGTTGAGCCATTTTTAAAATGTTTTATTGAATTCTCTTTAAATATTAGATAAAATAGTATTAAAATATTTTATTTTCAAAGGTATCCCCAATAGTCAAAAACCAGGAAATAATTGAGTGGAGTCTTCAGAAAAATCTGACAGGTATGCATTAAAAGCAAAACTCAGTGTTAAAGATGGAGTCATTTCCATGGATCATACCAAACATGTCTCATGGAAGGAATTTACTACCTTGAAGTTTAGGAATAAAGAGTCATTTTATTTCTAAGAATAATGTTTACTTTAAGTTTAAAATTAATAAAGAACAACAAATAATCTTTTTTAAGTTCAAAATTGTCTCCTAACAAATTTTCTTCAAAATTTGTCTTTCTACACACTTGAACTCATTGATGTCTCACATTAAACACTGAAAAAACTGTGCCCAAGTTTCCCATGGAGAGAGATGCTTTATTAGGCTTACTCTCCTCCTTCACATTTTGGAGTCTCTTCCAAGGGACCAACTCATGTCCCTCCCTACACAGTCCACTGAGACCTTCCAAATAAGGTATCTTCATCTAGATCATCTCATTTAATGTTATGGTTTCAGTTGCTGTTTATTTCTATGCCATAAAAAATCTACCTGAATAAAATCTCCCATAGTGTTTTCCACAGAGTAGGCAGTCAATACATTTTGTTTACTGACTGTTGAATGGACAATCTAATGAGTCATTCTAAATCCATCACCTTCATTCATAAGGTACTTACCTAAGACTGGTCTATTTCTGCTTGCAAAACTGCCTACCCCCTTACACAGCACCAGAAATCAGTGAATTGGAAGAGGATGAATAACAGACTAAATTGATGCCGTAGTGAAGGTAAAAAAAAAAAAAAAAAAAAAAAAAAAAAATTACCAGAGCATGTGCTAATTATTTTTGAGCTAGGAAAAGGAATTTGTCTCTTGCTACTCATGGCTATACTATTTTGTTAGTTCCTATTTGAAGACATTTATAATTCATAGTAAATTCTAGTTAACTTCTTACATTGACTGTTTTATAAATGTTCATGTCATTCAAGAAAGGTAAGAAATTGAAGGTGGGAAAATATGGGTTTAAATAATCACTCTTTCAGAAACAAACCTGAGAAGGAAAAGAGAAGTCAAAATTTGGGGTTACACAAAATTAGGGCCTATTTTCCTCATCAATTATTCTGATCATCTGATTGTTTTCATTAAAAAGTATTGAAACTTCTTTCTGTTTCACTGTTACCAAAATAAGGAGCTACGGCTGGTAGATATCAAGGATGGACAATTGGAGAGGTGAAGGAGTAGCGACAGTATGTAAGCACACTGCATCACCATCAAATCACATCACATGCCCAGAGAGACCCCATCCAGAAGAGTGGTAGTATAACTTATAATCCCACCATAAACTAGGAAAAAAATTATTAGGGAGAATAAAGTATTTTAGAATCCATTAAGAAATACTTTCCTAAGTATATGGTTTCTGTCCTAAAACAAATTAGATTGGTTCATTTTATGAGTACTTGATATCATTTAATAAAAAGTCATCACAAATTTCAAAAGGATAAAACAGACAAATTTTTTATCTCATTTAAAAAATTCTCTTATAATTCGTTTACATGTTGTATCAGAATTATTTCAATAAAACTGATCCTGAACAGCTATAAGCTCTTTAAGGCTAGGTAGAAGGCTCTGTCTTATTCATTTTTTTTTAATTTGTTTGTTTTTTTGTTTTTTTGAGACAGAGTCTCGCTCTGTCACACAGGCTGGAGTGCAATGGCACGATCTCGGCTCACTGCAACCTCCACCTCCTGGGCTTAAACAAGTCTCCTGCCTCAGCCTCCCGAGTAGCTAAGACTACAGGCATGAGCTACCTCGCCCAGCTAATTTTTTTTTGTATTTTTAGTAGAGATGGGGTTTTGCTATGTTGGCCAGGCTGGTCTCGAACTCCTGGCCTCAAGTGATCCGCCCACTTTGGCCTCTCAAAGTGCTGGGATTACAGGTGTAAGCCAGAGCCACCGCGCCCGGCCCATTTTGTATCTACTGCAATACATAATTAGTTACACATAACAAATTAATATGTAAATGACTCATACCTGTTCACTGTGCAATAAAAATCTTTGCTTCCTTCTACTTCTCTTTAGATGAAGGCTCCTGTGGAGTCCTAGTCATTCTCTTTTGTTTATATCTCTAATGTATCCTTCCAGCTAGTCTTCTGTCAAAGAAATACCTCGTGTTCTGGTAGTTTTTGTGTCTTACCTACAAAATGTGGTTTGTCTTATACTAGATCATTTCATTTATCCATGTATGTGCCCAAATTACCTTTGTTCTTTATAACTTTTATCTCCGCTGAGATATTTTAATGCATGTCCCCCTTTCTCTTAGCAGTTCTTACTTTGTTTCTCTCTTTCTCCATATTCTTATTCTGGGTTTGCATTTTCTCATCCATCCATTCCACTTGAACAGCTTTCCTACTGAGGCATGTCAGACCACCCTTCTCTTCTCCTTCAAATCACTTCTAAAACCCACCTGCTTCAGAAAGCTTGCTAGCAATTACACCCACACAATGCTGTGGGTGCTGACTTTATTATTCCTGTTGTTTGTACTCTTAGTAAATTTTTTAGGACAGAGGTGTGTTTCTTTCACTTTACCTATTCTAGAACATGCTGTGCAATTACAATGTATACAAATGTGCAAGTGGTAGGGTTCTTTTAACCCCTTGATTTAACTAAAATTATCTAGATTTTTCAAAACCTTCCCCATTCATTATCCCGAAAATATCTTTTTGAAAAATAGGAAAAAAAATGCCCCCATATTCTCTGCATTTCCAAAGGTAATAGCCAAGCTTATATAGGGTATTGTGGAGTTTTAGGATTGAAACGGACAAGTAAGTTCATCTATTTCAAATTTCCTCACAGACAATGAAACAGATCCAGAGAGATGGACTGACCTTGCCCATGACTCACAGAAAGTGACCAACCTAGCAAGCCTAGGACCCCAGACTGCCATGAAAACATCCACATGTACATGGTGTGGCGGCTCATTTACAAAAAGGAGCTGCTATTATTGCCATCTTGGCTATCTGTGATGCTTGCAACTCATCGGGGCTCCTCGGGGCACAGGACTCCAGGACCGACTCTCCAGCACCGCCTCTCCATCGCCAGTTCTTGCTACTAACCGCTGCCTTCTTGGAGGGTTTTCATTTCCCAGTGTACACTTTCAGCGCATAGAATGTGCATATTATATTCAAAGGTTTCCTGTCACTTAAGTAGTAACGTCTTAGTTTTCTCTTAAGCTCTCACACCCAGCACACTGCCTGACAGAGAGCATTTGTGAAAGGGTGCATGAACTACACAGAAGTGAACTGATGTGAGCTTTTTATATGTACACCTAAAAGTAAACGTTTTCAGAATATCATGATGGAGGGAACCAGATTGCTGTTATCAAACACACCTAGATTCTGCATCATACAACCAGGTATAACCTCTTAGTTCCCCTTCAGGTCATCCCAGAAAGATTAAACTGCAGCACTGAAAAAGTTCTGCATAATCATTACTGATAATATATTGCATAAAGCTAGAAATTCTCCAAATAAAAAAAGTCTAAGAATATAATCTGGAAAAATAGGGGGCCCTTTCCCAACCAAGCTTCTGCTCCTTGAGAACATTCTACCACAGTATATAATATGAAAGGTGAGAAGTGTTAAGAAAAGGATAATATCAAATTTGACATCTTGCAAGGAAAGCACCGTGATTTTTTTTTAATTTTCTTTAGAAATCCAGGTGACAAATCAGTCATTCTTTTAAAAGACATGTTGCAATATCACTGTTGAATAGCCTTACTAGACATTTAAACATAGTCCTACTTCTAATCCTGCCAGCTCTTCACAGTCTTAATATACATAGGAATCACTATTTGAAGATATATTTGCTTTTTATAGGTTTAATTCTTTACTGAGAGAAACATGAAGCAACAACTATGTTTGCCTTTTGTGCCCAACGTCTATGAACAATGCTTGCCACACATTTGAAACTCAATTAATTGTTGAATAAATGAATGAATGAACTAGACTCAATCTAAACAGCATTTTAAATTTTGTATAACAAAATAATATCAATCTAGAAACAATTATGGTGCTAAAAGAATCTGTTTTCCATCAAAACTATCTTAATTCTCCAGTTTTAGTAAGTACAGATTTTAAGCTTAGGGGGTTTCCTGCCAGTTTTTCAGCTACTTTACCTGGTCGTTTAGTTTTCCTTCCCTCCCTCCCTTAAACCCACTTTTCTTTTTTTCCTTTTTTCTGTTCCTCCTCTTACTTTCTCTTTTTTGAAAAAAATGACCTTTATCAAACATGTGGTCACTGCTTATAATTATCAATTTCTAGATATTTATCAATAGCTTTTGCAATATTATTTTGTTATGCCAAATTTAAAACATTTAAAACCAACTTGTTACACTGTTTAGATTAATTTGAGTTTAGTTCATTCATTCATTTATTCCCCACACCCACCTCAGCCTCCTGAGTAGCTGAACTGCTGGCACATGCCACACACCACTGAACCCATTAAATTTCTTTAAATTTTCAGTAGAGACGAGGTCTTGCTACGTTGCTTGGACTGTATCAATAGCTTTTAATACAGCTTATTTTTGCTTCCTACTGCCTAAGCCGAACTTAAATGTAAAATTTCGAAGATAATCCTTAGATCTATCTTAAAATGAATATGTTAACAGCAGACTTTGTCAAGTTAGATTTAACGATGCCACTCGACTTCTAAATCATGGCGTATCTTTGTGTTGAAATATCTCTCAATTGCTTACTTAGTAGTAATTTTTAAAATATAAGTTTCTATTTTTTCTTTTTTTTTTGAGACAGCATCTCGCTCTGTCACCCAGGCTGGAGTGCAGTGGCGCGATCTTGGCTCACTGCAACCTCCATCTCCTAGGTTCAAGCGATTCTTCTGCCTCAGCCTCCTGAGTAGCTGGGACTACAGGCGCGCGCCACCACACCTGGCTAATTTTTGTATTTTTAGTAGAGACAGGGTTTCACCATATTGGCCAGGCTCATGATCTACCCACCTCGGCCTCCCAATGTGCTAGGATTACAGGCATGAGCCATGGCGCCCGGCCAAGTTTCTATTCTTAAAATAAAGAGGTTATACATCTAAATTACAAATCGTGGCCAAAAAGAGAGACAATTTTTACTACGTTTTCCCCCCAGTATGTAAATACTGTGTATGTGATTCATACAGGGCATCGTCGGTGGATTTTGGGCAAGTAATAGCCCTTTCAAACGAACTGCTTCTCAAGCTACTCATTTGTTTCCTAGGATTAGAGGGTAGAAATCCTGATTTTGGTATTCACTTACTAAACCTTTCATGTCCAATTTTTACTTGACTTAAATGTTATTTCTCCAAGATGTTGTTAACTCCCTTGCAATCCAATAATACTATTGAGCATTTTTCCTTTCTTAACTGTGATTATATTTGTCACCTATATGCTCATTTATTTATATGCGTTTCTACCTTTTATATGTATTGCTACCTGACACTATCTCTGACCTCAAATAAAGTAACATTTTATTTCTGTGGTCTTTACATTCTTTTTGCTCCCTGATTTTCATTGCCTTTAAGTTTGATTTTAAGACTAAACTATGTTTTTTCCACTTCATCAACTTTGTGGAAATATGATTCCTCATTTAGATGCACTTTGACTGAATAAGCTATAGTTCTAGCATTAGATGAAATAATTCTACATTATAATAACAAATTGAAAAAATTATATAAATATATGTATACATAATACATACATAATAGGGGTATGTGTAGATTACATACTATATAAATGATTTATCACATATGACATTGGTAGTGTGCTTCATGTTTAGCAAGAATTTTCATAGACTATGCCATCTGCTTTTCATGATACCTTATAAAGAGGGTAAAGTATGTTGAATGCCCATTTTAGCAACAAGGAAACTGAAGCTTAGGAAGGACTGGCTGAGATCACATAGATGACCCTGTCAACTGTTACATGAACTCATTTTTTTTCCCTAAGGACAATCTTTCCTTCTACTATACTATGCTGCATATCCTTAAACTCCCCATGCCCACAGCAGCAATCTCCCTATAACAAAAAATTTACAGACTCAGTTAAAGGTTTGCTTATGTAATACAATGTTTAATTCAATAAAATAAATTATTTGCCTTGATATGGGGATTTTTATAGGACTTCGCCTGCCACTCAATCTCTTTATGACATGAAGTGCATAGTATATCACATACTTACGAGGTGTCTAATGTTCTATTCATGTGTGGCTCTGAGAACCTGTACTATTATTTAGTTTTTAGAGAAATGCTTCCTTCTTTGCTTCATTTTCCAAATATTTTAATTACCAGGCTTCAATTATTTACAAGTGTTTACAAAGAACCTATGGCATACAAGTAACTAACCGGGGACCCACGGAGGCTACCAAGCCAAAGCCCAGCCTCTGCCCCTCTCTCCAGCTCTCTGACCTTCTCTCCCACGACTCTGTCCTCTGCTCACTCTGCTCCAGGCATACTGTCTCCCTGTTCTCACATAAGCTTGCCAGACATACACAGAGGAGAAAGACATGTATCCAAATAACCATATTTGTATAAAGCTTCTCCTCTTTACAAACCTGATAGCTAATGCCTTGTGCATGGCAGGAATTAATAAATCTGTTATCACAAATTGAAGTACCAGATGAGGAATAAAAAAGTTCATGCTAAATGCTAATATTCCCCAAAGTGTGAGATATATACCCATTAAAGTGTAATACATGGATACTGCTCTAATCACAATAACAAGAGAAAAAAGATTAACTGAGATGCTAATATGTCTTTAATACCTCTACAACACTTAATAAACTTGTAGTAATGAACAGGTTTCAGGCTCAGAGCCTTTTGTGGGTTAGAATATATGGCTAGAAATTTTAGAATATCATTTTGTATTCATTCTTCTATTTATGGTGAATGATACTGATTATATACTTAGGGTTCTGAGTTTTGGGAGTTTTTTGTTTTTATGTTAAAGATTAAATGCTTATAGAGCATTGATAACATAGGTAATGTATAAAGAGTTAACTGTTAAACACCTGTATACCTGGACTCCTGCACAGCCTCCTATGCAGCCCTCCCAGACAATCCGTTACTCTTTCTCTAAATTTGCATTTTCTATATTAATAATGAGAATAAATATTTTCACATGTTCACTGGACCTTCATGCTTCCTATTTGTGAAATTCTGTTCATGTCAATTTCCCATTTTCCTATATGGCAGTTTGCGTTTTTCCATCAGTTTCTAGCTGTTTCTTACATAGTTTTGGAAACTATTCATTTTTCTAGTTATGTGTTATAAATTTGTTTTATAAACCTGTAGCTTTTGTTTTCACTCCCTATATGATGTTTGGTAAACATAAATTATTTTTAACGTTGCTGAACATATTTTATTTGTGATTTATATTGTGTGGGCTTGTTTACAAAATAATTCCCTTATAGAAAGTGATAAAAATATTCTTTTATTTTACTAAAAGGTTTATGGTTTTGCCTTTCACACATCTGTCTTTAAACCACTAATTTTTATACATGTCAGTAGAGATTCAATTTTATTTTATTCCATATAGATAATGAGTTGAACAGTTTATCCATTTCCCCACTAATGTGCAAAGGCAGTTCTATTCTACACTGAATTTTATACATGTAATATCCTTTTTGGAGAAATCTCTGTGTGGTTCTGTGGACTAACACTGC
Source organism: Homo sapiens (assembly GCF_000001405.40). Lineage (NCBI taxonomy): Eukaryota > Metazoa > Chordata > Mammalia > Primates > Hominidae > Homo > Homo sapiens. The sequence continues at coordinate 25,212,052 of NC_000018.10, forward strand.
ATAATCCTAATCACTGCAGATTTATTATAAATTGACTAGAAAATGGGACAAATATTTTCTCTGCCTATTCTTTTTCTTCAAGAATATCTTTGTCATGTGACTTTTCATTCTTCTATACATGTTTTGGAAACTGCTTATCAAGTTCCAAAATATAAAAATATATAAAAAATATTTTAATGGCCGGGCATGGTGGCTCACGCCTGTAATCCTAGCACTTTGGGAGGCCAAGGTGGGCAGATCACAAGGTCAGCAGTTCGAGACCAGCCTGGCCAACATAGTGAAACCCTGTCTCTACTAAAAATACAAAAATCAGCTGGGCATGGTGGCGCACACCTGTAGTCTCAGCTACTTGGGAGGCTGAGGCAGGAGAATCACTTGAACCCGGTAGGTGGACGTTGTGGTGAGCCAAGATCATGCCACTTCACTCCAGCCTGGGCAAAAGAGTGAGACTTAGTCTCAAAAAAAAAAAAAAAAAAAAAAAAAAAAAATATATATATATATATATATATATATATGTATAGAAACATATATTTTAAAACCTGTTGAAATTTTCATTGGAATAGCACTAAATCTATAGATCAATTTAGAGATAACTGACAGACTTACAGTATTGAGTCTTCCTATAACTTCCACGAACAAGTTATATCTGATCATTTATTCAAGTCTTTTAAAATATTTCAGTAATGTTTTATCATTTTTTCCATAAATGTCTTATATATTTTGTAAGATTGATTTCTAAGTACCTATTTTTTTCTCCCTATCATAAGTAGGATTATTTTAAAATGTGTATTTTCTGGGTTTTGCTAGTGAATAAAAATCCAGTTGACTTAAATGTGTTGATTTGGTACCCAGCAACTTTGCTAAAGTTTTATTGTAATAATTTGTCTTTAGATTCTTTGGGTGTCGTTTTACATGCAAATATATTACCTGTATATGACATTATAATCTGTATATTTTCAATTTTTGTGCTACTTTTTTCTAATACTCAAATTCATTTTGATTTTATCTTAGCTTACAGGCTACATCACCCAGCATGCCTTAATAGTAATTTTAGTTATAAAATATTAGTTAAAATTTCCCTGCAAATTACATTGTCAGTATAATAATATAGTTACATTATAACATATATTATAATGATAATATTATAGTTACATTATAATTATATTATAAAATATATAACTATATAATAAAATAATGGTTATATGTAACTATTATTTATAATGCTTGCTTAAGATAATATTTTAAAAAGTTTTTATTAGGGTAAGGGAATTCCCACCTATTCTTAGTTTAGTGTTCTTTTTTGATCATGAAAATATGTTAAATACAGTTTTTCCATTGACTTTTGAGATAAAAATATAATTTATCTCTTTTAATCTGTTAATGTGGTCAATTAAATTAATTGATTTCCTGAAATTGAACCCACCTTGCATTCTTGTGATAAACCTATTTCAATCATAATGTATTCTCTTTTTTATACATGGATTTAGCTACTAATACTTTGTTCAAAATTTTAAAATGTAAAATCATGAATAAAAGTGGCCTACATTTCTCTTTTTCAGTATTTTTGTCTGGTTTTGATATCAGGATCATATCAGATTCATCAAATGAACAAAGGTATTTTCTCATTTTGTATTTTCTTGCACAGTTTTGAAATTATGTGTATGTTTAGGGCGACTCATTTTGAAAGCCACCTGAGCCTAATATTTTCTTTGGAGGAAAGATTTTCAACAATTTATTAAACTCTTTAATGTTTATTGAATCACTATACTTCTCTTTTTTTCTTGAGCCATTTTTGGTAACATATTATTCTAAGATGGTTTCTATATACTGTAACTTAAATTCTCTACCATTAGCATAAAGTTACTCATAGTATTATTTTTTCTTCTTTTATCTTCATTTGGCATTTTTTGTAAAATTTTAATTGGGAAATAACTTTACATATAGTAAACTGTAGTAATCTTAAGTATACTGCTTGGTGAAATTTCAGATATCACTCACCAGGATAACCAACACATAGAGAAGATATGAAACACTTCCAGCATCCAGGTAACGCCTTGCTTTTCCTTCCCTGTTGACACGATCCCAGAAGTAACTACTCTGACTTTGATCATCACAGATTAGTTTTGTCCATTCTTAAACTTTACATGAATAAAGTCATTTTGCTCCTCATTCTCTCAAAAAAAGAATTATTGCATTCTTTTTATAGTTATTTTGATATGTGTAATGTTTCTCCTATTAGCTTTTTAACTTCTGCGAGTACAAAGTAAGGCTCCCCTTTTCATTATTAATATTATTTATCTCTGGTTCTTTTTACTGATTCATCTCACCAGAAGTCTGTAAATTCTGTCAGTCTTTTCAGAAAACTAACTTTTCACTTTCTTGGCCTCCTTGTTGTTCATTGTTTCTTTGTTTTCTATTTATCTTAAGTTGATATATCTCAGTGATAGTATGCTTTCCTTATTTTCTAAAGTATATTTTCTAACAACTATCCCTCTAAGTGGTGCATTTAGTTATATCTCGAAACTTTTGAAATGTATTTATCCTTCAGTTTTCAGCATTTTTAATTTCTATATTATGCCTTCTTTGTTCAATGTATGTTTTAAACTTTAAAATGTATGATTTTAAGATATCCTTTTCATTTATAAATTACTTGTATTATAGTCAGAGAACTTGATTTGTGTGATCCTCAGGTTTTAAGTTTATTGAGATAAGCTTTATGATAGGAAGCACGTGAAGGAGACCAGCTGAGATTTAATATAGTTTGGCCTGGAGAAAGGATGCAGGAGATGCAGATAGAAGAGAAATTACAAAAGAATAATCAATGGCTCCTGGGGAGTGACTGCCCTAACAGGTTAGGAGAACAGGAAACATATAGGAAACAGAAACAAAGTTTCAGGCAGAATGACGAGGCGAAAGACGAAACACTAACCAAAATGGGAGAAAAATGAAATTATAGTTGGAGTTGATTAAAGGGCTAGCAGAAGCTTCAACTGGTAATGTGAAAAGGGAAGCTGAAAATTTAAGACTGGGAGTTAAACAGAAGTTGAGAATTGAAACTTCATATTTTGCTTATTTGTATGGGATAATAATGAGGTAATAGGAAATAGGAATTCCTATTTCAGAATAGAAAAGTAGGTTAAGAATAGAACCTTTAGAAACATGCACATTTAAAAGATAAAAAAGCATAAAAAGGTTTGTAAAAGTATAAATAAGGGGAACCAGCTATTCAGGCTTTTTAAAAGCTTTTGGCAAGATTCTTAAAATTAGGCTGCTAAATTTCTAGAAATACAAAGTACATGTACTAGAAAACTACATCTACATCATGTGGTAGGTAGAGCAACACCGTAATAAGAGATCCAGACATCCGGAATATAGCTTTCACTTTTCTTTCATCATTTAAAATCATCCTGACTAGATATTTACTAATCTCCATCTTGACAAAATCTCAGTCAAAAATGTGAAATGTTTCTCCTAGACAGAGTTCTATGATGACACAAGATGATTCCAAAGTCCTTTGGCCTAGTACCAAAAGGATAAATGTTATTATGTGCAATCAGCAATTTGAAATACAAAAACATTCCTATTTTTGAATTTCATAAGTTCTAAAAAGTCACTGTAACCATATAAAAAATATCAACAAAAGGTCTAGAACTGGAGGTAAGTACAGAAAATCTAGGAATGGTAGATGCAGCAAATTCAATAATGGGGGCAATGGTCAGTATCAGGTGATCACGGAACTGGGTAGAAAGCGTGGATGCAAGGCACCTGCTCCCACATTCCAACCCATGGTACTGGTGCCAGGGCCGTTGACTCCCTGTTCTATTACTTTGTAGATGGCAAAAAAATATTGAATACAACAACAACAATACAGATTGGACTTGGCAGAGCAATTCACTGTCTTTGAAGAACACCTTGAACCTTATCAATTTATTTGGTCCTGTAAATTTTCTATTTAATTTTTTAAATACTGTCTCTTTAGAGGGAGTTTAACCCATTTAGTTTTTGCTCTTTGCATAATTAACTTAGCAAAACTTAGTATCAGCAATTTGAAATTTGAAAACTTTAAAATATTTTTTAATCAACCTGTTTTTTTCAGCCTCATAGGGAAATTCTGATGAACAGAACAATACAAAACAGAACTCCGGGACTTGAGTAGGCTCTGAATTGTCATCATGCACATTTCCATCTTCCATACAAAAACCATAAAAAATATTGATTCTAAGACACTTAAAACAGATCTTCATATTAAAGATGAACTTTGGATTGTTACAAACTTCAAACCTTTTACTGTATTTTAATATTTTTAGATCAAACCTAACTTTAAAATAGTTTTAGGCTAAATGACCTATACCCATATGTATTAGTAACTAGATGTAACTGAAAATAAAGTATACACCATTTTGTGTTACTCTGAAGGACTTACACTGTATTCATTTATTCAACTAACATTTACTGAGCCCTTATGATAAGTTGATGGGCATTCAGAGATGAGAAAGGAGAAGAACGAAATAGGGCTTTTTTCCTTGATACAGGGTCTCACTCTGTTGCCCAGGCTGGAGTACAACGATGCTATCACTGCTCACTGCAGCCTTGAGCTCCTGGGCTCATGCAATCCTCCCACTTCAGCCTCCTGAGTAGCTAGAACTACAGGTGTGCACCACCACACCTGATTAATTTTTCATTTCTGTAGAGACAGGATCTTGCTGTGTTGGCTAGGCTGGTCTCAAACTCCTGGCCTCAATGATCCTCCCACCTCAGCCTCCCAAAGTGCTGGGATTATAGGCATGAGGCATCATGCCCGGCCGAGTGAACAAATAATGACATTTTTAAAAGAAAATCCTAAAGGGCAGACCACCTTTGATAAGGTTTTCAGGAAGGCCAACCTGACAGACGAGAAAGAGCCAGCAGAACAGACAGGCTGTTTGGGAAGAGCAGCTCAGGTGATAAAGTGGGGAAGCAGCACATGTTCAGGATCTGGGCAGAGTTAAGAAGGAAGAGTCGCCAGAAGGAAGTGAGAATAGCCTGCCACAGCCAGAGAGCCCATGACTTTGTAAGCTGGTGAGGCGTTGGGGTTCATTTGAGAAAGTGGGAAGCCACGAAAAAATTTTAAGTGACTTCACTTAATTTACAGGTCTACGCTTCCAACTGCAGCATGAAGAATGGACTGGAAGTAGGCAGAAGATGAAGGAGAGGATCTGTTAGGAAGCTACTGCGGTATCCAGACGAGAAACAATTGCAGCCTAGACTAAAATTCTGGCTTTGAAGGTATACAGAAGTGGATGAGATATTTGAAGATACTTATTGGAGGTGGAATCAACAGCATTCATTGATGGATTAAACATGGAGAATGAGAGAAAAGAGGAATGAGGAATGATTCACAGGTTTCTTGCTTGAGTAATTGGGTGTAGAGTGGTTCCCTTTACTAAAATGATGGAAGTCTGGAAGAGGAAAACGTTTCAGGAGAGAGAACCAGGAGTCTAGGGTATACATACGACATTTCAGACAAAGGTTTCCTGGATGAAAAATCTAGGTGGTCATTTGTCCTGCAAAAATAAGAAGATATTTTGGGAGGGCAACCAGGCACATTCAAGCTCCATGGCATGATACCCATGCAGTGAGGCCTTTGCCTAATATGGGCCTGGCACTGTCAGAGGTACCAAGAATATGAGACTGAGTAAGTTCTTGTCCCAGGAAATTAATCAGAGGAAAAGACAATGTAATAGATAATCACAAAGCAGTGTAACAATTTTCACGTGATATTTACTCCATATTATCTGCACAGGGCATTGAGGGGATAGGGAGATGCTTGGGATGGAGAGTCAGGCTCATAGACGGCCTTCTAGAATAGTTGATCTCCAAAGAAAGGATAAGCTGGACAGCCTTCTGGAAGGTGGAAGACAGTCAAGAGGAGAGAGGTTATTTGGGGAGAAGAAACAGGACAGCCTCAGTAAGACACAGAGACAATATGTTATGTGTGGTTAATTAAAGTGCTTCCAATTATAGAACAAGGAGAGGGCAGGGAAAAGAAGGGAAAGCCGAAACCTGAAGGGTCCTGTATTTCACAATAAAAGGATTATTATATCATCCTATGGGGATGGAGGAGCAGAACACTTACAATGTTTCAAATAGGAAGGGACATGCTAGACAGATTTGTGTTTTAGATGGATGGTTCTGGCAGTGGTGTGGAGATGGATTTGAAAATGATGAGACTCAAGTCAGAAGGACCAAATGAAGCTGCTTCAGTTGCTCAGGAAAAGAAGATCAGAGATTGAACTTAAAACGTGGTAAGGGGATGGTGGGAGGAGTTGATTCAAGAAAAACAGTTGGCTGGGTGCAGTGACTCACGCCTGTAATCCCAGCACTTTGGGAGACCAAGGCAGGAGAATCACTTGAGCCCAGCATGGCCAACATAATGAGACCTCGAGCCTACTAAAAAAAAAAAAAAAAAAAAAAAAATTAGCTGGACATGTGGTGCATACCTGTATAGTCTCAGATACTCAGGAGGCTGAGCCAGGAGGATTGCTCAGGAGGTTGAGGCTGCAGTGACCCATGATCCCACCACTGTACTCAAGCCTGGGCCACAGAGTGAAACCCTGTCTGAGAGAAAAAAACCCGTCTCTACTAAAAATTACAAAAAAAAAAAAAAATTAGCCGGGAATGGTGGTTCATTCCTGTAATCCCAGCTACTCAGGAGGCTGAGGCAGGAGAATCGCTTGAACCTGAGAGGCAGAGGTTGTGGTGAGCCGAGATCACGCCATTGCACTCCAGCCTGGGCAACAAGAGTGACACTCCATCTCAAAAAAAAGAAAAGAAAAATAGCTGACCCTCAAAGAACACAGGTTTGAACTGCATAGGTCCACTTATATGTGTATTTTCTGCCTCTGCCACCCCCAAGACGGCAAGACCAAACCCTCCTCTTCTTCCTCTTCTGCAGCCTACGCAACTTGAAGACAATGAAGATGAAGGCCTCAGTGATGCTCCACTTCCACTTAATGGACAGATTTTTCTCTTCCTTATGACTTCCTACTAGTATTTTCTTTTCTCTGGTTTACTTTATTGTAAGAATACAGTGTGTAATACATATAACTAACAAAGTATGTGTTAACTGACTGTTTATGTTATCGATAAGTAGGCTATTAGTAGTTAAGTTTTGAGGGAGTCAAAGTTATATGCAGATTTTTGACCGAGTGAGGGGTCAGTGCCTCTATCTCCTGGAATGTTCAAGAGTCAACTGTACATATGAGCTGCAGTCAAGATGGCTTGATGACCAAATGATGCAGAGTAGAAAGGAAGTGACTGAGAAGATCGATGGACCTACAGGTGAAATAGAAAACATAAGAAAAAATGCAGGTTTAGAGAAAAGGTGCTGAGTTCTATTTGGGACCCACTGAGTTTGAAGTTCAAGGGAACATGTGAGTGGATACGTGTAGCAGGCAGCTGTTTATATGAGTCCGAAACTCAGAGCAAAGATGTGAGTTGGAGACATCATTGCTTTTTAAAATTAGCTCACGCCTGTAATCCCAACACTTTGGGAGGCTGAGGCAGGTGGATTGCTTGAGCCTAAGCTGGTCTTGAACTCCTCACGGCAAGCTCGTCTCTACCAAAAATACAAAAAATTAGCCAGGCATGGTGGCATGAGCCTGTAGTCTCAGCTACCCAGGAGGCTGAGGTAGGAAGATCACCTGAGCCTGGGAGGTTAAGGCTGCAGTGAGCCATGATTGGACCACTGTACTCCAGCCTGAATGATAGAGTGAGACCCTGTCTGAAATCAATAAATAATAAAATAAAATAAAATTAGCTTCATTGAGGTGTAATCCCCATAAAAATAATAAACCAATTTTAAATCTGCTGAGTACTGATAAATGCATGCAGTCACGTAACCACCACAGGCATCAAGATAAAGAGTGTTCCCACCAGCTCCCAAAGGTCCCCTCCTGTCCCTTGGATACACTATTTGGAGAGCGGTCAGTAAAAGGTGGTCGTTCAAGCTCTGGGAGCGAAGGAGGCCCCATGGAGGGGATATGCAGACTGAGAGCAATGAGGGGGAAACAAACCTACAGGAAGGGGCTAGCAAAAGAAGGAGAGGCCACAGGGCGTTCACAGAGGCAACCAGGAAGCCAGGAAGGAAGACAGAGGCCCCATAAAAGTGGACTGGCCAACAGTGACAAGTGCTTAGAGACAATAATAACTAAGATATACTATCTTTTTGTTTCTCTAAGTACAATGCATTGGTCAATTAGGCCAGAAGAGCCCTTGGAGTCAGCTGCAATAAAGTGACGAATGCAGAAGATCCTGGGCAATGGGTGAGGGAACTGAAGGAGAAGAGAAAGAAGACAGGAGTACCGAGAGGATGCTGTAGAAAAGACGGGGATTCAACTGCAGCTAGAGGAAAGTGCCACGGGATTGTGGAAAGAGAATCCTGAACCTGGAGTTAACCTGAACTCTAACCCCTTGCCTACCACTTACTGGCTGTGTGATCTTAGACAATCCTCTATTTACCCGCCCCTGTTTTCTTGTCTGTAAAATAAAGTGGCTGAGTCAGATGGTCTACACTGTTCCTTCTATTTTGATTCTGTGGCACCCTATGCACATCTCGCGACATGGAGATCATGAGGATAATGGTAATGCTGGCAAGAGCAATTTCAAAGGACTGGTGAGGACAGTGTGAATTGAAATGTGAGTAAATAGTTGCTCAGGGAAACTTGACTAAGAAGCACACTAGAAAAAGGAGGCAGAAGAATACGTGTTTCCAAAATCTACTGTAGAACTTCAAAGTCATGAGACAACATTCTGAGGTCCAGATGGGGCAGCCCCTGAGTAGACAGTGCCCATGAACTCCAGAAGAATCAACATTTATTCAACGTATAGTAAATGTCAATAACTGCAAGGTGCTTCATGTGTGGAAACAGCTAAAGGGCCAGTGTTCTTCCTGTCCCCAGTTAACCTTACCATCCCTGGAATCATTTATTGTAGGTTATGTGTAAATTTCTATCACACTCAACCTTTGAGGAGCAAAGAAAAATGAATAGGTTCTCCAAAATATTTTATTCAAAACAAAATCTTCACTGCAAATTTAGATTAATAATCTGAGGATTCTGGCACAAAGAAAACATTTTTCACAAATTCAGAAAGCATTAGGCAGAAGAAATGGGATTCAAACTCAGATCTGCCTTCGATTTCAAATCTCTCTATTACATAACAGCTACCAACAATTATCCTTCTTTTAGTGTTGCATGCCTTGTCTTTCATCCATTTTTTGGATTGCAGGGTTTTATATAGTACTTATCCTCCCCAGATTTATATTTAAGTTTAAATCCCTTTTAATTAGGTATCCTACCTAGTCTCAATCATATAATATTCTTTTTAGTCTTTGAAAGATGGACACAAATGTTTACCGATATTCTATGTAATTCTAAGTCATGGTCCAGAAAAATCTAACCTTGTTCTTGACCATACCTATGTATCCAGGTTTTCTTATCTCCTGTGATTTTCTTTTCACTTCTGGAGTCTCAAGCCTCAGCAAGAAGAAGAGATGAAAATACCACCTATGTTGCTAAGTCCTTCAATTGCTACCTAGGGCATCTAAGTCAATAGACATATATGTCACATTTCTTTTTGTGATAAAATTTATTCCTATATGATACACCTGTCTTTTGACAAAGACTTATATAATAACATTTCATTTTACCTAATCTGGAAAAAATGCACAAACTCCTCAAAATGAGAACTTATAGAAATTTAACTTGGCTAACAAAGAATGTGAACAAATGAGTATTTATTTTGTATTTTTCTTGCTGACATATTATTTTTAGGCTTCTTTTTGTAAAACTTTGTGTATATTTAGATAATTTTCTATATTAGTCTAAATAATATGGTATATTGTACATATTTAATTGTAGAGAGTATCATACAAAATTTTATAACAAATAGTATGATGAATTTAAAAATGGCGATAGTAACGATGATTAAAATGTTGAACAAATTAGTGAACTTTTGAGGCACTAAGAAATATTTGAAACTAAATCCTAATATCTCATCAATTAAGCATACCACTCTAAGCTCTTATTAATCAGGTTTCATAGGGAGGTACTCGACTGCATAGTCATTTTTGACCCTTAGTCATTAGGTACTTTAAAAATGCAATTGTAAAACTTAAACAAGTATTTTAAAAAATATTTGAAGTATTATCCTATGTAAGTGCAGGATAAAGATAGGCTTTCTAAATATCACTAAGATTTTAGGTGTCATTCGAGCCTTAATGATAAATTCTCCTCATCGAGTAATTCTAACCAACTTAATGTGTAAATACTATTTATATGTCCTCATTCGTTTTTGAAATATTTCCTCTTAGATGTTATTATAATTACAGCAATTTATAAATATCAGAAAATACAAACCATGAACAGATAAGAAGACACAGGCATATGCCCTTTCATAAACAATCTACTAAGAAACAAGAGAGTCCAGCTATGCCTCATTTAAAATGCACAAGCAACACCAAAATCACACACACAGACACACAGACTAATGCAGTCATTTAAAATCAACTTTACACACTTTGTAAATTAAACATGAGTATCAATCTCTTGTAGGCATATGTTAAGCATTACAAAATAAAAACAAAGGAGAAGAGTAATTTTCTGCCTTAATGTTTTCAGAATTCTCATTCAAAAACTTAAAAATATGAGACATTTTGGGGACAACTGAGGAAATCTAAATATGAACCTCTTACAGACGATATTATGGGATTACTTAATTTCCTTTTTTAATTTAGTGAATTGCTTTAGCTAATGATGTCATAATTGAACAAAAAAATACCCTTATTCTTAGGAGATGTCATGATACCTGCAACTTTCTTTCATGTGGCTGAAGTTGATTTTAAAAAGGGGTGCAGAGAGAGAGAAAACGCTACAAAATATTCTTATCTGGAGGACCTGGGGATACCCATACACAGGCACACATACGTGTTCGCTGTGTTGGTCCTTTAACTTTTCTATAGGTTTAAAAAATTCCGAAGTAAAAACTTGGAAAACCCTCATTTCATATGCTTTTAACTACTAATATTTGTTTCAAAAGAAACAATTTGATCCAACCCATGAGCTATGAGCCATAATCAAAGCTATGTTCTTCCAGCTGTCCTCAGCAGTTTGAAAGGATTTCATGTATTTAAATGAGAGAAAAGTGCAGATTTACTTGGGGAGGGGAGAAGGGGGAAAGTGGCTTCAAAGTTTGGGAGTTTGCCTGCCACACAGATGCCACATTTTGTGAGGCCAGGCTCTGTCTCAGTCTTCTCAGCCCGCCCCTGCCAGCTGACTGATGGCTATCTGCAGGGAGCCACAGGGGGGCCTCCGCCAGGGTGTGAGTGCAGAGACAAGATAAGGAAAATGCAGTAACCCCAAACTGAAGGGAGAAGGATCTCCCTGGGGTTTTCATTTGGATGGATCTCCAGATAGGGGCAGGTAGGGAAGTGGAAAGAGCTTTTAGAAACCAGGTGATAAAGCATAAAGAAATATTAAAATGAGCCATCCTCTGCTCAGCTACTAAGAAATGATGACTTATGAAATGATTTCATTATAAATGAACTTGTTTTTTGTACTCGTCACGGCAAAGAAAGCAGAAAACTACTCTGAAACTAAGGAGAAAAAAAAAAACGCACACATTGATTTTGAAACCCAGAGAGTAGGCCTCAAACTCAGGGATAGTGTCTTTAAACAGAATAATGGGCATGTGGTGCTTAATAAATGTAGGGGATTTTTAAAAATCCTGTTGTGAGGAAGTATTTTCCTCTCTACCCAGAAGACAAAGAAAAACAGTGAGTGTTGACAACATGGCATTAAAAAGCCACCCCTACCCAATTTGTTATCCCCAAATATATATATTCTTTTTAATTTACTCTAAGCCAGCATGGTGGCTCATAGCATCTTACTTTTGAGTCATTATCTCTCTGCCATACACACAAGTCATAGCTGGGGATTTCAACTCACGGTGAAGCTATGCTGAGATTCCAGATCTCAGTAGTGTTGGCATGAGCGCTGGTCTCTTCAGTCATAGAGAAGACAATATCCTAGGGAGACTGGAATTAGTCCTATTTTGCACCATTCAAGCCAAAATGCTGCTTATCAAGAAGCAAGTAATTGCTAGCTAATGGCTATGGGGGAAAAAGAAACCCACTGCATTTCAATCTAAGCATCTTTTGGCCCATGACAATAAATAAAGCTGTGGAGAGTGTAAACATAAAGCAGGGACCGTTTCTTGAGGAGGTTAAATAGCAAACATTAAAAAAGGCGAGTTACCTCATCCGACTGGGAGGGACTGATTCTGGGCATTGGTGATACTTGGGGCGTTTTCAACTGTGTGCTGTTGCTGTCTGGCACGAGCTCTCGGTGGATGGTTTGGATGTGGTTCTGGAGTTCACTTTCAGACTCAAACTTAACGTTGCAGCTAGAGCAGCGTGTCTTCAGTCCCCCCACCTTGCCTTTCCCCTCAATGGCACTCAGATTCTCATTCTGGCCCAAGCCTGGTCTATTCGTGCCGGGAGGGACGTTAATGCCTGGGCTGGCGCTCTTACTGAGATTCACGCAGCCGGCACACAGACCATATGGCAGGCCATTGATATCAAGTTTCACCAGATCTTGCTTGGAACGGAATTCTTTGAGGCAAGATGCGCACTTATACAGTTTTTGGACGTGCTGGCCCCGCCCTGTGGTCTGAACTGCAGACCCATTCCCTGTCTTTTGCATGTGGAACGTCCCATGGATTTTGAGTTCCAAGGTGGAGGTCACTGTCTGCATGCACACCACGCAGCGAAAGCCTGTCAGGGAATTCCTCAAGTCAGGGTGCATTTGGCAATGCTCTAAAAACTCCTCTTCACTCTGGAGAGGCATCTTGCAAATCCGGCAGTTTCCAGTATCAAGACTCTTACTATGCGTGACTTTGTGTTCAGTAAGAGTTAAAAGGGAGGGAAACCGCTCTCCGCAAATAGGGCACATGTAGTGTTTGACAGGGCCTAGGTGGGTCTGCATATGTTCCCGGAGGCCATTTTCGGAGAAGAAGGTTCGAGAGCACACGTTGCACTTGTAATTCCCTTTAATGAGCTCAGCTTTCTTTTTCACGATGGCACTTTCTCCAGGTCTGATGTTGTGGTCTCGGAGCTGGTGATTCTGCAGCAAAGTTTCCATAGTGTAGGCTGCCCCACAAATGTCGCAGCCGTACATAGGCTCAGAGGTGTCAACGTCTTCTTCGCTCCCATCGTGACTGTTGTGGGACTCCTGGCTGTTGGTCAGCAAAGTCTGCAGCTCCACTTCCTCTTTCTGCACTTGCTCGGAAGCTCCATTTGTTCCACAGTTGGGTGTCTTGGTTTCGAATACACAGTGTTTTTCTCGCAAGTGTTTTTCTAACAAAATGATCGCATGGAAGGCTTTGCTACAGAACTTGCAGTTGTACTTCTTACTGTGAGTGGTGATGTGGCATTGCAGCTCCACCTCGGTGCCAAAGGACTCACCGCAGAAAATGCACTTATGCACTTTCCCTTGGTTTTCCAGGTGGTTGTGTTTCACATGGAGCTGCAAGTCAGTTTCGTTGCGGAAGTCCCAGTTGCAAGATGTGCACCTATAGACTTTCTTTTCGTTACTGTGCTTCACAGCCAAGTGGAGCTGAATGGAGACTTTTGAGTCAAAAACTTCCTGGCAGAGGGTGCAGCGAAAGAAGACAAAGGTGTGCATGTCCAGCAGGTGTTTCTGAAGGTCATCCACTGATGTGAATTGCTTGTCACAACTCTCACAGATGTAATACGTTGAAGTGATCATAAAGTGAATGGTAACATGCTTCAGCAAGGATTCTTGGTTGGGGAATTCCTTGTTGCACTGAGGACAGGTCAATTTTGGAAGCACAGTGTCGAGATGAGTTTTTAGGTGAGTCTGAAAGCTGTCTAGGGATGTGTACTTAGCACCACATTGATTACAGATATATTCTCCAGTGGGACGTGCAGGTGCACCTCCTACTGCCTGCATCATCTTAAGAGATGTCTGCTCTATGGCCACAGGAGATAGGGGGCTTAAGGCCCTGGATTTCTTCCCATTGTGGATATAATTCAGGGCCAAGGGAATGTTTTTATGATTCTCTTTGATATGCTTGTTCAGTTTAAGAACGCTGTTGAATATTGGCGAATTTGTACAATAGGAACAAGAATAGACTTCTACTACTGGTTCTTTGGGAGTCCCAAGCACTGGAGACCCAAATCGGGAGCCACTGAGGTCACAATGAACCTGTCTAATATGCTCTTCCAGGGAAGAGTCAGTGAGAAACCCCATATAGCAATGGGGACAAAAGAATGCATTACTATCTTTAGCTGCAGGGTTTGCAAATCCATGAGAACATCGGATGTGTTCCTGAAGAGTGTTGAGGTCGTTGACAACTTCGGAACAGAAGTTACACTGGTAGACAATGGCAGGCATGGCAGAAACAATCAGACCTGGGTCCTGAGCTTCATGCACTTGCTTAAGATGTTCATTTAGGTTATAGAGTGAGGGCAGGACCTCCAAGCAATACTGACAAATATGGGCCTGTTCTGGCTTATCTAAGTGCATAGTTTTCAGGTGAATCTGCAGAACTGCAAGACTTGAAAATAATTGTTTGTTGCAGTAAATACAGCTGTAGGTAACTTTTGCTTGTTTACTCGAGGGACCAGTCATGTCAGGGGTTTGTTGAGCGGCCCTCTTCCTCCCTCGACTCTTTGGGATTGGCGGGGCAGCTTCCACCATGGTTGAGCTGTCCACTGAGAGGTTGGAATCTGGAGTCGTACTGGACACGGAGGTATAGCCCACCGTGACCAGGGAAGGGCTGTTGCTGTGATTGCATGACTCCGGTTGCTGGTGACTGTCCATGTGGCTGTACAGTTCCTCAACTGTGTGGAAACTCTCAGAACAAATGCTGCATGAGTTCTTCTTCTCCCCGCTATGCACCTGCTCCATGTGGTTCATGAGGGAGGTCTCCTCTACGAAGAGCTCGTGGCAGTAGACACACTGGAGGGCCGCTCGGTCCTCATTTGGGGAGCATTCGGGGTGGCACTCTGCAATGTGTTTTTGGAGGTCTTCCGGGAAGTCAAAGCCTTCCTCACACTGACTGCACTTCTGAGTGTCCTTCATCTTCCAGTCCTCCATCCTGGAACCGGACTGAGAGCCGTCCTTGTTCCTCTCATGAACCTGCATGTGTCCGTGTAAGGAACTAGAGGACAGAAACCCACGGCGACAAATGGCACATTTATATGGCTTGTTGGACGTGTGAGTCTTTAAGTGGATCTTCAAGTGATCACTTCTGGAAAACGCAGCATCACATTCACTGCAGTGGTACTTCTTGTCCCCGGTGTGGAGTTTTATGTGGCGATCTCGGCTGCGCTTGTGTTTGAACAGCCTACTGCAGTAGGTGCATTTGAAAGGCAGTTTGTCACTGTGACTCTGCTCATGGTGCTTTAGGTAGCTGAGGCGGCTAAACGACTTGTCACAGAATTGACACGGGTATGGAAGCCCAGGGCCACCTTCTTCCTCTCCAAAATCGCAACCTTCTCCATGGCTAGGGGAAGTCTGATCCTTGCTAGAAGGTGAGGAAGCTGGCCAAGAGCAAGTCGGATCATCTTCAACATCCACTCCATCTGCAACAAGAAGCAATGACAAATTTCATCTGACATGTTGAGATTCAAGAGTGAGTTTACCGTAGCATTTCAACCAGCACGCAGAGTTGGGCCCTCTTGAATCTTTCAAGAAAAAACAAAATGAAAAGAGAGAATATTTGAGTGAGACATTTTCAAATCTGAGCCCAAAGCAGTTATTCTGCATTTACTTTTTGTTGAGTTGTAAAATATAAGAGGATATTAAATAGTTCTATGTCTAAATTACCCTTTTATTACTTTTTATCATTCTTCCTTAGAAGCAAGGTATATATTACACATTGACAATTTTATTAAAATGCAGATTTTAATATATTTAATGTTTCTTTTGTATTCCTTCTAAAATGATTTGCATATTATGTGAGCATCTGAAGAACCAAATGAAAAGAGGAAATATTACGGGAATGATTTAAAATTAATGCAGTCAACCCAGATGTCTAATATTTAATAAAAAATTCCCTCTGCATTTTGCTTGTTTTTATATAAAAAGGCAATTCTGCAGACCAAAATCTGTTACGGGGTTCTTATTGATACAGACCTTATTGCTTTCAGCAAAAAAATATTAAAAAGTAAGCACATGAAAGAAGACAGAAAACACAATAATAATTATGTCTTGTGTAATGAAAGATAACCAGGATTTCTTCAATAACTGAAATTCGAATTCCATAGGCCAGAAAATGGATTATTAAATGTTAGAAGGGTACTGCTAGATATTACATGTAGCTAGGATCAGCTAGGATCAAGAAAAAATGAGAGTTTCACAAGGGCCAGATTTTAATAGTGTATTTTGTTTGGAAAGTTCAAGAGGTGGCCCACCATATCTTCCTTTTGCAAAAGCTTCAGCAGCCTGAACTTCCTTAGCTAAACAGGACCTGCACTTTGAGGTGAGCAGAGACAAAGCAACTTGTGAAAAACTGGAAACAGGAAAAGTGATAAATGATTATGGTAAATGCTGAAAGATTTATGAGTGACAAAAAGAAGACAAACAAGACTGAGAGCCAGATATAAACTTAGCAAGTTATCCATAAAGGAATGTTACCTTATATTAGGTGATTTTAAAAACTATGTTCTTAGCAAACGTGCACTGTTATTTCTGTTGCTTTCTTGATATCCAAGTGGAAAATAAGACCATCTCAAAGCAGGTTGTGAAACCTCTTTTTTGCTTTTCATAACCTATTATTCAAGATCAGAAGAAACTTTAAAAGCTTTCCACTCTCCAAAGGAGCACGATTTTTCAAAAAAACACACAAGTAAAGACCATGGAGTGGAGCTGGTGGGGATAGTGTTTCAGTTAGAATAAGAGGCTCAGTTAGAGCATTATTAGAATATTCTAATGGTATTCAATTAGAGTATGTTCAAATAAGTTTTTAAATTCTTCAAAGCTGAAGTTCACTAGCAAGCTAAATGATTAATATAAAAGTAGAAACTGGTGAGCATTATGTAAACGAATTCCATGTCTGCTTTCTTTAAGGTAACAAGATTTTACTAGATTGTCAGCCTCTTCCTTATCCACAGGAAACAGATGAGGATCATTCCTTTCCTGCATCTAGAAACTGATGACAACACCATCTCACTATCAATGCCAGATGGCAACCCTCTCACTCTGAGAAAACAACCAAACACCATTCCTGGATCCTTGCCCACTGCAACAAAGCTTCGCCATACAAGTTGAAAACCGCATGATTTTGCATCCTCATTTATAGGACTCTATAACCCAACATGTTTCCAGCATAAGAAAGGGTCTGATGGATGTGGATGTGATTTATACTTAAAGTGAATACACCAGGAACATATGCAGATAAACTCAACTCACCACTCAACATACAAAAAAAAAAATTTAACTAAAAGCAAAAAAACTCAATAATGATCTAGTTTTCCCCTTAAAAAAGTGTTGTCACCTAAAGCTAATATACCTGAAACAAATCAAGGTTTCAAATATTTACCCTAATTGAAAAAAAAGGCCATCTATTAAATGTACTCAACATTCTAGGTAAAATCTACCACATTTCACATTTATCTTTTAGGCTTAAATCCTGCTATTTCATTTAAAAAATATTTTCAAACACATCTTCTCATTTATACATTTGGGGAAAACAGTGAATCAGAATTTGTAATGCATCCAGCCTAGAAGGATGTAACTATTGAGCTTGAAAATTGAGCAAGTGAATTTATAATTAAATTGCAGATTGTGTCCAGGTATGATATATTTTTTACAAATACATAAAGAATTATAGAGCAATGGACCATTATAAAAATTATGCAATCCCTAACACCAGGCTTAATTCAGGTTCTTGTCTGTGGTCCATGCCTGACTATATCTATTATATAACTGTTCTCTTAAGCTTGTAAATTTCAGTGACACGTCAAGTGAGCTGAAGGTTAGGATCAAGGTTTTAACCAGGATTCAAGAGAGCAGAAACCTTTTCTTTCTTCTCTCCAGTCCCCATTACTTGTCTTTGTAAAGGAAATTACACAACACCCCCTCTAGAAGTCATAAGGCGTGGGGATTGAGCAGAAGTAAATAGTTTGAGCAAGGAATAATACTTATAGAAAAATAAATAAAGCATCCCTGAAAGGCTGATTTCTGTTTTAAAATATAAAATGTAAAAACTCTCATTTGCCAGTACTGTAAATGGATTGTGTTCTCCAAAGAACACACAGGGACTCACTACTCCAAGCGGGTTGGTCCACACTCTTCAGGTATCAGACTCCTCCAAGACTTTTGTGGTGATGGTCTCCCCGCCAACATACTCTGAGGTCTACCTAAGACTTTGAGAGTTATCCATCCCCATTAACTTAGGCTTTTTGGCAGCCACAGTGCAAACTAAGCTTAAATGGTGAATATAGGTTTAAACGATGTCAATTTCTTTTTACACGTGGAAGAAACTGTAGAAGATTCTTTCAACTCAGGTTCCTGAATCAACTTTAACTTTTTTTCCCTTTGGCACTAAGTGCTACTTACAGGGACTGTCTTTCTGGGTGATGGCAAGTTTTCTGCATTTCAATGTGAAGTACTTAACATGTCCATGTTAAATTTTAATTTTTGAAACCAGTCTCTTCACTTGAGCTGACTCTCCGAGAGCTGTAGCTCTTACTGCCGAAAAAGCTTTGCTAGAAACCAGCTCTGTGGCCTAAAAAGTCTATTTAAAGATGCAAATGTGTGTGCATGGTTAGTGCAGATGTTTTTCTACAGCAACTGTACTTGCTGAGTTTCACCATTTCCATAAAGCACATTAAAACAAGTGTGTGAACACTCCGAGATGAAAGTCTCCAACACTCCTGAGACTTTCAGTGGAAAGTAGAGCCGCCTGACTTTTCTCCAAGCAGACAGGAATGCCCATGATTCAGCAGCCTGAGTAAATAAAAGAGGTCCTTATTTCCTAATTTCGCTGGCTGGCCACACTGCAGCAGCCTCTGTGTTTCTGCCAAAGGGGATGCAGAACTGGAACTACACCCAGCCGCTGAAGGCCTGTCTTTGTTAGCCAGCCAGGCTTTCCGGACCATCTTCTGGCAGCAGAACGGCCATATCCTGCAAGGAAGACCTCCATCTCAGGCTAGGCGCTTCTCTAGTCTGCCTAAAAGGACGAAACAACAGATTTTGCTGGGTCTGTGTTGGAGGAGGACAGCTGGAAACTCAGTTAGCAGCAGAGTAACACCTGTTCAGGCATATTTATGGGGGAAAGTGCTCACTAACAGAAAAGTGAAGTCATACCAGAAGGAGTTATTCCACAGAAAAAAGGCAACAGAACACAGAGTACCTTTGTGACGTGAGCCATCAGCCCCTCGTGTGCCAACCTGGGGAGGAGGAAGCAGAGACTGGACGTGATTTGATCCTAGCTCCTGCTGATGGACAGACAAGCACGCAAATGAGGGTCTGAGAGTCTGTTTACAGCCTGCCATTGTGGAAGAGAAATGCTGAGGGTTCTGGCCACTCGCTGGTGTTCAAGACTAATCAAATTAGCCAGAAATTAGAAAATAAGATCAAAGAGAGAGGAAGAGAATATGTGCAGAAGGGCTAGACTAATGTTAATGCTTACTTTGTTTATGATTAAGCGGGTCTTAATTTGTGTAGGACATACACTTCCTGAGGACAGGGACCAAGCCTTTCAGAAGATTGATTCCAACACTAGGGGCAATCTGAAATTATTCAAGAGAAACTAATGTAAGAAAGTAGATGAAAATACTTTCTCTGAAGTTATGGAAACTTCTGATAATGTTCTTCATAGGGCCTGGTCTGCAAGAAACTGGCTTAACAATATCCTTTTGCTACCTGAGCTTGTTCACTGCAACAGCAGAGTACCCTCTTAACTGCCCATCGGGGACTCAGTATCATGTGTGCTAGTGCCACACAGCAAGATTTCCTTAACAGGGACAGGATTTACATCAATGGTTACTTTTCAAGTGAGGAGAAGAAGCACAAATACTGATGGGTCTGATACTTGTGTAGGAACCAAAAGTCAAGATCCTGGAGTTTTATTTCTAGCTTCATAACTGACTTAGAGAGTGACCTGGCTAAGTCATTTAATCTGCCCCTACCTAGGTATTTCACCTGCAATATGAAGATAAGAATTCTTGCTACTTACCCTCTGGGGTGTTACAAAGACTAGTGAATGTTTCTAGGGCACCTTATCATGGCTGGAAGAAAAGCTGCATATGTAAACAAAAAGATTTATATGTGTTGCATGTATTTCTGTTTCCATGTGTAAGCTTCTATGAATATAGCATAAACATATTTTAATATTTTCTTTCCTTTAATGCAATCTCAGGAATATTAATTTTAAGGACTGACCCAATGGCAATCTACAGTGCCTTAAGCTTTCACAGTTGTATACGCAGCTAGCAAGAAAATAAAAGATAAATAGCTGGTGATACCTAAATGTTAATAGACCATAAATCTGTGCTTACTATGTTCCAAACATTAAATTATCAAACATGGGATATAATCTTGGGTCTTTACAGGCAGGTAACCTTGGCACAAGTGTTTTTCTATGGAATTCTGAGGCCAAGAATGCGGTTTATACCTCTCTTCTCCTTAAAACACGAGCAATACAATCATTGCATTATTTAGCAACATGGTAAGTTGATTCAGTAAATTTTTTTTTGAGGCTCAAACAATAGGGTAAGACTTGAGACCAACAAAATTTCAGGTTTCCCCCCACTTGCCTTACATAATTGTTTACTTCTGCCAGCAGGCTATAGGAGCAGTTCTGAAATTTCTTACTAAATAGAATTCACAGTACTTTTTCAGTCATTAGCTACCTGAGACACTTTAACATAAGCTGAAACTCCTGGGGGAGATACACAGGTGTGCACAAACACTAAGAGAAGTCGGGCTCTACTTAAAGAGGACAATATTTTGAAATGCATGTTTAATAGACACAGGTAACAAGGGTACTTGACATGTTACTTCAATGCCAACACAGTAACAATTTTACACCATCATATTTAAAATCTTCTAACCAAATTACAAAATACATTTTTAAAGCAATGATTTAAATTGCTAAAAGATAAGGTCATGCTAAAAAAAAACTATTATACATTATTACACAATTGCTTCCCTTCATTCTCCATAGAAATGTCAACAGTTTTAGAAAAGCTGTAACTTTAATAGCTATCATGCTTCTTTTTAAAAAAAAAAAATCAACAGCTCCACATTAAATTCACTCCTTTGTCATATAACTTATTTAACTACTTGAAAACGAATACCCTTTACTGGGTGTTCAAATGAGAAATGTGAACTTTAAAATTATTTATAATTCACAGATGCTTTTAAATTCTGTAATATTTTGAACTGTTCTAGAAGGACCAATTAAATGAATTAACAGTTAGGTTATGAGGAAGAAGGGTGGTCACCCATTAATAACAGCAGCTGTGAAGAGCGGGAGTTGGTGGTGCACATTTTTTAACAGTCTTAAGATGAATTCCAGATATCAGAGCTCAAGCTCAGAGGTTTTTTTTTTTTTTTTTTTGCCTTCAATACTCCCTAGTAAAAAAGAGGCTCGCTTTCCCCCAACAACACTTTAACACTTCAGATGAGCCAACAAAGAGATAAGGAGTTGTTATCACATCTCCATGGCTCTCCTTAGGTAATCCTGGGCTTTTCATCCATTCTTTCACCAGACACATTTCGATTGCATGTGCAGGGAGAAGTATAAATGTTTTGCTTGCTGTTGCTTAAAGTTCATTTGAACAGACGGAGCTCAATGAATTCCATCTTCCGCAGCCAAATTAAATAGAAAACAGTGCATTCTTAAGCAGTTCACACTTAACTCCACCTCTCAAATCAGAGGAAAAAGCTGACGTGAAACCAGTTAAAGAACAGTCATCCTCTCTCGCACGGAAATCAAGACATTGTGTTTCTGAAGCCAGACAGAAGGAAAAGTGGTTTCCAATTATGTGGGGGGTGAGAATTGCTTTTCTTTTTCTATCTTTTGGCTCACTTAAAAATATATATAACTAATGATAAGCACCCACCTCTTGGCGTTCAATAATTGGCAACTGTGTATTACACATCTGTTTACAGTGCCGTGACTGAGGGTGTTCTAAACCGTTTAACATGTTGATCTTTTCTTGAATAATGACAGACGTCACCAGAGTGGATTTCCTGAGTCTGTATTCTTTTTATTCTCTACTATTTTGAGTTAGAAGGCATTTATTAGTTACTATGTGCTCTTGTGTTTATATATGACCTCATACCACAAAGAATTTAAAGCAGTTTTTCATTGCTTTAATCCATTGATTTAATCAACTTTTATTAAGCACCTACTATGTGTTCAGGTCTAATATTGGCTTGTGAACTTTAGAAACTACTTTTTTTTTGAAGTTTTGATTTCCTTGTCTATAATATCAGAAAAATTTCGGCCTGCCTCAACATATGAGGTATTATAAGACTCAAACATGACCTTATATGAAGGAGTTTTCTGTACTGCTAAAATCTAAAAATGTATTACATTATTACTACTGCTATGAAAGCCAAAGTTACCTATAAGTGATAAGTGGTAAATGATAACTCATAAATGTGAGAACAGCAGAAAGGAATCAAAATTAACGATAATTTAGTTGTTGCAGTTTTCATATTGAGATTCTAAAAATTTTTAATGACTTAAAGGGCATTTCTGTTTATAAATAAAAATAAACAAAAATAAAGAACTACTATTTAACAATATTATTTAAATAACAATTTGATAGACAATATTATCATTATAAAATTAATATGGATTAATTTATTAACAATATTATTATTCTTGTTAAATAACAGTCTTAATAAATAAAAATAAACAAACAAAAATATTCCAAAAAAACTCTTCTGAATGCTACTCACAGATATCTTGAAAATCAATGTGTAGCAGTTCATTGGTTAATAGCTACACACACTGGCCAGTTGTGATTAATTCATGAGTGTTGTAAAGTCCACACAACGAAAGGGCCTGCATTCAAAGTCCAGGAGCCACATTCCATAGTGCCAGCACCACTCTATAAGTGACTATTTGGCTTAGTTAGAAAGTCCTTGAGGCCAATTCTATTTCACTTCAAAATCCTTTGCACCAGTGTGAAATATACGTACTGAGCTTTGAAGGATGACCTACACTTTTTAAAAATACTCAGTAAATTTCTCAATGCTACCAAGTTAATCATTAGTGATTTTAAATTAACTTCTTCACTGGGGAAGCAGAAGGTAAAGGGGATTCTTCCACTGAGAAAACTAAGTTCGGAAATGGCTTCGTTAGGGAATGACGGATCTTAGAAACTTCATTTCACCACGTTAATGGTTTTGGAAGAACTGCCATAAACCACCAGAATTTTCAAAAAACGAAATCAAATTCTATTTCAAAGCAGCATCTGGTCTAACAGAATGTTTTGTCTTGTTAAACTAGACTTTACTGACTATTTTTCCAACATGTAGGCTTTGGTCCAAGGCCGGAAAACTTTCAGTCACCAGGAATTATAACAGTCCTGAAATGGTATTTATTGGAGCCGAATTTCACCTGTATTATAACCATGGCAGTAGTAACGCCAACATGAATTTTCGGCAGCCTGAAAAGGCCACACTGTATACTTCACTGCAGACAAGGCCACTAGAGAATACAAAAGTGCTGAAAGGCTAAAATTTAATTAATGAACAATTAGCACCCCCTGTGGGTTCATTGTGCAGTAAAGTGATAAATATGGTTTGCTAATGTAGAAAAAGCTGTTACAAAGATTAGGGGGGAACTATTACTACAATTATCCATATGCCTTTGTATTACAACTGACCTCAGTACCAGTTCTTGATTTGGACATACATGTGTCTAACAAATGATAGGAATTGTTAAGGTCTGTGGCAAATAATCATTTTGAATTTTGTTAAAGCACAGACTGACTCACACAGGTTGTCAGGCTGTTTTCATAGGGTGAAAAAGCCACTGAGATCGCTAGTGAGTACACCCAGCCAACCACCCAGCAGCTGCAACTCAAAGTAGTATCTGTTGTCTGCTCCTCAGTTTTATGCATTTAATGAGGAAATTATATGCTACAGTGGTATTAAGGAATTCAGAGATGAGGGGCTGGGCGCGGTGGCTCACGCCTGTAATCCCAGCACTTTGGGAGGCTGAGGCGGGCAGACTGCCTGAGCCCAGGAGTTCGAGATCAGCCTGGATAACATGGTGAAACCCCGTCTCTACTAAAATACAAAAAATTAGCCGGGCGTGGTGGCATGCGTCTGTAGTACCAGCTACTCAAGAGGCTGAGGCAGGAGAATTGCCTGAACCCGGGAGGCAGAGGTTGCAGTGAGCCGAGATCACGCCACTGCAGTCCAGCCTGGGTGACACAGTGAGACTCCATCTCAAAAAAAAAAAAAAAATTAAAAAGGCATTTCAGGGATGTTGGACTATCTTGAGACTTCATGCATAAGAAAGACTCTACAGTAGGGCCAATCACTAATATGCCTTATACAATAGAATTTTTATAGTGTTTCAACAGAATTATTACCTTTCACATTAACACTTACATGGTAAAACTGAAATGGAAAAATGAGATTGGATTCCAAGTAACCCAAATGATATAAGACAATCCTTTATCTCAAATGAGATAATGTTTATAAAAGTACTATATAAACTGGAAAGCCAAAGCTATTTTCTTAAAATCATCTTTAGTTAGGGTATGACAAAGTATCTCTACACAGGTCTTATGATATTAAGTACATGTATTTATAGAGTTTTTAAATTTATAATTTTGCTAATTCAGCAAAATATAAAAGAGGCATTCTGAAAATAAGGCGAATTATCAATTTGAGGACTTTCCAGTTACCCTCTTTGCCCTTTATGTTTTATTTTTCACTTTTGGTTTGATTTTTCTCTTCCCTAGAATCTCTACCTTAGAATGAATATGATGATAACATCCAAGCCAGTTCATTTCATTATTTTTTTCTTGGTAACAGCCCTGGTAATTTATTTATGGGAACCAGTACAGTTAAAATTGTGGCACACGGTATGTGTACGCTTGCATGCTTTTATCCACAGTTGACTAAATGTTCAGAATAGACTAAGTGATTTATGCCAAAGTAGTTTTTCAAATATTTTAGGTAACTCTCATTACAAAAGTGCTAATCGTAGTAATTTGACACTTAATAGGACTAAATATCTGTACAATCATGTCTTAATGAAATATGTCTCTAAGGGAAGACTTTATGACGCTACTTTCTACTGATTAATATCTATAATCATATTTTTATTAAATTATATATATGTGTCTATATATAAATAACACATATTATCTGAGATGATACATCTTGGCAAATATTCCAACACCTGTGACAAAATCAGGCCTCAAAAACCCCATGATACCTCCACATACTAGCATCTTACTTTGCCTCCATCCAAGATACTTTAAAAATAACAAAATAATGTATAAGAAAAGAATCCAAGGTAGTGTGGCCACAGTAATGAGACACATTGCTAATATTCAAAGATATAAAACCTACCAGCACAGTTTTAGAATCTTCACTGACTCAATACTGTCTGTACCAAAGGGCTGTTCTCTGAAATCTTTACAAAGCTTCCTCCCACATCTGAGCTCTGCTCTTTTCTCTTAAGATGGCCTGTTGTTTGGCATGGATTGTGCATACCTCTGGGTCTGACTTTAGGGCTCAAAGGAAAGAAAATGAGTGAATGTGATTGAAGCCTACACAGAGAAAAGAAAGTCAAGGCTGTCATTCCTAACTTTTCATGTATATATATGAAACATAAGATTTAAGACCTGTGAGAAATGTGGGCCTTTAGGGGAAAAAAAGTGCTAATTTTACAGATGAACAAATAGGTCAACGAGGATGAGTAACATGTTATAATCTTGTACTAACAATAGTAGTTGACAGTGGCACTGAAACCCACATCCAAATCTCCAGTGCCGAGGCAAGCACCTTGGCTCTACGTATTAGAAAACCCTCAAAGTCCATCCTTCCCAAACTCTCCTCCACTAAAACAACAACAACAATAACTCAAATGCTGAGTTTTTATGGGTAAATGAATAAACCTAAAGTGGTGTTTAATAGTGTTTCTCTTTTAAAAAAAATTCATTGTTTTTCATATTACTAAACCAATTCATGCTAACTGATGTATGTATTCACACATATACAGAAGAAGACAAAAATTGCCTAACAACTCTACAAACCTATAACTCTCTGTTAACAAGTCATGACAGCCAATTTCTTAATTTGATTTCACTGCTGGCTATTGACCAGAAAAATCCTATATATACACATCTCCTTAACAGTGGGTCTGTTTGCCTCTCTCCTGTTCTTCCATCCTCTGCTTTGAGCAGGGTGGTATGGTCGGATCAGGTATTGACAAAGCAAAGCAGAAAAAAAGACACAGTCAAACTGGCACTGTGGCCAGCTTTACTTTCCTCTCACACCCTTGCCTGTAGGGACATATTCCCTGCCACTGATTCAAATGAAGGATCCTTCTCACCTATCCCTTAAGCTACCCTTCTTCAATTATCATTCCAGCTATCCTGGCTGTACACAACAAAACCAAAGGCTGACCCTCTACCACAGCCAGATGACACAGGGCAGCATTTCTTAGTCTAATCCACCAATCACTAGCAGACCAACTGCTTGAACTGCCTGTTTAAAATGCAGACACCTGGACTCCACCCCACGCCTCCTGACTGAACTTCTGAGGATGGGGCCCAGAAATCTCCCTTTTTTAGCAAGTTTCCTGAGTCTTCACCTGCATTCCCAAGCTTGAGAATCACCTTAGAATCTTTTCTTTCCCCTGAATCACCTAAGTCCTTGCTTGAAGTTTGCTGCACTCAGCTGTGCCTTTCCCGTGTTTGCTCCTCTGTAATGGAACATCATTGATGGAGGGCTTTCTCGCCCTTATTCAAAGACCAAATTGAATCCCAGTTCTTCCAAGAAGCAGCTTTTACAGAAAGAAAATTAGATCACTATATTCTTTGCCCTCCTATCCTTTAACAGCCCCCCTCCCACTTTGAGTAGGACTCCATATTTCAAATCTTTTCAGTGAAATACTCAATTAGCTCCTGCAAGTAACTTCCTCTCTGTAAGAGCGTTGGCAGCAGCTTGTACATTTCCAGAAAAAGAGTGACCATTTTAAAGAGTTATACAGTTCCAAGTACATAAAGCCTGGTATTACATGCTTAGGAAACATAGTTCTGAGTAGACAGCCGTGTTTCAAGTGTGTACATGAAAAAGTCTGTCTGCTAAACTTTTGTTGATGATTACTTTCAAGCTGCGTTAGCTAGATGGGAAATATTAATACACTATCAAAGGTAGCTCATCCTGCCAACCATTTCAACATAGAAAGAAGGTTGTCACAAAACTACAAAGCAAATGAATATCTGGAGTAAGAAGTGAGAAAAGAGGAAGGGAGCTTCCTATATTCAGCAATACTTTCTTTTTCCACTCAGGGAGGCGATGCTAGAATTGCTGATTAAATGCCTCAAGTTTGGACCTCTCTAGAAATTCTTTGTTCTTTGAACAGGCTACAGTCTCTTGCAACTTCCGGGGTTCAGAATGTAAGTGTGGTATGCCATACAGTAAATGAAGCCTTCTGTTGTCAGAGCTGGAAATAGGAGGGGGGAGGAGAAGGAGGGCTTGATCTCAAGTGATTTTTATTGGCTTCATTTACATCCTGTTTAAGGTCTTCCAAGTAGCTCAAGGTGTCTTATCTCTGGCTACCAGGGGGTATTTTGCAGTCAAAGCAGTTAACATATTTTCTCTCTCCCTCTCCTCCTGTCCCTTTCCCTCAAGCTCTCTTTTTTTTCAAGCCATCTTATCTTATCACACACATCTCTTCAGGCTGAGGAGAACCCATACTTATCAGAAGCAGTGCACTCTATTGTCGTTCAGGGCTGTTAAAGACAAATGATAGTGTAAGTCAAAAGAAAATCAGTTAACCTCTTCTGCACTCCGTTTTGAAATACTCTGGACTGCCTCACCTTTATTAGTCCTAAGTGGCATCAGAAGTGCCCCTCAAATTTCCATGCATACAGAACATCCCATCTCCCCCATCAGAGTAAGAAGACTAGGGACAAAGTTGCTGGTCACTGTTGGACACTGACGTCACATGAGGCACTTCTGCCTTTATCAGACTCCTCCCCACTCTTAGGTGACTTATCCATGATCTCACAGGAAGTGGTAGCTTCAAACATCTATAAGGAAAAACAACAACAACAAAAACAACAACAAAACCCAGAAACTAAAGGAGAGTAAGGGAAAGTGGGGAACAGTAGTCAAGAGACAAGGAACTTCTCCCCAGATATGCCTGAATGCTTGCCCACGACACTGACATAAACACGAGAGGGCTGTCAGAAGCATACGCAGCACGCATCTTCTGTAACAGCAACACAGACACTATTATTCAAACCTATTAAATCATCACACAATCTGCTAGAGAGCCTGAGTGTTGAAGAGCTTGATCTTCTGTTACAAACTCAGCAATGATAGCCCTTGATTCTGAGTACACATTGGAATCGTCCAAAGAGCCTTTAAAATTACATACTGGATCCATCCTCAGGCCAATTAAATCAGACTCTCTGAGAGTTAAGACCCATAGAGGGTACAGGCTGGGTTCACAACCACTACCCTAGATTAAAAACCCCATGGAAGCTGGTCTAAAAGACAGATTCCACAAAACAAATCTCTTTCTTATCCAGGTTCCCTTACCCCTCGACAGGCAGGCCAGCACTGGGGCGAGTTTTCTGCACTACTTTGTGTCATATGCAATGAACCAGATATTAAAAAAAAAAAAAAAAAAAAAAGTTAGAGCAAGCAATACTGAACACTCCAATCATTCACCATTATCACAGGTAAAAGTGCAATATGTAAACAGTTATTAGGCGTCTCATCTGTGTGTTTTATACTCCCTTTAAAAATTCCCATTCCTCTTCTCCTTCATACCCCAGCACCCCATGGGCTCCTTTATATTAGTGATAACCCCATACTTTCACCTGCAGTGAAGGCTCTCTTAATTGTCCATTATCTTAGTGTGTCAGCAACAAAGGAGCAGGAATGGAATCCTCGTCCAAACGGTTTCACCTCCCTCTCCTGAGAGTGATGCCCTTGTCAAGGCATTAAAGACACGAAAACCTGCCACTTATCAGAATTGTATTTGAATCGAACCACTGTCCTTGAAAACTGTAGGCAGGAGATATTATCAAACCACAACGCATTGCCAGCTCCAGTTCCATGGTGGCTCGAACAATCTAGAAAGATACTATCCAAACTTTGCCATGCATTCCTCATAATAGAATTACAGGGAACAATGCAAACATGCTCGCTGATTTTTTTTAAATGGTTAAGTATAAAGAAATGCATGGGTCAGGTTGTTGATGAATACAAATGTAACAGTTCCAAGCCTTAGGACACCTTTGAATGTAAACTCACCAAGAAACCAAACCATAAAACTCTTCTAATTACTCCTACCTTCAATTCTTAACAAAACGTAAGTCAAGGCTATTAAAACATCACATTTATCTTTGTTATAATGAGGGGGAAAATGTGCACATCTTTAGTATCCTATGGACAGATTCAAAAACAATGCACATTCTAAAGAGCACTTAAAAACAAAATTGAAAGAAAAACCATTATTTGTAAGTATTCAGGCCAATCTGTGTGCCTTCCACATCTCTGTTTTTCCTTCTCACTTTTTATACTTTTTTCTTATTCTATTCAAACCCACGCTGCCTTAGAAAAAAGAATGTATGCGTGCTTTTAACAAGTAAACAAGTGTACAAATTAATTCAGAGAGCAGTAATTTTGAAAATTTTCAATGTTTAATGTACACTGCAGTTAAACTACTTTTTCTGTACAAATTAATTTACTGCATCAGTGATCGATGTTTATGTTTAGGCAATTTTATTTCTCAGTATGGTAAAATTAGACCTAATAGTTGCAACCTGTTATGTCCAATCTGTCACTGAAATTCAAATTGCCTTTTTCCTATTATTCAAGGAGCAATTTGGAGGAATTAAAGCCATCTAAAAATGGAAGACAAACTATTCTCTGTAAGGACTCAATAGCCTGTGTCATCAACCAAATCCACATCCCCGATCTCTTCTGAGCAGGTTCTTTCAACATGATTTTTCTGAGGTTCTCAAACTTTCACATTTGCCAAGCCACACAAGAGGAAATTTTAGGGTGAAACTAAAAATTTTACCCTACAAATTTTCAGCCTTCAAGAGACGTAATCAAAAAGTTCAAAGATCATGGTGTTGACTTCCAAATACCAACTCTCACCTAAAAAACTCCCAACTTTCATGGCATATATATTTGCTACATCCTATATATTTTTTTTGCTTGTTTTGCTTGATCTAGGAATATATTATTTTTTCTTGCACAATGAGTTTAATTTGTAATTCCTTTCTTACTGGGGAGAATTCAATTATTTAGATGTATAAGATTTAAATTTTGCAGTGATGAATGCTAAAATTGGGAAACAAATAAGGCCTGTTTTTGAACATATTTTGTTTTGCTTGGTTTTTCTCATTGTTTAGCTATCGAATGTAGTGGGTGATTCTTGTTCTATACTGTGAATACAAAGGACATACCAAAATGGAGAGAGTGGGAGAGGACAAACTGAAAAATTGGTGCAAAGCCATCACAGCCCCCTTAGAGGGGTTGGGGAATGTCAAAGCAGGCTACAACTAAAAGGGGACATAATCTGATGAGACTCCACTTCAAATACGCAATGCCATCGTGTTACAATACGTTCTCACTAGATTTTGGGTTTCTTCAACAAAAGAACCCCAAATCAGCTGTTGGTATAATCATCCCTTGGTATAAAAGAATTTCTGAAAATGTTTCTTTTGTAACACTCCCTGACTCCCAACTTCTATTCCCAAGTCTGCCTTTCTCAACAGAGTTTGCAGTGATTTTGAGGAGATCACCTGTAGATTTTGGAATGCTTCATCTGATTAGATAACCTCAATTTTCCCTTATGGTTAAGTTTCCACATTATTTGTGGAACTCTGAACGTTTATATCAAACCAATCATCTTTTCTTCACAGTGGTCAATACTGGTTTGACTTTTTTTTCCTTGTCCTTTTGTTAGCTTAAAAAGCCAAATTAAATGGTATCATGCCTCAATTTACGTCTACTCAATGTCACATATGGCCTCAGCTTACATGCTATACCAAAATAACTTCATTCCCTCAGGGTTAAAGAGACAACTCAAGAGGTAGCTCTTCCCAGCCACTGACACTTTGCCACAAAACTTTCTCTCTGGGCAGAAAAGGACACAATTAAAAGAGGAAATTACTTGTTCAGAACTGGATATCAAAGCTCAGAGTCACTCTGTATCAGCAGAAGATCTGGTGTCAAAATAACTGAAATAAACTGAAATGAGTATCCTTCTTCGTTTCCTTTCTCACTCTTTCTAACTTTTCCATGATCACTTTTTAAATTCTAAGACAAACTCATTTCCTCAGAAGATTGCTTAGATCATCAAGCTGATTAATAATTTTACTTCAACGCAGGACTGATTAATGTGGATTATTCAACTGATTAATACTGTTACTATATGGCACATCCAAGTGGGCACTAAGTGTCTTGTTTTCATAAATTTTTTAAAATTATTGAAATAAGTTCTAATTAATGTAACTTGGTCTTAAGTCTAGAGAACTTCACTGTAATGTAAAATTGAGGACTTGATGTTTTTTGGGGGGAGGGGTTTTCTCAATACCAAAATACTTAGAAAAAGCAAATGAAAACAGAGCACATTGATTCATAGCATTTTTAAACTCAGCTCTGTGATGATATGAATCTATTGTTCAACCGCATAAATTCACTGGCTTCAGAACACCAAACTTACATGTGACACAGACAAATGAACCACCAACACCTTCACCTTCTCACTCTCCCCAAGCTGAGTCCTTGCCATAGTCCACTGAGAAACTCCAAGACTACCTTCCTTCCAATAGTGGTAAGTAAGGAAATCATAGCCATCCTGCTCCACCAGATGCAGGTCCAGGGGACCCCACCATACACCAGCAGTTTTTACTCTGCCAGTGCAGAAGTTCTCCTGGTTTCAACTTTCCCAGAGACATTCTAACACACAAGCTGTGTATGCATGTGCACACACACACACACACACACACACACACACTCTCACCCTTTATACCACCCCACATCCAAAGATCAGAGTTCCTTTAAGAGCCACTGTACTTATAGCTACTTCCCCCACAGCAGTCCTTGCTTTCAGGAAGCCTAAGACCTCACAGAGACTCTGACCACTAAAACTTCAGCTTCCCCAGTCTGCCACTCCTCCTGTTCTAGAGGAGCCAGAAAAGGTGCTATTCCCAGTGCTCAAGAAATGTAGGAAAAGGGACCCAGAGTCTTTGTTCTGGAAGTGAATCCTGGGGAAATGCAAGTCTCATTTCCTTAATGAAAACTCAGAATTCAAATTCTCATCTAAACAGTGCTTACAACTTACTGTTGTTCCAGCGGTCTCTAACACAAACCAGAGGTATCTTTATGTGAACTGCAAAAGGCAATCCCCTCTAAGAGGAGAAATTCCAAAAGGTACTCTCCTCACAGATGACTTTTTTAAGTGTCTCTTCTGCTGGTCGTGACTGCAAGCACTGCTGTTAGGTTTCTGTCTCCTCACCCCATTGCTGGGGATGTTTGTGCAGTTCACAAACTGCATAGCTGCATTCTGTGGCCCTGTTCTACCAACCTTATATATTTAAATATATTTGTGGGCTAGCCTTAAAATGTAATTCCCACTTACTGCACTGCTCCATTGGAAAATGTGTGGTGAATTCCAAGAAACCAGCTTATTAAATTAACTTTTGGGAGATAATCTATTTATAAGCTGGGAACTGCCTGCATTTTAACTGGTGGTTTTGAAAATAGAGGAAAACAAATGAATCAACTTTGCTATAGCAAATTTTCATTGATCTCATTTTTGCAAGGTTGTTTAGCCTCAGCATTCCTGTTCTGAGGAAGAGAGTTTTAAAAATCCCATTAATTTTGTTGTGAGTCATCAATGAATACTTTTTAGAATGCATAATTTTTTGACTACACATCTTTGAATTCGTCCTTTTTATTAATAAACTATGTTTTAGGTTGGCTGTAGGTTCACAGCAAAATTGAGCAGAAAGTACAGGGATTTCCCATATAGCCATGCCTGGACACATGCATAGTCTCCCCTATTATCGACATCCCCCACCAGAATGGTACATTTGCTACAACTGATGAACCTCCATTGACACATCATTATCACCCAAACACTCATATGCTTTTTAGTCTAAGCTTCATGCGTTCACTTTGCAGCTAGGTGGATGATGCAAGACAGGGAAGAAGGTGGCTTACTTGAGACAAAACAGTCCCAATTGCTTTTGTAACTTGTATTCAAGTTTATTCATTCATTATTTTACCCATTTGTTCATCAAACGGGCATTTTGCTAGGCACTGGGATCAAAGGTGTATGAAATGTGATTCTTCACCCACTCTTGGTTTTTTGTAAATATGTACAGAAGTATTTAAAATGTACATATTACATTTTTAAAATGCTTGTGCTCTGCTGGGCGTGGTGGCTCACACCTGTAATCTCAGCACTTTGGGAGGCTGAGGCAAGAGGATGGCTCGAGGCCTGGAGTTCAGGACTAGCCTGAGCAACATAGTGAGACCCATCTCTACAAAAAATTTAAAAATTAGCCAGATGTGATGGTACATGCCTGTTGTCCCAGCTACTCAGAAGGCTGAGGCAAGAGGATTGCTTGAGCCCACGAGTTTGAGGTTACTGTGAGTGCCACTGCATTCCAGCCTGGGTGACAGAGTGAGACCCTTCTCTTAAAAAAAGAAAGAAAACAGCCAAACATGCTAACCGATTGCGCCACAGGAACATCACACACAAGGGCCTGTAGTGGGGTGGGAGGAGGGGGGAGGGATGCGTTAGGAGACATACCTAATGTAAATGACGAGTTAATGGGTGCAGCACATCAACATGGCACATGTATACATATGTAACAAACCTGCACGTTGTGCACATGTACCCTAGAGCTTAAAGTATAATAAATAAATAAATAAAGTAAAAAAAAAGAAAGTCTTATGATCTTTATGAAAAAAAGCTTTAAAATAGCTATAAATGAGTTTGTTGCTCAAAAGCTATTACACTTCATATTTTGTGAATATTCATAATGTAGAAGGTCCCTTTGTTTCAGTGCGTATAACACCACAATCAATTGTAGGGATAGATTAACTTTCTAAAATAGACAAGAATCATTCTCTTATATAGATTTCTTTTTTGTTTGATCCTATTTTCCTTTTTCCCCCATCCAACTAATCTGTTCACTATATTTTATATTGTTGTAGGCAAAGACTTATCAAAACCCCAAAATGTAGCTACTATTGTTAAGACTATTCAGTTACTGCTTTGGGCTCTTTGGCATCATTCTTCTTTCCACCACCCTCCACCCTCTCTTAAAGTAACATTTTGCTTTCTGGTGAATTTTCCAGTCTTATCTGTGGGTTTGCTAACATTGCTAATATGTTACCTTAGAGCCAATTTAATGTGAGCATTGATTTCCTTTCCCCACCTAAGAGAGGATTCAGTTCAATTATTATTGATGTTTTCTCTCTTCCCTTTGTCACCTCTCTTGCCCAAAATCTTGACCATAGTCTTTACTTGGGCTGTGGTCACATGACCTTGTATTTGCCAACCCACAGAAGGGGTTCCATAGTGCTTCTCATCCTAAGGACTCTCCTGCTTGACAACACCCATTCCCAGACTAGTTGTTTTTACCTAATATTCCATTGGAACAAAGATAATTTTGAAGCCCACTGAATGAACTAGTGAATACATTTTCAGGTGTGTTCTAGCTACCACCCCAGTCCTGCTCTTCTGATGCAGTCATCAATTCCATAATGATATTCTGATGACCCATTTATGGATGAGACCCAGAAGAGGCACAGCAGATACAAAGTTGACCAAGACACAATACATGGTTACAATGAATAGTTCACTGACTAATGAATGGGAGAGGCACACATGTAAACATATGATCACAAGGCAAGGAAATCAGGAATGTTAATAGACCCCTCTACAGAAATGTTGTGGGTGTTCTGTGGAAGAAGCACGAAAACAATCTTGTCGAACATATAATAGCCACCAAGGATGTGTTCTTTGAGTTGAACCTTAAAGAATAAGCAGGAGTTTTCCAGGCAGGAAAACAATAGTATGTACAAATGCAAACATTTGTGATCAGGGAATCAATGGTGTAAAATGACTACAAAGAGGAACTTGACCTTGGCTGCACATTAAAACTGCCTGGAGATCTTTTTAAAATATTGATGCTTCTACTCCACTCCTAGAAATTCTTATCGCATTGGACTAGAGGTGAAGTTTAGATTAGTATTTTTTTGAAGTTTCTCAGGCAACACTACAGCCAGGTTCAAGTGCCACTGGACTAGAACATAGAATTTGTGAGAGGAAGTAGAGCCCGATCATGATGGCTTATGGCCCCAAGTTTATTTGCAGGCAGCAGAGACAGAGCTGTTGAAGGATTTCAATCAGCAGAGATGGTTTTCACCAGAGCCCTTTGGAGTAGGAGGGACTGGATGAAGTCTAGAGGCAGGGAGTCCATTTATAAGGCTATGGCAATGGTCCAGTGAGAGGCAAAAAAACCTAAAGTGAAGGAGTATCCCAGTGACAGAGTGAAGGAAATGCATTCATTTGTTTAGAAAAATAGATCCAAAAGACTCAGTGACTAATTATATATGATGAGGGAAGGAGAAATGCCTGTAATGTCTCTTCCTCCCAAATTCCTGCCATTTGTCACACTATTAGTCACTATATGGTTGGTTTACTGCAAATATTTGCAAGAAGACTATTAGGATAAAAATCATAGTTTTGAATCCAAATGTCAGAAACAACAGGACTCAATACCAATGTTACAGATTGCTTTTCTACTTAAAGTCAGCTATCTTGACACCACACACACACACACGTCTGATAGGAAGGTTAAAAGAAGACTCTATTTTGGCTGGGTTAGAACAAAGTAGGCACCCTTATAAAAAAGGAGTTTGACATGTATGTCCCACAGACTCTAGGTCAGCAACAACACCTCTGAATCTGAAATACAACGTTATACACCAATGGAGCTTTACCCAGGAAGAACATCTGCAAAAATGACAACAGAATATTGAAGCAAGAATGATTCTACATGCTAACCTGCCTTTCGGCCTGCCTCTCCTGGAAAAGACTTGGCAACACTGAATGTATATTATGATGTTATCATTTATGCAGTGGCAGTCTTAAAACGTAAACTTCTTCATCATGACATTTAGGCAAAGATAACCTTATGGTTTTCTAAATAACACGAGTTAGCATATTAATTTGAAAAGCTATATTGATATTTACAACAATCCTCTTATCCTGTGTACTTTTCTAGCTTTATTTAAAGAACTTTATCTTTATCTAGATAAAGAACCTTTACACACCTTTCCCACTTACTTAATTAGTCATTAATAACAGTGTAAATATGTAAGACCTTGCAGGCACTGGCATATGCACACAAATTTCCTTCTGTCAGACAGGGATACAACTACAAGTGCGCACTTATTTAAAAACTCAAGTACTGAGCACTATTATAATCACCTACTAAATGCTGAGAACCTACTAAATGCTAAACTAATCTATTTTAAGAGAGGTTAACAAACTACGGCTTATAGGCCAAATGCTCTTGCTTTTGTAAATAAAGTTTTACTGGAACACAGCCATTCTTATTCATTCACATATTGAATATGAGTTGTTCAATGCAGCAGAGTTGACTGGTTGTGACAGAAACCATATGGCTCACAGAACCTCAAATATTTACTATGCTGACTTCCATAATAAAATTTTGACAATCCTTGAATTACAGCATTGTCTTATATATTAACAACCCTCTCTCACATAGCAAGAATAAATATTTATGGTACCATACCTCTTTACTTTCTTTTTTTTTTTTTTGATACAGAGTCTCGCTCTGTCACCCAGGCTGGAGTGCAGTGGTGCAATCTCGGCTCACTGCTCGGCTCACTGCAAGCTCCGCCTCCTGGGTTCATGCCATTCTCCTGCCTCAGCCTCCAGAGTAACTGGGACTACAGGTGCCCGCCACCATGCCCGGCTAATATTTTTTGTATTTTTAGTAGAGACAGGGTTTCACTGTGTTAGCCAGGATGGTCTCCATCTCCTGACCTCGTGATTCACCCACCTCAGCCTCCCTAAGTGCTGGGATTACAGGCTTGAGCCACCACGCCGGGCCTTTACTTTCTTTCTTTTTTTTTTTTAAGACAGTCTTGTTCTGTCACCCAGGTTGGAGGGCAGTGGCACGATCTTGGCTCACTGCAGCCTCTGCCTCCTGGGTTCAAGTGATTCTCCTGCTTCAGCCTCCCAAGTAACTGGGATTACAGGCGCATGCCACCATGCCCAGCTAATTTTTGTGCCTTTAGTAGAGATGGGGTTTTGCCATGTTGGCCAGGCTGATCTCGAACTCCTGACCTCAAGTGATCTGCTCACCTCACACTCCCGAAGTGCTGGGATTACAAGCCTGAGCCACCATTCCTGGTCTTCTTTACTTTCTATCTCTGTTGTCTTTGCTAAAATAAAAGAATTGTACTCTGCCTAAAATTTACTAAAATATTACACTTGCAGGGGACAGAGGCTGAAAGCTGACAATCATACTCTGAAATAACCAATATTTTAACATTACATAAATTTAACTCTGCTAATGACTGTGAAATAATTTTTCTTTTATTTTGTTTTGAGACCAAGTCTCGCTCTGTCGCCCTGGCTGGAGTGCTGTGGCGCAATCTCGGCTAACTGCAAACTCCACCTCCCAGGTTCAGGCCATTCACCAGCCTCAGCATCGGGAGTAGCTGGGACTACAGGTGCCCGCCACCACTCCCGGCTAATTTTTTTGTATTTTTAGTAGAGACGGGGTTTCATCGTATTAGCCAGGATGGTCTCGATCTCCTGACATTGTGATCCACCAATGAAAAATGTAAAATCATTTTTCATTTGTCCATTGCCCTTCAAGTTACATAATCTCACACTCTTTCCTATTAAGCAAGGCTGTTTTTAGAATCTGTTTTATATTACTTAGCTGTCTGGGACTGGGTGGCTAAAAAGAGCCATCCCTCAGCTTTCAGCAATTATCCAATACCAGATACAAAAATTATCATCAGCAACTTGTTTGCCATATTTACTGTGGAATAGATCTGAAGTAAGCTATTTTTCCTTAGTTTTGGTCCTTCTTTAAAACTGTCATATTTTAAACTGGTCAGAATTTGTTCCTTTTACTCCCATAAGAATGACTGCAATATGCATGAATTTCTGCCTTCAGCAAGACTGTAATAATCTTTCACCTATTGGCCTTAGAGATTAATGTCTGTATGGGTGCCAGATTCTTCAGAAACTAGCTGCCAAATGTGTTATCTTCCAAATAGTGAACTCCGATGTTATCATTCCCTTTTGAAAAATGCCCGAGAATTTAGGAAGCCATCCTGTTGATATATGAATTATACACATTTTACAGGCTTTGGCTTCGATTTCCCTCAAACACAATAATTTCCATGGTCTTTTCCAACATATCATTTAGCCATCTTGAAATTTAAAATGTCTCATGTAAAAATCATGTCTCTCCATTTGGTTAAAAAATGATTGTGAGGGTAAGAGATTCTTAAGTGATTCATTCTTCAGTGAAAAGTTAAGAAAAATATATTCAAAGTGAAAATATATTCCATGAGATGTTAAATTTTAGATTTGCAAGTATCCATATATATGTTTGACATCATGTAAACGAAACACTCAAATAACTGAGGTTTGTCTTTCTTCCACTTGGGTTTTCTAAAATAAAATGACAAATATTATTTCCCATGTAAGCCTTTAAAAGGACCTACCTGTTCTCAAAACTACAGATCTTAATTCTCTGCTGCAGTTCTGCAGGGAGAAAATGCCGATTTGCTATATACTATCAGGATATCAGGAATAACAATGCTTGGTGGTCAAAATGAAACAACAGCATTCGATGGAACTGGCTTTTCTTTTTCCCTTCTCATTTCTATTTGCCAAACTGCCTGCTCTGCTTTTTATGTAAAACTGCAGATGTCTTCTTATTAATCAAGATTCTAATACATTCCAGATGAATAAACAACTTCGGTACTACAGCACGTACCATTCTCCTTAAACCCAGGATTTATTAGAATTGCCCATTCCAAGATCTCTTAACTTTAAAAAGATGGTTTATTCTTCCTATTTCTACAGCAGGGGCCTAATAAATGCACTGAAACTATGACTTTGTCCCTTTGCAATACAATACTCAAAGAGATTTCCAGCCCTACAGTGTAACATTATCCAAATCCTTTGAAACCCTAAGTAGTTTGCTCAAACTCAATCATCCATATACAGAAATCATAGACAATCAATACAAATGCAATATGTTAGTGATGACATTAGAGAAACAATGTCCCAGAACCCTCTGCAGTATGCACCACTACATTCAGCATCCACTATACAGGCCAACGTGGCAGCCGCAACATAAAGCTCTAATTAAAAAGCACTCTTCGGTGAACAGCTAAATATTTTGATTTTGAACCTTTCCTTATACAAGGAATAATTCAGGGAAAATTATCTACACACATGGTATTGATTAACTCAGGGCTGTGATTTCTCTGATTTCACACTGGTGATAGTTCAATGGGAGTTTACCATGTAATTTACCCAATCAAAATATGTTCAAGTACTGATATTTAAAAATTAAATTCTGCTCCACAATCATTATTTTATGTATTTCTACTTGTACCGTTTTCAAGCTAAAGGAAAATAGATCTTTCTCTATGTAATCAAAAAGAAACAGGACAGGGAAGTAATAATAAGGTGTAAAAGCACATATTATAGCAATGTATGTGGCTAATAGCTTTTGTATAGCATTAGCACCCCTCTTACTGCTCCCAGTTTACTAATGTTCTTACTAATACTGGACTCCTAAGGGCGGTTCTATAAATAAGACATTTATATAGAAAACTAGGAAAATATGAAAGGTTATAATATTAACATACCAAACTCATTTTTAATTAAAGAAATAAAAAAGCCCAGTCTTTAGGGGGTTTGGGAAAATAAGGTAGTCAAATGAGACCAATTAACTTCATTAGCTTCTGCAAATACCTAGTTTTCTAACACATACCTATTTTTCCATCTGCTCCACAGTTAAATGTGTCTACAAATTAACATTTTATTTATGATTCAGGTTCTGATTCATAAACACTATGCACATATTCTACAAAAATCTAATACTTCACGGAAAAATACAGAGGACTACATTGCAACTTATTTACCTTTTTTTTTTTCTTGAACAAAGCAATCCAGATCATAAAATACCATAGGCTAGGAAATCAGCTACACACTTTCTATTTCCTTCTGTTTTTAACACAAGGTATTTTCCCTGGATATATCTGAAGAAGTTAAAATTGCTGCCTTTTCTGTGTCCTCCTTTTTTATTCTCATCTCATAGTAAATGGCAAAGGAGTTTCTTATTCAGTATCTTATAAAGTTCTCCCCTCTCTGGCCTGACATTCACATTAACTTCAAACCCCATAGCGCATCCATAATGTGCTAGAAATGCTTTATATCTGAGTTTTAAATGCTGTGCAAGTGCCTGTGCTTTCTACTGGCTTATACAGGAGAGCAAAGCTTTCAAAATATGTTGCAGGGATAAACAAAAATCAGCATGGTTAAAGGGTGTATGCTAATTCCATTTTAAGTACTTATAAAAACCTTATCCATAAGGCAAACCAACTTCCTTCACGCAGTAGTTACTACCATTCAACTGAGAATACAGGCACTTTTACAAATGGATTCAAGAGTTATTTAATTTCACTTTAACTTCTGTAAGTAACTCTTTATCCCTTGCTGACATGCCATTTTATTATTTTATTATTTACAGCAGTACTTGTTCATAAATCAAATCCATACACCTCTTAAGATAATAGCAAAACACAAAAAAGCAAAAAAGAATTTTCCTTTTGAATCCAAAAATTCCAAGAATATGTGTTTCTACAAATTATACTGTTGGTCCCTGGCACAAGCCCTTTCTGACTGGGCACCAGACCCTTAACCCCTGAAGTACAAATCACTACGGTATTTCCATTTATTTGCACTGCCACATTCCTGGGACATTACTGATCTTGAAGGGAAGCCTGTCACATTCAGGAAAATTTAGGGGAAACAATTGGGAGTTTAAAAGAATTAGACTCATTATATTTTTGTGACTTATACTAACTACTTTTACCTTCTATGTAGCAAACTTGAATATATTTATTCTATTTGATCTCCTTCAAAAAAGTTGGGGTGCTCAAAGTGGTGTATATATTTGGGATTTTAAATTTTTTGAATAAAAAAGACTCCATATTTCATGAGGAAAAGACATGGTTCCATTTAGATTTTGTGCTTCAAAAAATGTATTTGCTGATATACAATGGAGCTGTCATAAGTCAAAGTTAAATGAGAGGCAGCATTTGGATAATAAAAAATATGGTTAATAAGAAATGATCAGCATGTAATTTGCTCAGGTCCTCTGGAGAAATACAGATATAAATTGGAAATCAGTATTAAGGGCACTGTACAACACAGTATTGGTTTGAACTATACCTCCAAAGGGTTCAATAGCAGATGTGGGGGGGAACTATTTGCAAGCACCTTACACTTCTCTTGGATAATTTTTACACATGATATGAACTCAAATCCTTGCCCAACTCTTCAGTTACTCTGACTATGCAGTAATCTTACTTGGCATGAACAAGGTCTGATGCTGTCACAGAGAAAAGTACAATTTTACAGCGGGAAGCAGCATCAGAAACCAACTTGTCCAGCACATTGTTATTCAGCCCAGAGAAATTAAGTTCTTTGCCTAAAGTCCTAAAATAGTAATGAAGTCTTTTCATTTTGGGTTCTAGGCTCTATATCAACTTCACCAGCATATATGGATACTGGGGAATAATTGTGGGACAGTAAAGGCTGGCTGCACCATGCAATAAAAATCAATGAAGCAAGGTAAATGCATACAAAAGATGTATTCACTGGTATATACTTATTTTGTCTTACAGGTAGAAGCATGTACACTATCTAAGTTAACACATTTCAGTGCCATCTTGATAGGGCCAAACTACATCAACCAGGTAGAAAAAATGTTCCCTAGCAATAAAATAACAACATGTCCATCAGCTACTACCCAGGACAGCTGTCTATAATTTTGATTTTAAATCAAATTCTCACCTATCTGTAGCCTAATATCTTTTAAAATCAATTAAGTTTCTTCTTTGCAGATGCTGGTTGATTTGTGGTTGTGGCTGATTTACAAAGTCCTTCTCCCTGGTAATTTACTAGATCAAGGTAGCTTCTATAAACCCAACCTGAATGAATATGGAGTAATACAGGATTTGAGTTCCTGAGATCTCCTAGACATAAAAGAAGGAAGCAAGGTAAGAACAGGGAATGGGTACCCATGGGAGTAGCCCACTGTAAAAATGGACTTGTCTTCTCTGAATCTTATTTGATACCCACTGTTTTCCGCTGAGGTTTATGTAGCTTGTTTGATTACAGATCTTTGTCCCCAGATTTCTTCTCCACCCCACCTTTCTTTTCATACACAGACCCTTGGACTTCTATAATGGAATGGTACCACCCCTAAGAAAGAGTCTGAAAAATGAACTAGCGCAGTGAAAACCCCCAGTAAATGTTATGCAAACTTATCATGAGTTAAGCCAGAAGTACAAATTTGCTACATTGTGGAAAGGCTATAAAATAGCAATTTGTCTTACTGTATGTGCAATTTTAATGTATTCCAA
Organism: Homo sapiens; assembly: GCF_000001405.40. NCBI lineage: Eukaryota > Metazoa > Chordata > Mammalia > Primates > Hominidae > Homo > Homo sapiens. The sequence continues at coordinate 25,255,035 of NC_000018.10, forward strand.
AGCATGTGTATTGTCTATTTCTATTACCCAGATCATTCAAACTTTTAAGTGCAAAGTAAATATAAAGCGTTGCCTTTTTAATAATATGCAGTTGTAGCATATGCTTTTCTTGTTTTCCACCTCCAGTGTGGACCAGAAACACATAATTGCTGCTTTTACTCATGTTATCTGATCATTACACAAAACATGAACCTGTTTGAGATTACTTTATATTTTTACAATTATTATTGTTAACAGCTACTTTCACTATTCTGGAAACAATTGAGAATTTTAGTAGGTAATGGGTTATATTTCTTAATACTTTACATACAAAGTAAAAAGGAAGGTGGAAAGTTTAACTTTTTCCCTTCAAATTTGTATAAAACTGCAACCACCTTTCATAAAATTACCAATATAATCACTACATAAGAATGCATAAAGTGCTCTTGGGTTCTCGTTTTTCAGATATGTAGTAACTGAATGTATTTTTCTATATATTCTTTCCCTATTTTATTTCTGATATAAAAGAAGTAAATATTTTAATCTATACAAGTCATTTACATTCAATATTGTAACACATTTGCTTCACTGATTTATCAATTTGCTCAATCAACAAACACCTTCTGAGTACCTACCATGATGAGGCACTGTGATAGAGGCTAAGAAGATATGAAGATGAAAATGACCCAGTCATTGGTCTCAAGTCTCGTAACATAGTATCAGCTCACAATTTAGGAGAGTTAAGCATACGACCCAGCAATGCCACTTCTGGACATATACTCAAAAGAAATGAAAGCACAGTCTCAAAGAGACAGTATGTGCATGTCCATGTTCACTGCAGCATAATTCAGAAGAACCAAGAGGCAGAAGCAACCTTCCATCATGAATGATGATGAATGAATGGATAAATAAAATGTGGTGTATATATATGGCATATATATATATATCGTATATATATATGTTATATACATGGTATATATATGGTATATATATATGATATATATATGGTATATATATGGTATATATATGATATATATATATGTAAAATGGGATATTATTTATCATTAAAGAAGAAGGGAATATTGTCACATGATGCAACACAGATGAACCTTGCAGGCATTAAGCTAAGTGGAAAGTGCCAATATGAATAGACAAATACCATATGATTCCAGTTATATGAGGTACCTAGAGTAGTCAAATTCATAGAGACAAAACACAGAATGGTATTTGCCAGGGGCTGGGGAGAGACGGAGATGCGGAATTGTTTAATGAGTATAGAGTTTCAGTTTTGCAAGATGAAAAGAGTTCTGGAGATTGGCTGCACAAATGATGTGAATGTACGTAACACTTAAAAATGATTTGGATATGTAAAATTTTATGTTATGTATACTTTACCACAATTAATTTTTTTAAGTTAGCAGTTACAAAACATAAGCAAATATGATGCCAACAAAAGCATAAATGCCTTAAAAGAAGACAGTGACGATTCCAAGGAGAGAGCAGTTATGTCAGGTTGGAGTATGCAGTTGCATTCCAAATGGAGCATTTCAGATGGGTTTGTGACAGAAGTAGAGTTTCTGACTCTACGCTCAAGACTTTAAGGCTTGAAAAGAGGCCCCCTACAGGAGCGAAGTGCGGGGAAGGGATCCCAGAGGCCAGATAATTCTGAAGAGGCTCTTAGTCTGCAGTCCTTTGTGAGGAAATGGGGCAATCTAAGGAAGAAAGACAAGAACAGAGCTAGGAAGGAGAACAGTGTTGGGTCAGAAATACAAGTGTGTGTGCAGCTGAAGGAAAAAAAAAACATTAAAACTGAGTTCACTATGGCAGAACAAGGTGTAGAGCATCTCACAGAAGGACAGGTGGTTAAATGGTCCAGATTTATTGAGCATGCCATTGGACTGAGTTCTGAAGACGGCCATGGCAAAAAATACTTCAATAAAGGCACCACAGATGTAGTTAAAAGAAAGGAACATTCTGGGCGAAGTCAAAAGCACAAGGAAAGGCAGAGATGAGAAAAGTCTAGCAGGAAATGAGGCTAGATGGGGAGACTACCGTAGATCACTGGGGTAGCAACGCAGGATGGGACTCCCTGGGTAAATACACTGTACTCATAGTTTTAGGAACACTTCTGTTGCTTTGAGGAAAGTGGAATTGATCATCAACTTAAGTAACATCTAAGTTCCCTCATTTAACTCACAAATTATAATGATTAAAAAGATCTATTTTAGAAAAGATCTATTTTAGAAAGTTCATACCCATTTCAATCTATTTTTTCAATTTACTTGTCATGATGGGCTATTAAGTTTAATATAAATATCAAGCTAGGAGTGAGTTTTAGTAGTGAGACCCCTGGACAACAAGGAAAACAAGCCTGGGCTCAAACAACACATTGCTTCAACTTCTTATGTGACCTTAAATACATAACTTCCTGTCTGAACCTTCGTTTCCTTTCTTGGTAAGTTCAAAAGGGACTAGATTTCTATACTGTTTCCTATCCATGCAGTTCTAATATTCTATGACTGTCTCAAGGTGGAGGGTGAACTGCCTGAGAGTCAGAAATCCATTCGTAAGCGATATTCCCTGTTCTTCCCTGCCTGCCAGTGGCTACACGGAGCAACTAAAGGCAATAGGAAAACAGAAAATAATTGCCTCCTGTACTCGCAGGTCATGAAACCTCCTCTTCATTTTCCAACCTATCAGAGATGCTTGTTGAGTATCAAATGCATATTTTCAAATTCCTTATATCTCAGCCTTTCTGACTGGAAGAGATACAAAGGAAGGGTTGTGGCTTTCAAGTCTTGGGAAGAGGTCCATATCCCATTATAACGGGTGAAGCTCAACAACTTTCTCATGTCTCTTCAATTTAGTTTTCTTTTTTCTCCTTCAATATTTTGTATAAAGTCCCAGAAGAACACATTCACAGACACACATGCACATGTGTGCACAAATACACATACAGACATACACACACACTTCACATTTAAAAAACAAAATTTCTTTTGGTTTATCTGCCATTTGGAGGTATACATGTAGTATTCCCTTCTGTATGTATAGGCTATAGATTAAATAAAGACAATTCTATACTACATTATTGATAACGAGGCACTCTCATAATTGATAAGAATAATAATATTAAAAGGTAGACACCACTTCCTGTTCGTTACCTTCTTTGTTTTCAGAAAAAAAGTCACTTGCTTTGTTTCACATTTAGTAGCTGTTATTGACGATAAGGTTTGGATAATATCACTGGAGAATTGCTTTTATTCCAGCAAGACAGCATTCTTAGAATATGCCCATAGACTATTACAAAATGTACAGCTTGCCCAACATGAATCACAGTGATAGGATTAGGCCCAAAGGGAGCTATGACAACTCTCTACAAGTAACTGAAAGGTGCAAATGGCAGGGAGGGAAAAGAATTATTTAAAGAGGTCCGAGGTGTATGTGAAGAGGGATTAAATTAAGCAAAGGAAAATTCAGGTTTTATATCAAGAAAAAATTCCTAATGGCAATATGTTAAAAGAATAGCTTCCCAAGAAATGTGTCGGAAGCTGAGATGCTGGAGGGAATTTTAACTGTAACTGAAACAATACTGGAAATAGACCATAAGGACAGAAGCCCATGCCGGTGAGAGATGAGCTTGTTGACCCACCAGCTTTCCTATCTTCTTCTCTATCATGCTATGGATCTTTCTGAAGAAAATAAGAGATTAAAGACTGAGAACTAGCCTATCAAAAATGACACTGGAGACACGTGGCCTCTCTATTTATAAAAGAAGACCACTTATATGGGTTTCCTATGGGCTGCCTCTCCATCTACACAACAGGGTAAGTGAAAATGTTCTCCAAACACAGAGTATCATTTAGGTATAAAATATTATAATAAAAATAATAGCTATCATCTATTGAGTAATGACAATGTGCCAGGCACCCTGCTACATGCTTGATATGTGTCATGTCATTTACACTTCACAAAAACCTGTGAGCTTTCACAGATGAGAGAACCAAGACCTAATATGTGCCTAAGAACACAGAGTCCATAAGTAGTGGAAGATTTGAACCCATGTAGTTAGAGGTCAGTGCCTGAGCTCTCAATTCCTGAGCTACTTTCAACAACATGGCAGCTAAGAAAGTTTACACCAAAAAGAGAAAGCTAGTCTTTTTGTTTTAATCTTTTTACCCAGCGTAGGTACCAGGAGGGATCTCTGAAAGGCAGGTTACTCCTCGCCAGGAGTAGGATCAAATCATGAGCTTATTTTAAATTGGCCCATTCTAGGTACAGTCTTGGCCAAGTCTGGATTTGTAATTTAGCAGAAAAGAAACTTTTGAGGCAGCCCTTTGATTCAATTCTTGTGACCCTTGTGAAATAAACCTTCTTAAGACTGAGTTATGGTATCAATTTGCTTCAATCCAACAAATATGTACACTGTGATGCACTCAAGGGGCTAATATCTAGCTGGGGATCAGATTAGTTCATCTCCAAAGTAGTTGGAGAGGGCACCACGGGCGTAAACTTCCAGGAGCAGAGGTAAGAAGAGAGCTGAAGGGAGTAGAGAGGAAAACAAAAACAGCAACAGGAGGGTGGAGTCGGGGTCCAGGTGAACTAGAATTTCAAGACGATCATTCCATCCACGCATTGGGCAATAAAGATCTGTTGAGTGCCTACCATGTGCCAGGCACTGGGAACACAGCAGTCAACGGTATTTCAGACTTTATGGAGCTTACAGGATAGTCAGAAGACAGACATCACCCAACAGCAGTTCACAGAGAATGTGGTCGTGGACGCACCTAGACTGGGGCTCAGTGAAGGCCTCCCAGAGGGAACACCCCTTAAACTAAAAGGAAGAAGAGGAGGCAAAGAGGTGATTGACTCCAGACAGAAAAGCACAGCATGAGGACAGGCCAAGGAAGAAAAAGTGCTTGGTCAGTTCAAGGAATAGAGAGCAAGTGGGGCTACCAGAGCAAACAAGGGGGAGGTTGGGGAAGAGAAAGCTACAAGATTCTGCACAGGCAAATTATGTAGGGAGTGTAAGGTGCATAAAGGACTCTGAAGTTCATTCAAAGAGCCTTGGGAAACACTGAGAGCTTTTGAGCATGAACTGATTTGGTTCCAAGACAACATAATAGTAAATGCCAAGGTCTTCTGATTCAGACACATCCTGGGTTCAAATCCCACTTCTGTCACTTATTCACTATGTGCCCCATGTCTCATACAAAAAAAAGAAATGCTAAAATAAAACAAAGCAAACAAAAAATAAATAAATAAAACAATGCCTACCTCTCCTAAGGTTGGCCAGAAGGATTAAGTAAGCTAAGGTTGGTAGTTTAGTGCATTTCTGGAAATGTGGTCAGCATTAAAAAGAACAGGTAGCAACATAAAATAGGGATATAAAGTATGGGTGGGGTGGTGGGTCGGAGCATGGGATGTGGAGGAAGAAAACCTTAAGCAAGTTACTTAACCTTTTCTTCAGAACCTCAGCATCTTCATCTGGAAAACATGTTTCAACTTCATGGATTTCTTTTAAAAATTCAATGGAAAAATATGTATTATATCTAGCACATAGTAAGTACTTAGTAAATTATTATTACTATTGCTAGTAATAGTAACAATATACGGTATTATCCATAAAACTTTATACTTTTTGGCATGTTACTCCAAAAAAGCAGTGGATTTCCTACTATTATAATTACTCATGTGTCTTACGTATTCTTATTGAACTCTGTGGTGCTCAGAATATTTTCTCAGCATTATGTTATCTCTTCAATCTTCAAAATCCCCAGGAGAGTCATAGGTACAAATGAAAATACTGATGCACGTGGAAAGTAAAACCCCATAAGGAACACAAGAAGGAAAATATAGGTCACCAGAGTTCAACTAAAATGTAACTGTTACTCTATAAATAATAGATATCTTTCTTAAAATTAAGGCACAATTTCAACAGAGTAAAATACGAAAACCTGGAAACCTTTTCTTCAGGATACTTCATAAAGCAAGCTCCTTCTCTGCTTTTGCCTGTCACTTTCCAGGCTTCCAGAGTGTCACTGCAGTGCTACAGTGAGGTGGTTAAAGTATGAACCGGAGGGTCTGAGAGGCAATTTGCATCTCTGGGAATTCATGTCCAGAGTCCTCCTCAGTTTGGCCAACGTCAGCTGCATCAGAGCACCTCCAGTTACTAACAAAACAGAGACTCTGGGGGCAAGTGAGTTAATACATTTTAGACCTAACTAAACACCTGACCTGTCTGATTAGCAGGAGCTAGGGGATGACCTTTAAAACTCAGTGCTCAAACTTGATTCTGAACTCATCTTCCTTCTTGTTCCTAGAGTACCCCATACCCTCTGTGGTCAACGAGACTGATTCCCTGCTCAATTTTACAATTTTATGCTATTTGCCATTCTTGTCACATAGTATGCTTGGCACATTAAAGGGGCCTAAGAAGGGTTTGTCTACTCGGTGAATGAGTCCATCTTCCCAATTTCTCTATCACAACATATATCTTACTTTCCTATACTTATGAATAGTTAGGAAGAAAAACAAAAAGCCAAAAGAATTTATTTGATTTCCTCCTCCTCTCCCTCCTTCACTTTCTATCCCCTTTTTCCTTCTCTCTCCCTTCTCTCCTCTATTTTTTCTCTCTGTGTATATGCTTTTTTTTTTAATTTTTAAAAGCCACTCAATGAAGAGATTGAGCAGAGGCTGTCCAGTCTCGGAAACAGTGGTTCTCCCTGACCAGATGGAACTCTATTAAGCTTGTCTCCATGGAATGTGCTTAAAGGAAAGCGGCTCTGCTGAAAGTCCTATATATTTAAGCAATGCCCAGAGTTGCTGAGTCTAACCGTAACTTATTACCCACCCCCTGCTGTGCGGAAGGACTTGGGCATTTTACCTCATCAGCGTTAAAGAAAAGGAGCCAGGAGTTTTTAAACAAACACAGCAACAGACCAAACATCCTAAAACTCTTAAGTTTTTACTAGGATTATAAAACTCTTAGTTAAGTAAACCAACAATTAAGAGACAGTAGCACAATGGACAATAGCTTTTGCCTTATAAAGGACAGACAGTACAAGAAGTCCCTATACAGTACAAGGAAACAATCACTTACGTCCCTTTATCACTTATGTCTTATGTCATCTTTCTTTACACTCATACCATGGGAGTCTTCCATGGCCCTCCCACAAGACCTGCTCTGAAAAAAATATTAGAAAATTATAGAGAACTGGTGAGTTCAAAAATGGGATGATTTCCTTTTTGAAAACAGCAACAATTTTAAGGCAGATACTTTTCCCTGGGGTTTTACATTCACATGGTATAGTACTCTTTTATAGAAATTCCTGTACTCCAAAATATCTTTCCTCACAGTGCTTGAATGATTTTTTTCCGTCTTGTTACACTACTTGAAGACAACACATTAGTTTTTGAAGTTGACCTTTTGTTTAGAAAGTACAAAAACATCTGGGAAGATTAACTATGTTGGTTATCCACATCTTAGCATGAATTTGCTCTAAGGAGGAATTCATTTTGTCATTCTATAAACATTTACTGATCATCTACTATGATCAGAGAAAAACAGAATCTCTGCCCTCATGAAACTCATGGGTAAGAAAAGCAATAAACAAACTATCAAAATAATAAAGTGGTAAGTTTTTTGATATGGCAAATAAATACAAGGAGAAATAAGACCACAGTGTCAATACCTGGCTCAAAGAGACAGGAGGGCTGCCTAGGGCAGTGAGTAAAGAATAAGAAGGAGTCACCTACACCTGTCATGTAGGGGATGTTTTAAAGGATATCCCAGGGACAGTCTGGGATGGTTTGAGCAGCTGATAATGCCAACAGACCTTTAGAGAGAATCAGGAGGTAGAAAGGGGCTGAGGAATAGAGTGAAAATACTGCCAAGAAACAGCTTTGTCCATTGCAAACTTTCTCTGAATGTCAACTTAGATACCACTGGTGAGTAACTGTGAAGCAGGACAGAGCACAGAGTACTAGAAACGGCCAGTGGAATATCTCCTTTTCTGTTTTGTAATTATTTGCTTGGACAATTCCCAATAAACCACTAGTAGTTAGGCACTGTTTTAGATTACAAGACTATGTTCTCACAAATTCCAAATCTCTTAATCAAAACCAAGGTCAGAATGAGTCTCACTTAGCCCCAGGACAAAAGTTTATTAAAGCATCCAGAATTAGAAGGTAACTTTGATATCTAAATTTAGCTCCCAGTGCCTGGCACGTGGGAGACACTAATTTCATCCATCCTTCAAACCAGTGATTCTGACCATGATCAAGATACAGTATCACAGTTACTCTGATTGATGAAAAAAAAAAGTTAGGTCAATAACTTGCTTTTTTTTTTGTTTTTTTGAGACAGAGTTTCACTCTTGTCGCCCAGGCTGGAGTGCAGTGGCACGATCTTGGCTCACTGCAACCTCCACCTCCTGGGTTCAAGGGATTTTCCTGCCTCAGCCTCCCAATTAGCTGGGATTACAGGTGCTTGCCACCACGCCCAGCTAATTTTTGTATTTTTAGTAGAGACGGAGCTTCACCATGTAGGTCAACAACTTTGTTTGTTTGTTTGTTTTTGGAACAGAGTCTCGCTCTGTCGCCCAGGCTGGAGCACAATGATGCAATCTTGGCTCACTGCAACTTCTGCCTTCCGGGTTCAAGCCATTCTCCTGCGTCAGCGTCCTGAATAGCTGGGACTACAGGTGCACACTGCCATGCCCAGTTAATCGTTTGTATTTTTCAGTAGAGACGAGGTTTCACCGTGTTAACCAGGGTGGTCTCGAACTCCTGAGCTCAGGTTATCCGCCCACCTCAGCCTCCCAAAGTACTAGGATTACAGGCATAAGCCACAGCACCTGGCCTAGGTCAATAACTTTCTTAACCTATATGTAAGAATGAATAAATAGGTTATTAGCTTTTTCATTAGAATATCACCATTATACCTGTGATACTGTTAACTATTTGAAATTTAACAGTGCTAAATTTTGTCATGTAACAAAATCTTTTTATATCCAAAGTATTTTACTTGTTCCAGATAGATACCATGAAAAAGGTGTGGTACCCTCATTATTGTGATGAATTGAAATCAGGTACCTGGTTCAAGCAGTTATCACCAACTTTCTAAACTCTTTGGACCGCAACTACTCTTGTATCTCAGGAAACTATTATCCTAATTTGTAGAGCTATGAGGATTAAATGAGGGGATTAGGATATTCATTCCTGGTATTTTTACTCTGCCATTTTGTTCCAGCATTTTGAGTCTTAGAATGTTGAATATAAGCACTTTACACAGAATTTTGTCAGTACAGATATATTTTTGTCATTAACAAATTTCTGGAATATACTCAACTGAGTTGATTAAATTCCTTCATCAATTTCTTATACAGCACTATTAACTACACTATTTTTTCCCATTTTAATTCTTGTTTCACTGAAATTATTTTCACTGGGATCAGCTCATTTTTATTAAAATTATATGATGATAATTTGATTCATTTATCAATTTTGTCCATATTAAACATATTATGAGTTTCCTAAGATCAATATTTCTACCAAGTTCAATTTTTGTGATTCAAATTTTGAAGAATTACATTTTGTCAAGATCTCATTCCTCTGTCAATTTTATTCAAAACCAAATTTTATGGAGTTTAATTTACATCTTCATAATGTTTATTTTTATGTTCATTATTTCTTTCAGTAATTTTCATTGTTAATTAAACAAAAGCCCGAAAGTTCTATTTATTTGTTAGCTAAATCAAGGAACTCTGATTAGATACTTTATAAGAGGGAAGAAAACAGGGTGAAACAGAGGGAAGAAACAGAAAAAGCTTCAGGAAGGAGGAGAGGAAAATGTGGACACCATGAAAAGGAAAAGAATACAGAGAGAGAAACACCAAGTATGGCAGGAAGGAGAAAAGGAAGGAAAAAGTCTGCAGGAAAATAACAGCATATTCCTCTGGGTGAAAATAATGGAAACCAACTATCACCGGGGAAAAATAAACAGCTTCATTAAACAACAAAGCATAACTATTATTATTTGATTTTAATAGGTTCCCTTCTAAAACTGTGTTGGTAAGTCAACTGTTATTCATGACATACATTTTTAAAAATATTAAACAAAAATCTAAATTTCAGGTGACTTAACAGCACCATCCTCTGTTCTGAACACTCACAAGTTGCCACCTAACTGATGTTACTTAACTCCAGTGTTCAAAATACTTGCTCAGGTGTTGACTGTTGGGAACAACAAATGTGAGACAAAAAGCAGAGGCCAAAGTAGAAGAGGAAGAAAGGATAATTAGATCTTTACCTCTCCCATTCTTGGACTCAGGACTGGCTCTTGGTAGAATTACAATAAATGAAGTTATCATAAACATTCCTGCTTTCTTTCCTGAACTTAATTACTGTTACCCAGTTTCTCTCTCCCCCTGATATCAGAACCCTCTTAGTGTCCTAAGATCTCCCTCTAAGAGACTCTAGGAGACATTTATTCAGACACCTAAGGAGCGCTCTACATATCCATCCTCCTCATTCATTCTCACATCCTGTTCCCTCAATACGACTGTTCTCCAGCACTGAAAGGAAAACAATCTGTTAGTACAACAACTACAGAGAACAGTTTGGAGGTTCCTCAAGAAACTAAAAATAGAGCTACCCTATCCCATTGCGGGGCATATACCCAAAAGAAAGGAATCAGTAAATCAAAGAGATAAGTGCACTCATGCTTGCTGCAGCACTGTTGACAATAGCTAAGACTTGGAAGCAACCTAAGCGTCTATCAACAGATGAATGGGAAAATAATATGTGGTATGTATACACAATGGAGTACTATTCAGACATAAAAAAAGAATAAGATCCTGTCGTTTGCAACAACATGGATGGAACTGGAGATCATATGTTAAGTGAAATAAGCCAGGCACAGAAAGACAAACATCGCGTCTTCTCACTTACTGGTAGAAACTAAAAATCAAAACAATTGAACTCATGAATACAGTGAGTAGGAGGATGGTTACCAGGGGCTGGGAAAAGTAGTAGGGGTCTGGGGGAAAGGTGAGGATGGTTAATAGGTACAAAACATAGAATGAATGAATAAGACTTAGTATTTGATAGCATAACAGGGTGACTATAGTCAATAAAAACTTAACTGTATATTTTAAACTAACTTATAAAGAGTATAATTGGATTGTTTGCAACTCAATGAATAAATGCTTGAGGGGATGGATGCCCCATTCTTCATGATGTGCTTATTTCACATTTCATGCCTGTATCAAAGCATCTCATGTACTCCTACTATGTACCCACAAAAGTTCAAAATTAAAAAACAATTTTATTAGAAAAGAAAGCAATCTGATTAAATCAGTTTTCCACTGACTTGTGAATGACTGATAACAATTTAGCCTTCTAAAAGATACTTTAAAAATACTATAAATCGGATTTGCTGGCAAGATGGCTGAACAGGAACAGGTCCGGTCTGCAGCTCCCAATGAGATCAACACAGAAGGCGGGTGATTTCTGCATTTCCAACTGAGGTACCCAGTTCATCTCATTGGGACTGCTTGGACAGTGGGTGCAGCCGACGGAGGGCAAGCTGATGCAGGGTGGGGTGTCGCCTCACTGAGAAGTGCAAGGGGTCGGGGGATTTCCCTCCCCTAGCCAAGGGAAGATGTGAGGGACTGTACCACGAGGAATGGTGCACTCCGGCCCAGATACTGCACTTTTCCCACGGTCTTCACAACCCACAGACCAGGAGATTCCCTCCTGGGGGTGCCTACGCCACCAGGGCCCTGGGTTTCAAGCACAAAACTGGGCAGCCATTTGGGCAGACACTGAGCTAGCTGCAGGAGGTTTTTGTTTTTGTTTTTGTTTCTTTTTTTCCATATCCCAGTGACATCTGGAACACCAGCTAGACAGTACCGTTCATTCCCTGGAAAGTGGGCTGAAGCCAGGGAGCCAAGTGGTCTGGCTCAGCGGGTCCCATCCCCACAGAGCCCAGCAAGCTAAGATCCACTGGCTTGAAATTCTCGCTGCCAGCACAGCAGTCGAAGGTTGACCTGGGATGCTTGAGCTTGGTGGGGGGAGGGGCGTCCGCCATTGCTGAGGCTTGAGTAGGCAGTTTTACCCTCACAGTGTAAACAAAGCTGCCAGGAAGTTCAAACTGGACGGAGCCCACCGCAGCTCAGCAAGGCCTCTGCGGCCAGACTGCCTCTCTAGATTCCTCCTCTCTGGGCAGGGCATCTCTGAAAAAAAGTCAGCAGCCCCAGTCAGCGACTTATAGATAAAACCCCCATCTCCCTGGGAGAGAGCACTTGGGGGAAGGGTCAGCTGTGGATGCAGCTTTAGCAGACTTAAACGTCCCTGCCTGATGGCTCAGAAGAGAGCAGCGGATCACCCAGCACAGCATTCGAGCTCTGATAAGGGTCAGACTGCCTCCTCAAGGGGGTCCCTGACCCCTGTGTATCCTAACTGAGAGATACCTCCCAGTAGTGGTGGACAGACACCTCATACAGGAGAGTTCTGATTGGCATCTGGTGGGTGACCCTCTGGGACGAAGCTTCCAGAGGAAGAAGCAGGCAGCAATCTTTGCTGTTCCGCAGCCTCTGCTGGTGATACCCCGGCAAACAGGGTCTGGAGCGGACCTATAGCAAACACCAGAAGAGCTGCAGCAGAGGGGCCTGACTGTTAGAAGGAAAACTAACAAACAGAAAAGAAACAGCATCAGTATCAACAAACAGGATGTCCACTCAGAGACCCCATCCGAAGGTCACCAACATCAAAGACCAAAGGTAGATAAATCCATGAAAATGGGGAGAAACAACACAAAAAGCCTGAAAAATTCCAAAAACCAGAACACCTCTTCTCCTACAAAGGATCACAACTCCTCACCAGCAAGGGAACAAAACTAGACAGAGAATGAGTTTCACAAATTGACAGAAGTAGGCTTCAGAAGGTCAGTAATAACAAACTCCTCTGAGCTAAAGGAGCATGTTCTAACCCAATGCAAGGAAGCTAAGAACACTGAAAAAAAGTTAGACGAATTGCTAACCAGAATAACCAGTTTTGAGAAGAACATAAATGAACTGATGGAGCTTAAAAACACAGCACGAGAACTTCCTGCAGCATGTACAAGTATCAATAGCCAACTTGATTAAGCAGAGGAAAGGATATCAGAGATTGAAGATCAACTTGATGAAATACAGCAAGAAGACAAGACTGAAGTAAGAAAGAATGAAAAGAAACAAACAAAGCCCCCAAGAAATATGAGACTATGTGAAAAGACCAAATTTATGTTTGATTGCTGTACCTGAAAGTGATGGGGACAATAGAACCAAGTTGGAAAACACACTTCAGGATATTAATCAGGAGAACTTACCCAACCTAGCAAGACAGGCCAACATTCAAATTCAGGAAATACAGAGTACACCAAAAAGATACTGCTCAAAAAGAGACCAAGACACATAATCGTCAGATTCACCAAGGTTGAAATGAAGGAAAAAATGTTAAGGGCAGCCAGAGAGAAAGGTGGGGTTACCCACAAAGGGAAGCCCATCAGACTAACAGCGGATCTCTTGGTAGAAACCCATAAGCCAGAAGATAGTGGGGGCCAATATTCAACATTCTTAAAGAAAAGAACTTACAATCCAGAATTTCATATCCAGCCAAACTAATCTTCTTAAGTGAATGAGAAATAAAATCCTTTACAAACAAGCAAATACTGAGAGATTATGTCACCACCAGGCCTGCCTTACAAGAACTCCTGAAGGAAGCACTAAACATGGAAAGAAACAACCGGTACCAGCCACTGCAAAAACATACCTAACTGTAAAGACCATCAACACTATGAAGAAATTGCATCAATTAACAGGCAAAATAACCAGTTAGCATCATAATGGCAGGATCAAATTCACACATAACAATATTAACCTTAAATACAAACAGGACAAATGCCCCAATTAAAAGACACAGACTAGCAAATTGGATAAAGAGTCAAGACCCATTGGTGTGCTGTATCCAGGAGACTCATCTCACATGCAAAGACATACATAGGCTCAAAATAAAGGGATGGAGGAATATTTACCAAGCAAATGGAAAGCAAAAAAAAAAAAAAAAAGCAGGGGTTGCAATCCTAGTGTTTGATAAAACAGACTTTAAACCAACAAAGATCAAAAGAGACAAAGAAGGGCATTACATAATCGTAAAGGAATCAATGCAACAAGAAGAGCTAACTATCCGAAATAAATATGCACCCAACACAGGAGCACCCAGATTCATAAAGCCAGTTCTTAGAGACCTACAAAGAGACTCAGACTCCCACACAATAATAGTGGGAGACTTTATTGACCCCACTGTCAATATTAGACAGATCAACGCGACAGAAAATTAACAAAGACATTCAGGTCTTGAACTCAGCTCTAGACCAAGTGGACCTAATAGACATCTACAGAACTCTCCACACCAAATCAACAGAATATACATTCTTCTCAGCACCACGTAGCACTTATTCTATAATTGACCACATAATTGGAAGTAAAACACTCCTCAGCAAATGCAAAAGAATGGAAGTCATAACAAACAGTCTCTCAGACCACAGTGCAATCAAATTAGAACTCAGAATTAAGAAACTCACTCAAAACTGCACAACTACATGGAAACTGAACAACCTGCTCCTGAATGACTATTGGGTACATAAAGAAATGAAGGCAGAAATAAAGATGTTCTTTCAAACCAATGAGAACAAAGACACAACGTACCAGAATCTCTGGGACACATTTAAAGCAGTGCATAGAGGGAAATTTATAGCACTAAATGCCCACAAGACAAAGCAGGAAAGAACTAAAACTGACACCCTAACATCACAATTAAAAGATGTAGAGAAACAAGAACAAACACATTCAAAAGCTAGCAGAAGACAAGAAATAACTAAGATCAAAGCAGAACTGAAGCAGATGGAGACACAAAAAGCCCTTCAAAAAATCCAGGAGCTGGTTTTTGAAAAGATCAACAAAAAAAGATAGACCACTACTCAGACTAATAAAAAAGAAAAGAGAGAATAATCAAATTGACACAATAAAAAACGATAATGGGGATATCACCAGTGTTCCCAGAGAAATAACAATTCCCATCAGAGAATACTATAAACATCTCTATGCAAATAAACTGGAAAATCTAGAAGAAATGGATAAATTCCGGGACACAAACTAAAGACTAAACAGGAAGAAGCTGAATCCCTGAATAGACCAATAACAAGTTCTGAAACTGAGGGAGTAATTAATAGCCTACCAACCAAAAAAAGTCCAGGACCAGATGGATTCACAGCTGAATCATACCAGAGGTACAAAGAGGAGCTGGTACCATTCCTTCTGAAACTATTCCAAACAATAGAAAAAGACAGAACTCTTCCTAACTCATTTTATGAGGCCAGCATCATCTTGATACCAAAACCTGGTAGAGACACAACAAAAAAAGAAAATTTCAGGCCAATATCGCTGATGAACATTGATGCAAAAATCCTCAATAAAATACTGGCAAACCGAATCCAGCAGCACATCAAAAAGCTTATTCACCATGATCAAGCCAGCTTCATCCCTGGGATGCAAGGCTGGTTCAATATACGCAAATCAATAAACATAATCCATCACATAAACAGAACCAATGACAAAAACCACATGATTATCTCACTAGATGCAGAAAAGGCCTTTGACAAAATTCAACAGCCCTTCATGTTAAAAACTCTTAATAAACTAGGTATTGATGGAACGTATCTCAAAATAATAAGAGCTATTTATGACAAGCCCACAGCTAATATCATACTGAATGGGCAAAAACTGGAAGCATTCCCTTTGAAAACCGGCACAACACAAGGATGCCCTCTCACAACTCCTGTTCAGCATAGTATTGGAAGTTCTGGCCAGGGCAATCAGGCAAGAGAAAGAAATAAAGCATACTCAAATAGGAAGAGAGAAAGTCAAATTGTCTCTGTTTGCTATTACATGAATGTATATTTAGAAAACCCCATCGTCTCAGCCCAAAATCTCCTCAAGCTGATAAGCAACTTCAGCAGTCTCAGGATACAAAATCAATTGCGAAAATCACAAGCATTCCTATACACCAATAACAGACAAACAGAGAGCCAAATCATGAGTGAACTCTCATTCACAATTGCTACAAGGAGAATAAAATACTTAGGAATACAACTTACAAGGGATGTGAAGGACCTCTTCAAGAACTATAAACCACTGCTCAAGGAAATAAGAGAGGACATAAACAAATGGAAGAACATTCCATGCTCATGGTAGGAAGAAGCAATATCATGAAAATGGCCATAATGCCCAAAGTAATTTACAGATTCAATGCTATCCTCATCAAGGTACCATTGACTTTCTTCACAGAGTTGGAAAAAACTACTTGAAATTTCATATGGAACCAAAAAAGAGCCTGCATAGCCATGACAATCCTAAGCAAAAAGAACAAAGCTGGAGGCATCACACTACCTGACTTCAAACTATACTACAAGGCTACAGTAACCAAAGCAGCATAGTACTGGTACCAAAACAGATATATAGACCAATGGAACAGAACAGAGGCCTCAGAAATAACACCACACATCTACAACCATCTCATCTTTGACAAACCTGACAAAAACAAGCAATGGGGAAAGGATGCCCTATTTAATAAATGGTGTTGGGAAAATTGGCTAGCCATATGCAGAAAACTGAAACTGGATCCCTGCCTTACACCTTATACAAAAATTAACTCAAGATAAAGACTTAAACATAAGACCTAAAACCATAAAAACCATAGAAGAAAACCTAGGCAATACCATTCAGGATATAGGCATGGGCAAAGACTTCATGACTAAAACACCAAAAGCATTGGCAACAAAAGTCAAAATTGACAAGTGGGATCTAATTAAACTAAAGAGCTTCTGCAATCCAATAGAAACTATCATCAGAGTGAAGAGGCAACCTACAGAATGGGAGAAAATATTTGCAATCTATCCATCTGACAAAGTGCTAATATCCTGAATCTACAAAGAACTTAAACAAATTTGCAAGAAAAAAACAACCCCATCAAAAAGTGGGTGAAGGATATGAACAGACACTTCTCAAAAGAAGACATTTACACAGCCAACAAACATATGAAAAAAAAGTTCATCATCACTGGTTATTAAGAGAAATACAAATCAAAACCCCAATGAGATATTATCTCATGCCAGTTAGAATGGTGATCATTAAAAAGTCAGGAAACAACAGATGCTGGAGAGGATGTAGAGAAATAGGAACACTTTTACACTGTTGGTGGGAGTGTCAATTAGTTCAACCATTGTGGAAGACAGTGTAGCGATTCCTCAAGGATCTAGAACTAGAAATACCGATTGACCCAGCCATCCCATTACAAGGTATATACCCAAAGGATTATAATTCATTGTACTATAAAGACACATGTACACATATGTTTATTGTGGCACTGTTCCCAATAGCAAAGACTTGGAACCAACCCAAATGCTCATCAAGGATAGACTGGATGAAGAAAATATGGCATATATACACCACGGAATACTATGCAGCCATAAAAAAGAAAGAGTTCATGTCCTTTTCAGGGACATGGATGAAGCTGGAAACCATCATTCTCAGCAAACTACCACAAGAACAGAAAACCAAACACTGCATGTTATCAGTCACAAGCGGGAGTTGTACAATGAGGACACAGGGATACAGGGAGGGGAACATCACACACCGGGGCCTGTTGTGGGTTGGGGGGTTGGGGAGGGATAGCATTAGGAGAAATATCTAATGTAGATGACGGGTTGATAGGTGCAGCCAACCACCATGGCACATGTATACCTATGTAACAAACCTGCACATTCTGCACATGTACCCCAGAACTTAAAGTATAATAATAATAAAAAACTGTAAATCCTAATAACGTTTAGGCCAGGTATGGTGGCTCACGCCTGTAATCCCAGCACTTTGGGAGGCAGAAGCAGGTGGATCACTTGAGTCCAGGAGTTCAAGACCAGCCTGGGCAACATGGCAAAATCCTCTCTCTACAAAAAATAAAAAATTTAGCCAGGCACGATGACATGCACCTGTAGTCCCAGCTACTTCGGGGGCTAAGGCAGGAGAATCACTTGAGCCCAGGATACGAAGGTTGCAGTGAGCCGAGATCGCTCCTCTGTGCTCCCAAGAGGAGTGAAACCCTGTCTCCAAAAAAAAAAAAAAAAAAAAAAAAAAAAAAAGACATTTTAAATATCTGCAACATTTACTTTTAAAAGATGAAGGTGCCAGAAAATAAATTTTGTTGCGCAGTCACAATATAAGCAGGCTAGCCCTACTGGATAGCTTCCCTCACTCCAATTCCATATATATTTAAAAGTTCAAACTTCTTTTCACGATCATCAATGTCAGTAGCAGCAGCAGGAAAACAAAAGACAAATATGGTTGTTTGAGAAGGAACCTGGTATAGGAGTTAAGGGCATGGAATCTGGAGGCAGGATGCCTAAGTTGAAACCCGAGCTTCATTATTCATATTTACGTGACTTTGGACAAGTTATTTGCCTTTTCTGGTCCATAGCTTTCCCATCTGTAAAAAGGTAATAACAATTACACTTAAATCAGATTAATAAAAGGGTATGTATAGTACTTAGAGTGTAAGGCATAGAGAGTACTATGTAAATATTTGTTATAACTACTTAGTATATATGGATTGTTCATAAGACATTATGTTTTAAAATTAGCTAGGAGTGGTTGTTTTACTTTCTAAAAGTTTCTACCACAATGTTGCATCTTGTACAGGCCTTATTATAAGAAATCTGCCACCTGTCCATAACGGCTAATTTGGGGTTAGGATAAGTACAGTTTTCTATTATTAATAATAAACTAATTGTTTAAAGTTTAGGTAGAACCACAGAACTTCAGGGTAGAAAGGGTCCTAACAGTTCAGAGGTATCATCTCACAGACCAAGAAGCTGAGGGCCAGAAAAATTAAACAACTCAGGCAAGCTTAGAGGTAGCTGGTGGAAGATTAAAAGGTGGAATCTACCTCTCCTTATCAGCTGTATTTCTTCACTTCCAAAGGGCAAGGGAAGAACCTTCTTCCATGATGCAGACACACTGATACTTTGGCCTCCCAAGACTCTGCTATAAGAATTATTGATCCTGGAATGAGGAGATTCCTTTGCTATTAAGGAATTTCCTTATTCAAGGAATACCAAGGAACCAGCATACCCACAAGAATTTCCCCAACATGGTCAGTAGTCATGGTGGTGATTTCAGCTGGGTTTAAGGGAAACTGGGGATACTCTACTATGTAGATATGACACGACCAGAAGGCGGTCTCTTCTAACTTCTGGATCTGATGACCAAATCCTCCCAGAGTCAGCTGACTATCAGGTAAGTTGTTACTGTGCTGTTATCTAAATACATAAAATGCAGACTATTACCATACTGTTGAAAACAATTAGATATGTGGTATTTATTAGAGGTTAATGGCATATGAATAAAATTTCACTGACAAATATTTCCAAAGATTATGTATTACAGAAAAAGGGAGAATCTACCAACACAACAAAATGGAAACAGGGATAGTCTCATTGGAAGGAAAATGTAACAAAGTTCAATATAGCTGAATCTACTCATATTTATGATACTGTTGTGGGCAGGTACTTTGGAATAATGAAGAAATACTTGCATACTGCCAGGCATTCAATGTACAATTCTTGGGGCATTCTTCAGACTTGTTTACAGAATGAAATAAGATGTTGTGTCTAGTGGATGGGAGAGTTGTCATTTGAATATATTTACAGTATCTTAAAGTATGTTGTGGGACTTATGGCTTGTCCCCTAGATTCCTTCCTCATTGTTGTATATTTAACTTTATGACCATCAGGCATGGCAAGTACCTCAATATCCTACTGTTCAACTAAGCAGCAGAGTACAGAGAAAAAAAAGTTTCATCCCCAAAGCGGGTGGAGGGAACAGAAATAAGGAAGAAAAAGAAAAAAACTTACAAACCTTATCTGGGCTTTCATTCAAAACAAATTCCTTATCCAACCTATAAAATATTGCCAAAAAAACTTGCTATAGTGCAAACACTCAATCATCAAGGTACTGAAAAATTTACAGTGGATTTCCTGCCGATTTGTGGGGCCACTGGATCCTGCTGCGATAAAACTTGCAAAAATATGACAGGCATTTGAATAAACCTTTCTATCTCATAATTGAGGTTTTGTAAAAGGATGAACTTCAACATTTCTCCCAATACAACTTATGGCGCAAAAATTTTTTTAAAAAATAGGAAGGTAAAGCCAAGGACATCACTAAAAGGGGGACAAATAAGCATGTTTTACTCTAATCTAGAGCTATAACTGGCTGAGTAGTTAAGATGAATGCAAACTAGTGAACAAATGAAAACGAATGTACAGAATCTTTACACTTTGATTTATTGGCCATCCGGGCACCCACTCATGCGGTAATAACATCATGTGTAGCACGCCTACCCATTTACTCTTAAGATAACAAAGATTATTAACCAGACAGCAAGAAACACATCATACTTTCAAAATACACATTTTGATTACCCACACTGTATCCACATGATGACAAGCTACTACATTTTCAGGGATTGCTCCCTCCCTCTTTCCTTCTCCCCATCAGCCAAGGTTTAGTGTTCTGCACTGGGGCCAATGGGCTTTCCTGCCAAACAAATCTAAGGAAAGGAAAGGGAAACAGGTCACAGGGCTAGACTGACCAGGATTGCCTACGCCACGGAGACAGGAAGCTTGGGCCTCCAGGGGTGACCCTTTTTGCAGCTGTGCCCTTCCCCTTGACACATGAGCACCAGCATACGCAGTGATCCATGAAGGCAGTGTGAGGGGAGTGAGAGAAAGGTGATGAGTTGACAGCATCTGCTAAAAGACGTCCAGGGAAGCTGCTATTGATGGCGGAGGAGCACAAAGTTTGGCAATCGGCCACCGGCACCATGTGCAAAAAGAGCTTACTTTCAAGGGCTAACTTATAAAGGTAAAATTTGAACAGTGATAGTGGAAAAAGCAGGGAATTTTTCTGCTTGGTGCCACCATACAGGTAAACTGTGCCTGTGAGGCTACTCAGGGCATCACAGAAAATGATCACTATCAGACCAAAAATATGCATGCCCTTATGCACAGCAAAGAGGGGCTTCATCACTCTCTCTTTCCTTCCCCTTCCTCCCCCTCCACCCACCCCAGACAGAAAGTGCTACCTTCACGTTCACCCTGCAGATAGAAAAATGTTAATTTAAGGCATATCAAAACACATTTTATAATGTATAAATATAATACCCAATAGACTCCTGAGAGATATACAAAATTAATCCCACTTGTGAAGGCCTTAATATTAGCTCTTTCCTCTTGGGAAGAATTTTAAATCCCACAAAAGCCCTTGATTTATTTCCTTCCTACACAACAGCAACAAACACTCTCATAATTTCTAAGCAATGTAAAATATCACTTTAATGCTGAATACATGGAGACAGAGAAAGAGCTCACTTAGAATGGATACTTGGACACCAAAGGAAGTACTTAGGGGTCCCACCTCCCTGAACAGTGGAGCATAATGCATTAATGCTGCCTGCCTAATTCAAGGAAAACAGAGCTCCCTGAAACTGACCTGTACTTTAAGACACATCCCACACTTCAATTTTACACTGCCCCTTCCAAAGCCTCGTTCATATGCGCACGTCACTTTCTATTTTGTATCTGTGAAGAAGTTAATGAAGTCTTATTAACACAGATATATTTAGTTCACCTTTATTTTACCTTTAACAAAACACAATCTGTGATGGTTCATTCTAAACTGAAAGTTAAATGAGTTTGGATATTATCATTAATAAGTGTATCTATTACATCAGGCCAGGGGCAGTGGCTCACGCCTATAATCCCAGCACTTTGGGAGACCAAGGCGGGTGGATCACCTAAGGTCAGGAGTTCGAGACCAGCCTGGCCAACATGATGAAACCTCACCTCTACTAAAAATACAAAAATTAGCCGAGTGTGGTGGCACACGCTTGTAATCCCAGGTATTCAAGAGGCTGAGGCAGGACAATCGCTTGAACCTGGGAGACAGAAGTTGCAGTGAGCCGAGATTATGCCACTGCACTCCAGCCTGAGTGACAGAGCAAGACTCCGTCTCAAAAAAAAAAAAAAAGTGTATCTATTACATCAGAATGTCTGAAAAAGGGAATATAAGCATTATATATTTATTAAGAGCAAAAGCTTATCAAATATTATAATTTTTCGATCTTTCCTTCTTCATTTCACCACTGCAAAATCTGGCTTTAAAACAATGTTACTTTCCTTTCCTATTGCCACAAACCAGCTAGTTTTTCATATATAGGAAGTAAGAGAAAGGTAAGCTTAGGGCACAAAAAAATAAAAAAAACCCCTACATAAATCTAACTTGGGTTTTTAAGTTAAAGATCAGTAGCGGAGTGACATCAAAGAGAAACTCGGACCCTCAACTATTAAGTAAAATATGCATAAATGATTGTACTGACAGAAACCTGAGTGCCAAAGGCTCAGTGGAAGAATGGGTGTGTGTATTTCATGTCATTTACCTTATCTTTCTGTGAGGAACACACCTAAAAGAAAATTAGCATTTCACTAAGTTATTTAGTTTCAGCTCTGGATCAGGTAAGTTAACATCTGCACTATATTTTTATGGGTGAAAAGCACCATACTAAATAGAAACATTACTAAAGCCACAATTATCTTGAATTAACAGTTATCATTGATGGCACAGAAGAGTAAGGAGTCAAAGATGATGAGGCCTTAAGAAACAGGAGGAAAGAAATAAGGAAGAAAATTAACATGACTTAACTTTCAAAATATTTTTCAAGGATGCCACAATCTTCCATTAAAATTAATGTACTGGTAGATTTCCCTACACCCACAATCCAGTTAAAATACAAGATCCATCATATCCAAATTTTGTGACAATGGTAAGTCTTCTTCAATCTGTGTGCAAATTACGAAATAAGGAAAATGTACTTCCTTACCTCCATCATTTGGAAAATGACACCTTTTAAGTCAATAATGCAATACTTAGAGAAAATGGTGCCACAGCAAAATATGACAGCACAGGCAATGCAAATTAGTGCTCAGATGGAGAGAATCACTATTCATGTACCCAAAAATGTGGTAATTCCAATATTCTGCAACTTGTATTTTGAATAGCACTTAAAATCTCAGTCCTCTACCGAGAATCCAATTTCTTTCATCTGTGATTTTTTGTGTTACTTACTCATTAGTAAATGCCTCAGCACATGACAAAGAAAAAGAGACAAGTATTTCCAACAAAGAGGAGATTCAAGTAAAGTTAACCCCCACTCTCTACCCACTTTTCCCTTTTGGGTCTGTTCTTCCATTTGAAGCGATCTGTGCTGCTAAGTCCCATTAATGCTAATGCAGGTAGTTATGACCCTCCACTAGCTGTGCCCATGCCTCGAACAGCCGCCACTCTTGCCTGCTTTACTGACCCACAGAACCCAGCCTCGCTGGTGATAAAAATGAAGAGTGTCTTGCAATTTCATCCCTTAATTGAGATCCTAGCATATGGCAAGAATCCAAGGCCCTTGCTCAGGTTGTTTATCTTTCAATACTTTCAAGTCACTTGCTGGCTAGAAAAGAAATTGCACTGTAATTTAAAGTGAAAGCAGTCAGCTTGCTGCTTCTAATTTTTCCTCCTCTTGTTTAAAAAAAAAATCTCTCTTTCTCCACTTTTAACAAATAATAAATGACTATAACCATGGATCCTCTACAGACTTGCTTGCCACTGTGAATAGTTATTATAAAGTGATGCCATAAAACAGGTCACTTTTTACAGTAGGTTGGCTTCAGGTACTTTATAACTCCGTTATTTTATTAACTTTTGGTTATCTTTCTCTTTTTCTAAACTTTTAGTCTCTGCAAATCTCAAGGAAAAACTGCCCAAATTGTGGAGAAACTGGTGGGGGAAGACAGAGTGAAGCGCTTAATTTTAATTCTGAAATCAAATGAAATATACCATATGCCACTGTTACCATAATCTGTCATGCCACCCATGGCTTCTATAATCAAAATGTCCCAGAAAAGGTAGACAGGAGTAGTGAGGAGGAAGGTGAAGAACAGGAGAGAGAGTGGCATTGTTTATACAACAAGAACCAACTTTATATAAGAGGATTACATCAATCAGACTTATTATGGAATTAATTTGGACACTCAGACAACTTATAAAAATATACTACAGCATTCTACAGTAATGATCTAATGCATTTCAACATATGTTAGTATAACTACAGCCTTTGGCCCATGACCAATACTACAGTGGTTTGTGTGTAAACGAGCTTCATAGAGTATTTATTTTTGACAAAGCTCTGTATGAATGATTTAAAATTCATTCAAAAACAAATGTACTTGGCTTCTCTTTAACAGGCAACAAAAAACTCCACAACGAATGGGCAGCAGAATTTCCTCTTTGATAACCAGTCAGGGGAAAAACTTGTTTTGCAGAGGGATGGACAACACATCCTTGTATAGCAAACATAATTTCAAACAAAAACAAGGTTATATATGGTTGTGATGTGGTATTCAACCAGAGCACTTCTGATTGACATGTATATGAATGCCGTGATGTGGAATGTAAATAGAAAATGTTTCATATGCAAGCGTTTTAACTTCACATTATGGGAAATAATAAATACTGAATAATGTAATACGAGGTATTTTTATCTTGGGGTTCTAATGACTAACCACTTGAGCTCTGCTTTTGTGGTTTATAATGTCACCAGAACCCTCCATGGAATTATATATAGAATAAATGTAGGCAATGTTGAATTACAAGGCTATCAGGCTATAATACATAAAGTAAGTACCTAATATAGCCTCATAAATTATAGGCTTTTATGGTCTAGCATTTTACAGCATAATGTCACAAACTGCAGTGATACGATATATTGATAAAGGATATGATATCACATTAGGTTTCAAAAAAATGTCCCTGGCACTACATTAGGGCCAAATTATTTCACAGAATCACAGGCTCAGAGCTGGAAGGATCCTTGGAGAACGTCACACTCCATGCTCCTCTACAGTCACCACCCAAACGCTGACTTCCCCTCATCGCTGCTCCGCAGCCCTGACAGATGGCCCTCCTGCCTCAGACTCTCCCAGTCCTGAAAATAATAGAAGAAAATGCCAGGGAAATGCCTCAAATGTCTACACATAACACAGACACCAGCACCATTAAGTGGCACATGTGAAGGTGAAATGCCCATGATGTCATTGAAGGCACACGACAATTCTGTTTAAGCACACACACACTCAGGCACTTTTACAAAGAAAAAGACCCTCTCTTTTGGTTTTCATCAGGATTGGGAAGGGATGTAAAAAATTAAAAAAAAAAAAAGAGCAAGATTTCTTTCTAATGTCTCTTTGTATCTCCTCCTTTTCTCTGTTTCAGATGCAATAATCATTACCTGATGACAGTCTACACCTTTACTCAATCACAGACACACACACAAGTCAGACCTAGAACTACATGTAGTACCACTGGATTCTGAAGGACTCCAGGCTTCTTTCAAAGTGAGAAACAAAGAAGGAAGGGACAGTAGAGCCCACATCCAGTAGTTGTGAGATTTTGGGCAAACTAGAAGGATAACATATAAATGTTGATATCACCCTTATTTGTTTCTGATCAATTCTTTTCTCTGTAAAACAATTTAAAGCAAAAGTAAATGGTATTGTCCCATTGAGAAGAACAGGGTTTTCCCAGCCTTCTAGGAATATATTTGTTTTAAATGTATTCACATCAAAGATTGATCAAGGATAATATATATTAATATAAACCATAGATTCGATCACCTAAATACAAGGGCTCATGACAAAGGCTTCTAAATACTGTCTCACTCTCTCTCTCACCCAAATCCCTTTCCGCTCATACTATCAATTCCTTGCTTAAATTCATTCTAAGCAAATCAATCCTTACACCTGTCTTGCCCTCATTTTCTACTTCCCAGTTGTGAAATTTCTCTTACATCCTATCAACAAATAATGGACTTAGGGGTGAAGAGTCCAGAGATATATAAATTAGTGTTCCACAACCATTTAATTTCCTATGCACCTACAGCTTTATCCGTCTTGCATGGTATTTGATCTGCAGAAACTTTTTCATAGAAAACCAGGACTAGAAAATAATGAGCAAAGCAAGAAGCAATCTCAAACACACGTGAGGAAATTATGCTTGATGTAAACCTACTTTGATCCTGTTATTGTCATTCAACACAAATACTAAATGAGAGAGGAAATGTCCTCCTCATTCCTGCACACAGAAGGCAAGTGGGAGGGTCTTGCTTTCTAACTAAAGTACAACTTTGGCCCAAATTAAGTTTGCTGACCCAAATCACAAGTCAAGAAGTTTGTTCCATAGAATGCATGTGCTGGAAATGTAGACTGTGGAAAACAGTAAAAGTTTAAGAATGACTTACTCTACATAGTAACAATCAATCACAGCTAACAGTCATTGAACACTATGTTCTAAACTCACACTGTGTCTGACATGCATAATCTCCTTTACTCCTTAAGGGAACCCTAAGAGAAGGGGACTATTAGTAGCTCCATTTTACAGATACAGAAGCACAAAGAGTTAGTTAAGCAACTTCCCCAAATCACGTGACTATTAAAAGGTGGAGCTAGAAATTGCGCTCAGGCAATGTGACTTGCCTTCCATGAATGCGATGAAACACAATCTTACCAAAAGACTTTAGGAGGTTTCTGACTGTCCAGTGCAGTTTAGAGTATCTTACCAGGCAAGTGGCTAGAATAAAGCATGCGGTCAAAAATAACGGAAGGAATCACAGGCGGTACTTCATCAGCATTTACTAGAATCCTGCTGGCCTAAAACTGGCAGAAAAAAAAAAATCCTCTCATATTCTAGGCAAAGCTTTTTGCCTTTTGTTCAAAATAGGATCCTGTTTTTCAGACTCTTGAAAATACTCTTTGCACCCTTCCTGAGAAAAGGATTAATTTTGTTAGGAAGTTGCCACTCGTTTATAATTATAGGAAAATTCTGTTTAAGAATCCAAGGGTTCCAAAAAACAACTCCTCTGCTCCATTTCCTAAACTTTCTACAGTTTGGAAGGTAAACTTGAGAACACAGAGCACCTATGAATATGTGTACTGGTATTTCTTCCAAAACATCCCAAAACTGTTTTGGGGGGATGAGGGGATCAGCTGCCTTTGGAGCCAGGTAGGAAGGCAGAAAGGAGGAGGGCCAGAGAGGAGTAGGGAGAAGCAGGGTGAGAAACATGCACATCGGAACCACTGGAAAGCCAGGCGGCTTGTGACCAGTGCGTCGGGCCACTAGACCAGGGAGCAAAGTGCAGGCTAGTCCTTCACACCCAAGCCTTAGGGGAGGCAGCACCCGGTGTCAGAATAAC
This sequence comes from Homo sapiens, assembly GCF_000001405.40. Lineage (NCBI taxonomy): Eukaryota > Metazoa > Chordata > Mammalia > Primates > Hominidae > Homo > Homo sapiens. The sequence goes on from NC_000018.10 coordinate 25,282,464, forward strand.
ATAGTTCAGTGTTTGGAAAGAGGAAGTCTGCAGAGCGGCACTCCATCCGGCTGGCCAAGTATACAGGTAATAAAGTGTGAGCTTGCACATGGAGGGGGCGGTGCATGGTGGGGACAGGGAAATGAAAGGCAATGTGGATGTGCCAAAAACAATATTCCATCCCCACTGTGACAGGGCATCAGAGGGATCTTTTTGAAAGGACTAGTCAGAAGCCCAAAAAAATTAAGTTAAATTATATACAAAATGCCACACCTAAAAAGAAATATTATTTTAGTAAAAAATCCTACTGCTTTTTTTTCCCCCCTTTAGGCCTTTACCAGGGACACCTGCAAATAAGAAAAACAAAACAAAAAAATCCAGCAAGAATAAAGCACTTTCCAGACTGACAAGGACAGCAAAGAACACAGAAGATTTCTAAGTGAAAGGCACCACGTGGAGTAGAGATAAAAGAGCTTTTAAAATTTTTAGGGAGCCAGATTCAAGTGTTTCAGTGAATCCTTAAAGTGCTTAAGTACAAAATGCTTTCCTCCAATGCATTAAACCTACAGAGAATGACTTTAACCACAGCGTGCCTGCTTTGTGCAGGAAGCAGCTGGTACCTCTTTCTGTGTAATGGATGGGACAAGCACTCTATCCAAGGAAAGTACAACCAAAATCTCACAGGAGTGTTGGCATGAGCCTCTAACACATATCAACAAGCACCTCCACTCACTATCTTTTTTCTCAGCAAAGAGCTTCCACCAGGCCCCTCACTTTGAAAAGTTGCCTCCTTCTGTCTAAGGAAGAATTTCACCTCAGTCACCTGGTTTTGCACATCATACATTCCCACTCTTGCCTCTCCTACTCATGAGGATTGCTGTGCTCTAAGCTTAACCCTTGAATTTGCCAGCACTTAGCAAGAGTCAAAATCAGAGCCTAATTCAGGGGCTCTTCCCTGGTCTCTGGTCCAACATACGCTAATTAAAAGCTGAGGTCGGTCTCCAATTACTGGACCACAATAAATATGTCTATAAAACCTTCACAGGATTTTGCTGTATCAGCAAGAACATTAGTTTAAAAACACCAACTATACCCCCTCCAAGTTTATGTGTCTGCATTAAGTATAATTAATTTCATTGTCTTGATGTTTCACCAGAAAGCTTTCCAGAAAAATCCAAGAATATTATTCAATAGCTGAACATAAACTTAAATGGAAAATAGAAAATAATGTGCTGCTGGAAATCGTAAATTTGGGTAAATCTGAAAACATCTGACCCTTTTTAACTTCAAAAGCAAAAGATCTGAATACCCCCATCATCATTGACGGGAGTTTAAAACCTTATTATAATTTGCCAAATTCCAAAAGAGTTGGTGTTTTAATCCCTCACCACTTTTAAACGGAATCAGTTGAAGAAAAAAAATCAATGTCTGGAGACAGCTCTATGAATGTAGCCACACCTAAAAAACAAGCCAATACTTTCCCCCCCCCCCAAAAAAATTCATGAGCAGCAACAGCTGGAACTGTTTTACACTAGACGGCTGAGTTCTGTGAGAATGTCCTCCTTGTCTTTGTCTGCAAAGCTGAAAGAAGCTGGACTCAAAGGTAGTGTTCAGTCCCAGGAGGACCCTGAGTAAACATGAGCCTGAGCCCCCAGCTCCCTCCTGATAAGGTCAGGTGACATGGTGTCAAAAGACAGCCAAGGAAAGATCTAGAAAAGTGCACACACAAGGAGGATATTTTTCTTTCTCTTTACCAGAGATAATAAAGAACAGAAATGGACTTCAAAATTTTTTATTCACTTAAAATACAACAATGACACTCCCACCCTTGCCCTCAAGCCCTATGTATGTATGATAAACATTTACACACACACACATACACACACTAAACGCACTGCTCTAGCTATCCTTTACTTCCTGAATGAATGCACAACCGAGTCTGAAGCTTGCAGATCTACTCCAAATTGTCAAAGCAACCTGTCTTGATGAAATGTAGCAGCAGCAAAATAACAATACGTCACACAAAAAAATCAGCAAAGTCATCTCATCAGAAAGCAGCCAAAAAATACCCAAGTATTTCCAAAATCTGAGTTGAGACGAGAGCGCTGAGGGCCGGAGGAAAATTAAAAAGAGAGGCAGAGTCATAGGCATAAAGAAGTCTTCAATAAAGCAGTGAGAGTTCGAAAGGAAAGTAGCAACACCACAAGTTATGAAAAGGGGAGAGTACAAAGCATGACAGGCAGATGTAATAAAAGAAAAGCACCATAAAAAAAGAGAAAGAGATGAAGAAATATTTCCAAGTAACTGAGACAGGTACATTGGGAGTATAAAAAAAGAAACAGCTAAGCCTGGAAGGAAACAAGATGAAACTGATGATGCACCTAAAAATGAAAACAACTTTTTGCATGTAAACAAAAGAGGTTTCTAGTGAGAGAGACTACACAAACACTCATGTGCGTGCGCGCGCGCACACACACACACACACACACACAGGGAGGCATCAGGCATCTGACTATTTCAAAAGCCACATCTAAAATTTCATTAAAAAGAGCCCAGCTGCTTCCTTACCCTGACTTTGTCTTTAAGGACTTAGCTAAGCTGAAGGAGTGGCCAGAAAAGGGAAAAAAAAAAAAAACACTTCAACCCATCTCTCTCAAATTCTTTTATTTCAGCAATGCATTAAGCAATCTCCCTGCAGAGTTATTCTCTTCTTCCTGGTGTGGATAAAGCTTCCCCTGGGGAGCTCTGTAATTTCCAGCTTCTCCGAATTCAGGTATTAGTAAAGACCGCTTGGGGACACGCAACAATATAACTCTACATTTTCAGGCATTCGGAGAGAACCCCCTAAGGGTCCCAAGTTCAAATTTCTGAAATGTAGGCATTGTAAAAGGAACCTCGGGGGACTCCAGCAATAGAAATCTGCTGAATTCAAAGCATTTCCTAAGCCCTGGCAGGAGCCTTTGCTCCCACTGGAGGCTTTTTATAAAACATGTGTTGCTGACATGTTGACAGATTGCTCAGTGAAGTGTTAGGTGCATACACAGGCTGGCCATTTAGGGGGACATCAGTTTACCCTTCATCTCTACCTGAAGCACCATGTTTTATACATTACCCGAGGACAGGCAGAAAACAGACACTTTCCAACAAAGTATAGTATCACTTGGCAAAAGACAACCACCCCCTCACACGTACCTCTATCCACCACCTACAGAACTACAGACAGATTTTGTAGTTGCACTTCTCTCTCTCTCTCTCTCACACACACACACACACACACACACACACACACGTACGCGCCTGCGCGCGCACATGCACGCATGGCTATACAGAATCTCCCCAAATCACAAAAAGGTCAGAAAATAAATTAAGTGTACAGTGCAAGGCCCAGGCTTGAAATTGCCTCCATGTATCAGGACTGCCACCCTTTTGCTACACAGGCCAGAGCTCTGAGGGTATAATGAGCAAAGGAATTTTCTAATGACAGCTGACTGTTGGGAGGTAATCTGATCAAAGGCCGATATTAAATCCAACTTCTGCTCATATCAGGGTATTAGTGATGTACGACTTAATAACCCAGCAGCTCCAAAAGTGCTGCCGTGGCAACAGGATGGAAATTGGGATAATAATGTATTCATGGTGCTGGCGACCTGGGGCTGCAGTGCGCGCTCTCAGGGGAGGGCACTTCACCCTGAGCCAGACGTGTCTGGGCAAAATCACTTCACAAAGGACAGGAGTGGAATACTGAAGAGCTCTGGCACTGATGA